>NC_000002.12:76042625-76667625 GCF_000001405.40 Homo sapiens
AGGATAAATGAATGAGAACCAAAGGCACAGATATGTAATCTGTATTTGGAAAATGTTGCTTGACCTCATAGATTTTTTTCTCCTCGATGCCAATACTACCTCTACCCCTACTTCTTGCAGTTGTGACCAGCTGTCTGCAATACGTTTTATCCATGTCATTTAATGAACATAGCTTGATAGTGTTAGAAAAACTGCACTCTGCTAAGATGCTACATCATATCATTTGAATTGATGAATAAAATGAGAATTCATTATCTTCAAGGCATTGAAATGCAGGCTTGGTTACTCAGCTTCACATAACTTTAGGGGAAATTTTGCAGCCCAACCTTACTTTTGTATGTTAGACTTCTTTAGAGAATGATAAGCAAAAATCATAGTACATGTATGCATAAATCTGTCAAAAGTAAGCAAAGTGCAATACCTATAGAACCCCACAGATTTGTCAAAAGTGAGAATAAATGTATTGGGGAGGTATGCATTACACTGAGTGCCTCTTTTATTACATTCTAGTCTTAAACCATTCCTAAACTTGTAGGCAGATGGTGATGGGTAATTAAAATGCTAGCAAAATTATGGAAGGTGAAAGTAACTTATATGTCTCTGTAATGACAGACATGAAAAAAATATGCACACAGTTTGCAATGAAATGATGCAAAGATGAGGACTAAAATAAAATATGTAGCTGGGTAAGATAACATCCATCAAGGTGTTCTCTTTTCCATTGTGTTTCACTTGAGAAAGACACTGATTTATACCTGAGGACTTAGAAGAAGCGATGCAAAACTTTTCAAAGAAAAATGGATACATATATTTCTGGATATTATACGAGCAGCTTGAAAACATAACTTTTGATTGATTGTGTTTTTATTACTGAGGATAAAAGGTGACAGCCATCAAAATTTAAGGTAAATAATTACCATAACTTTTAGTGCAAATTCATTAATGCCAACTTGGGAAATTACACTATTAACTCCCATAAACTAGATTAAATGTTAAAAAGGGAGAAATGAGATACAAGCTTTGCTTTCCATTTAATATTTATTCCTTGCTATATTATTTTATTTAAAATTATTTTTAAGGTAACATATTTTAATGATAAGTATTGAAGACTAGAAAAGCCACAGGAAATTAAAATCATCTGTAATCAGAATAATCATAGTTAATTATCTGAATTGTTATAAATTCCAAATGGAATTGTAATACTATATACTGATTTTTAACTCATTTTCTATTTTCTTTAATTTTTATACAACCATTTAGAATTGTCCCTTATTATTCTATTGTGTGAATGCTGCATGGTTAAGTGAATGGCGGCTTCCAATTGTTGATATAATCGAATTATTTTAAAATTAAAATTTAACTACTTTAACCCTATAGCAAAATACCAGAAATGATAATTGATATGGGAGGGGGGCAATGAAGTGCTGGGAAGAGAAAGGTGTGGCTAGGGCTCTATCCCTGGGCCTGTGTCTCTTTCTGCCATATGACATTAAAACCCAGTACTATGAGTGCTCACCTGATTTTTAGTTCTTATGAAGGTGTTTTTTCTGTGCAAATACTTGTCAATTTGGTGTACTTGCAGGGAGTACAATCAGTGGAGCTTTCTATTCTACCATCTTGCTCCTGAAAATCAGCAGAATTTAAAATTGTATTAGGAATTGGGGAAAAATTATGAATGGGTAAGAATAATTAATGAATAGAAAATAAATGGCAAAAAATGTTCAGCTTCAATATTAATCAGATAAATTCATATTAAATTAACAGACATATGTCTTAAAGTTCAAGTGACGAACATTAGAATAGTTAAAGTTAATGAGGACATGAAGGACTAAGTATTATCCAACACTGGAGATGAAAGTTTAAACTAGCTCAGACTTTATAGGGGATAATTATGCCTTATGTATCAAAAATCATAATAGCATACAGATCTTTTAACCAAGAAGCCCAAATTTTACTTCTTACACTATTCTAAAAATATACTTTCATATTGAAATGGGAAAAATTCCCTTATTCGCCTCACAGGGCATGCGATGGGGGTGTGGCTCACTTCTTCAGTTCCCCACTGTTCAAACCTCTAGGGGGAACATCCAGAGGGTGGGTTGTGGGGCTCTGACCCCATGGCAGTGTCTAGGGGTGAATGCTTACAGCTCCTGAAGCCTCAGTGGGCGTGTGTAACAGGGTGCTCTTTTAGTTATCCATCTGTAGGCGATTTGTATTAGTCAGCTCAATTAGACCCCCTGCCTTATCTCAAGGACAGAGGGCTTTCTGTATTCCAGGGTTTCTTGCCTTGGTGTACTGGAAGAATCCAATCACACATGGGCTTGGAGAATGACTGAAAGGTTTTATTGAGTGGAAGTAGCTCTCAGCTCCAGTTCATCTGGCAGCAGACTTCTCAGTGGAAATGTTACAGACCAGGAGAGAGTGGCATGACATATTTAAAGTTCTGAAAAAAAATGACTTTCACCCTATAATAGTATATCTGGCAAAAATATTCTTCACACATGAAGGAGAAATAAAATTTTCCCAAACAAAAGCTGAGGATTTCATTAACACTAAACCCATCCAACAAGAAGTGCTAAAAGGAGTAATTTAATCAGAAAGAAAAGGATATTAATGAGCAATAAGTAATCAACTGAAGTTACAAAACTTATTGAAAAACACAGACTATTATAACACTGTAACTCTGCTGTGTAAACTACTCTACCCTAAGTTGAAAGACTAAACAATTAACCAATCAAAAATAACTACAACTTTTTCAGATATATTCAGTACAATAAGATAAATAAAAACAACAAAATATTTAAAAAGCATGGGGACTAAGTTAAGGTGTGGAGTTTTTAATTAGTATTTTTTGTGCTAGCTTGTTTATGCAAATAGTTTTGTCATCAGGTTAAAATAATGGGTTATAAGATAGTATTTTCAAGCCTCATGGTAGCCTCAGACCAAAAAACATACAATGGATACACACACACACAAAAGCAAGAAACTATATCACATTACCAGAGAAAATCATCGTCACTAGAGGAAGACAGGAATGAAAGAAAGAAGGAAGACAAGACCACAAAACAACCACAAGAATGGGAGGAGTAAGTCCTTACTCATCAATAACAACATTGAATATAAATGGACTAAACTTTCCAATCAAAATACATAGAAAGGCTGAATGGCTGAAAAAACAAGACCCATTGATCTGTTGCCTACAAGAAATACACTTCCCTGTGAAGACACACATAGACTAAAACTAAAGGGATGGAAAAAGATATTTCATGCCAATGGAAACCAAAAAAGACCAGGAGTCACTATACTTATGTTACACAAAATATGTAGATTTCAAGACAAAAACTGTAAGAAGAGACAAAGAGAGTCACTACATGATATGATTTGGCTCTGTGTCTCCACCCAAATCTCATGTTGAACTGTAATCTCCTATGTCGGTGGTGGGGGGCCTGCTGGGAGATGATTGGATCATGAGGGTGGATTTCCCCCTTGCTGTTCTCATGATAGTGAGTGAACTCTCATGAGATCTGATGGTTTAAAAGTGGCACTTTCCCCTTTACTGTCTCTCTCTCTCTCCTGCCACCATGTAAGACATGCCTTGCTTCCCTTTTGCCTTCTGCTGTGATTTTAAGTTTCTTGAGCCCTCCCCAGCTATGTAGAATGGCGAGACAATTAAACCTCTTTTCTTTATAAATTACCCAGTCTCAGGTAGTATCTGTATAGCAATGTGAAAATGGACTAATACACTTTATAATAATAAAGGGGTCAATTCAGCAAGAGGATATAATGATAGTAAATATATATGCACCCAATGATAGAGCACCCAGACATATGAAGAAAATATGGCAGCTAAAATGAGAGATAGACCCCAATACAATAAAATCTGGAGACTTCACCCCACTTTTGGCATCAGCCTGATCTTCCAGACAGAAAGTCAAAAAAGAAGCATCATACTTGCTCTGCACTCTAGACAAAAGGGATCTATTAGACATTTACAGACCACTTCATCCAAGAGCTGCAGAATACACATTAATTTCTTCAGCACATGGGTAATTCTCAAGGACAGACCAGATTTTAGGTCACAGAAAAAGTCTTCAAACACTCAAAATAACTGAAATTATTTCAGACATCTTCTCTGACCACAATGGAATAAAACTAGAAATTAACAACAAGAAGAATTTTGGAAACTGTACAAATTAAACAATATACTCCTGAATGACCAGCGAGTCAATGAAGAAATTAAGAGGAAAATTGAAAAATTTCTTGAAGCAAATGATAATGGAAACACAATATATCAAAACCTATGGGATACAGCAAATGCAGTGCTAAAATGGAAGTTTATAGCTGTACAAGTGCCTACATCAAAAAAGAGAAAAAACTTCAAATAAAAAAAACTAATGATGTATCTTAAAGACCTAAAAAAACAAGAGCAAAACAAACCCAAAATTAATAGAAGAAAAAAATAAATATCAGAGCAGTAATAAACAAAATTGAAATGAATAAAATACAAAAGATCAATGAAACAAAAAGTTGGGTTTTTTTGAAAGGTTAAACAAAATTGATAAACCTTTAGCCAGAGTAACTAAGAAAAAAAGAGAGATGATCCAAATAAAGTCAGAAATGAAAAAGGAGACATTAAAAGCTGATACTGTAGAAATTCTAAGGATCATTAATGGCTGATATGAGCAACTATATGTCAATACATTGGAAAATGTAAAAGAAATGGACAAATTCCTAGGTATCAAGAATGAACCAGGAAGAAATCCAAAACCTGAACAGACCAATCAAGACACAGACCTAACAAAAACATAAAAAATAATGACATTGAAGCTATAATAAAAAAGTCATGAGATGAAGCCATCTCCCAATAAAGAAAAGCCTGGGGCCTGATGACTTTCCTGCTGTATCATACCAAATATTGAAAGAACTAATACCAGTCTTACTCAAACTATTCTGAAAAATACAGGAGGAAGGAATACTTCCAAACTCATACTACAAGGTAAGTAGTACCCTGATATCAAAACCAGACAAAGACACACCAAGAAAAGAATACTGCAGGCCAGTGTCTCTGATGATATTGATACAAAAATCCTCAACAAAATACCAGCAAACTGAATTCAAGAATACATTAGAAAGATCATTTATCATGACTCCATGGTATAATTGAAGTCAGGTAATGTGATTCCTTTAATTTTTTGCTCTTTTTGCTTAGGGTAGCTTTGACATTGTGTGTGTGTTTGTGTGTGTGTGTGTGTGTGTGTGTGTGTGTTGTGTGTGGTTCCACATGAATTTTTGGATCTATTTTTGTGAAGAATGTCATTTGTATTTTGATAAAGATTTCATTGAATCCATCTGTAGATTGCTTTGAATATTATGGGCATGTTAACTATATTGATATTTCCAATGCATGAACATGGAATATCTTTTCATTTTTTGGTGTGCAATTCATTTCTTTCATTGGTCTTTTATAGTTTTTATTATAGAGATCTTTCATTTCTTTGGTTAATTCTTAGATATTTAATTTTATTTTTTGCTATTGTAAATGGGAATTTTAATTTTTTTTCAAATTGTTAGTGGTTTGCATATAGAAATGCTACTGGTTTTTGTGTGTTGATTTTTGTATCCTGCAACTTTACTGAATTTATTTACCAGTTCTAATAGTTTTCTTGTGGAGTCTTTAAGTTTTTCCAAATATAAGGTCATATTATCTGCAAACAAGGATAATTTGACTTCTTTCTTTCCAGTTTCAGTGCTCTTTATATCTTTCTCTTGTCTGATTGCTTCAGCTAGGACTTCCAGTACTATTTTGAATAACAGTGGTGACAGTGGACACCTCTGTCGTGTTCCAGATCTTAGAGAAAAAGCTTTCAGTATTTTTTCCCCATTCAGTTTTATCTTAGCTGTAAGTCTGTAATATATGGCTTTTATTATATCTAGGTATGTTCCTTCTACACCCAGTTCTTTGAGAGTTTTTATTATTAAGGGATGCTTATTTTTGTCCAATGCTTTTTCAGCATCAGTTGAAATGATCACATGGTTTTTGTCTTTTATTCTGTTGATACGACGTATTGCATTATTGATTTGCATATGTTTAATCATTCTTTCATTCCAGAGGTAATTCCTACTCAGTCATGATGAATCAATTTATATGAAGTGTTTTTATAAGTAAGGACTTACTTCTGCCATTTCGTTGCTTGTTTTTCTATTCTTGTGTAATTCCTCACTTGTATACTTTCTTTCTTACTGTCTCCTTTATGGTAAAGTGGTTTTCTCTGGTTTAATGTTTTAATTCATTGCTTTTTGTTTTCAGTGCATCTATTACAGGTTTCTGTATTTTGCTATCATGAGGTTTACAAAAAACATCTTACTGATACATTATTTTAAAAAATAACAACTTGTCTTACATCACTAAAAATAATAGAAACAAAGAAAAAGCTATAAAATCTGTACACTTTAACTCCATCCCCCCACATTTGCAATTTTTGTTATCTCCATTTACATATTTTTATATTGCCTATCTCCTATTGGGTTACAGTAGCTATTATTGTTTTGAAGATTTATCTGTCAGACTTCATACTAGAGTTATGAGTGAATTGCACACTACAATTGCAGTATTAAAGTATTCAGTGGTTGTCTACATACTTAATTTTACCAGTGTGTTTTATACCTTCAAATATTTTCTTTTTTTTTTTTTTTTGCATTTTTGTGGTCTTTTTTTTCAGACTGAAGGACTCCTTTTAGCATTTCTTGTAAGATGTCGCTGATGGTGGTGAATTCTCTCAGCTTTTGTCTGGAAAATGCTTTATCTCTCTTTCATATTTGAAGGATAACTTTCCTGGATACAGCAATCTTGGATGGAGTTTTTTTCACCCAGCACTTTAAAATGATGTTCCATTCGCTCCTGGCATGTATGATTTCTTTTGAGAAGTTTCCAAATGAAATTGGAGCTCTTGTATATGTTAGTTGCTTTTTTTTTTCTCTTGCTGACTTTATCGTCTTCTCTCTGTCCTTGACCTTGGAGAGTTTGCTTATTATTCACCTGGAGGTAGCCTTACTTGGGTTGAATATGCTTGGTGTTCTTTAAACTTCCTGTACATGAATGTTTATATCTCTCTCAAATTTTGGGAAGTTTTCTGTTATTATTTCTTTGAATAAGTTTTCCATACCTTATTCTTGTTCAGCTCTCTCTTGAACACCAATAATTCCTAGACTTCTTTTTTCTAGGTAATTTTCTATATCTTGTAGATAATCTTCATTTCTTTTTATTCTTTCATTTTCTCTTCTGATTGTATATTTTCAAATAGCTGATCTTCAAGTTTACTAATTCTTTCCTCTGCTTGATGCATTCTACTGTTGATAGGCTCTAATAAATTTTTAGTTCAGCCATGTATTTATAAGTTTCATTAAGTTTTTCTGACAAGTTTCTGAATTACTTTTCTGTGTTGGCTTAGAGATCACTGACTATCCTTAAAACTGCTATTTTGAATTCTTGCTTAGAGAGCTCTCATATCATTATCTCATCAGGGAAAGTCACTGGTTCCTTGTTTTGTCCATTTGAGAAGGTCATAATTTCCTATTAGCTGATGTTTCATGTCTTTGCATTGAGGAATTAATTATTTATTTCAGTCTTCTCTGTCTGGCTTTTTTTTTTTTTTTTTTTTTTTTTTAGCTGGATATGTCTGCTTAGAGATTCTTTAAATTTATCTGTTGATTTCTTTCTTTTTTATTTTCTGCTAGGTCATTGCCTCCTCTTTGGCACTAGATGGCAGTTTGATCCCAGGTTTGCCTTGGCTCTAGTAAATGATCCCAGTCCTTTCCATCCCAAATGGAGGACATTCCAAAGGGGATATCTTGGTATTGTGGGAAGGCTGGCCTATGGGTTCATGACCAGGATACCTGTGGAACATACGTAACAACAGTTTGTTGCCAATCATTCTGATATGGCATCTCCTTTGGCTGGGTTATAGAGCAGAGTTTCCAGGGCTGGAGATGGTAGTTCCATTTCCCCCCTTTCTCTCTGCCTGTCCTCAGAAATATGTCTCCCTTCAGACACTCATGATGCTTCCCATGGGTTGAGGCAGGAACAGGTCTCCTTCCAGGAAACTGATATGGTTTGGACCTGTGCCCCACCCAAATCTCATGTTCAATTGTAATCCCCAGTTGGAGGTGGGGCCTGGTGGGAGGTGATTGGATCATGGGGGCTGTTTCTAATGGCTTAGCACCATCCCCTTAGTGCTTTTCTCATGATAGAGTTTTCATAAAATCTTATTTAAAAGTGTGTAGCAGCTTCCTCCTTTCTGTCTTCCTTGTTGCTCTGGCCATGTAAGATGTGCTTACTTCCTCTTTGCCTTCTACTATGTACGTTTCCTGAGGTCTCCCTAGCCATGCTTCCTTTATAGCCTGTGGAACTGTGAGCCAATTAAACCTCTTTACTTTATAAATTACCGACTCTTGGGTATTTCTTTATAGTGGTGTGAGAATGGACTAATATAGGAATCTAAGATGGTGAGGAAGCTGATTGTCTACCTCTATCTCACTTTTTCTAGTGTATACATTACAAGTTAGAAATTTTTTGGGTGCTTGGTGCTGGGCAGACTGAGGGGATGGGTGTTGCAGATATGGAAGTCCAATTCTCTTACCATCTGCTTTGAGTTTTTTCACTTCTCTCTGGCCCTGGGAACTGTCCCATTCTCATATTTGAGTTCTTTGATATTGCTGGTGATAATCTCAATGCTGTGTCTGTTTTTTTATTTTTATTTTTGTTGGGGAAGTGAAGCTAGCTTGCTTCCATGCTGCTATTTTGGAACCAGAACTCTACTTATGAATTTTTTATTTTAAACATACAATACCTTTTACATTTTTCTCTGTCTTATAAAATAGGTCTATATTAGTATATTTCTAGTACTAGAGATGGATTCAGTCAGATCACGTGAATTCTTTGTTTAAATTCTTCACACCAAGAAAATGAGAACTTGCAAAGTTTGATCATAGACATTTATATTACAGTAGTGTGTTTGAAGAGGAGCTGAAAGGGAAGGCAGACTTATAACAGATATTTTACAGTCAACCAAAATATTTTCCATGTTTTGTGTTGGCAGTCCCAAGGCAGCTGCAACAATGATCCTTCACTATTAGCATGTTGTCTTAGTCTGTTCACTGCTGCTATAACAAAATAACTGAGATTGGGTAATTTATAAACAACAGAAATTTATTTCTCACAGTTCTATTCTAGAGAAAACTTCAAACCATAGTACATGCTCTTCTGTCTGAGCAGGTAACTTAACTCATCCCCTTAAACAAATACAGTTACCAGTGCTGCCTTGGGATTCTTGTTCCCTAGCATTCCTCCCATCCAGAGCATTTATTACAGAATTTAGTAGGAGTGTGGTTTATTATTCAACCCTTAGCCCACCTTGCAAAAATTCTCTTTTCTAGTTTTCCTGATCTCTAAACTGATAGTTATTCTAGTATTTTCTTATATTAATTTTAATGCAAACTTTTTTTACACATGCAAACAGGCTAATCAGACTTTTGATTTACTGATAGTGATTTCTTTGATAATCTCAATAAGGATGTAAAAACCCCTATTATTTTCAAATTATGTTTATATTTAATATATTATCTATATTTTATGTATAGTGACTTCATTATAGGATATCTTCTATATATAATAAAAATTATGAAATAAAAAGTTACTTATAGTCTCTTTAACCACTATCAACATTTTCATACAAATCCTATTATTTTTAGTGTGTATATAAAATATATATTAAATATATGCACAGACATATATGCATACAGTTATGCATATATGTGCATATATACTATTTACAGAAAATGAATTCTATTTTTACTTTTTGGTGTAGTCTGTTGTTTCAGTTCAAAATTTTATTCAATTTTATTAGATTAACAGAGATGTAATAATAGTTGCTTGAATTAAGAAGTTTTTTCTTTCATATAAAGAATTCCAGAGGTGGATATTTCATGCCTGAAATGATGACTCCAGAGACTTGCATGTGTGATCTTAGCTCACTGCAACCTCCGCCTCCCGGGTTCAAGCTGCCCTCCCACCTCAGCCTCCCTAGTAGCTGGAACTACAGGCATGCTCCACCATGCTAGCTAATTTATTGTATTTTTAGTAGAGATGGGGTTTTGCCATGTTGCCCAGGCTGGTTTCGAACTCCTGGCCTCAAATGAGCCACCTGCCTCAGCCTCCCAAAGTGCTGGGATTACAGGCGTGAGCCACTGCACCTGGCCTTCTTTATAATTTTACCTCATCATCTTTTACATGTGATTGCCATTCTCTAGGTCGCAAAGGAGCTACTACAACTCCAGCCATAAAGTGGGCTTTCCAGGCTGAAAGAGCAATGGGACAAAAGGAGATTAGGAGATATACCTAATGTTAAATGGCGAGTTAATGGGTGCAGCACACCAACATGGCACATGTATACATATGTAACAAACCTGCACGTTGTGCACATGTACCCTAAAACTTAAAGTATAATTTTAAAAAAAAAAGGAGATTAGGATGGAATCCGTATATGCCTCTTTTGAAAAAGTTCTTCTGGAAGCTCATCAAACAGTATTCACTTACATATTGTTAAAGGATTAGTCTTTTTATTTTTAACTGGCCTTTTTTCCATTCCAAGTAAAGTCAAGGTTCTTTTAGAGGGGAATAAAGGCTCATAAATCTGACAATTAGCAGTTCCTATGCCATTTCTACTTATCATTAAATTTCCTTCTATAACACACGTTTGGCTTTATATTATACAGGTTATAGAGAAACTATTATTGAACCAAGACCCTTCCATTGGACATTAGTTATTTCAGATTCTTCATTCCTATGAAGAGGGCTGTAATGAATACCCCCATAGTTGTATTTCTGTGTATCTAGGTTTATATCCTTAAAATCAATTTCTAGGAGTGGAATTGCTAGGTGAAAGGACATGCATCATTTTAAGACTTTTTGATGGGTATTGCCAAAAATCAGGCTTCCGATCTTTCTGTGTTTATCATTTCTTGACTTGTAATTTTGGGCAAAGCTCTGTGATTTAGGATAGTGTCCTCAGTTTTTTTTTCTGCTGCATCTATTTCCTCCTGCCATTAAAAAAATGCCTGTTGAAGTTAATGGGAAGACGAGCACAGTTTGCGATGAAATCCATTGACGTAGTGTCTAGTTTTGATTAAATATTATGAGTAAGTTATTAAATCCAAAAAGGAAAAGAGACATCTGCATTGCCACGTACATTAGCTTGGAACATAAACAAGGCTGAAGATAAGCTGGGAAATTGTTAGTGCTCCATGGAACACACTCATCATCACTGGAGGAAAGGAAGAGATTGTTTCTTATAGCAACTAAAATAAATTTCCTGTAATTGTTAGGAGTTCATTCTATGATATACTGGGACTTGTTTTGAAAGCATAAACATTTAGCTTTTACACACACACGTGCACACACACACACAGAGTCATTAAATTTGTAGGTGCAGTTCAATACCCATAAAACATTCTCAGAGGAGCGTTTCAAAAATGTGGAGCATAAGGCTTTACAGAAAATCTCATCACACTAAGATGTGACTGTGATATGAAATTCTATTAAGATAAAACCCAAAGAGAATGATTCCTTTTTTGTTCTTTGAAATTAATTTTTGGCTAGCATTCTGGAACAAGAGAGAGAACTGTCTCTCTTTGTGGGTGGAGATTTTTGGTATGCCACTAGTTGTGAATACAGGTGAAAGGAAATTTAAGAATCAAGAATCATTCTGAAAGATAGAGATCATCATGTAAATTAAATTAAGATAATAAATGCTTCATTGTGAAGCAAATTGAGGAAGCAAAGCAAAACAATAATCAGGCAAATAATGGCCAAAATCACGTGCACTATGTAATATCCTCAACAAGAGGCAAGCAAATAAATACATCAGCTAGACAGATCCAAATTTGGTGGGAGCATTGTTAAATTCTCTCTCACTTGTCTTTATCACCCTTGTTCTTTTTCTTTCCTTCTCTCCTGTTACTAAACTTATTTGGCTTGAAATGTCACAAGTACATTTGTTGGACATGTTGAATTTAATCTTACAAAGAGCTTCTCTATAACCAAGTGGTGTTTTATAATCTTATGAACATTATTTAACTTTTAGTATTATAGTATTAAATTTACTTTTCTTTATATTCCTTTTAAGAATTTCCTGATAAATGTCAATTTGAGAACATTAAATATTTTTATAGAAAAACATATGAAACTAATTTACTTAAATTGAAAAACAAGGAAAAATAGAATATAACTAGTTAGAAAAAAGTCACTGTTTTAAATATGATTTATTATAGGACTTTGATAGTATCCACTTTATTTTCAGTTTAGCTTACCTTGCCTACTTTACTCCCTTCCCTGCCTCTGCCATCTGAAATCAAGCTCCACATCATCTTAGCTCCAATGATGTCAGAAGCACACGATACTATTTTATTTAACTTTTATTTATTTTTCCAGGCTTATTGAGGTATAATTTACAAAAAAAATTGCATATATTTAAGGTATATGATGTGATGATTTGATGTATGTTTATATTGTAGAATGATTACTACAAGGCAGTTAGCTCAAGTAATCTCTCCCAAGATAAATCTGATAAGTCCAAGGTGGACTCTACAAGATTGAGCAGTACATGATTTTGTCTGCATGGAAGACCGAATAAAACCACACATTGGATAACCTACTTTTTTACTCTTAGCTTTATTAGAAAATATTTACTACTTACAAAGAATCTTAAGGAATAATATAGTTAACACCTGTGTATGCCCAACTCAGTTTTAGGAGTAAAACATTAATGATATAGTTGAAGCCCCACTGTGGTATATTCATAGAGTGGAACTGGAAGCAGCAGTAAAAATAAATGAATCATAG
This sequence comes from Homo sapiens, assembly GCF_000001405.40. Classification (NCBI taxonomy): domain Eukaryota; kingdom Metazoa; phylum Chordata; class Mammalia; order Primates; family Hominidae; genus Homo; species Homo sapiens. Next base: position 76,055,521 of record NC_000002.12, read on the forward strand.
CACAGATATCAACAAGAATAAATTTTAAAAGCATAATGTTAATGTTATTTTAAAAATCAAGCAGCAGAAAAATAGTGAAGTAGAATAGTATATATATCATCTGACTATAATACATTTAATATACCTTATACTATATATAATTTGTCATATAATATACTAAACTATATATTATATATACATGTATATATTGCATGCATTATATATGTACATTTTATACAAGTACATATTCTACATTATAGTGCTATATGTCTATAGTATACACTATATAGTGTATAGTAGTATATCACTATGGTATATTATATATATACACTATATATGTATATATAGTTTAAAATTGGAGAAAAAAGTACTAAATATTACTTATGAGACACATACATAGATTAATTTTAAGAAATATCTGTCTCGTTTTTAGGCAGGTTCTTCTTTCCTTAAAGGAAAAGTAATTTTAACAGTACTAGCTAAATATGGTAATGGAATGTCAATATTTGAGTGCTCTGGGTTTTAAGAGTGCACATCAGGACAGATCATGAATATTGAGAACTACTTAACATTTACTGCTTGCTTACCAAGTGCTAGGTATTGACGTGCTCATGTTTTCACTTTGAATTTCACAGACATGAGGAATCACAATTCTGTGACGTTTCACTCTTTGCCATTTCACCTCTCTATCCACACTTATTTCTTGAACTTTCACCCATTGCTCCTTCCTGTACCCCCTCTTTGCATTCCAACCTCACCACTTGCCTGCAGGTCTACAGTCTTGGTATCTATTCCTGAACTTATTTTATTTTTTATTTTTTAGATGGAGTCTCGCTCTGTCTCCCAGGCTGGAGTGTGGAGTGGCGCGATCTTGGCTCACTGCAACCTCCACCTCCCGGGTGCAAGAGATTCTCCTGCCTCAGTCTCCAGAGTAGCTGGGAATACAGACACGCACCACCAAGCCTGGCTAATTTTTTGTATTTTTAGTAGAGACAGGGTTTCACTGTGTTAGCCAGGATGGCCTCAATCTCCTGACCTCATAATCCACCTGCCTTGGCCTCCCAAAGTACTGGGATTACAGGCGTGAACCACCACACCCGGCCTCCTGAACTTACTTTTTAAAGGATGTCTATGTCCTTCACCATAGCGCTGCTCTGAGCAGAGTTGCTTATCACCTTCTTTGGGTGAACTTATACATACCTCTACTTTAGCCCTTATCATAGTGTATTAGAATTATCTATGCCATAGCATCTTCTCTTAGACTGACTCTTGAATGAAGGTACTCTAAAAATTTAGGTTTTACATTTATATCTATAATATATATTTATTGAATTGTTTTTCTAAGAAGGCTGGTTAGAAGTTAAAGACAAAATGTGTAGCAAAATAGAAAAAGAAGGTATTCATTTGAGGACATAGCTTGCAGCCTTTAATAACTCAAGCACAGGGATTTGGCTGTCAGGACTTACTCACTCTCTGCTTAGATCTGAAGAGAAGGAAGGTTGAAAGGAAGGGCATACTGTAAGGAATCAACAAGTGTGTATGCCATAAGCTCACTTCACATTATCCAATCAGCAGATGAGAGAATATGAAGAATTGGGAAGCTACTCTGTGGTATTCTGAGTGGCTTAAATAATATAAATTTATCGTTTCACAGTTCTGGAAGCTAGATGTCCAAAATCAAGGTTTTGACAGAGTTGGTTCCTACTGAGGGCTTTGAGGGATAGATTTGTTCTACGTATTTCTTCTTGGCATACAGGTATCTATCTTTTCCCTGTGTTTCTTTATGTTATTTTCCCTCTGTGCATGTCTCTGTGTTCAAATTTTTTGTTTTTATAAGGACACTAGTCATTTTGAATAGGGGCTCACCTTAATTATCTCATTTTAATTTGTTTACCTCTGTAAAGACCCTAGTTCCAAAGAAATTCACATTCTGAGGTACTGTGGGTTAGGACTTTACATATAAATTTTACAGGAGCACAATTTAGCCCCTAACAGCTCCCAGTAGATTAGGAGATAGAGTTGTATATATGGGGTGCTCTAACTGGCCAAGAAAAGGAAGAGGTTTATTGCATGATCCTGCTTCTTCAGGGCTGGTAGACAGTAAAAGACGCTAGGAGAGGCAGGGAGATTGAATCGTTTCTCTCCATGGTTTGGTGGGTCAGATAGTCCAAAGGACACCAAATATCAGGGCCTTATTTCATGAAGTAGCTTCTCAGGCTGACCTTGTCCAAACCTGGGATTTACATATCCCACATTTTTTAGTCCAATTATCCCCATTGTTGGACACTTAAGTTGATTCTATATCTTAGCTGTTGAGAACAGTGCTGCAATTGCAAGTATCTTTTTTATATAATGATTTTATTTCCTTTGGGTAGATACCCAGTAATGGGATTGCTAGATTGAATGCCAGTTCTGTTTTTAGTTCCTTGAGAAATCTCCATACTGTTTTCCATAGAGGTTGTAGTAATCTACCTTCTCACCAACAGTATGAAAGCATTTTCTTTTGCCTGCATCCTTGCCAATATCTATTTTTTAACTTTAATAATAGCCATTCTGATGAGTGTAAGATGATATCTCGTTGTAGTTTTAATGCGCATTTTTCTGATGATAAGTGATGTTTAACTGTTTTTGATATTTTGTTGGTCCTTTTTATGTCTTCTTTTAAAAGTACCTATTCTGAGAAGGCAGGCCTCCATCTTCCCAGCGGTTCCTGTGAAGATGCTGAAGAGAGGTGCCAGTGAGGGGCAGAGAGAAAGTGGTCTGTCTCTTACCATAAGGCTAATTCTCTTTAACTGTGCGACCAGCGGAAGCAGGTGTGTGTGAACTGGGCACAGATTGAAGAATCTGTCCCTGTTGAAGTGGGTGGGCCTGATTGTTGCCCCCCAGGGTCCTAAAACTTGGAATGGACTTGGATAGTGAGAGAGGAGGCCTGGACCAAGATGTGAGTCCTGTTGAAGGCTTCCTCTCTACCCATTACCTTGGTCCCTCTCAAATACCCAGTGGAATTCCAGCTTGAAGGATTGCATCCTGCTAGGGCTGAACATGCCTGCAAAAGACATGTCCTACCTGCGTTCCTGGCTCCCTTGTTCAGAGGCTGCCCTTCTCAAAGGCTCTGTGCCTACGCTGAGAAGGAAACAACCATGGGAAGGAAACAAATGTGTATAAACTGCTGTTTTTACAGCAGTTTCTGGCTCAAAAAAAGGTGTCTATTCTGTCCTTTGCCCACATTTTAGTGGGTTATTTGGGTGTTTTTTTCATTGTTGTTGTTGTTGAGTTGTTTGAGTTCCCTATAAATTCTACATACTAGTTCCCCGTTGGTTGGTTGCATAGTTTGCAAATATTTTTTTCCATTTTGCAGGCTGGTTGTCTGTTCACTTTGCTGATTCTTTCTTTTGCTGTGCAGAAGCTTTTTAGTTTAATTGAGTCCTATTTGTCTATTTTTGTTTCTGTTGCCTGTACTTTTGAGGTCTTAGTGATAAATTCTTAGCCAAGACCAATGTCCAGAAGAATTTTCTCTAGGTTTTCTTCTAGTATTTTTATAATTTCACCTCTTTCACTTAAGTCTTTAATCCATTTTGAGTTCTTTTTTTATATGATGAGAGATAGGGGTCTAATTTCATTCTTCTCCATATGGCAATCCCGTTTTTATAGTATCATTTATTGAAAAGGTTTTCTTTTTCTCCAGTGTATGTTTTTGTCAACTTTCTCAAAGATCAGTTAGATATGTAGCTTTATTTGTGAGTATTCCATTCTGTTCATCGATTTATGTTTCTATTTTTATATCAGTACCATGCTGTGCTATTTTGGTTACTATAGCTGTATAGTATAATTTGAGGTCAGGTAATGTGATGCCTTGAGCTTTTTTCTTTTACTTAGGATTTCTTTGACTATTTTGGCACTTCTTTGGTTCCATATGAATTAATTTTTTTCCTAATTCTTTGAAAAATGACATTGGTATTTTGACATTGAATGTATAGATTGCTTTGGGTAGTATGGTCATTTTAACAATATTAGTTATTCTGACCATGAGCATAGGATGTTTTTCCATTTGTTTGTGCCAAGTAATAAGAAATACTTATTTCTGGAGATCAAAAGGCCTCTGCCCAGTAGATTTCATTAGTCTTTCATAGTTTTCTTTGCAGGGATCTTTCACTTCCTTGGTTAAGTATACTCCTAGGCATTTTATTTATTTTTTCTGTATTTATTGTAAATGAGATAGTCTTCTTGATTTGGTTCTCAGCTTGATAGTTATTGGTGTATAAAAATGCTACTGATTTTTCTACATTGATTTTGTATTCTGAAACTTTCCTGAATTTATTTATCATCTAAGAGTTTTTTGATTGAGTCTTTGGGGTTTTCTAGATATAAGATATCATCAGCGATTAATGTACAAAGACCTTATTTAATTCTGGACCTGAATTATAGCTCATTTTCTTTTACTAGATCAGAGATTCTTCCTTTGAGGTCCATAATTTATCTTTTTTTGGTGGGGGGAATCCATGAACTTTGAAATTTATTCAAAATTGTAAGTGCTGTGATCTTTTCATGGATGAGTTTTATGCTTTCCATTAGATTCTAAAATGGGAACTTTGTTCTGTTCATCTGCATTATAATAAAAGTTCTGACTTTTCTTTCAAACAGCAGAAACATTTTTTAGTTCTGATGCTAGTACTTTTTATAATATTGTGGTGGCATTTTTAACTTATTTAAAACATTTTATATCTCAATCATCTTACTTTTTTTATTCCTGCCTACATCAAGTTCCCTTTTATCTCAGTTTGCTTTCTTATTTCATCTGTCATCTCTTATTTTATATTTTAAATTTTATTGAGAGCAAAAGTAGATCTTATTTAGAATGCACTTTTGTTTTCTGTAGTAAATCTCCTTTCCTCTAACTCTTCCTCATCCTACTGACACTAGATTAATACATCTTTTATTTTTTTTTAATATTTCAAAGGTTTGTATGTTGCTATTTATATGCTTCTCATCTGTCTGGGTCCCATTTTTGTTCAATATAATGTCTATAATTTTTCTTGAATTCCTTTATTTTTCACAGGGTGCAACTATATTTCTTCTTTTTAGTTGCAAGCAGGGTTATGTTGCATTTAACTTTCATTATTTTGTCAGGGGAGTGAGTGTAAACCTGTGACTGAGAGTAGTTAAAATATGTGCTTAAATTTTTGTACATTCTCTATTTGAATTTAACCCCTGTGGTAGGCAAAATACTGTCTCCCTGCATGATGTTCACACCCTAATCTTTGCATCTGTGAATACATTTGTTACCTGGCAAATGTCGAATTAAGGTTGCAGGTGAAATTAAAGTTGCAAATCAGCTGACCTTAAAATAGAGAGATTTTCCTGGATTATCTGGAAAGAGCTACTATAATTACAAGGTGTTTTTTTGTTTTGTTTTTTTTTTTTTTTGATGGAGTCCTGCTCTGTCACCCAGGCTGGAGTGCAGTGGTGCGATCTCGGCTCACTGCAACCTCCACTCCCAGGTTCAAGCGATTCTCCTGCCTCAGCCTCTCCCAAGTAGCTGGGATTACAGACACCTGCCACCACGCCCAGCTAATTTTTGTATTTTTAGTAGAGACGGGGTTTCACCATGTGGGCCAGGCTGGTCTTGAATCCCCGACCTCAAGTAATCCACCTCGGCCTCCCAAAATGCTGGGATTACAGGCATAAGCCACCATGCCTGGCCATTACAAGGGTTTTTGAAGTGGAAGAAGGAGGCAAGAGAGGTGGTCAAAGTGATACTCTATAAGAAAGATTTGATGGACCATTATTGGCTTTGAAGATAGAGGAAGAGGATTAGGAGCTGAGAATTCACCTAGGAAAACCAAGGAAACAGATTCTTCCCTAGAGCCTTCACAAGGAAAATTTGCTTGGCCGGCAACACCTTAATTTTAGCCAAGTGAGACTTGTGTTAGATTTTTAACCTAGAGAACTGTTAAGACTGTAATGTGCATTATTTTAAGCCATTCAGTTTGAGGAAATCTGTTACAGTGACAATAAGAAATTAATCCAGTATATCTTGATTCTCTCTTTACTTTGGCCTGGACATTACTCCAGGTGCCTTTTGTGGCTGTGTCCAGACTCTTTGATACTACTCCTGCCGCTTGAGAGATAAATTGTTCCTTAAAGAGTTATCTTGCCATTTGACTTGAAAAGATTGCAAAAATGATTTGATCTTCCAGCACAGTTACTTCAGAATAGTGTAGTTACATGGCAAGGAAAGGAAATCTACGCGTTATACAGTTGTGGTCTCATTTCCCCGTGGGCCAGCCTCATTCTTTAGCCTTTCCTATAGTAGAAGCTCAAAATGACTTTTGCCAATAACTCTTCTCTGTATTTCTTTTGACAGTTTTTTTTTTTCATTATGGAGTTGATAATTTGTCCTATGTGTTTTTCTTCATTTTGTTCCCACTTGTACTATGCTTGACTTCCTCTAAATTTTAAAAAATAAAATGACCCTAGTTATTTCTTCATTCTGCCGTGTTTTTATTCTGTCACTTGTAAAGACCAAATGGGGGCTTTAGACATCCTCCTCAAGTAACCATTTTACTTAGAAGCCTCTTTTATCACAGGATATATACTTTTCTTAAATTAACAATGTCAGTTTTAATCAAAATATTTCTGTATAAGGTCTTACCTGCTTGGCACTTCTACTACTCTCAGGATCATATTAACAGAAATCAATGTGGCCGGGCGCGGTGGCTCACGCCTGTAATCCCAGCACGTTGGGAGGCCGAGGCGGGCGGATCACGAGGTCAGGAGATCGAGACCATCCTGGCTAACACAGTGAAACCCCGTCTCTACTAAAAATACAAAAAATTAGCCGGACGAGGTAGCGGGCGCCTGTAGTCCCAGCTACTCGGGAGGCTGAGGCAGGAGAATGGCCTGAACCCCGGGGGCGGAGCCTGCAGTGAGCCGAGATCGCGCCACTGCACTCCAGCCTGGGCGACAGGGAGACTCCTTCTCAAAAAAAAAAAAAAAAAAAAAAATCAATGTACCCACATACATAAATCTGGGACTGCTATAGACAAACTTGTGTATCTCCATAATTCGTGTGTTGAAATCCTAATCCCCAGTGTGGTGACTGTATTGTGACATGAGGCCTTTAGGGGATAAGTAAAGTTAAATGTGGTCCTAAGGGTGGGGCCCTAATCTGATACTATTAGGAAGAGGCCTTCTAATATCTCCTTCCTCTTCTTAGAGGAAGATCTCTCTCTCGCTCTCTCTCTCTCTCTCTCTCTCTGCACAAAGAAGAGGTCATGTGAGCATTCAGTGAGGAGGTCCTCAGACCTTCCGAGAGAAGTGTCCTCAGAATGAAACCTATCCTGCTGGCACCTTGATCTTGAATTTTCCAGCCTCCAGACCTGTGAAAAGTAAATTTCTGTTGCTTAAACCACCCAGTCTATGTTACTTTGTTATGTCAACCTAAGCCAAGACAGGACCATGTGGGACTCAGCTAAGTCCTCTGTATTTCTATAGAAATTGTACCTGACCTCAAGTAATCCACCCAATTTGGCCTCCCAAAGTGCTATTTCTATAGAGTTGGGCCACGATGAGCCCATGCTCAGCATCTAAAGAGGAAGAAGATACCTCAAAATACTTATTTCTGGAGATCAAAAGGCCTCTGCCCAGTGGATTATTTGGATTCCTCTTCTTTGGATGACATATTTTTTTCCCAGGTAAAGAATTCCTCCCAGAGAACAAATGTGTTTCAGGATTTTTTTTCCTATGGCACTTCTCTGTCATCATAACTCAATATTCTATAGGCTTGGGACTTCAAGGGTACTCTTGATGATAATATTTAAAATTCCTGTTTTAGAAGATTCATTTCAGACTCTATAGACAATACTAGGAATGTAAGTATTCATGATAAAATTTCTTCTTGCCAGTGCTTTTTCAGCATGAGGAAATAGAGAAAAGCAGGCCCTGGAGTAAAGTATACGTTGGCTGCAATCCTGACTTCATTGCTTGTTAGTTTTGCAAAATTGATAAAGTTATTTAACTTCTCTGAGCTTTAGATTTACCATCTATACGATGGGAGTAACTGTCGGCTAGCATGAGCGCTAAAAGAAATAATGCACTTTAAACCATTTATCACAGTTCCAGGCACAAATGGCAGCCGTATTATTTTATCCAAAAAAAGTAATCAGTGTCACCCTCTGCCTCCATATCTATGCCTTTCAGGGAAACTCTTTTTCATTTTAGATTCATAGATAGGCTGTTTTCTGTAAATATGTAATTTGACCAGATTTAGTTCTTTCTTTCTCTCTTACATACAGAAACATCATTTTTGACACTTTTGGGGAAATAAAAAACTAAGGTAGACAAAGCAGATACAACAGCAACCTGCCAACATTTTCTCTCAGCCTGGAGTAGACTTTTTGCTGCTTTCAAAGTTTCCTTGAGTTTTATCTGGTTTTCATTTTTTCCACACAAAAAAAATACTTTTTGACATGTATTTTTCTTAGCTCTCTCATCTGTCATTTCTTAATTTTAAAAGCTTCCATCTTAATCTTATTCGTAAATTTTCTTAGTTATACATTTTACTAATGTGATCAAAGGTAACAGTAATTTGAGATTATCTATGGTAAATGATTTTTGGTGGGTGTATTTAAAAATCTACAGTTGTTTAAGCTTTCATTATATTTATCTGCCATGATCAGAAATTGTAGTATTCCATATTCTCCACAAACAGTTATTTCCAAATACCCTAATCTTTCTCTTTAAGTTGTAAATTATTTTTAGTCATTTTTGGCAGGAACATTCCTAAAGCTTAATCCTTACTACCCTGTCCTTCCTCTTAACCTCTTAAACAAATACGTTTTATACTTTTTTTTTTTAAGAGACAGAGTCTCACTCCATCACCCAGGCTGGAGTGCAGTCACGGCAGCCTTAAACTCCCAGGCTCAAGTGATCCTCTTGCCTCAGCTTCCTGAATAGAGGGGACCACCACCATGCCTGGCTCATTTTATGTATTTTAATACTGTCTTAATGACTGCAATTTTTTTTGTTATAAAAGTCGGTTATTTTAATGCTGTAAGATACTTATGATTACTTCTGAAGAAGTACTCTCTCCATTTAATAAAAAAAAATCTTTCGTTACTCTTATTTCTGATTCATGTGAGGTCAATGATATGCAAAGGAAGCCTTGCTAGGAGGTTTTAGGAAAGAAATTTCCTCCTTTTTAAGAGGAAACCTCAGGAGGATAGGCTTTAAAAAATTTATGATAGAGGCTGCTAAATATGTAACTTTGGCGAAGTGTGGCAAATTATGGCAGATAACTCCTGGAAAACCATAAGGAAAGAGAGCAAGAACTAACATTTGCCCTAGTTGTATAATTTTACTCATTGCCTTGATTATTACTGAATCAGGCCTGATTTAGCCTTTCTGCCACTTTACATCAAAAGATTTCTAGCAGATTTATTACAGAAAGAAGCAAATAGAATTTACAATATCTATTTCAGCTGTTTGGAAAGTTTACTACTTGATCTTATCCATTGTTTAATTTTGGGAAACTGACTCTCCTGCAGTGCTGTGCTGTCATTATGTATAATATTTCTTTTCATCATTTGGTTTTTCATACCCAGATCTTCTTTGACATTTCAAATATGAGCTCTCTATATAAATACCCATCTATAGTTAAGCACACTGAATCATTTTATGAATCATCAATACTTTTACGTAGATAGTTATCTGAAAGATAACATTTTCTAATTACCTTTTACTATTACCTTCATTAAGAATTCCTAAGGAATGGCTTAAATAAATATATATATTTATTTTTATTTAATATCCTAATTTTCCTAAAATTATCTCTTAAATCCTAACTTGTGTGAAGCCAATTTATGTGAAAAGAAGATAAATAAATGAATACATTTAGACATGCTTTGGATATAAGTGGGCAACGAAACAAGTTCTATGAGAAAAAACATAGGACAATGCTTCTAAGTATTTTACCTTGACTTGGTACAACTCCAATTCCGAATATTGCAAGACACCCTATACAATGTTAATCTCTCCCAAAATTAAGCTTAAATTTTATCTCAGAAGAGCACTACAAGGTCATTGAAAAATGAATTGATGCATAAGGCTCTCTGGAATATTTTATTAGAAAAAAATGGGTTACTCTTTTGAATAGGTAGGCACTTTTCCCAGCTGTAAGTCCACTGATGTTCAAAATTTTATTCTAAGCACTTAAACTTATGACTTTGATCCTTGTTAAAATATACATGCTCCTTGGGAGGATTAATATACTGTGATGTGAATAGGAAAGTTTCTGATGTTTTACTGATTTCAGTTTATATGGTGGAAATAGAGATTATTAAGCATTGGTCTCCTCTGAGGAGAAAAGAGTTAAAAGATGAGGATGCTGGAAATCAAAGACTACTCCTATCTATTCTTTTCTATTTTTGAACAACAATGGTTATAGGCCTCTGGCAGCCACTATGTACACATTTAAAAGGCTGTGAAATTTTACCCAAGATTGGAAAGATTGCCAATGGAGTGAGAAATTGGAAAAGCCAGATGGGGATTCCTTCATAAAACCAAAAAAAAAAAAAAAAAAAAAAAAAAGAAAGAAAAAGAAAAGGAATATTATTTGAGACTTTAGGAAGAACTTTCATATCTAACTTTGCTATATAGTTGTACACTGAAAGTAAAGTTTTGGTAGGATTTGGTTAAACCCCTCCCGAGTAGCATTTTAAAAGCCATATGGATAAAAAATGAAGATCTGAAAGATAGACTGATATTTCAGAGAGAAGATTCAATTTATTCCTGGCTCAATGCAGAAATGCCTCCTTTCTAGTGCGTGAGGATCATTTCTGCTGCCTAGAATCAGTGCTTACTTGGAATAATTGCTCTCATAATTTTGCTATTATTTACAACATTCTGAAGAAGGTGACATTTCTTTGCATGCATGCCTACTTTGTGAAAAATCAAACACACCTAGAAGACAGTTGAATGGATCAAAGGCATACAAATTTTTAACATTTTTATACATATGGTCCAATTGCCCTCCAAGAAGTCTGTGACAGTTTTCTTCCCAGTTGTGTTCCTGGTAACATTTCTGCAGGCATTCTGAAGAATTTGACTTTTTAGGGCATGCATTTTATAAACATTTACTGGGAAATCAGTAGTCATTCTGACAATGCAAGCCATAACAACCAATTGGCATGAATTAGTTATTATCCTTCTTTTTATTGTTGCAAGTTTTTGCTAAATCATAAAAGAAGTATCTGTGACACTCTTAACAGAAACTTGAGCCAATGTAGGGTTTCCCCCCAGATACAGTTGTGCCTGGGATAATAGAGTACTGGGCTTGCTTCAATGAGCACATCACTTTGTAACTGAATGTGCATAGCTCAGCAACACAAAGCATTAGGTGTCATTATTAACAGTTTTGTCAGTTTTACTGCCTAAACATTTTTTTGAATCTCCCTTTTAATTCTCCCTATAGCACGTATTTAGGCTATCATCTTCTTTCACCTGTACCACTGCAGTGAGTCTCTGAATACATTTTTGTCCTCTCAAATCTGTTCTCAATCTTGAAGCTAGAGTGGTATTTTAAAAATGTAAATCTGATTTCGTTAACTATCTGCTTAACTAAAACTGTTGCATAAAATCTTATTTCTCTTAAAATAAGCAAACAGGCCGGGCGCGGTGGCTCACGCCTGTAATCCCAGAACTTTGGGGGGCTGAGGCGGGCAGATCACCTGAGATCAGGAGCTTGAGACCAGCCTGACCAACATGGAGAAACCCTGTCTCTACTAAAAATACAAAATTAGCCGGGCGTGGTGGCGCATGCCTGTAATCCCAGCTACTCAGGAAGGCTGAGGCAGGAGAATAGTTTTGAATCCGGGAGGTGGAGGTTGCGGTGAGCCAAGATCGCGACATTTCACTCCAGCCTGGGTAACAAGAATGAAATTCCTTCTCAAAAAAAAAAAAAAAAAAAAAAAAGGCAAAAAATCTTTAATACTGCCTTGAATTCCACGTGTGACCTGATGCTGGTGTACCTCTGTAGCTTCATCTTGTTCTTTGTCCATCCTTGCTTGCTGTATTTCAACCACATAGAACTTTTGATTTCCCAAAAGTTCTGCCATATTTACTTCTACCTCAGGGTACTTGAACCTGAAGTTTTCCTTTTCTGCCATACTACTCCTTCCTTTTCTCTATCTCTTCGTTTATTCATCATATCCTTTAGCTATCATCCCAAATGGCATTTAAAGTTTCCTTCCCAGACTTTGTCAGCTGGTCTGCTTTTGTTCTTTCAAAACACCCTATATCATTTTTCCTACAGCACTCACTGAGGTTTGCATTTATATATTTATATTGTTTATCATATCTCAGGGGTCCAAAAATGTCTGTAACATAGTAGATTTCCGGTAAGTATATGTGAAATGATGGAATAAAAAATAAATAATAACATAGAGGTGCCATGAGGAATACAAATGAAGGTGAGTTCAGAATAATGATTGTCTCAAAATGCAGGAAGACACAAGGATATGGTGCATTGAAGAGAAAAGGGTGGAAATAGCATAAGGATGGTGGGCTGAGACACAGCAGCACAAAAAAGATGAAATACATAAGAAAAAGAAAGTAGAAGAGAGAATGGGGAAAGCATGTTTCAAAAAATATTGATTTATGGATATAAATAAAAGACACTTTTATAAAGTGACTTAGGTTAAAATAAAAGAATGAGGAAAGATATGCCAACAGATAAGAAAGCATGACTATAATGGTGAAATCAAAATACAGAAAATCCAAAGTTAAATGCATTCTATGTGAAAAAGCAAGTTGTCATATACTGATGCCATACCAGATGACAAAGCATCAAAATATGTAGAGTAAAAGCTGTTTAGAACATAATAAGACATTGATGGAAAGAGAGTAGTAATGGAAGATTTAAAAACATGGTGTTGTCACATGGGTAACCAATTTCTTTTTTAATGATGGCAATCAACGCAGGCAAAAGAAGAAAGTTTTCTTAATGCGGGTGCAAGATGCAGGTAACCTGTATGTTAAATACACTGCAGCATGGGTGACATAACAGCAAACCTCAGGGAGCCATTCCATCTCCAGTTATGTTGCCCAGAGAAAGTCTCTTGTGTGTGTCTCCAAAGAAGCTGGTTGTAACACTGTTTCTAATCATAAGACTTTTAAACAGCCTAGATACCCATCATTAGGGTAATATATTTATAAAATTTTGAATATTCATAGGACGGACACTTTATGTCAGATAAAATGGATGAATTCATTTTATATTGGTCAGATTGGATAGGTATTAAAAGCATAGTAAATAAGGAAAAGGCAGAACTGTATATCATGTGTAATACTGATTTATGATAACTTTAAAACAATTATATATGTTGCTTATGAATATTTATATAAATGTTAAAATATAAAAATAAATGGATTTATAAAGGACACATCAAACTCATGGTAATGTTTATCTTGAGAAAAGAAAAACTGCAGGGCTAATTAAAAGGGACTTTAATTTTAGTTTTAAAATACGTATGTGGGTATGCATGCACACATGTGTGAGTGTGCATACATGTAAATGCATTTGTGACAAAAGCAGTTATTAATACAAAACGAAAAGAGTATGGGTGTTTTGGGTGTTTGTTATAATTTAATCCCTATATTTTATATTTTTAATTAAAAATAACTTTCCAGCTCTCCAGAAATTTCAAAACATATTGTTACAAGTATATATCAAGCCTATAAAGGGCAGAATGTATAATGGTTAAAAGCGAGTGCTCTGTTACTGGCTGCTATGATGACTTGCAGTAAAACCTGTACTCAGAGGAAAATGTCAGTCTGAAATGCTTTTATTACAAAGAAGAAAAAGTACAAAATAGCTTTGGATTCAGCTTGGAAGAAAGAGCCACTTTCTAGTGGCTTAATTCTTTAGCAATAAAATGAACTGCCATGAGAAAAAACAACAACAACGTGTATCTCTCTAGTTGAATTGTGCCAATCAATTGTGGTTTGTTTTTTATTTAATTTTTACTAAGTGTATTTATCAGCTTTAACACTTTTTTCGTGGAGCCATTAGGATTTTTTCTATACAATATCATACCATCTGCAAGTAGAGACATTTTCACTTCTTTCTTTTCTATTCGGATTCCTTTTACTTTTTTTTCTCTTGCCTAATTGCTTTGGCTAGGACTTCAAGTACTATATTGAAAAGAAGTGGTGAGAATGGGCATCTTGTTTTGTTCCTGATCCTGGAGGAAAAGTTAACAATGTTTCACCTTTGAGAATAATGTTAGCTATGGTTTTGTCATATATGGCCATCATTGTGTTGAGGTACATTCCCTATATTCCTAATCTGTTGAATTTTGTCAAATGCTTTCTTTCTATACTTATTGAGATGGTGATAAGATTTTTATCTTCCATTTTGTTAATGTGGTGTGTGACATCTATTGCTTTGCATATGTTTGACCATCCCTGCATATCAGGGGGAAATCACACTTGATCATGGTAAATAATCCCTTTAATGCATTCTTGAATTCAGTTTGCTAATATTTGGTTGAGGAGTTTGCCTCTCTGTTTATTAGAGACATTGGCCTATAATTTTCTTGTAGTGTCTTTTTCAGGCTTTAGTATCAGGGTAACGACAGCTTCATAAAATTAGTTTGGAAGTATTTATTCCCTCTACTTTGATTTTTTTGGGAAGAATTTGAGAATTATATATATTATATTATATACAATATATTATATAAAATATATAATATAATATATAATATATATTGTATATTATATTATTATATATTATATATTATTAAATATATATATTATATTATATATTATATAATATATATTATATATAATAATATAGAATATATAATTATATATTATATTATATATTATATAATATATATTATATATAATAATATAGAATATATAATTATATATTATACTATATATTATATAATATATATTATATATAATAATATAGAATATATAATTATATATTATATAATATGTGAATAATGTAATATATAATTATATTATTTACATATTATATAATATATAATTATATTATATAATATATAATTATATTATTTGTATATTATATATAACATATACATTATATTATATATAATATAATTATATATAATTAATTATAAATTAATTATATATAATTATATAATATAATATATAATATACATAATATATAATATATAATACATAATATACATAATATAATATATATTATATATAATATAATATATATAATATAATATAATATAATGTATAATATAATTATATATTATATATAATATATAATGTTATATAATTATATTATATTATATAATTAATTATATGTAATTAATATAATATAATTATTATATATAATTTTTTATATAATATAATATATAATTATATAATATAATATAATTATATTATATTATATAATATATATATATTATATAATATAATATAATTATATTATATAATTATATAATATAATATAATTATATATTATATTATATAATAAATATAATTATATAATATAATATGATTATATAATATATTATGTATATTATATATTATATATTGTATTATGTATATTATATATTATATATTATGTATATTATATATTATGTATATTATATATTATGTATATTATATATTATATATTATATTATGTATAATATATTATGTATGTTATATATAATATAAATTATATTATATATTATGTATATTATATATAAATTATATTATATATTATGTATATTATATATAATATAAAGTATATATTATGTATATTATATATAATATAAAGTATATATTATGTATATTATATATAATATAAAGTATATATTATGTATATTATATATAATATAAAGTATATATTATGTATATTATATATAATATAAAGTATATATTATGTATATTATATATAATATAAAGTATATATTATGTATATTATATATAATATAAAGTATATATTATGTATATTATATATAATATAAAGTATATATTATGTATATTATATATAATATAAAGTATATATTATGTATATTATATATAATATAAAGTATATATTATGTATATTATATATAATATAAAGTATATATTATGTATATTATATATAATATAAAGTATATATTATGTATATTATATATAATATAAAGTATATATTATATGTTATAAATTATATATTGTTATATATTATATATAATATATATTATATTATATATGCTATTATATATATTTATATATATAATATTTGGTGGTTTTCAGCCATGAAACCAACAGGTTCTAGGCTTTTCTTTAATTGGAGACTTTTTATTATTGATTCAATCTCCTTACTCATCAGTGGTCTGTTCGGATTTTCTCTTTCTTCATGATTCTGTCTTGGTAAGTATTATGTGTCTAGGAATTTATTCATTTCTTCTAGGTTATCCAATTTGTTGGTGTAGAATAGTAGTGTCTTATAGTTCGTATTTCAATGATATTAATGTTATAATATCGCCTTATTCATTTCTGGTCTTATTTATTTTAGTAGTCTCTCTTTTCTCCTAGTTAATCAACCTAAGATGTTGTCAATTGTATTTGTTTTTCTTTTCAAATAATCAACTCTTAGTTTCATTAATGTTTCTATTGCTTTTCTAGTCTCTTACTTATTTCTGCTCTGAACTTTGTTATTTTCTTCCCTATGCTAATTTTGGGCTTAGTTTCTTCTTCTCCTTCAAGTTCCTTGAAGGAGACTTCACGAGTCTAATTTTACTAGAAGGGGCACACAGAGACTGAAAGTAAAGGGATGCAAAAAGATATTCTGTAGAAATGAAAATTGAAAGAGAGCAGAAGTATCTAGTCAGAAAAAAATAGACTTTAAGTTGAAAACTATGAAAAGAAAGAAGTTTATTACACAATGATAAAGGGGTTAATTCACCAATAAGACATAAATACATATGCACCCAACATTGGAGCACTTAAATATATAAAACAATTAATGACCTATAGGGAGAGATAGACTGCAATATTATAGTAGTAGTAGTCCCCAATACCTCACTTTCAACAATGGTCAGATAATCTAGACAAAGAAAAAATCAATAAAGAAATACTGAAAATGAATTGCACTTTAGACCAAATGGACCTAACACATATATACAGAACATCCCATATAATAGCAGCAGAATATAGATTCTTCTATAATGCACATGACACATTCTCCAGGATTTGAAAAATTATATTAGATCACAAATCTTAACAAACTTAAAAGGATTTAAATTATACACATCTTTTGAATATCTTTTCAGATTATAGTGGCATAAAACTAGAAATCAATAACAGAAGAAATCATGGAAAAATACACAAATATGTGAAAATTAAGATACATGCTTGTAAGCAACCAGTGAGTCACAGGAGATATCAAAAAGGAAATTAAGCAAATACCTTGAGACAAACAAAGATGGAAACACAACATACAAAAACTTACGAGATGCAGCAAAAGCAGTTGTAAGAGGGAAATTTATAGTGATAAATTTCCAAACAATCTAGAAAAAGGAACTTGAGGAACTAGAAAAGGAGCAAACTTAGCAGACTGAGTTTTACGAGCAGAGAACTAAGCAATGACAAGTTTTAACAAGGGAAGCTGCCTCTTTGCAAGTGGTCTTAGTGCACACTGAAAAATTACATACCAGAGGTAAAATTTTTTTATGACTGGTTTCTTGTTTGGCCTATATTTCACTCTGGCATTTGATGCCCCATCCGAGTTTCTTCCCTAATGATACTTCTCACTGAGTACAAAAAGTGTCCTGCCTCATTAGAGGAATGTCTCTTCATTTCAGCATAATATGTTTTATACTGAAATCACAGTATTTCAGGCCAATGTGTTAGAAACTAGGTTGGGCAAAATTCCAGCCGCTTGCAAATTTTGTTTTGGGTGTTCCTGTACTTGGACTCCCAACCTTGGCAGAGCCATCACAAGTACTATTGATCTGGAAAAACTACTCCTGTTTAGCTGGTCCTATCTCTCTCACTCTTATCCTTGGAATCAGACTCAATATATGGTACTGGTTAGAGTAAATGACTTTCTTTAATTCTTTTTGGGAATATCACACTGCTTTCCCCACAACAAGTGGAGTATGACATGACACATGGCTGTGTCTTCAGTTCTGTCCCATTTACACTGTGTATGGCAAAGATTCCCTAAAATGTGTGGGGTGAGTATGTGCTCTAGTTTCAGGGCACTGGACTTTCTACACCCGATTTTTTTTGTGTTTCTTCTTATATCCTTTGTTGGGTAGGGGGTCATGACAACAGGATGGCAGAAGGCAGTGAATACCATTTTTTTTGCCACATTGTTCCTGGAAGTGTCTCTCTAACTATTTTCAATTGCATATGCTGTCTCTGAAGAGTGAATGATAGCAGTCCTAAGTATTTGTATTGGAAACTGTTTACTGGAAATGGGAATTACAGTGATCTAACAGATGAGACCACCTCAATCCTGACACATAGAGATAGCTTTTTTGGAAACTGAGATTTTATTATAACATAATAATTAAATCACTGTTGTATGCATGTTTTCCAATCCATGAAATAACCATGAAATATGTCAACTTCTTCCAGGAAGTCATCATTAAATCAGCATAAATTTTCCATCAAAAATGGGCCACTGTTGAGATTAGAGCTAGGATCGCTAGAGGCATTATATCTGTGCTGCTCTAATTAAATGTTTCTTGTCAGAAGAAAAAGCTTTTATTACTTTTTTAGAACTAATTTCATGACTGTCTGGCTTAGGCCTAAGAGGTTTGCTGGAGAAGAAAGGAGAAATATGGTCCTTAGGGTTTTGTTGCACTTTTAGTTAGAATCTTGTGACTATAAGTAAAAAGACCTTTAATAAACCTTAATTTATAGGACAGAGTCTGCCTTATGTGCTTATAATGCAATATGACTTGTCTGTTTTTACTTCCCCCGCACAATCTGTCTTATTCAGCATGGGCTTCCTTTAACTTTTCCACATTTGAAACCTACTACTCCTATAGTAGTTATGCTCGCACTCCTCAAAGTGTGCCAAAACAGACATTTAAAGTTAAGAAAAGCAGATAATCAGTGGCCTAATCAATCATGCTAAGCAATCTACATGTCAATCCATTCCATCATCTTTAAATTCAGTTAAATCTACCTTAAGCCAAAACTATGTTAGTGCTCAGTGTTAGAGACTATCCAGAAGCTATTTACATTTAAGTTGTCAAAAGCTATATACATTTAAGTTTTCTTAGGAAAAAAAATCATCTGAAATAGGTGGTAGTACCTGTACATATTAATAAAAGTACCCAGTAATTTCAATTTGTTTAAAATAAAAAATATACATATTCAACATTTAGGGAGAAAAAGTTATTTATGGGAGAAAATATTTTCCTTGTACTGTGATGTGAAAATACATTTATTTTAAAAATTTATGTAGAGCATTATTATAAATCATTTTTTCTACATTCCTATGTATGAATTGATAAAATCTGGGCAAATAATATACCAACAAGTTAACAATGCTTTTCTCTGGGAGGTGGAACTATGGGTGATTTTTATATCTCTCTTCTTTTTGTTTACTTTTATTTCCAAATTTTTTTCTGTAATAAACATGGATTACCTGTGTCCCGAATATAAAAGGAAGAGAAAATTATACATAATACATATATTTTAAAGCATTTCTAATTTAACTGTACTTGCTGCTAGCAATTTCACATCATTTGGCTTGGCTCACTGAGCTTCTCAAGTGATACCAGGCTGTTTATATTAGAGAGTACTACAAATTGGATAACCAAAAATCTCCTAGAGAGAGCTCATAAAATGACATGGTTGGATGGAAACCTGAACAGATGGGCTAACTCTACCATGGTGCTATATTAACCCTGCTGTTTTCAGACTTGTGGCCAATAACACATTGACAAAGTACAATTCCAAAAATAAGTTGGTGAAATCAAAGATGTTTAAGCAGTTTAATCTACAAATTGGGATGTGGTGGACAGGCACTTGTTGAAATGTTTCATTCTTATTAAGATCATTTCTTTATGACTATGAAAATACTTGAGTTTCGGAGGAATTCTGAAAAGATGAACTGTAATGGGGGCTGAGGGAACAGCAGCCCAGCATGTTTTCAAGCAGCTTGACTGCCATCAGTATATTATATTGAAACTGGTGTAAGTGGTGTCTCATTATGTATATGATTATGATAAGCAAAGGGAGAGTGGAGTTGTAATTGGCTAAATAAAAAGAATAGGACCAGTTCCTGATCTTCTGTATGTTCCAGTCACTAGTTGGATATCAGTGCCTAAAACACACACATAGTACCATGAAAAAAAAATCTGTTATCTGTAGAATGGTCAGGGCTTAGTTCTGAGTTATTTATCTGAATTATGTATAGAAAAAAATAATTTAAGCTGGGCACAGTAACTCACGCCTGTAATCCCAGCATTTTGGGAGGCTGAGGCAGGCGGATTGCCTGAGCTCAAGAGTTCGAGACCAGCCTGTGCAACACGGTGAAACCCCGTCTCCATTAAAATACAAAAAATTAGCCAGGCATGGTGGCGATTGCCTGTAGTCCCAGCTACTCGGGAGGCTGAGGCAGGAGAATAGCTTGAACATGGGAGGTGGAGGTTGCAGTGAGCTGAGATCGTACCACTGCACTCCAGTCTGGGTGACAGAGGGAGATTTCATCTCAAAAAAAAAAAATAATAATAATTTAAAAACATTCACTGTTAGAATTTCAAATAAAATTGTAAATAAGAATAAAAACGTGACTTTTGGAAAGATTCTTTTAAAATAACTGGTTAGTAGCCCATTTAATGTCAACAAAGATCTAAGAGGTCTTTTAGTAATATATAGTAACAACAGAATAAAGGCAGATTATTCCATTTTGAGCAGGAAGGGGGTATAAACACTATTGTCAGAAAGCCGAGCTTCTTGTCACAAATCTGTCATTGACTAGGCTTATGACCTTGAAAAAATATCACTTAAGTTCTGGGAGACTCAGTATCCTCTATTTTTTAAAATGGATCTAAATAGATGAAATCTGAGGGCCTTCTTAATGTAATGATTCTGTCTAAAATTTCATTTTAGAAATAGTTGTTTGAAATTAAAGTTGTCCAGGAAGAGCTTGTCCCATAAAAGATGAAGCTCTCAGAATATGATATTCTTAAGCCTGTTTCTTAAAGGCATTTTTCAACTTTAATATTCAGATACCATAGAGTGAGTTGGAAGGGGGTAGAGAGTCTCTTGGCTGAAGTGTAATTTAAAAAAACACTCTTCTGTCTGTCACATTTTCAGTTTAGTCATGGGTTGAAGGTCCTATGTGGGCCACATGTCCCAAACTGTGATTAGTGACCCAGGTCTGTGTAACTCACTCCTGCTTCTTCCTGCTAAAAATCAGATCTACCTACAAATGATGAAACTGACATAATTGTTGGTAAGTATCAATGAATATTTTCTGTAATTAAAGGATAATAAAACTCTTCCTTTAATTTAGAATCGAAGGCACAGCATAAAACAATGCCAGAAACTAACTTGGGGTTTCTTAGAAGAACTCAGTTGCAAACCAGTCATTACCAGACCGTTTTGGGGAACTTTTTAAAAAATCTTCTAAATTTGTAGTCTATGATTCTAAAGAATTTCAAGATTTCTACTTCATGACTATAAGGATTTATTTGGTCACTGCAAAACTAATGGACTCGCCTAAAGTAATTCCATACGTTAATGAAAGCAACAAAATATATAGTAGTTCTAATATTCAATTCTCCTTATATAAATATTAGCTATTAATAACAAACCAGTGTCATTTCATGAATGCTTACTGTGAAGCACGGGAAAGAGGGTAAAAAATAAGGATGAGAAGTACAAGAAAATAAAATCTGTTTATTTATTTGGAAAGATAATTAAAATCGTGGTTATTTATTGATGTAAAAATAGAGATGGCATCAAGGGGTTTATACAAGGAGAGTTCACTGAAGGCCAGAGAAAGAAGACTCAGTGACATGATAGGGAAGAAAATTCTGATTTTTACTATGTGCTTAACTATGATAAAGAATGTCATCAACTTAGTTGGAATGGATGGCAGATAGTCAAAAACTGAAAAATCCTGCCTGGGGGATGTTGGGATTGTGAGTGAGATATGAACGTGAAATTTGCAGTTCACAGAAGAGGGACCTTGCTGGAAGATATTTCTAGCAGAGAAGTGACCAACCTCCTTTCCAGAAAATAGTAGACCAGGTGCTAGTAACTGAGAAAAATTATGAGAAAATTTTCCTAATTTATACATTATTTAAAGAATGAAAGATGTAAAATCAAGATCTATCACTGGGCACTCTGTAATGAAAAGAGATAAGATAGTAACTGAATGAGGAAATTATAAAACACTGGGAGGCAAATAAACTCTTGAATCTAGAATAGGCTAATAGAATCTACTTATTAAAATTAGCGCAACAGACAGTCTGAAGAATACAGTTATAAGGGGACATCCTAAAGTTTGTAGAAACATACACTTAAATCTCCAATTATCCTATTCATGTGATGACTCCAAACGACATTTTTTCCCCACTCTCTGTTCAACTGATAGTTTCACGTAAAAATTCTGGGTATGATAAATCTCCAAATGTGTCTTTAGTTCAAGGAATTTATTCAACTGTCACTTGCTTCAGTGTAACTCTAAGCCTGAGATTGAGACTACTAACTTTGACCTTTAGGAATAATAGGTATATAGTTTTACTCCCACATATTCGAAGGAGAGGTACATTTCTAAAATTTCTAAAATCACCTCTGTCCAACCACCTCTTTTCTACTGTTTCTGAATATTAACTACCATTTTCTGATCACTCTGTGTGTGATACTTTGCATACAGCTGTCAAATCACACAATCATTATTTACAAATTAAATAATTAAAAAGAGGGGTTAAATGACTGTTCTGAGTCATGCTTAAATGCGGAGACTCAAACCTAGTCAACTTCATACTGAAGCACATGTTCTGTTTACCTCACCCTGTTCCATTGTCATAGCCAAGACGTGAAGGATTGACAACAAATATGAGGTGACTCCCCATCTTCTAATTTGGGTCCACCAAGAAGACTAATACATAGGTAAAAGCGGAAAAAAAAAACCCACCGAATTTCTACTTTCAAGAGTTTTAACAGTATTGTCCTAGAGGAGAACTAAGGCAAGATGGTGAAGTGGCACAGATTTATTTTAGGTTTTTACTTTTCCTTTTAGGTTCTTATTTTTTTCCCTCCAATCCTATGTCTCAGTTACCCCAAGGACTGCTGTCTGCAGCAGCTATTAAGCTGGTACATACCCAAGAGTCTGAATGTTATGTTGTTAATAGCTCAATATGTTTTACTTTCCAAAATTCCTGAAGTCCTAAATCATTCAAAGCTCTACAAGGTTTTGGCTTCTGGGGAAGAAATATTTTCAGACACAGGGGTCTTTTCAGAACTTCTTCAGTCATAACATGGAGGCCATCAGGCAGGTAAATCCAACATTGAGTCAGTTTTTAGTCTGTACACAAGGCATCTTTTTTTCACCCTTGAAAACCCTATCAGACTTTGTGAGTATGTGTTTTTTTCCCCAGAGCAAATTCTGTGACTTTAAAAAATGAATTGCTGTGTGCCTATGTCCTTTTTAAAGGTATTTTCAGTTGATGTACTGACCCAGGAGAAGACGTAGAAGCTTTTAACTTCTACATCAATGAAATCAGGAAAACAAAAGGTTTTTCAAGCAAGACAATTTCTATGTAGGTCCCTTAACAATTAAAGGATGGTCAAAGAAAGCCAATTTTAAAATGGAGGTTACTTGCTCTCTGTCTGTCACCCATGAAACTCATACCTTCAAACTCCTTGTAAACAGTCAGGTTTATATAAAGATACAGAAAAAAAATCACAATTTAAAAATTATTTAAACCTATATCCATAATATTTGTCCTTATTATCAGTGCTTTTTTCTTTCTGAATGGTTGGATTATCTACAGATATTTGTTTGGAATAAATATGGATGGGATGGAGGCAGATTCTATAATTCAAAAATATTTAGTCTTCATGTTTTAATTGTAAAAGCTCCTGGCTTTTCCAATATACATTTTCATGTTCCATTATCTTGCCAAGACTCTATAGGAACACATTCTAGTCTTAAATGCTGAACAAATAATATCAATGGCAAATTACTAAAGAAAAATGTAGTTATTATTCTGTATCTTTTCAGTCTCCCTGAATCCTGCACCTGTGAGAGGAATTTTGGACAGAAGCATTGGAGCCATTTGGGGATTCCCTCAGATCTAATATTTTGTTGGCTGTGAATTGTACCCCATTATGTGCTACACTGCACTTTATTTCCCATATTTGGCACTTTCAGTGATATTTCCTCCAAACAGACACAGGGAGCCATGCTTGGTATTCTTTAAAGGGAACAAATAGATGAGCTAATTGTTTTAAATGTCCCCAGTGAGATAAGTGGCAGGATGCTGGAATTGATCATCTAATTACCTATTTGCTATCACAGAGAAGAGGAAAATCCATCCATAATTAATGTTTAGAGAATGGAAAAGTTGTCATCTTAAATCAAGGTAAAATATAATAATCACATTGAGGACTTTTTGCAGAAAAATACAAATTATTTGCTAGATGTTGGGGATTGGCTGCTTATCTTTTCACTTAATTGTGTGTTGGCACCTGTGATATGTATAGTATTACTGAAGTATTTGTCTGGAATGTAGTTCTGATTTATAAGCATTTTCATTTACAGAACTTTGGATGCCATTCCACTTGAAGTCAAGAGAAGAATACCTAAAGAGTCCTCAGTCCAGGGCCAGCCACTTACCTATTAAGCATGCAACTCACTTGCCTGAAGGGGGCAATGGCAAGGCAGTCTCACGGACTAAGCAAGCTATGATGTTAGTTACAAGGAAAGTATGACAATATCCTATGGGATGTGCACAAGGAGAGTATCTTCTGGGATATGCCCAAGCCTGCGGAACAACAGACCTTTATTTCTAGTGCATATGTATTTTTTATGAATAGGAATATTGTGATTAATTCAGAGGAAAGAGAGAAGTTATTACAGACTAGAAAAGAATTTAGAAGCAAAATGTGTAAGTGGTTTGTCCATTTTCTCACTTTGTGTCAATTTCTTGACAAATCTTGTTGATCCGTTAGTAGATGTGCTGAGTAAATGTTAAATAAGAAGGTTATTATTTTATTGGTAATATTGGTAGTATGCTCTTTTAGCGTAGAGAGATCTCAGTGTCTTCTCTATCTTTAAACTCATCACTACCAAAGTGAAAGTACTTTTCCTTGGGCTCACCTTGGCTCACCTACAGAATGATTTGGGTGTGGTCTAGAGAGAAAGGGGCCAAGGAGAAAGCTTAGAGTATTTAAGTCTGATACATAGGCTTTCATACACAGGCAAATTGACATTGCATCTTGACATGGACCGGTGTAACCTACAAACAGTAAGGGACCATGTAATATGTCATTGAAAACTAGCCACTTTTGAGAGTTAAAGAGGTATACATTTATTAATTCACCGGGATAGAGGTAGCCCCAGGCAAACTGGAATACATTATTATACTATCTAGGAGAGTACATTAGCATTTGAAGCAGTAATGAAGTATTTATTAGTCTGGCCCTGTTTTCTTGCATATAAATTCTTATGATGAACTGGGAACCTTGCAGAGGTTTGATGTGGTTAGATGGGATTTGAATTTTAGAGACTTGGGTTCTGGTCATCTGTGTTTCTCACCACACTTGAGAAAGGGCCAACTTTTGATATAATTGGCATACCAAGATTTGAAAACACACACACACCCACACACCCACACCCACCCACACACATGGCAGTGGAAAAGAATGGGGAGAGCAGGCCTTAGGTAATGGGACAAGACTCTAGCAGTTATATTCCAACTGCAGGTGCAACTGTAGCACTGCTAAACCAGGACCTACTTAGCAGGATATGATATTAACAAAGATAAGTTTCTTTTCCATGGTCAAAGCCAGGTCACTCAGCACTTTATCTGTCTTATGTGCATCTGGCTTATGTGCTTCAAAATCTTAAAAGATGTCAAAGCTCCCAAACTGTGGTTATGGCTGTGGGTAAATTCTTTTTTGACCTTGGGATCATTATAATTAAGAACATAAACAGTAAAGGTAACAAAAACAATCTTAGTATTAATATGTTCTCTTGACTTCAGGTATAATTGGTATGTATTCAAGTGATTAAAGTGTAATGATTATGAAAATTTTAGTATATTAGACTATCTACCAGACTTACTTTGTGAAACCAATTTGAAATATATGCTTAAGTAGTGGACTTAGACTAGTGATTTTAAATTGAAAGCCCTAGGTCACTTTTACTACTATAAATAACGTTGAAATACTAAGAGGAATAAAGTCATTATACTTGTGAATACAATTGGTGAAACTTATAAGAATTAAGTATTGAAAAAAGATTTTGTTTGTTAGGCAGACAAAGTACTTAAAAAGGGTTGATTACATGTCTAAATCTAATTTAAAATATTTAAAGAAACGTATTTAACTTTAAAAGCCCTATAAAAAGTAACTTTTAAGTTTTAGTAGATTTATGAAAGGAATAAGATTTTTAAGATGTACTTTAAAGATTAAGGATAAACTAAGTTTTTAAAATGTATAACAGGCAAAAGTTCTTTTTCTTTTCTGTGCATTAAAATTACCCTCAATGATACAAGAAAATTTATGTTGGCAGCTAAGAGAATAATGAACACCTTGAAAAAATTTTTTAGAGGCAAAATGATACATTAGATATCCCAATGCATAGTTGATAGCAAAATAAATTATGCAGACAGTAAAACTGTGGGTTTAGGGGAAAAGACAGCTCACTGTGGTCTAAATTGTTCTGGTAAAGTTCAATTAAAATGTATTAAATTACCCTGAGCTTCATCCTCATGAATTGAGTTAAATAGACCTTTAAAATTTGCGTTATGTGGTGATGATAAAGGCACAGAAGTAACTTATCAACAATGCTTTGTTTAGAAGTGAGAAGACACTCTCTCTCATGAAAGTTTCTGAAAATGTTATCCTTTCTTTAATGTGAAGCTGTCAGTATGTTTTATTGATTTATGCTTTTGTATTTATTGTTCTTTTAGTGTGGAAATGGGCACCTTTGACTGAACCATGTTTCTTGCTCGGTATTGAAAAATGACCTCATTCCTTTGTAAGTATTAGTCACATTTTAATGGGGACATATTCAACGTTTGTACAAGAACTCCCAAATCTTCTGAAAGCATTATCATCACACATGGGTGAATTTCAATTACCGATGGTGCCACCAATTCAGTGTTCTTCCTATATTATGATCACAGATGAAGGTGAGTTTTTAGATGGTCAGTGACTAAAGGCTTTGAAGCAACTGATGTCACTTGCTTTCCATTTGTATCCTTTCTGCTCTTAATTGTTGCTTCTGCTAGTAAGCAGGATGTATTATCCAAAACATACTAGGCTTTGAAAATGCAAGCTCTTTTGCTATGCATTAATATGATCATTTTTCTAAGTTAATGCATCATCATTACTTCCCACTTGGCACATGGGAAAATGTAGCACAAGCAGAACTAGGGTTTGAAGTCAAACCTCAAAAAAGAAAAAAAAATAGATTTTGCTCTTTAATAGAAAAGAGAAGAAGTAAGGGCTGCAAGCAAAACAAAAATAACTCTTGAGTTGTATTTGGAAAATGGCTGCTAGACAGGCAGAATTTCTTGAGCACTTGGACTGAAGATGGTCATACAGTATGAGATGCTTTGCTTTTTCCATTCAGGCAGAATGTGGTTGAAAGGTGCTTTTAAATGTCATTCCAAGTATGGCAGAGGTGCAGACCAAGGAAAGCCTTTAGAATCCATTAGGTTGCTTTTAAGATTCCCCCCCGCCACTTTACCATCTGAAAATTATTTTCTCCACTGTCAACAGGAGATAATAACATCTATCTTGCACGATTGTTGTGTAAAGCAGTGATCACAGTGCTGATATAGAGCAGCTACTCAATAAAAAGAAAGGGTTTTGAATGTTAATGAGAGAAGTTAAAACCTGTTCAGACAAGCAAGAAGCAACAAACTCTTCCCTGAGATTTATTTTCCTTGTCTGTAAATACAGTAACAGGACCTTATTCTTTGGGTTGGAGTGAGGATTAAATCAATAAAGCACATGAAAATATGTTGCACAGAGCCTGGGTAATTGTAAGTGCTATATGAAGCTTTTTTCTCCTTTTCTTCAGTTACAGATTTGGGTAATAAATGCTTTCCTGGTATAGTAGTGCTTGTGTTTTAGATTTCTAAATTTAGAAACATTTTAATAATACCTTAAATATAATAAAACAATATTTTCAGAAGAAGTAGGTGTGTAATGATTGGTTTACATTTTGTGGTAAGTTGAATTAGTGATCTAGTGGCTTGGAAATTCAGGATGTGCCTATTGTGTGGGAGAAAAAACTGCACTGGTAAAACAGAAGAACAATGAAATTGAGAGAAAATACAATCTACCATCAATTAAGAGTCAGTCTTGGGCAATGTGAACTGGAAGACAAATGTATTGGCTATCAACTTCTGAAAAGGCATTAGAATAACCTGTTGATCAGCAAAGCTAAGTTTATTAAGGTTTAGGGTAGTGAACCTTGGCAGGCTTGGTAGTATCTGATTGGGAGTGTTTTATAAAATGCAATGGTTCTTTTGATGGCAGGCCACATCACAATAATAATCAGATAGATGAAAGGCAGAACTTTTTGTTACCTACAGCTCAAAAGAAAGATCACTGTCAGGCATGGTTACTTAGGGGTAGTTTCCCAGGACAGGGTAATAGCAAGCTAGAGCTGTAAGATGCAGTTTAAGTATGGCAAACAGGATAGGATTAGCTAGGTTTTGTGGGCTCCCTGTGGATTAGCTAATTTGAATAATTTCCCAAGCTGCAGGACATAAGAACTGTCCCTAGTTGTCTGATACCTGGCCCTCGGGTGATTAACACAGGTGCATAGTGGCCAGGAAGATGAAGTATGAAGCCCCGATAAGGAAGTGATTGGAGTATGGACATAACCAGCTGCTCAAGAAGGAGAACTGTCTGAACTTAAGTTAGGGATTGAAAAGTGAGACAAGACAGCCTTTAAAAACAAAACAACAACAACAACAAGAACAGGAAAAACTTTATTACAGGAAGATGTCGGGAAAAAATGTATTAAGTATTGAGGTCTGGGCTCATGTAGTTTAAGGCGTGTTTTTCATGGCAGGGACTGATTGAGACTGGGCAAAATTCATAACTTAATATCTTAATATTGGGGGTGCATAGAGAGTTAAGGCTCTGGAAACAGATCTTGATAAATTTTTGCTCGGCAAGCCAGCTTCTTGTCCAGATGAACAATCTATAAACTTCAGATGGGGGCTATTTCCCTGAATGAGACAACGCTTTACTTGGACACAATAGTCTTTAAGAATTTCCGGCAACAGTGAAGTTACTCATTAGACTCTTTTTTCCTCAGGCTAGAATTTTTGGAATAAACAGTAAAATAACATGGACACAAGTGTTCCCAGCTGTAAGTCCTGATAGTTAAGCAGCATGGATTCAGATGGTCTTAGTTCTCAGAGGAAAGAGTAAGACTTCTACACATGAAATAATAGCAGACCCACAAAACAGTAATATATATGCTTATTAATATATAGGAAAATAGATCAGAATATTTTAAATATTTACACACATGTTAAAGTGTATATTCATACGTGATATTCTGTAATACAGAACTTAAAGCTAGAGGATTTAAAGGAAAAGTAGATTAGGCAATGCATTACAGTTGAAAGAGCATTTGAATGAGAGAAAAGAAGCAGACTTCAAGCCTAACTTGATCTTAACTTGACACTAAGATGATGTTTCTACTTGGGCAAGTCACTGATGGAGTTTTACGTCAAGAACTGGACCACTTTTTTCTGTTATTGTTTGTTTTTGTCTTCTTTGTGACTATAGTGCAATGCTTAGCATAATATTAATGATCAGCTGTTTGCTGAATCAAAGAATGAATTTGATAGACAAATGTTCATGGAAGACATGCGTATCAAACTGGGCAATAAATGGAGTAGAACTGGGAAGAAAGCAAGCATTCCCCCCACCAAAAAAAAGAGAATACGAGTGGGTAAAAAGGAGATGATACTTTTATAGGACAATGAAACATTAATGCTTCCCAAATCTGTGAGGAATTAATAGTAGAGCTGGTAAGGTGAGGGAGGTCACAAGAAATGGAAGACCTGAAAAATCAGGAATTTATATTTGATGGGTATGATAGTAGTTCTTCAAATTTTTCCATGAAGCATTCCTAATGACTGATGGAGGTAGCCAGCTTTTGTGGTCCCAGGAGACAACATGGAAGGATAATGGTAAACCCAAAATTTCCATAAAGTTTCCTGTTTTATATTAAAATTGTATCTCATATTTACATTCTACCTTGTAATATATCTGCACTAGTTTTGTTGTAAGAATACTACATTTCCCCAAATCCCTGCATTAAAATATCACTCTATAAATCTACACTCTCTTTTTTGGGTAAATTATTGTCCCTACCCTGCCTTCCTTATCCCAGTTATGCCAATTTCTGTTTGAGAACCACTTGAAAAATTTAGTAAAAGAATGATATAATGGAAAAGAGGTTTAAAAATACCAATCTATAAATATCTTTTTGTAGATAGGTAGGTGCAAAGAAGAGCATTTGTTTAGGCAGGGGAATCAGAAGATGTCTGGTGATTCAATTGGGTGGTA
This sequence comes from Homo sapiens, assembly GCF_000001405.40. Classification (NCBI taxonomy): domain Eukaryota; kingdom Metazoa; phylum Chordata; class Mammalia; order Primates; family Hominidae; genus Homo; species Homo sapiens. Next base: position 76,086,259 of record NC_000002.12, read on the forward strand.
GCAAGGACAGTGAAGGGGTTGGCAAACTACAGCCCAGCCCATGGGCCAAATTCTGCCAGTTTTGTAAATAAAATTTTGGAAACAGCCATATGAACTCATTTACATATTGTCTGTGATTGTTTTAAATACTACAATGTAGAGTTGAGTGTTGCAACAGAGACCAAATAGCCTCCAAAGATACAAATACTCACTTTCAGGTGATACAGAAAAAGTTTGCTTGCTCCTGGTTTAGTTTAAAGTGATGCCAGTGGGGTTGAAGAGGAAAGCAATCCATATGAAAAAAAATTGTAAAGAAGGAGTTGCTAGATAACAACCCCCCACCCCCCCCCAAAAAAAAACCTGCTTTGTGATTTATAGGATACAGGACATGAAAGTAGTAGAATACTTACACTTTATCTACTTCAAAGGCAACTTGAAGTTTTCAAGCCTGGGTAACTCAGAAAATTATGGTGTCCTTGGCAGACACAGGGTGATAGAGAGAAAAGCCAGTTTAGGGGTTCTCAATCTTTTACATGTTGATTCTGAGGTGACAGACTAACTCCAAAAAATGTCTAACGGCATGCTGCACCTATTGGAGTGTAACTTGAATGCAAGATGATGGCGAGGGTATAGATTCAGAAGTCATCAACAGAAAATATAACCAGAGTCATTTTCACTAGCAGAAGGACAGTCAATATATTTAATGGTGAAAGAAAAAAAGGCAAAAAGGTGGTTCATGAGATCCACGCATTGAACAGGCTAACAAGAGACTAAATGCCTGTTTATATCTATAACAGCCTCCAGCCTGCCATCTAGTTTGTCTGGTTGCCCTTTGATTCTCCATCAATTAAGTATACAGATAAATTGGCCAATCCTAATGAACTGTGTTGAGAAAACAGAATGAAGTATTTAAAACACTTTTATAGCTCCAAAAATAAAAAGAAACACTACAGGCAAATTCTAGGGATTATCATTATTATCCAGGAAAATCAGCTATACCTCAGATAGTATAATACTATGGGTCAAATTATGCTTTTTGTGAGTGCAGTGAGCTGTATAATATATGATACTAACTATAACTTGATTCCAGCATTAAGAATGTGCTTCTACAACATTTCATTAGGGCAGAAGGAGTGGAGTGAATATTAGAAGGGTTTATAGCTTGTTAGATTTTGTCAGACTTTAATTTAGTTATACAGTTAAGATATCTATTTTAATATATGATAAATGAGCTGAAGATTATCTAATATTTTAGGGAGTATATAAATGAACTGTTTACATTATCTTTAACTCAGAATTGGTAAGATCATCATGGACTGAATTAACACCCATTCCTCCCAGCAACTCTCATCTTTCTTTGTTAGGCCATGATGAAGCAATAACCACGCGCATTTCCTCCTGTTCTGGCCAATGACTTGCTTCCACTCAAATAACACAGATTTGATATTCGGTTTCCCAAAAGTGGAAAACAGGAAAGTCAGAGCCAAGTGGGAAGACCTACACTTAATGCTTTCACTCATTTTGTCATTAATAACGCTGCTCAAGACCAACTGAGATAAAGAATAAAAAACTATCAGCTATTTTTCTGAGGGGATGGATAAGCAAACATGAATCCTTTCTCGCTACATAGTTAGTTGACATTAATCAACTTGCGTAGTCTTGAAGACCAATATATGTGCTTTTATGATATTCTTACAGTGAGCCTTTGGTCACTGGCATTTTTTATGTTATAAAAATAAAGAGAATTAGAGTATGGATGTAGGAGAAAAAAGTTGATGCAGCTTAGAAAGCTCATTAAGAAAAGAAGCTTTATTATTAATCTGCCAAGATTGATTCCGAGGTGAAATAATGCCATTAGCACTGTCTTGAGTAATCAGTATTTATCCTGATTCTTCTAGCCATTCAGAAAGAAAATAGATTAACAGAAAATAACACAACAACCTCAAATATAACTAAATGCTGTAGCTATGTCTATGCGGTTTTGCTGAAAGTCAACAGAAAATGTGCTTTAAGAAAGAGAAAGAGAATAGAGGCGGCATCTGTCTTCTCCAGACATCATGAGGTTTAAAACTCTTCCACCAGCCACGGGCAAAAAAGACGTTACTCAGTCTATCAGCAACTACATTCAGTTGTGGATAAATGTGTCCTAAAATAGTGACTTAAACAAATTAGAATTTTATCTTTCCGTGTAGTGAAAAGTTCAAAGAAGTTAGCAATCCTGGCCTGCTGTGTTACTTCATAATGTCATTAGGACACAGAGCTCTGCTTCCCTTCAGCCACTGTAGTATATGGCTACTGTCTCATGGTCACAAAAACTAACACTCTCCTCTCCACTCTTGCTCTTCTCCACTGTGGCTGGCTCCATAAGCATGTTTCAGAAAGGAGAAAGGGAAAAAAGTGTGGAAATGGCCATGCCAGCTCAGTCAGACCCTCCTTTTAAATGCTTTCCCATTGTTTACATCTCATTTAATAGAACTATGACAGTGCTATAAGATAACAACTAGCTGCTAAGGGAAGTTGAGAAATTGTTTAGTCTAGGCATATGGCCACCCTGAATAAAAAAAGGATTCGATAGAAAGAAAGGCAGAGGGAATAGATATTGAGTGGTAGCTAACCGTCTCTGTCAAAAGTGCAAATTTAATGTCTCTAATACTGCTCAAGATGACGCTGCTTTGTTCAGATGCTGTAAGTCTTGTTTTGATACTTCTCGGTACAGTCCATAGGTAAAGAACCTGGCATGTTGTGAGTTTATACACAGGAGTTTTTTCTCTTGTAGAATCCATACAAAATGGCAATATATAGAGTTCTGGTATGGAGGAAGAAAGAAAGAATAAAAAGAGAAATGACTAAATGACTTCAGAATCTCTCTCGCTACAATCATTCTTTCCCCTGATTTATTCTTTTTTTCTTTTTCTGAAATGGAGTTTTACTCTTGTGGCCCAGGTGGGAGTGCAATGGCACGATCTTGGTTCACCACATCTCTGCCTTTTGGGTTCAAGCGATTCTTCTGCCTCAGCCTCCCGAGTAGCTGGGATTACAGGCATGGGCCACCATGCCCAGCTAATTTTGTATTTTTAGTAGAGACAGGGTTTCTCCACGTTGGTCAGGCTGGTCTCGAACTCCCAACCTCAGGTGATCCACCTGCCTTTGCCTCCCAAAGCGCTGGGATTACAGGCATGAGCTACTGCAGCCGCCCTCCCCTGACTCATTCTTTTCACCTTTCTTCATTGGAAAAATCTGGAGTGAAAACTAGAATAATAAGAAAGTAGATAGACATCTGTTCCCATCTTAACTGTGGAATATTCCAGAGGATCTTAAGCCTTTCTTTCATTTTATGGCAAATCTATACTAATACACTTCTACTTTCAGGCACTATCAAAGATTCTGGAGTTAAATGAAGTTGCTACTTTTATAAGAACAGAGCAATTCTGATTAATTTTTTAAAATAAATTTGTTTATTGGAATAGTTTTTAATTTACATAACTATTACAAAAATAGTACAGAGAGTTCCCATGTACTCATACCCAGATTTCCCTATTATTAACATCTTACATTAGTGTGGTATATTTGTTACAATTAATGGAGCATTAATTGGTTCCTTTTGGTTCTGGTAGTTTCTTAGACTGTCCTTGTTTTTGATGACCTTGACAACTTTGAGGAAACTGGCAAGGTATTTCACAAACATCCCTTACTAAGCTTTATTACATGTTGCTTCATTGAATTTTGGTGATAAAGACCACAAAGGTGAAGTGCCATTTCATGACATCATATTTGTGAGTTCTGATCTTGACCAACAGGCTGAGATAGTACTTGTCAGGTTTCTCCACTGTAAAGTTACCCTTTTCCATATCATACTCTTTGAAAAGAAGGCACTATGTGCAGCCTACACTTATGAGTAGAGAATTACGCTCAGTATCAATAAATTTAAAAAAAATCAAAATCATACCAAACATATAATCAGTCCACAGTGGAATAAATATATAAATCAATGCCAAGAAAATCTCTCAAAACCACATAACTACATGAAAATTAAACAATGTGCCCCTGAATGATTTTTAGGCAAACAATAAAATTAAGGCAGAAATAAAAACATTCTTTTTTTTTTTTGGATAAATATTGCTTTTTATTGTTTCCATTTTACATTTGGAAAAAAATGAGACTCCAAAATCGATGTCAATTACCAATATAATTTAACAAAGTCAGTATTTAAATTTAGATCTGCCTTCTTCTAAATTCCAGAAATAGACCAGCTGCTATTAATTTAACATATCAGTCTTTGGCCAGTGATGATTATAATATGATAATGCAACCTGAGTTCTTACAATGTGTAGTTAGTTAACTATGAGTAAATTAATATAATAGTAAGTAAATAAATCTCTTGTGGATTTTATTTTTTAATTTTTTAATTTTATTTTATTATTATTATACTTTAAGTTTTAGGGTACATGTGCACAATGTGCAGGTTAGTTACATATGTATACATGTGCCATGCTGGTGTACTTCACCCATTAACTCGTCATTTAGCATTAGGTATATCTGTTAATGCTATCCCTCCCACCTCCCCCCACCCCACAACAGGCCCCAGAGTGTGATGTTCCCCTTCCTGTGTCCATGTGTTCTCATTGTTCATTTCCCACCTATGAGTGAGAACATGCGGTGTTTGGTTTTTTGTCCTTGCGATAGTTTACTGAGAATGATGATTTCCAGTTTCATCCATGTCCCTACAAAGGACATGAACTCATCCTTTTTTATGGCTGCATAGTATTCCATGGTGTATATGTGCCACATTTTCTCAATCCAGTCTATCATTCTTGGACATTTGGGTTGGTTCCAAGTCTTTGCTGTTGTGAATAGTGCCGCAATAAACATACGCGTGCATGTGTCTTTATAGCAGCATGATTTATAGTCCTTTGGGTATATACCCAGTAATGGGACGGCTGGGTCAAATGGTATTTCTAGTTGTAGATCCCTGAGGAATCGCCACACTGACTTCCACAATGGTTGAACTAGTTTCCAGTCCCCTCAACAGTGTAAAAGTGTTCCTATTTCTCCACATCCTCTCCAGCACCTGTTTTTTCCTGACTTTTTAATGATTGCCATTCTAACTGATGTGAGATGGTATCTCATTGTGGTTTTCATTTGCATTTCCCTGATGGCCAGTGATGGTGAGCATTTTTTCATGTGTTTTTTGGCTGCATAAATGTCTTCTTTTGAGAAGTGTCTGTTCATATCCTTTGCCCACTTTTTGATGGGGTTATTTGTTTTTTTCTTGTAAATTTGTTTGAGTTCATTGTAGATTCTGGATATTAGCCCTTTGTCAGATGAGTAGGTTGTGAAAATTTTCTCCCATTTTGTAGGTTGCCTGTTCACTCTGATGGTAGTTTCTTTTGCTGTGCAGAAGCTCTTTAGTTGAATTAGATCCCATTTGTCAATTTTGGCTTTTGTTGCCATTGCTTTTGGTGTTTTAGACATGAAGTCCTTGCCCATGCCTATGTCCTGAATGGTAATGCCTAGGTTTTCTTCTAGGGTTTTTATGGTTTTAGGTCTAACGTTTAAGTCTTTAATCCATCTTGAATTGATTTTTGTATAAGGTGTAAGGAAGGGATCCAGTTTCAGCTTTCTACATATGGCTAGCCAGTTTTCCCAGCGTCATTTATTAAATAGGGAATCCTTTCCCCATTGCTTGTTTTTCTCAGGTTTGTCAAAGATCAGATAGTTGTAGATATGCGGCATTATTTCTGAGGGCTCTGTTCTGTTCCATTGGTCTATATCTCTGTTTTGGTATGAGTACCATGCTGTTTTGGTTACTGTAGCCTTGTAGTATAGTTTGAAGTCAGGTACCGTGATGCCTCCAGCTTTGTTCTTTTGGCTTAGGATTGACTTGGTGATGCAGGCTCTCTTTTGGTTCCATATGAACTTTAAAGTAGTTTTTTCCAATTCTGTGAAGAAAGTCATTGGTAGCTTGATGGGGATGGCATTGAATCTATAAATTACCTTGGGCAGTATGGCCATTTTCACGGTATTGATTCTTCCTACCCATGAGCATGGAATGTTCTTCCATTTCTTTGTATCCTCTTTTATTTCCTTGATCAGTGGTTTTAGTTCTCCTTGAAGAGGCCCTTCACATCCCTTGTAAGTTGGATTCCTAGGTATTTTATTCTCTTTGAAGCAATTGTGAATGGGAATTCACTCATGACTTGGCTCTCTGTTTGTCTGTTATTGGTGTATAAGAATGCTTGTGATTTTTGTACGTTGATTTTGTATCCTGAGACTTTGCTGAAGTTGCTTATCAGCTTAAGGAGATTTTGGGCTGAGACAATGGGGTTTTCTAGATATACAATCATGTCATCTGCAAACAGGGACAATTTGACTTCCTCTTTTCCTAATTGAATACCCTTTGTTTCCTTCTCCTGCCTGATTGCCCTGGCCAGAACTTCCAACACTATGTTGAATAGGAGTGGTGAGAGAGGGCATCCCTGTCTTGTGCCAGTTTTCAAAGGGAATGCTTCCAGTTTTTGCCCATTCAGTATGATATTGGCTGTGGGTTTGTCATAGATAGCTCTTATGATTTTGAGATACTTCCCATCAATACCTAATTTATTGAGAGTTTTTAGCATGAAGTGTTGTTGAATTTTGTCAAAGGCCTTTTCTGCATCTATTGAGATAATCATGTGGTTTTTGTCTTTAGTACTGTTTATATGCTGGATTACATTTATTGATTTGCGTATATTGAACCAGCCTTGCATCCCAGGGATGAAGCCCACTTGATCATGGTGGATAAGCTTTTTGATGTGCTGCTGGATTCGGTTTGCCAGTATTTTATTGAGGATTTTTGCATCAATGTTCATCGAAGATTTTGGTCTAAAATTCTCTTTTTTGGTTGTGTCTGTGCCCCGCTTTGGTATCAGGATGATGTTGGCCTCATAAAATGAGTTAGGGAGGATTCTCTCTTTTTCCGTTGACTGGAATAGTTTCAGAAGGAATGGTACCAGTACCTCCTTGTACCTCTGGTAGAATTCGGCTGTGAATCCATCTGGTCCTGGACTCTTTTTGGTTGGTAAGCTATTGATTATTGCCACAATTTCAGCTCCTGTTATTGGTCTATTCAGAGATTCAACTTCTTCCTGGTTTAGTCTTGGGACGGTGTATGTGTCGAGGAATTTATCCATTTCTTCTAGATTTTCTAGTTTATTTGTGTAGAGGGGTTTGTAGTATTCTTTGATGGTAGTTTGTATTTCTGTGGGATTGGTGGTGATATCCCCTTTATCATTTTTTATTGTGTCTATTTGATTCTTCTCTCTTTTTTTCTTTATTAGTCTTGCTAGTGGTCTATCAATTTTGTTGATCCTTTCAAAAAACCAGCTCCTGGATTCATTAATTTTTTGAAGGGCTTTTTGTGTCTCTATTTCCTTCAGTTCTGCTGTGATTTTAGTTATTTTTTGCCTTCTGCTAGCTTTTGAATGTGTTTGCTCTTGCTTTTCTAGTTCTTTTAATTGTGATGTTAGGGTGCCAATTTTGGATCTTTCCTGCTTTCTCTTGTGGGCATTTAGTGCTATAAATTTCCCTCTACACACTGCTTTGAATGTGTCCCAGAGATTCTGGTATGTTGTGTCTTTGTTCTCATTGGTTTCAAAGAACATCTTTATTTCTGCCTTCATTTCGTTATGTACCCAGTAGTCATTCAGGAGCAGATTGTTCAATTTCCATGTATTTGAGTGGTTTTGAGTGAGTTTCTTAATCCTGAGTTCTAGTTTGATTGCACTGTGGTCTGAGAGACAGTTTGTTATAATTTCCGTTCTTTTACATTTGCTGAGGAGAGCTTTCCTTCCAACTATGTGGTCAATTTTGGAATAGGTGTGGTGTGGCGCTGAAAAAATGTATATTCTGTTGATTTTGGGTGGAGAGTTCTGTAGATGTCTATTAGGTCCGCTTGGTGCAGAGCTGAGTTCAATTTCAGGGTATCCTTGTTAACTTTCTGTCTCATTGATCTGTCTAAAGTTGACAGTGGGGTGTTAAAGTCTCCCATTATTATTGTGTGGGAGTCTAAGTCTCTTTGTAGGTCACTCAGGACTTGCTTTATGAATCTGGGTGCTCCTGTATTGGGTGCATATATATTTAGGATAGTTAGCTCTTCTTGTTGAATTGATCCCTTTACCATTATGTAATGGCCTTCTTTGTCTCTTTTGATCTTTGTTGGTTTAAAGTCTATTTTATCAGAGACTAGGATTGCAACCCCTCCCTTTTTTTGTTTTCCATTTGCTTGGTAGATCTTCCTCCATCCTTTTATTTTGAGCCTGTGTGTGTCTCTACACGTGAGATGGGTTTCCTGAATACAGCACACTGATGGGTCTTGACTCTTTATCCAATTTGCCAGTCTGTGTCTTTTAATCGGAGCATTTAGTCCATTTACATTTAAAGTTAGTATTGTTATGTATGAATTTGATCCTGTCATGATGATGTTAGCTGGTTATTTTGCTCGTTAGTTGATGCAGTTTCTTCCTAGTCTCGATGGTCTTTACATGTTGGCATGATTTTGCAGTGGCTGGTACCAGTTGTTCCTTTCCATGTTTAGTGCTTCCTTCAGGAACTCTTTTAGGGCAGGCCTGGTGGTAACAAAATCTCTCAGCATTTGCTTGTCTGTAAAGTATTTTATTTCTCCTTCACTTATGAAGCTTATTTTGGCTGGATATGAAATTCTGGGTTGAAAATTCTTTTCTTTAAGAATGTTGAATATTGGCCCCCTCTCTCTTCTGGCTTGTAGAGTTTCTGCCGAGAGATCCGCTGTTAGTCTGATGGGCTTCCCTTTGAGGGTAACCCGACCTTTCTCTCTGGCTGCCCTTAACATTTTTTCCTTCATTTCAACTTTGGTGAATCTGACAATTATGTGCCTTGGAGTTGCTCTTCTCGAGGAGTATCTTTGTGGTATTCTCTGTATTTCCTGAATCTGAATGTTGGCCTGCCTTGCTAGATTGGGGAAGTTCTCCTGGATAATATCCTGCAGAGTGTTTTCCAACTTGGTTCCATTCTCCCCGTCACTTTCAGGTACACCAGTCAGACGTAGATTTGGTGTTTTCACATAGTCCCATATTTCTTGGCGGCTTTGTTCGTTTCTTTTTATTCTTTTTTCTTTAAACTTCCATTCTCGCTTCATTTCATTCATTTCATCTTCCATCGCTGATACCCTTTCTTCCAGTTGATCGCATCGGCTCCTGAGGCTTCTGCATTCTTCACGTAGTTCTCGAGCCTTGGCTTTCAGCTCCATCAGCTCCTTTAAGCACTTCTGTGTACTGGTTATTCTAGTTATACATTCGTCTAAATTTTTTTCAAAGTTTTTAACTTCTTTGCCTTTGGTTTGAATTTCCTCCTGTAGCTTGGAGTAGTTTGATCATCTGAAGCCTTCTTCTCTCAACTCGTCAAAGTCATTCTCCATCCAGCTTTGTTCCATTGCTGGTGAGGAACTGTGTTCCTTTGGAGGAAGAGAGGCGCTCTGCTTTTTAGAGTTTCCAGTTTTTCTGCTCTGTTTTTTCCCCATCTTTGTGGTTTTATCTACTTTTGGTCTTTGATGATGGTGATGTACAGATGGGTTTTTGGTGTGGATGTCCTTTCTGTTTGTTAGTTTTCCTTCCAACAGACAGGACCCTCAGCTGCAGGTCTGTTGGAGTTTGCTAGAGGTCCACTCCAGACCCTGTTTGCCTGGGTATCAGCAGCAGTGGCTGCAGAACAACGGATTTTCGTGAACTGCGAATGCTGCTGTCTGATCATTCCTTTGGAATTTTTGTCTCAGAGGAGTACCCGGCCATGTGAGGTGTCAGTCTGCCCCCACTGGGGGGTGCCTCCCAGTTAGGCTGCTTGGGGGTCAGGGGTCAGGGACCCACTTGAGGAGGCAGTCTGCCCATTCTCGGATCTCTAGCTGCATGCTGGGAGAACCACTGCTCTCTTCAAAGCTGTCAGACAGGGACATTTAAGTCTGGAGAGGTTACTGCTGTCTTTTTGTTTGTCTGTGCCCTGCCCCCAGAGGTGGAGCCTACAGAGGCAGGCAGGCCTCCTTGAGCTGTGGTAGGCTCCACCCAGTTCAAGCTTCCTGGCTGCTTTGTTTACCTAAGCAAGCCAGGGCAATGGCGGGCACCCCTCTCCCAACCTGGCTGCCACCTTGCAGTTTGATCTCAGACTGCTGTGCTAGCAATCAGCAAGACTCCGTGGGCATAGGACCCTCCAAGCCAGGTGCGGGATATAATCTCCATTTTTTAAGCCCGTCGGAAAAGCACAGTATTAGGGTGGGAGTGACCCGATTTTCCAGGTGCCGTCTGTCACGGCTAGGAAAGGGAATTCCCTGACCCCTTGCACTTCCTGAGTGAGGCAATGCCTCGCCCTGCTTCGGCTCGCACACAGTGCACTGCACCCACTGTCCTGCGCCCACTGTCTGGCACTCCCTAATGAGATGAACCAGGTACCTCAGATGGAAATGCAGAAATCACCTGTCTTCTGCGTCACTCACGCTGGGAGCTGTAGACCAGAGCTGTTCCTATTTGGCCATCTTGGCTGCCCCCCGAAAAACATTCTTATAAATAAATGAAGACAGAGACACAACATATCAAAATCTCAAATACGGCAAAAGCAATGTTGAGAGGAAAGTCTGTAGTGCTGAAGTCCTACCTCAAATGCTAGAAAGGTTTCAACTTAATGATCTAACATCACACCTAGAAGAACTAGGAAAAAAAAGAACAAACTACTAGCTGAAGAAAAGAAATAACTAAAATCAGAGCTGAACTGAATAAACTTTTATCCAAAAATCCATACACACACACACACAAAAAGTAAACAAAAGATGGTTATTTGAAAGTTGAAACAAGATCAATAGACCACGAGCTATATTAACAAAGAAAGGGAGGATCCAAATAAGCACAATCAGAAATGACAAGGGTGACGTTACTACTAATTCCAAAGACATACCATAGATGCTCAGACACTATTATAAACATGTCTATGCACACAAATTAGGAAATCTAGAGGAAATGGATAAATTCCTCGAGACAAATAGCTTTCCAAAATTGAATCAGGAAGAAACTTAAACACTTAACAGAGCAATATTGAGTTTCAAAATTGAATCAGTAATAAAATACCTACCACCCCAAAAAAAGCCGTGGACAAGATGGATTCACAGCCAAATTCTGCCAGACATTCAAGAAAGAACAGGTAATTATTCTACTAAAGCTATTTGTATTAGTCCATTTTCATGTCCCAGATAAAGACATACCCAAGACTGGGCAAGAGGTTTAATATGGACTTACAGTTTCACGTGGCTTGGGAAGCCTCATAATCATGATGGAAGACAAGGAGGAACAAGTCACATCTTACATGGGTGGCAGCAGACAAAGAAAAAAAAAGAGCTTGTGCAAAGAAACTCCCCCTTAAATACTATCAGATCTCTTGTGAGATTCCCCCCACTACCATGAGAACATTATGGGAAAGAACTGCCCCCATGTTCCTCCCACCAGGTCCCTCCCACAACATGTGGGAATTCAAGATGAGATTTGGATGGGAACGTAGCCAAACCATATTACACATTACCACGTTACACCCCTGGCCTCTCCCAAATATCATGTCCTCACATTTCAAAACCAATCATGCCTTCCCAACTGTCCCCCAAAGTCTTAATTCATTCCAGCATTAACTCAAAAGTCCACAGTCCAAAGTCTCATCTGAGACAAGGCAAGACTTTTGCACCTATGAGCCTGTAAAATCAAAAGCAGATTAGTTACTTCCTAGATATAGTGGGGGTACAGGCGTTGAGTAAATACACCCACTCTAAATGGGAGAAATTGGGCAAAACAAAGGGACTAGAGACCCCATGCAGGTCCAAAATCCAGTGGGGCAGTCAAATCTTAAAGGACCAAAATGATCTCCTTCAACTCTATGCCTCACAACCAGGTCACTGTGATGCAAGAGGTGGGTTCTCATGGTCTTGGGCACCTCTGCCCCTGTGGCTTTTCAGGGCACAGCCTCCCTCCCAGCTACTTTCATCGGCTGGTGTTGAGTGCCTGTGGCTATTCCAGGTGCACGCTGCAAGCTGTCAGTGGATCTACCATTTTGGGGTCTGGAGGACTGTGGCCCTCTTCTCGCAGCTCCACTAGGCAGTACCCCAGTAGAGACTATGTGTGGGAGCTCTGACCCAACATTTCCCTTCTGCACTGCCCTAACAGAGGTTCTCCATGAGGGCCCTGCCCCCACAGAAAACTTCTGCCTGGGAATCCAGACATCTCCATACGTCTTCTGAAATTTAGGCAGAGGTTTCCAAACCCCAGTTCTTGACTTCTGTTCACTCACAGGTTCAACACCACATGGAAGCTGCCAAGGCTTGGGACTTGCACCCTCTGAAGCCATGGCTCGATCTCTATATTGACCCCTTTCAGCCATGGCTGGAGCAGCTGGGATGCAGGGCACCAGGTCCCTAGGCTGCACACAGCATGGGGACACAGCACAAGGGTCCGGCCCTAGAAACCACTTTTTATTCCTAGGCCTCTGGGCCTGTAATGGGAGGAACTGCCATGAAGGCCTATGACATGCTCTGAAGACATTTTCCCTATTATCTTGGGAATTATAATTTTGATCCTCATTTCTTATGCAAATTTCTGCAGCCAGCTTGAATTTCTCCTCAGAAAATGGGATTTTCTTTTCTATTGCATTGTCAGGCTGTAAATTTTCTGAATTTTTATGCTCTGCTTCCCTTATACAACTGAATGCCTTTAATAGCACCCAAGTCACCTCTCGAATGCTTTGCTGCTTAGAAATTTCTTCTGCCAGATACCCTAAATCCTTTCTTTCAAATGTAACGTTCCACAAATCTCTAGGATGGGGCAAAATGCCACCAGTCTCTTTGCTAAAACATAACAAGAGTCACCTTTGCTCCAGTTCCCAACAAGTTCCTCAACTCTATCTGAGACCACATCAGCTTGGATTTCATTGTCCATATCATTATCAGCATTTTGGTCAAAGCCATTCAACAAATCTCTAGGGAGTTCCAAACTTTTTCACATCTTCCTATCTTCTTCTGAGCCCTCTGAACTGTTTCAACTTCTGCCTGTTACCCAGTTCCAAAGTTGCTTCCATATATTTGGCTCTTTTCAGCAGTGGCTCACTCTACTGGTACCAATTTACTGTGTTAGTCCGTTTTCGTGCTGCTGATAAAGACATACCTGAGACTGAACAATTTACAAAAGAGGTTTAATATGGACTTACAGTTTCACGTGGCTGGGGAAGCCTCACAATCATGGTGGAAGGCCAGGAGGAACAAGTCACATTTTACATGGATGGCAGGAGTCAAAGAATACAAAAGAGCTTGTGCAGAGAAACTCCTCCTTATAATACCATCAGATCTCATGAGACCCACCCACCACCATAAGAACACCATGGATAAGACATGCCCCATGATCCAGTTACCTCTTACCAGGTCCCTCCCACAATGGGTGGGAATTCAAGATCAGATATGGTTAGGGACACAGCCAAACCATATCATGTTCCCCCCAAAATCAAGGATAATAGACTCCTCCCCTAGTGCTTTCTACAAAGCCAGGATCACCCTGATACCAAAACATGGAAAAGACAGAACAAAAAAAGAAAACTATAGGCCAATAATGCTAATGAACATAGATACAAAAATCTTCAAAAAGTACTAGCCAACTGAATTCAACAGCACATCAAAAGATTAAGTCACCATGATGAAGTAAGCTTTATTCCTGGAATGCAGGGTTAGTTCAACATATGCAAATCAATAAATGTGATTCACCACATAAAATTAAAAACTACATGACTATCTCAATAGACATAGAGAAAGCTTTTAATGAAATTTAATACTCCTTCATTATAAAAACCTTCAAGATACTAGGCATCGATGGGACATACCTCAAAATAATAAAAGCCGTCTATGACAAACCCATGGCTAACATTCAATGGGCAAAAACTGGAAGCTTTCCCCTTGAGAACTGTAACAAGACAAGGATGCCCACTCTCACCACTCCTTTTCAGCATAGTACTGAAAGTCCTAGGTGGAGCAATCAGACAAAAGAAAGAAAAGACAATTGAATAGGAAAAGAAGAAGTCAAACTATCTCTCTTCATGGATGATATGATCCTATACTTAGAAAACACTAAAGACTGCATCAAAAGACTCCTGGAACTGAGAAAAAATTTCAGTAATGTTTCAAGATATAAAATCAATGTACAAAAAATGGGTAGTATTTCTATACACCAATGACATTCAAGCTGAGAGCCAAATTAATAACACAATTTTATTTACTATAGCTATGAAAAAATAAAATACCTAGGAACACCTAGGTATTAAAATACCTACGAAGTGAGAGACCTGTATGTGAACTACAAAATAATGCTAAAAGACATCATAGATGATAATGACACAAACAAATGGAAAAACATTCTATGCTCGTGGATTGGAAAAATCAATATTGTTAAAATGGCCATAGCCTCCAAAGCAAACTACAGATTTAATGCCATTCCTATCAACCTAACAATATAATTTTTCACAGAAATACAAGAAACTATAAAATTTTAAAATTCATATGGAACCAAAGACGTTCCCAAATGGCCAAAACAATACTAAGCAAAAAAAACAAAGTTGGAGGCATCCCATTACTTGACTTCAAACTATGTTGTACTATAAGGCTACAGTAACCAAAACAGCATGGTTCTGTTACAAAAACAGACAAATAGACCAACGGAAGGGAATAGAGAACCCTAAAATAAAGCCACACATTTATAACTACCTGATCTTTGACAAAGTTGATAAAAATAAGCAGGGGAGAAAGGATGCTCTATTCAATAAATGGTGCTGGTTTAGCTGGCTAGCCATGTGCAGAAGAATGAAACTGGACCCTTACATTTCATCATATACAAAGAATAACTCAAGAGGAATTAAATATTTAAATGTAAGACCTCAAACTGTAAGAATCTTAGAAGAAAATGTAGGAAACACCACTCTGGACATTGGCCTTGGCAAATAATTTATGTCTACGTCCTCAAAAGCAGTTGTAAGAAAACCAAAATTGACAAGTCAGGCCTAATTAAAGAGCTTCTGCTCAGTAAAGAAAACTATCAATAGCATAAAGAGATAATCTATAGAATGGGAGAAAATATTTTCAAACTATGCATCTAACAAATGTCTAATATACAGAATCTATAAGGGACTTAAGCAATTGAAGAAGCAAAAAACTAATAACCCCCTTTAAAAATGGGCAAAAGACATGAACAGACAATTCTCAGAAGAGAAAAGACATGCAAGTGGCCAAGAAACATATGAAAAATGCTCCACATCACTAATCATCCGAGAAGTAGAAATCAAAACTACATGAGATACCATCTCACACAAGTTAGAAAGGTGATTATTAAAAAGTCAGACAAACAGACAGACAAGTGGATGTTGGCAAGGCTGTGAAGAAAAGGGAATGCTTATACACGGTTGATGGGAATGTAAATTAGTTCAGTCACTGTGAAAAGCAGTTTGGAGGTTTCTCAAAGAACTAAGAAGTACCATTTGACCTATCAATCCCATTACTGAGTGTGTGTGTATATCCAAATCTTTCTACCACAAAGACACATGCACTTGCATGTTCATCAAAGCAGTATTCACAATTGGAAAGAGATGGAATCAACCTAGGTGCCAATCAATGGTGAATTAGATTAAGAAAATGTGGTACATACACACTGTCGAATACTATCCAGTCATAAAAAAAGAATGAAATCATGTCCTTTGCAGCAACATGGATGTAGCTGGAGACCATTAATCAAAACAAATTAGTGCAGAAACTTAAAACGAAATACTGCATATTCTCACTTATAAATGGGAGCTAAACATTGGGTACTCATAGACATAAAGGTGACAACAATAAAAAATGGGGAAATGGGGGACGCTAGAGGGGAAAGAGGGATAAGAGCTGAAAAATTAACTATTAGGGACTATGCTCAGTACCTGGGTAACAGAATCATTCATATCCCAAACCTCATAATCACACAACATACTCAGCTAACAAATCTGTACATATATATACTCCCTGAATCTAAAATAAAAGTTGGAAAAATAAATAAATAAAATTATCAGCCACACATAAAAGATAATTATGCTCTTCTCTTTAGGAGCATAAAGTTACTTACATAAGCTCCTTTTCCCCCAGCCCATTAAGTGAGATTATGTCATGCATTTGTAATTCAGTTAGATGGTTTTGTCATATTTTGCATTCCGTTTTGGGATTTCTTTGACTACCAAAGTGACATTTTAAAATTAAATTTGTATCCATTACAGTTTACTTTGGTGTTGAAGTATTTTGGGGCTTTGACGAAGGCAGAGTGTCATATAGTCACAATTATAGTCTCTAAAAATAGTTTCACAACCCCAAAAATTCCCCTTTGTATCCCTATTCAGCTCCCCCTAAACTCCTGGTGACAACTAGTGTTTTTACTGTCTCTAGAGATTTTCCTTTTTTAAAATATCATATAATTTGATAATATATATGCCACAGTTTATTTATTGCACCCCCTGATTGAAGGACATCTTGTTTTCTTGAAAGTTTGGCACTTATAAATAAAGTTGCTATAAATATTTCTCTGCAGATTTTGTGTGACAGAAGTTTTTAAATCAGTTGGGTAAGTATCTAGGAACATCATTGATCAATCCTATGTAAGACTATTTTTACCTTTGTAAAAATTACCTAAACTGTCTTAAAAAGTGGAGGCACAATTTTGCATTTCACCAACAATAAATGAGAGTTCCTGTTGCTCCACATCCTCATCAGCAATTGGTACTGTCAGTTTTATAGATGTTAGACAATCTTATGTCTGTTTCAGTTATCAATTCCCTAAATAGAAATAATGTTACAAATCTTTTTCTATACTTAATTTTTGTCTATATATTTTTATAATGCTATATCCTTTTAGATATTTTACCCATTTTTAAATTAGGGCATTTGTTTTCTTATTGTTGAGGTTTAAGAGTTCTTTGCTATTCTGGAAGCTTATTTTCCCAGATATGTGTTTCACCAATATTTTCCTTCAGTCTATGGCTTGTTTTTTGTTGCTCTTAACAGTATCATTTGCATAGGAAAGTTTTTAATTTTAAAGAAGTCCAACCAGTCATTCGTTTTTCTTTCAAGAATTGTGATTTGGTGTTGTATCTGACAATGTATAGTCCAACTCAAAGTCACTTAAATTTTCTCCTGTGATTTTTTTTTTTAGAGTTTTTTAGTTTTGTGTTTTACATTTATTTTTATGATCCATTTTGAGTTAATTTTTGCATAAGGTATATTTCTACATTTTTGTTTTTTGTTGTTTGGTTTTTTGTTTTTGTTTTTGCTTTATATAGGGATATCCAATTATTCAAGAAACATTTGTTGAGAAGACTATTTGTTCTGCATTTAATTGTCTTTGTCCCCTGTCAAATATTAATTGGCTATGTTTGTGTGGATCTATTTCTGGGCTCTCTCTAGTCTATTCTATTGATCTATTTCCTTATTTTTTCATCAATACTATACTGTCTTGATTACTGTACCTGTATATGAAGTCTTGAAATCAGGTAATGTTGGTCCTCTTAGTTCGTCTTCAATAATATTTTGACTCTTCTAGTTCTTTTGTCATGCCATAAAATATTTAGAATTATTTTACCATTATTTATACAGTAGTTTGCTGAGATTTTTACTGGGATTACAGTAAATCTATAAATCAGATTTGGAAAAATTGACATCTTTTCATAATCATCTTCCAATCCATAAACATGGTCTATATTTTTATTTAGATCTTTAATTTATTTTATTAGGGTTTTGTTGTTTTCCACATATAGATTATGTACATATTTTGTTAGACTTACACCTAAATATTTAATTTTTCATACTCTTATAAATGGCATTATAATTTCAAATTCTAACTGATCACTGCAGGTATACAGGAAAGCGTTCATTATTGTTTATTAACCTTTCATCCTGCAGCCTTGCTATTTTCTCTTATTAGGTCCAGCAGTTGAGTGGTTTAATGAGGGTGTCCAGTTTCAATTTTCTGTATATGGCTAGCCAGTTCTCCCAGCACCATTTATTAAATATGGAATCATTTCCCTGTTGCTTATTTTTGTAAGGTTTTTTGAAGATCAGATGATTGTAGATGTGTAGTCTTATTTCTGAGTTCTCTATTCTGTTTCATTGGTCTGTGTCTGTTTTTATACCAGTACCATGCTGTTTTGGTTACTGTAGCCTTGTAGTGTAGTTTGAAGTCTGGTAGCTTGATGCCTCCAGCTTTGTTCTTTTTGCTTAGGATTGTCTTGGCTATATGGGCTCTTTTTCGGTTCCATATAAATTTTAAAGTAGTTTTTTTCTAATTCTGTGAAGAGTGTCAATGGTAGTTTAATGGTAGTTCTTTCAATTTTTTTTACTTCACTTACTTTTATAATCTCTTCTTCTTTGCATACAGGTTAAAGATTGTTGTCTTCTTATAGAACTGAATACTTTATTCTTATGCAATGCCCTTATTTGTTCCCGAAAATTTTATTTGTTCTGTAGTCTGCTTTGTCTGAGATTAACATAGTTGTGATGGTTAATACTGAGTGTCAGCTTGATTGGATAGAAGGATGCAAAGTATTGATCCTGGGTGTGTCTGTGAGGGTGTTGCCAAAAGAGATTAACATTTGAGTCAGTGGACTGGGAGAGGCAGACCCACCCTCAATCTGGGTGGGCCCCATCTAATCAGCTGCCAGAATAAAAAGCAAGCAGAAGGATGTGGAGAGATTAGACAGGCTTAGCCTCCTAGCCTACATCTTTTTCCTGTGCTGGATGCTTCCTGCCTTTGAATGTTGGACTCCAGGTTCTTCAGCTTTGGGACTTAGACTGGCTTCCTTGCTCATCAGCTTGCAGATGAACTGTTGTGGGACCTTGTGATCATATGAGTTAATACTCCTTAATAAACTCGACTTTATATATACATCTATCTTATTAGTTTTGTTATTCTAGAGAATCCTGACTAATACAATAGTTATTCCTCTTTCTTTTTTTTTTTGATTAGTGTTAGCATAGTATATCTTTCTCCATTTCTTTAACCTATCTGAGTATTTGTATTGAAAGTGGGTCTCCTGTAGAATGTACAGGTGTGTCTTGTATATTTCATTTACTCTGACAGTCTGTCTTTTAATTGGTGTATTTAGACCATTCACAGTTAAAGTAATTATTGATATAGTCGGCTTAATATCTACCATGTTTCTAACTCTTTTGTTACACTTTTTTTATTTCTCTTCTGCCTTTGTAATTTTAATTTAGCATTTTCTATTATTCTATTTTATCTCTTAACCTATAAAGTTTACCTCTTTTTAAAAGGGTAGGCCAACAATTTTGTTATTTTTCTTCACATTTATTTTGTTTGTAGGACTCTTGTCAATGTAGAACTTTATATCCAACAATATAAACAGGCACATTCCAAGTGATATTCTGTAGAAGTGAAAGAGACTGACTGATAAAACAAAACGAAACAAAACTAGACACCTGCATTATATGTTCTTTATATAAATAGTCCATCCTGAATAGCAGAATGAAATGCACACCAAATGCTTCTAAAAGTCTGTGTGCCTAGATCACAATTACAGTCTTCGCACACTGAAAAGAAAAAGAACAATAACACAGAACATAGTATTTTCAATGATTATAGCAAATTAACATTTTCAGCCATTCAGTGGCTTTTTAAGATCATGTTGGCAACTTACATTATATATATATACACACACACACACACACACACAAGGGTTTGCTTGACTAAGGTCACTATTTCAGAGAGCTTTGAAGCCATTCTAGTAGCTTTTCTGCTAGTAGTGCCTTAGCATCATTAACTAGTGAACCTTGTAAATGTACCACAACAGATATTTTAATTTCAAAATCTTTCACAGCCAGAACTATACCCTGTGTAATAACATAACATCAAGTGATTCCTCCAAAAATGTTGACCAGAATAGCCAGTACCTCTTTTTATCTGAAGTGATAAGCATAAGTGATTCTGTTACTTGATGGACTGTAGCACTAACATGAGCAACAAGGAATCTGTTTGGAGTCTCTTTATGAAGTTTTCTTATACCTATTGTGGTTATAGCCAAACCAGCACCATTTACTAGACAGCCTATTTTTCCACTGAGGCCAGTGTTATTGAGATGTGGCTTAGCTTCATCTTTGTTCCTTTCATCTTCCTGAGTCCAGTCCTGTAGATCAAAGATCTTCTGGCGATAGACTGAATTAGAATCAAAATTGATCTTTGTGTCCAAACATAGCAGAGCTCCATCTGAATCTTATACCATTGAGCTTATTTTTATCATGGTTGTGTTGTAGTTCAGAAAAAGATTGTAAAGCTTGACCATGTTTTCTGCCACAGAATCCACAATAGTAGATGGAAATCTTATATTCTGTGCAAGCCGGAGAGCTTGTTCCTTTTTGATGCCTTCTACGACATCAATAGATTCTTTATTACATCAGGAGTCTCAGCAGAAACATCTTCAGTGTTGACACCACCTTGCAAACTTCCTATTTATACTGGACCTTGAAATGACCTTTCCATTGTTACTGGAAAGTAGTATTCTCTCCTGGGATATTTTTGCTCACAGATCAATACTTGATTGCATATTTTGTCCTTTTCTCCTGTTTACTTGGTAAACAACTTTTTCCCAATAATTTGAGAGGGAACAGCTTTTTCTTCTTGATAGAAAACTATCTTCACTCCTCTTTTGGGACTGCTTCCAAATGTTCCTTTTTGTCTACCACAAGCAAAATTCTGTGCCATTATCACAACATCTTTAGAACCTAATTTTTTGACAATTGCGTCAGCTTCATCTGGTGACTTTGCCACATATCCTTTGGAAGGGAGACACCAGCTTCTTGCAACAATTTCATATTCATATATTCATGTAGTGAGAGATTCTTTTGCTGTTACTGCTGTACTTGGAGTTATTGGTTATTAAACAGCTCAGAAATTCCCAGAACCTGGGCAGTAGACTGTACTATGGTCTGGTCTGGGACTGATGGCTGTGAAAAGTGGCAGCTAATTGTCAGCTATAGAACATGAAGGCCACCATTCCTAAGTCTGACCCTGTCCCCTCCTGCTGTGTGCCTCCAGCTGCTTTGTAATAGAGAATTTCCAATTCTCTTTTCCCTTTCCTTATGGCATTGCTATCATTCACTCTACTTATCCATATGCTGTAATCATCTACTATATTGTTGCTGTTATAACTTTAAACAAACTTTTTTATTTGGGATCAATTATGAATTAGAAATTAAGCTATTAGTAATAGCTTAATAAGACATTAATAAGAAAAAAGAAAAGATTTTATTTTACCTTCATGCATTCCTTTGCTGACACTTTCTTTTCTTTGGGTAATCTTAGTTTTGGCCTATATCATTTTCCTTCTCCCTAAAGAATGTTTCAAATTTCTAAGTGGGCAGGTCTACTGGCAATACATTCCTTTAGCTTTTGTTTCTATGAGGAGCCTTTATTCCTTCATAACTTTTGAGGGATTACTTTACTGAATATATAATTATGGAATGGTGGTTTCATTCTTTCAAAACTTAAATATTTAACTCCATTCTTTCTTGTTTGAATGGTTTATGTTAAGAATTCTGATGTAAATTTTTTCATTGTTTCTCTATAGGTAAGTTTTTTTTTTTTTATCTCCTGTGCCTTCTTGCAAGATTTTCCATTTTGCATTTGTTTTCTGCAATGTGAATATGATATGCATAGATACAGGTTTTGCTTTTTGTTTATGTTTAGTCTGCTTAGAGTTCTGTGTGCGTTCTGGATCTGTTGTTTGCTGTCTGTCATGAGTTTAGTTAAATTCTTAGCCATTATTATTTTGAATATTTTGTCTTCTCCATTCTCTCTTCCTTCTCTTTTCGATATTCCAATTACACCTCTGTTACACCTTTTGAAATTGTCCTTGGATTTCTTGTCCTGTTTTGTTCACACTTTTTTTTCTCTGCATTTCAGCTTGATAAGTTTCCACTGACATATCTTTAGGCTCAGTGAGCCTTTCCATGACCATGTCCAGTGGCCCATGATGAGCCCATCAAAGACATTCATCATTCTGCAACAGTATTTTTGAGTTCTGGTATTTCTTTTATGTTTTCCTAGAGTTTCTTTGTCTTTGCTTACATTACTCCTCTGTTTTTGCATATTGTCTACATTTTTCCATTAGAGCCTTTTACACATTACTTATAATCATTTTAAATTCCCTGCCTGATAATTTCAAAATCTGTGTCCTGTCTGAATCAGATTCTAATGCTTGCTTTATCTCTTTAGACTGTGTTTTTTTCTTGTCTTTTACTTTCCTTTTAATTTTTTGAAGGCTGCACATGATATAGGTAATAGAAACTGTGAGGTAAAAGGCCATTAGTGTGTAGTTTTATGTTAATCTGGCTAGGAGTTAAGCTGTGTTTTAATGTTTGCTTGTAGATGTAGATACCAGAAGCCTTAAATTCTTCTGATGTCTGTGTTTTTGTCTGTTGCATTTGGCTGCCCTAAGAACTTGTTAGATAGATTTTGTACCTCTTTTAGCTGTTATCTACTGTTGTTATACTGGAGGCTGTTGGAGTACTGGTAATGTTTGGTGGAAAGGAAGCATTCTTTAATGTGACCAATCCTCAGCTTTTTAGTGGGCCTGGGTCCTTGGATTGTAGGCTTTACAAGTGTTTCTTAGCTTTACTCCACTCCATTTGGTAAGACAAAAAAGCTAGAGGAGGTTTTAGTTGGGTAAATGCCTTTCCCCCAGGTGAGATAAGGCTATGGTAAAATCTTTTTCCCTGGAGTGTAGATATTGCCATGGAGAACACTCTGGGAATAGTATTTATCAATGGTTACTTCTCCTTTTTCTTTCTTTTCTTTTCTTTTCTTTTAAGACAGGATCTTGCTTTGTTGCCCAGGTTGGAGTGCAGTGTCATGATCACAGCTAATGGCAGCAGCCTCAAACTGCTGGACTCAAGCAATCTTTCTGCCTCAGTCTCCTGAGTAGCTGGGACTACAGGGATATGCCAACATACCCCCCTAATTTTTAATTTTTTTTGGTGGGGGGAGACAGAGACAGGGTCTCACTATGCCTAGGCTGGTCTTGAACTCCTGGGCTCCAGCAATACTTCTACCTTAGCTTCCAAAAGTGCTGGGATTATAGGCATGAGCCACAGCACCTGGGCTAGTGGTTACTTTTCTTTTTTCCTAGTCCAAGCCTGGAAATAACCTTTCTTAGCTCTTCACACTAACAACCTGGTGGCTTTACTGGATGTAAAACCTACACAATTTTTGCCATTACAAATTTCTTACTCTTATGCTAGTTCATAGTCAACCGCCAGAAATTTGTCAGAAGTTACCATTTATGTGTTGCTACCAACTCATGGCTCCAGTGGCATGTGCTTCAGGTAAGCAGATGTTTCCTGTGACTCTAATTCATAAATCTCTACAGACTTCAGGGTGATAGTTTATCCTGCAGCCTCGATTCTCTGCTAGGTCTAAGAAAATTATTCTTGTAAGCACAGGAGTGCTGACTTCTAAGCTCTTTATTCATCACAGCTGAAACTGGGAGTCACCAACTTGTGTTTTAGCAAATTATATTCTAGTAGTGAGATCTTATTTATTATATTTCTTTGGTAAATGTGATCCATGCCATGGGGATTAATTTACTTACTTAGCTCCTCATTCTTACCCTTGTGATTTATCAAGGCTTCTCTAATTAGTACATCCCCTAAGGAAAGTTCAGGCCAAAAATATGATTGGCTCATGCACTGGAGGAGCCACAGGAGAAACTGCATCTTCTGGAGCAGCCCATTCTGCCCCTACAGTAGTGCTAGGTGGAAAAATCACAGCTGAGCTTGCTGCTTCCCCAATCTCTACCTTGCACTTTGAGACAGGATCTTTTGTGATGATCTTCCAGAGTACCAAAAGCCTATTAAAACAGTAATTCTAGCTGCTCAGGATGCTTTCATTAATGCAGATGCCTTTGAATCATCAGGAAGCGTTTGATTGGAATGGGATGAGGATCCAGATTGTAAAGTCCAGCAGGTTTTCACAGGAATTTATCTGCCCTTACATTGTTTTGCTCCGAATAAAGCAAGCTGTCTCCTTTTCTCCAACTAGGCTGGGTTGGTTGGTAGGGAGGTTGCTGCTTCCCTAACACTGATTGCTTTCTTCCTGTCACTCTTACTTCGTATGTTGGTTTCCTGTGGCCATGCAACAATGTTACTACAAATGTAGTGGCTTTAAACAACACACATTTATTATCTCACAGGTCTTTGTGGGTTAGAAGTCTGGGCACAACTTAGCTTGGTTCTCTGCTTAGGGTCCCACAAGACTACAGTCAAGGTGTTGGCCAGTGCGTGGGTCTCATCTCAAGGTTGACTGGGAAGATCCATTTCCAGGCTTATGTGGTTTCAGCAGAATTCACTTCCTTACAGTTGTTGGGGGTTTCAGTTTCTTGCTACCCCTAGTTCTTAGGTATATGCCAACGCAGCCGCTTGCTTCTTCAAAGACAGTAAAGGACAGAATCTTCTCAGAGAGGAGAAGTCACAAACCTGTGTAATGTAATTATAGAAATGACATCTTATCGTCTTTGCCATATTTTATCGATTAAAGGCAATTCACAGGGCTTGCCTTTATTCAAGTAGAAAGGATCACATAAGGTAAAAGGATCAAATAAGAGTATGAATATCAAGATATAGAGATCATGGGGGCCACCTTGGAGTCTTTCCATGACAGATAGTTGTCCTTTTATGTAATGCTTATAGTCACTGGTTGTATCTGGCAGATACACATAATGAAAGGAAGACAGCTAAAGGTGAGCATCATAGAGAAATGAAGTCACTTTCATTCAGTTTGACAACTGAATTTTTTAAAATGTAGACTACATGTAAGTAGTAATTACACAGTTAGCTATTGATATAGAAAATACGAAAAGAAAAAGTCTTACAAATTCAGTAGTTTTAAAATAAAATAATGCTTATTTTACTTATAACAGTATGTGCATACATTTGGAAGGTACAAGCACAGTCAGTAAGAGTCATAGTTACTAATTATACAAATCATGGTTGAAATACTTAAGCTTTTGTAGAGGCCTTTTGTCATAATTCTGTTGACACTCAGTTATCTTTGACATGCAAATTGTTTCTCTAGTGGGACACAGTGAAATTCCTCCCCAGAAAAACACATTCTGAAGAAAAAAGAAAATACTTTGCATTTGAACTGTGATGTTCATAACACAAACAGTGGGAATATAGATATATTTTTTGGAAGATGGCAAACATTGAAAAAGAATAATGATGCAATAAATTGAGAAAAAAAACTTGTTTTGCAATAGTCGTTTTTCAAATAGCACACGCATTATGGGATGTATGTGGAGGTTGAATGACAGAGAAGATATTCACCAAAATAATATTGTGTGGATATTCCTAGCCAAAATTATCTTTGTGATTAGCTGACACTTGCAGCTGATCATTACTTGCTGTTATTTAAGTAGCTAAGGATGCCAAGGAGTAAACAGAGCAGCAGCATACCAGAAAAACTAAAGAAATCCACTTCAAATGGATTAACATAATTACTTCAGCCAGAGAGTGACAACAAAGTGACAAAATACACTTGAAACATAGATGTTTTTGTAGTCTACCTTCTGCTTGTACACACCTGTGCACTTTGTAAATGGCTCCATATGCTTAATCAAAAGAAATCTAATTGCCTTAATTTACTTCATCCAAAAGTAGAAGAGTAAATTATATGTTTAATTATAAACTTTCCACTTTGGGCAGCTATAATTAATGACTCAAGGAATTGTGCAATAAGCCAAAAGCAACCTTTTATTACTCCTGAGATACCTGAACAACACCGGCGTTTCAGAGCCAGTCAGGTTCTATTAGTATAGGAATCAAAATGCCTACCTGAGGCATTAATCACGGAGCACTTCCAAGCAGAGACTTTTAATTATATGTGCCGTATACCATCCACATGGATTGTCTGCACCAGGGGATGGTAATAAATGTTCTATACTAAGTAATGATGACAGGGGATTTTTTATTTTTTATTTTTATTTTTTAGTGAATTCCACCTTAAATTTCCATAACCTTACCAAGATGTGGCCCCAGAACATGGAGAATTCCTCCCTCTAAAACATTTTTTAGGAAGTCAATGCCTTTGAAGACTGAAGTCTAATTTGTGTCTTCTATTAGAATTGACAAATGCAATAAGAAGCATCTCTCCTCCTAGAGATCCAACTGGATTTTCTCTACACATTCAGAATTGCATTTTTAAAAGACACCACCTCTATTTACCATGTTGAGAGAGTGAACATATAGTTTATTGTCAAACACTGGACATTCCAGGACAACATGCATAAATTAGGCCTCTGCTAGGAAAATTAGGGATCACCTTACATGTGGCATAGTCAATTTAGTCCTTGATCATAAGAACTTCAGTGGATTATGCATGGCATAGCTTGATTAGTTTTATGTAAGTAGCACTATCTTATCATAGACGGAGCATGGGCTTTGACACAAAAAAGTCTGGTTTTAAATTTCTGCCACTTACTAGCTAAGGAACTTCAAGCATTATTTAACCTCTCTGAATCTTAGTTTTTTCATTTCTAAAATGGACACTTAAAGCACTTTTGTAATTATTAACCCAAATGTAATAACAATAAATAAAGCTCCAGGTATAGATGATATACTATGCTCTCAACAATCGTTATGTGTTAAATAAATCTTTTTTTTTTTTTTTTTTTTTGGTGAGATGGAATTTTGCCCTAGTCTTCCAGGCTGGGGTGCAATGGTGCATTCTTGGCACTGCAACCTCCGCCTCCCAGGTTCAAGTGGTTCTCCTGCCTCAGCCTCCAGAGTAGCTGGGATTACAGGTGAGTGCCACCATCCCTGACTAATTTTTGTATTTTTAGTAGAGACAGGGTTTCACCATGTTGACCAAGCTGGTCACAAACACCAGACCTCAGGTGATTCACGAACCTCAGCCTCCCAAAGTGCTGGGATTACAAGCTTGAGCCACTGCGCCCAGCCAGAGAAACCTTGAGAAAACTTAAATCCTCTTATTCACTCACCCAGAATTTCAAAATTTTAGGGTGTTAATGAAAACATTAATTTTGACTAACAAAAATAATATAGTTTTAAAGGCACGTTACTTTGAGTGACGGGTCTACTGATTATTCCCTAGTCGCTCTCCTACCCTTTTCAAACTCTGCATTTTTCTGCCTTGCTCTGTGCCCTGGGAAGCTGCATATGAATGACATCACCTGGGCTCCCTTGCCTATGACTTTCAGTTAGTTTTGCCAAGATGAGGCACTAGCAGATGAGAGGATGTGTGGAGGAAAAATATTTTAAAGCATTTATTATTCTCCCTTTCTGCTTCACCATGGTTCTGGTTGTGTTCTTCTTCTTACACAGTGGTTCTTAAACTTAAGTGCACATCTGATTTACCTGGAGGGTCTGATAAAACCCAGATTTCTTGGTGCCACTCCCGGAGTTTCTGACTCAGTAGATGTGGAGTAGAGTTTAGGAATTTGCATTTCCAATTACTTTTCACGTGACAGTGGTGCTGATCCAGAAACATCTGTTTGATGTCCAGTGCTTTATGATAGCAGGTTCATAGGGCAGCCCCCTCCCCTTTTTTTGGTGGTGGTTGGGGGCTTTCTCCTTAACCACCTTATTTCATTTTGGGTGGAGTTTTGCTCTAGTTGCCCAGGCTAGAGTGCAATGGCGCTATCTCGGCTCACTGCAACCTCCACCTCCCAGGTTCAAGCAATTCTCCTGCCTCAGCCTCTTGAGTAGCTGGGATTAGAGTGGCATACCACCATGCCCAGCTAATTTTTGTATTTTTAGTAGAAACGGGGTTTCACCATGTTGCCCAGGCTGGT
This sequence comes from Homo sapiens, assembly GCF_000001405.40. Lineage (NCBI taxonomy): Eukaryota > Metazoa > Chordata > Mammalia > Primates > Hominidae > Homo > Homo sapiens. The sequence continues at coordinate 76,114,141 of NC_000002.12, forward strand.
CTCGAACTCCTGACCTCAGGTGATCCACCTGCGTTGGCCTCCCAAAGTGCTGGGATTACAGGTGTGAGCCACAGTGCCCGACTGGGCAGCCTCTTTTTTAAGACTGAAGCTTTCTGTCTCTGATAACACCATTCACTTCTGGCCTAGAGACAGTAACAGCAGTATTCTGTGGCTAAACCTCAGGTAGTGCCTCATCACTCCTTAGGGTTAGTTCATTAACAGGGGAGTTGTCCATACTTCAGAAATATCTTCTTCATTATATTATCTTTCATTATCCTTTTAAGTGTATGATTTTTTTTCTTCCTGGGCTGTAACTGATATAGCAAGTACAGAAATTACTCAAATTAAACATTATGGATTTTTAAAAAATCACTAGAATTTTTGAATTTTTAACTCTTCTTAATTGTACCATTGTACCATTAATTGTACTACCATTGTAGTGGTTTTACAAATGAGGCAAAACAATAGCAAAAAAGTGATACCCTTGAAGTCTTTAGTATCAAATCTATTGTCGTATTGAAGACAGTGAAGCATTGAACTAGGGTTATGATGCCACATAATAGATTTCTAAAATAGAAATGTCTCAGTCATTTAGTTTGTATTAATGTATTATTTTCCATCAAGTATCTTGAGCAACTTTAATAATTTCAAAATTTCTCAGCATAATTATATTGTAAAAAACTACTCTAAGTTTACTGTTTTTCCCAATATTTCCTGAAGTAACAAAATAATTATGATTAGAAATGTTTTAAAACTTCAAAATCATTTTTTAAGTTTCTTAAAAGATGAGTTTTCAAATCCTCCTGCTTTTATCTTTTGTTTCTGAGTATGAGGTGTTTTTTTTTTTTCCTATGAGGATTATTTTGTTCCTATTTTAAGAAGAATGCCTGTTTACTGCTAAAAAGGTTATTTTTAACTAGTCTCTCGTGGACCATTTCAGACAAGTAAGGTGAGAAGAGGGGAAAATTATTTAGATATTGTGAAGACATGAACAGCTTATCTAGAAATTTTTTTAAATGAGGCAAAAGTGGTGATGAGGATAACAAAGATCTGCTGTGCTGCCTAGCGGGCATCAGAAGTCAGAAGGCTCCATAGCTCAGGTCATATGTGCCCACACATGATAGGACCCTAACATCTCCACAAAGACTCTTGTGTCATATATCACTGTGGGGGAACTTTGAAGAATGAAGTCTCTACCATCAAAACAGAATCTAAAAAAGTATATTTCACTTTTTTTTTCAAAGTAAGTATCAGAAAGTTCTCTCTTCTCACAAATTCTAGATATAAACCATCCACTCTCTTCTGAATTTCTCAGATCAATAAATGGTTCAGTGCTGTATTGTGTTAGGAACTATGTGTAGGTTTCTGAGGGAAGAGGGCTGTTATGGTGAGGTGTAACCTTGGAATTTGATAATTAGAGACAACAGTTTAAACATCTGTAAGGAAGAGGATCAAATGTATACATGGAATTTTAAAATATATTATGAACTTGCTTTGCTTGCAGAATATCACTGTTTTTGAATTTTTTTTGAACCATGGAATTGGCACTTGCACCAATCTTTTATTTGAGGTGTCTTGGAGAAATAGCAAGTCGATGACAAGATATGTTGGCTAAAATCCACAGTGACGGTCTGAAAAATTTAATTAATTAAATTAGCATTTATTATTCTCAGGATCAGATAAACAAAGCAAATATATGAGTACACTATCATTTTAACTTTTCTGTGAGTGATTTAAAAATGAATTGCACTGTGGTAAGAAAATATCATCATCTCTTGAAACTACCGTTATGGTATGTCAATTTTTTTCATGTTCTATGGGTGCTTAAAAAAGAGTGCTTTGTATATTTGCTGGATGTAGACTTCAATTTATGCCTACTAGGTTAGGCTTATATATTCTAATTTCATATTTTTTAAGGCTTAGTAATTTGTTCCTGCTAATTATATTAATGCCTAAGATAGATGTGTTAAAATTACCCTTTATTATTGTAAGTTTGTCAATCTTTCCTAGTAGTTTTCTCATTTTTTGTTTTATATAGTTGGATATGTTGCTATTGGGTCTGATCAATTTCAGGATTATTATTTCTTCTTGGTAACTTGTGCTTTGTTCACTGACATCACACAGACATCTTTCATATACCACTTTCTATTTATCAGCAAACCCTGTCTGATCAAACTTTGCAATTTGTTCAGATTCCACCAGTTTTCACCTTTTCCACTTGGTTGAAGTCACCGTTGTGATGAATCTTTTCTAGTCTACTGCTGTAGTCTCCTACCTTCACTGCTTCTGCTTTTACCTTTCTAGAGTCTATTCTCAACAAAGTTCTTCCAGTTCTTACAAGGAGCTATTAATGAGGCACTATCCCCATCTGACTGCAGCTTTGTGAAAGTGGCCCTACAGAGCAGGTCTGCATTTGCATTTGTTGGGCATCTCCTTGTGTCAGTAATCCTGAAATTGTCTTCATGTCAGGTGCTCAGCTTGCAGTTTCTGTACCAGGCTGGTATTATACACTTGGACCCATATCTGTAGGTTTCGAGGGCTTGGAATTTTGATTTATTGGTGCGGAGTTTTTTTCTCATCCAAACATCCCTAATGAGATGTAGCAAACATTTTTGCTGCTTCCCGGAGATAATGGATGCAGTTCTTCTGTTTAACATAAATGAGTGGACATTTCAGTGAAGCTCTCTTTAAGGGGTAATAGTTTTCCTGCTTTATGTAGGTTTCGATTATTTCTTTGGCCTATGCGGATGCTAGAATACTAGCTCCTTTTCTACAACGTTGAAATCTAGAACCAAATCTTTGTAGGCTGCCACGTTGACAGTTTCTCCTTAGCCACCTTATTTCATTTTGGAAGCCTAGAAATTTAGCTCTATTTGGTTCAAGTTAGGCTGTATGTCATGATATGTGTGTGTGTGTGTGTGTGTGTGTGTGTGTGTGTATGAGTGTATGTCTTTATTTTTAATATGGAGTTTCTGGTTTAGTTTTTAGCAGAGGGATAGCCCCTTAGTGACAAGTGAATCTACTACCCTATACTAGATTAGGATGAAATTTACAACTAATTCTCAATGCTTTTCTAATAAACTATTTACTTAATTTGAATCTTCAAAAAATACATTTAATGATGATTTTGTGCCTGAAGGTATATCAGACCATGGGAATTCTGCAGTGAAGAAAATATACCTGTTTTTTGCCTTCCTGAACCTTAAAGGTTAATAGAAGAAGGCATATTAACTAACAAATAAATTACAAATCAAGGTGAACAAATGTTATAAAGAAAATTATCTTGAGGAAAAAGTAAAGCAAACTTGAGATAAGGGATCTAATTTGGATAGGATGGTCTCCCAAACCTCTATGACATTCACAAGAAACCAGAAGACAGTTTCAATAGAAATGGTACCTTATTGATCAAGGAAACAGAATAGAGTGCTCCAAAATAAGGCTGCACACCTATGGCCATCTGATCTTTGACAAAGCTTACAAAAACAAGTCATGGAGAAAAGACTCCTTATTCAATAAGTTCTGCTGGGTAACTGGCTAGCCATATGCAGAAGATCGAAGCTGGACCCTTTCCTTACACCATATACAAAATCAACTCAAGGTGGATTAAATACTTAAATGTAAAACTCAAAACTATAAAAATCTTGGATGACAACCTAGGCAATAGCATCCTAGAGATAGGAACGAGCAAAGATTTCATGACAAAGACACCAAAAGCAATTGCAACAAAAGCAAAAATTGACAAATGGGATCTAATTAAACTTATGAGTTTCTGCACAGCAAAAAAACTATCAACAGAATAAACAGACAACCTACAGAATGGGAGAAAATTTTTGCAAATGATGCATCTTACAATGGTGTAATATCCAGCATCTATACGAAACTTAAACAAATTTACAAGAGAAAAACAAACAACCCCATTAAAAGTGGGCAAAGGACATGAACAGACATTTCTCAAAAGAAGACATACATGCAACCAACAAACATATGAAAAAAAGCTCAATACCACTGATAGTTAGAAAAATGCAAATCAAATACACAATGAAATTGTATCTCACACCAGCCAGAATGGCTACTATAAAAATGTCAAAAAATAACAGTTACTGGCAAGGTTGTGGAGAAAAAGGGAACACTTATACACTGTTGGTGGGAGTATAAATTAATTCAACCATTGTAGAAAGCAGTATGGTGATTCCTCACAGAGCTAAAAGCAGAACTACTATTTGACCCAGCAATATCATTACCGGGTATATACTGAGTGGAATATAAATTATTCTACCATAAAGACACATGCACACAAATGTTCATTGCAGCACTATTCACAATAGCAAAGACATGGAATCAACCTAAATGCCCATCAGTGACAGATTGGATAAAGAAAATGTGGTACATACACACCATGGAATACTATGCAGCCATAAAAAATGAGATCACGTCTTTTGCAAGAACATGGATGGAACTGGAGGCTATTATCCTTAGCAAACTAATACAGGAACAGAAAACCAAATATTGTATGTTCTCATAAGTGAGAGCTGAATAATAAGAACACATGAAAACAAAAAAAAGAGAACAATGGACATTGGGGTCTACATTAGGGTAGAGAGTGGGAGGAGGGAAAAGAGCAGAAATTATTGGGTATTAGGCTTAATACATGGGTGATGAAAGAATCTATACAAAAAGCCCTCATGACACGAGTTTACCTACACAAAAACCTTCACATGTACCCATAAACCTAAAATAAAAGTTAAAAAAAACAGGTATCAGAATAGTTACTGCTTCTAGAGTCGTTGTAGGTATAAATAATTTAGAACAATATTCAGCATCTAATCAGTACTGTCATAACTGTTGATATAATTGTATTATTCATATCTGTGCATTTTGTAGATTTATATTAAATAATACCTTTAAAAATTAAAACTAAAAAGGAATGGTGCCTATTACAGTTCTGATTTATTTGTTAATGTTTTTTAAAGACTGGAGGGTATTATGTTTCGTCATCAATTTTATAATGACTCAATTTTCAAGTCGTATCTTTCTTTACTCTATATTCCTCAGTTATTACATGGATTTAAATATACCTTAGGTTAAATGTTATTTGGCTGATGTTAGAAGTTACACACAGAAAAAAACAAAATACAAGGAAACTATAAATATGACATGGTTAACATATAAGTCCCGTTGAGGAGATGGTGTCTGAAAATTGTCTATGATTTGAAAATTATTTTGAATAATTCATTAATTTCTGGAAAAGAATGGAAAGATAGGAGAACTTTCAAGCACCTATTTTACTCAAAAATGGCATTAAATATGATCTCACATAGGCATTAATTGAAACATGGTTAAAATTGGTTCCCACCTGCTTTGGAAACTGCTGTTGTTTAGTTTCAGCTCATGCTTTGTGAATATGTAAGTCTGAGAAGTGCTGTTTATGCTATCTCCTAGAAATTTCTTAACACAAATATTTCTCAATGTATAACAAGGCTCTGAGAAATCCTGAAGACATTTTTTAACTTTGTTTAAGCCAACATGTCTCAAATTTATTTGACTATATAATGTTGTTTTGTGTTTTGTGTATAAACATATTTTAACTAACCATGAGCAGGGCTCCAGGAACGTACTTTTGGACATTCTCTTCCACATTATATGTCTTCTATTAATATTTTTTATTCTTGTGTTTATACTCTTTCTTTACTTAAAATATTTATAGATAAAATATTATGAGTAAAATCAACTACCTTTTAAAAATATTTTAAAATGTCATGATCTTAGTTCTTAAAAGATTGCAATTGGCTAATAGCAGGGAAAACCATACATTCTGATTTTCCTAGTACAGTCTTAATTTATGCTTCCCTATTTCATATAAAAAGAATCATGATTTAAATGATAAATTGTTCATTATACTATTATCTCCAATTATGATACTTGCAATATATGACAGTTGCATATTCTCTAAAAGAAGCTTCTTTCCCCTCTTGAAAGTCAGCTCATTGTCTAATTTAAAACTAATGTAATTTCTTTTCAAAAGCAAATTCAAGACTTCAAGTAAAATGACAGCATAAGCTCGGTCATAGGCCTCTATCTCTCAGATCCTCATTTAGAAAAATAAAATGGAAAAAAAAAGAGAAGCAGAAGGACTTGCAACATCACTGGAAACTAGGAAAGTGCATCTTCCACAAACTGGATTCCTGGGAGAAGTGGTTCTGCACACATGACAGTTGGCACCAGACTGCAGGACACCAAGGGCTGACTCAGCCTCTGCCAACTCAGAAAGAGAAGTGTAGCTACAGTGATGGGAGGACCTCAGCTGGGTTTGCATTACTTTTCTATTGCTGCTTAACACATTACCACAGACTGAGTAACTTCAAAAAGCACAAATTTAGTACTGTATCTCAAAATTTCTGTAGATCACAAGTCTTGCCATGGGTTAGCTAGGTCTCTTGTTCAGGATCTCATAAAGTTGAAATCCAGATGTTGGCTAGTCTACCATTTCATCTGAGGCTTGGAGTCCTCTTCCGATCTCATTCAAGTTGTGGAAAGAATTCAGTTATTTGTGGTTGATATGGTTAGGATCTGTGTCCCCACCCAAATCTTATCTTGAATTGTAATGCCCATAATCCCCATGTGTTGAGGGTATAACAAGTGGAGATAATTGAATCATGGGGCAGTTTCCCTTATGCTGTTCTCCTGCTAGTAAGTGAGTGCTCATGAGATCTGATGGTTTCATAAGGGGCTTCCCCCTTCACTCAGCATGCACTCCATCCTGCTGTTATTTGAAGAAGGTGCCTGCTTCTCCTCTGCCTTCCTCCATGAGTGTAAGTTTCCTGAGGCCTCCCCAGCAATGTGGAAATGCGAGTCAATTAAACCTCTTTATTAATTACCCAGTCTCGGTTATTTCTTCATAGCAGTGTGAAAACGGACTAATACACTGATTGTAGGACTGAGACCTGTGTTTTCTTGCTGGCTGTCAGCCAGGGATTATTCTCAGCTCCTATAAGACACCCTTGGGTCTTAGTTTCATGGCCCACTCACACTATGGCAGCTTATTTAGTCAAAATCAGCCAGGGAGCCTCTCTCTAGTTGGCTAACATAGGGTCTAACATAACACAACCTAATCAAAACGTGTTCTTCCATCTTAGACACATGTATGCTCAAAGGGAGGAGATTTTATAGGGTGTGTGGGAACCAGGACCCTAGCACAGAGCCCCAGTACCATCCCTGATTTGAACAGTGAGAAGAGGATGGGCCTTCAGCATAATAGCAACTAGTGGTCTTCTTGTAATGTCTACAGGATAAATGCTTTTGGTAATCTATTACTAGTAAAAGAAAAATCTTTAAAAAATCTATACTGTTGAACTGGTATACCTCTATTTCTCCTAATAAGCATGAAATAGTCAATTTTCTTTTTCTACAACAGACAAATTTGAAGTCAAACTATATATTGTTCTTGTCTTTAAGATAAAAACAGACAAATTTGAAGTCAAACCATATATTGTTCTTGTCTTTAAGACAAAAACAGACAAATTTGAAGTCAAACCATATGTTGTTCTTGTCTTTAAGACAAAAACAGACAAATTTGAAGTCAAACCATATATTATTCTTGTCTTCAATATTTCTTACATTTCCAGATGATACTTTTGAAGATGAAAATTTATCGTAATTTTGGAGTGAGGCCTATAGAGTAATGAAAAAAGAAATATGAATTATCTACTTTAGGCCCTGTCTTTCCCCACCCACTTTGCAAAGCATTCTTCTTTTCTTCCCTAGAAGTTGCATTATGGAAGACAAAATAGAAAAAGAGGAGGAAAAAGGAAAGCAAAAGGGAAAAAGGCAAAAAACTGATGAATAAAATGAGAAAATTAAAAATAAATTTAATACTCAATTAGGATAGGAAAATTTGTCCCCCTTCATGTCTATGCAGAAATAGAAGGAAGAGAAGGAATTCTATCCTTACAGGAGAATATAGATGCCATTCTCTTCACTTTGCAGCTGACCAGGACTATCACCCAATGAGGTGAACTATTTCTTACTGCTTCCCCAAGAAAGCTTCCTAGACTATGACTACTATTTAAGTCTTGGTATATACATTCTACCTTAAAAAGCAAAGAGAACCAAGATATAGGTTTAGAGTTCTGAGGTTTAGCTCTTCTGGGATTTTATGTCGTCTTCGTATTCCTTCATTTTACTAATAAACATCTATTGAGCTATTTGACGACAGCAGGACCTCAAATAAGAATTGCATGGTCTTGCTTGCAAGAAATTCACAGGAAATAGGACTGTAAATCAATAAATATAAAAAAGTCATGTGTCACTTAATGCAGATACTTTCTAAGAAATGCATTGTTGGGCAATTTCATCATTATGTAAATATCACAGAATGTACTCACATACATGTAGATGATATGGTCTACTACACCCCTAGGCTATATGGTATATCTTATGGCTCCTAGGCTACAAACTTTTATAGCATATTACTGTACTAAATACTCTAGTTGATTGTAACAAAATGGTAAGTATTTGTGTATCTAAACATGTCTAAACAGAAAAGGTGCACTAAAAATATATTATTATAATCTTATATGATCACAGTTATATATGCTGTCTGTCATTGGCTGAATGTTACGGAGCATGTGAGAGTATAATATACATGCTAAAATAAAATATAATGTAATACATATTGAAGTATGGGAAGCCACTGGAGGGAGTAACTCATATTTTAAAGGTGTGAAGACAACTATAATAAAAAAGAGGCTTTTTTGTTCTATGTCTTAAAGAATGAAAGTGCTCTAAGTACTTTCATTCTTTAAAGTACTTCAAGAATGAAGTAGGAGTGGGAGTGGGTAGGAAAGAGATAGAAGCTGGTGAGTTTAATACCCCACCCTACCACAGCATGATAAATCTCAAAACTTGTGTGTAAGGAATTACCTTAATGAAGAGAAGTTTCATCAAATAAATTAACAAAGGCAAGGTTAATTTGTGCTATTAAGAGTTCTTCTAAGCAGCCTATTGTTCATGTCCTAATCATATAAAGAGATAAGTTAGTAATAGTGAAAAATCAATCAGAAGGAAAGCAAAGTACATCTGGGAGAATGTTATGTTCCATTCTGTTAGTCCCTTGGCTAGACCACAAAAGAAATGACAGTAGCTTCATCATAGTAGATTTTCTCCTTTATTTGTACTCACTTAGGCAAGTGCATGGTTAAGTATTTATAAATTTAATTGTGGAGACCGCTTGTTTGTGGTTTGTAAGGAGCAAATCCACTGGAGATGGGGATTGTGACACCTGATACCCCTTTTATGCTCATGAAAATGAATCCTGAAAAGCTGCTTTATCTCAACAATGCTCTGCTAGCCTAGCATGGACCGTTTGAAAATCTAGTTGACATCACTGATCTCCTTAATAAATGTATGGTTGTTGTACATGACTTCTTTTAGAGCCAAAGGAAGATGACAGTACACTGAATGCATTAATCCATTTAATGCAATATCTCTTTAAGGTTGTTTATTGGTCTGATTTATGGAGTTAGATTTTGAAGACAATGTATGGCTATATCTTAAATATCTCCCCTCATTATTTTGAAAGGCACAAAATTATTTTTATCATTATTTGCCTTCACATTACCTTTTTATTTACTTCTTTTTGACACAGAACTATTGTACAAGTTTAGTATAAGTTAATGGCAAAATGATTTATTAAAAAATTCCCTGTAATCCCAGAAGTATCTAAAAATATACACAATATTTTATACATACACAGGACAGATGAAACTCTACATACTCTTTTGTTATTTGCTGACATTGTTTAATAAATATTTTTTCATATATATAAAAATATAAATCTAAAATAGTGGTTCCTTACATTTCAGAGGGTCATGAACCATTTCAGAAATTAATATATGTCCAGGCATAGAAAATTCTGCATATAATTTCAGGGGGCTTGTGGATCCTTTCTAAAGCCTAAAGGATTTCATGGATTTCAGAATATGAATTTCTAACTCGGTGAATTATTTTTAGTTTATTTGTGTTTATTTTCTGTGGTTTCTGAGTCCCATAACCTCTATCTCTGGGTAGTTTCCAACTCATGGCCTCTTCTGAAAGGGTAAGATTAGGTAAGCATGTTTAATGCTGTCTTCTCTTTTCCAACTAATTGAATTTCCATGGACACATGGCACAAGGGAGTAGACTGAGTGGCTGGTCAGGAACCTATTTGGTTTTTTTCCTCAGGGAAATTTGAACTCAGAAATGGAGATTCTAAATGAAGAAAGGCATGAGCCCTCTTATTGAAAGTGCCATCAGAATAATACATAGAATAAATAAAGGTAAATCTACAACTAAATACCTAGAAGTGGAAATATAAATAAAAAGGATAAAAAGAAAATATTAAATCTACCCCCCAAAACATGTTACCCACAGGAGAATAATACAAAGTATATGGAGAGACATTTTAGTAGCAGCAGTAAATGCCTAAAGGAATAGCCTTACACTGCAAGATTAGGATTTTATTCTAGCCAAACTACAGACATCAGATTAGTACTATTGCAGGGTTTCTCATTCAAAAGCCAGCTTACCACATGTTACACTACAGTTGTCACCCACCAGTCAACACATTCTGTCAGAGCACTGAGATAGAATCGACTTTATAAGGCCAGATACTTGAGGAGAACCTTCTACATAAAAGGCCAAAGGAGGCAAACATATCAAAGAAAAAGAAAAGAAAAAATAGTGGTAAGCTAGAAACAGAAGAAATCACTTAAAAAAATTTAATAATATGATCACAGATAAAGAATTCCCTGGATTCCTAAATAAGAACAGGGTGCTACACAAGGAACATTACCATAGCAAGTGAACACTCTTAAATATTAAAAATTATAACAGAAGAAATAAATGTAATAGAGGCCTTAGAAAATAAAATTGATAAAATCCCCCAGCAAATAGAATGAACAAAAAGAAAATACAAGAAATGAGATAAAATAATTAAATCAACTCAGAAATTTTAACATAGAAATAAAAAGAATGGAAGGACATGAGATTAGAGATTTAGAGGGTAGACAAGAAAAAATTTGTCCTGTAATTATTAGGACATTATAAAAGTTATAATTATTAGGACAGTATAATTAGTAAGTACAAATAAAAGCCCAGAAAAGGACCTGGTCATATGCAGAGAGTTGATAAAGGAAAAAGGTAATTCTAGGAATGAGTAGGGGAAAGTTTAAACTCTTCAATAAATATTTCCGTGATAATTTATTAGGCATAGAGAAAAAACATATTTCTATCTCAAGTCACACATAGAAATACATTTCATGTGGTTTAAAAATGTAACTATAAAGAGGCAAAACTTTAATATCATATGATATTTCCTATCATATGATAGGAAAATATATACAACTTTGGATTACGAATTCTTTTCTCAAACAAAACCAACTAAAAAGTACATTTTATATAGGAAAACATTGAGAGGTTGGACTATAAGAAAATTAAAACTTTTATTTAAAAAAATACCCTAAGTAAAGTCTAAAGACAAAAGAGAGGGAAGATAATTAATACAAATGTCTTTGTCAAAAGATAGTACTCAGAATTTGTGTTCTACAAACAACAGGAAGATAATAAGTAGAACTAAGAACAAATAATATATAGAGGCAAACAGAGCAGAGGAAACCTAAACGTAATAACCATTTAAGAAGTTGCTCAAATGTAGTAAAAATCAGAGTCCTGCAACTTCAAAGAACAGTTAAATACTATTTTACACTAAGCAAACTGGAAAAATTATAAAATTCTGAGAATATTAAGTGTTGGTAAGGATGTGGTTAAATGTTGACATCTGTTACTGTGTGTAAATATAGACTAACATTTTTCTGTATTTGCCTGTTTTTAAAACATAATTCATAATTAAAATTTTTAAATTATATTTTTTCTCTATGTCTGGAGACAAGTTAAATATTGTAGGAACTATCTTTCTTTATAATGTTGTAAATAACTCTCTTTGAAGGCATTTTTCATTATTTAGAGCTAGGTTATTATTTTTATTATGAGCAGCTTTGTAATTTTTTCTTTTTAACATTTTGTTTTGATATTTTTCCCCTAGAAAATCATGCCTTCCATTGATATTTTAGTATATTTTAGACTAGAGTTGACATCATAAATTCTAATAATTTAAAGAATCTTGTATCTGGGGTTACATTTCCTTCCTCACTCTTATTACAGACTCAGGCTTTTTCTCTTCACTTATCATTAGCTTTGTTAGAAGTTTATTTGTTGGCCTTTAGAGAAAAGCATTCTCTTTACTGTAAATTAATCCTATTCATTTATTTTTATTTAAATGGTCTTTACAGCTTGCTGAACAATACTTCTCAAATGATGTTGGTTTTAATAGAACTGTTGAGCTTCACCCACATATAGGAGTTATGGCTATTTTTTTTTTTTTTACCACTACCCTATTCTAGTTCAAGGATTCTACTTCCTGTTAGAGTGTCTCAAGTCTCAAAAAGTATGTGAGGTTCCCATGAAGGGCAGTTCTAATGCAACTCATTTACTCTCAGGTCATGGATGACTATCAGCTCTGCTGGAAGACTCATGAGAGGTAGGTATGTAGGAAGCTGTGTATGGGTGACCCTCTCAAAAACAATGAAGACTGCTCACTGGCTATTCAGTCAAAAGCAACCTCCACTTAAAGGAATGCAGTGGCATACTGGTCTTGACACTAGATCGAAGAAGCTCCCTGGCTGGTGACAGTCTCCACCAGGATACTTGGCTGTCTCTACACAATGATTCCATTTATATTTTCTTTCTTTTTTTTTTTTATTATACTTTAAGTTCTAGGGTATATGTGCACAACATGCAGGTTTGTTACATATGTATACATGTGCCATGTTGGTGTGCTGCACCCATTAACTCATCATTTACATTAGGTATATCTCCTAATGATATCCCTCCCCCCTCCCCCCACCCCCCACCCCACAACAGGCCCCGGTGTGTGATGTTCCCCTTCCTGTGTCCAACTGTTCTTATTGTTCAATTCCCACCTATGAGTGATAACATGTGGTGTTAGGTTTTTTGTCCTTGCGATAGTTTGCTGAGAATGATGGTTTCCAGCTTCATCCATGTCCCTACAAAGGACATGAACTCATCATTTTTTATGGCTGCATAGTATTCCATGGTGTAGATGTGCCACATTTTCTTAATCCAGTCTATCATTGATGGACATTTGGCTTGGTTCCAAGTCTTTGCTACTGTGAATAGTGCCGCAATAAACATACGTGTGCATGTGTCTTTATAGCAGCATGATTTATAATCCTTTGGGTATATACCCTGTAATGGGATGGCTGGGTCAAATGGTATTTCTAGTTCTAGATCCTCAAGGAATTGCCACACTGATTTCCACAATGGTTGAACTAGTTTCCAGTCCCACCAACAGTGTAAAAGTGTTCCTATTTCTCCACATCCTCTCCAGAACCTGTTATTTCCTGACTTTTTAATGATTGCCATTCTAACTGATGTGAGATGGTATCTCACTGTGGTTTTGATTTGCATTTCTCTGATGGCCAGTGATAATGAGCATTTTTTCATGTATCTTTTGGCTGCATAAATGTCTTCTTTTAAGAAGTGTCAGTTCACATACTTCGCCCACTTTTTGATGAGGTTACAGAGAGCCAAATCATGAGTGAACTCCCATTCACAATTGCTTCAAAGAGAATAAAATACCTAGGAATCCAACTTACAAGGGACGTGAAGGACCTCTTCAAGGAGAACTACAAACCACTGCTCAATGAAATAAAAGAGGACACAAACAAATGGAAGAACATTCCATGCTCATGGATAGGAACAATCAATATCATGAAAATGGTCATACTGCCCAAGGTAATTTATAGATTCAATGCCATCCCCATCAAGCTACCAATGACTTTCTTCACAGAATTGGAAAAAAACTACTTTAAAGTTCATATGGAACCAAAAAAGAGCCCGCACTGCCAAGTCAATCCTAAGCCAAAAGAACAAAGCTGGAGGCATCATGCTACCTGACTTCAAACTATACTACAAGGCTACAGTAACCAAAACAGCATGGTACTGGTACCAAAACAGAGATATAGACCTATGGAACAGAACAGAGCCCTCAGAAATAATGTCACATATCTACAACTATCTGATCTTTGACAAACCTGAGAAAAACAAGCAATGGGGAAAGGATTCCCTATTTAATAAATGGTGCTGGGAAAACTGGCTAGCCATATGTAGAAAGCTGAAACTGGATCCCTTCCTTACACCTTATACAAAAATTAATTCAAGATGGATTAAAGACTTACATGTTAGACGTAAAACCATAAAAACCCTAGAAGAAAACCTAGGCAATACCATTCAGGCCATAGGCATGGGCAAGGACTTCATGTCTAAAACACCAAAAGCAATGGCAACAAAAGCCAAAGTTGACAAATGGGATCTAATTAAACTAAAGAGCTTCTGCACAGCAAAAGAAACTACCATCAGAGTGAACAGGCAACCTACAGAATGGGAGAAAATTTTTGCAATTTACTCATCTGACAAAGAGCTAATATCCAGAATCTACAAAGAACTCAAATAAATTTACAAGAAAAAAAATTTATATTTTCTTAATCCTGAGTGGCATTCACCCTGTTCTCCTGTAGTGCAGACTCTTGTCGTGCTGTTCTATTCCCTCCAAAGGTCAAACTCCACTCACTCTCCTTCCGTAATCTCAGGTCAGGTCACTACACAGCCTTCTAGTCTGTAACATAAATTGTCATGGTAATAAACACCACACGATGCCTCCTTCAGGACTTTTTATTTTAAAATATTTTTCTAAAAAAAAATTCCCTTCTTAAGAAAATTCCACAGAACTGCCTTTTAGAAATAAAATATTTCAGAATTTTAAAACAAGTTTTCTTCACTGTGGGCATTAAGAGCCTATTTTGGATGCTAAAAAAAACAAAAAATAAAACACACATTCCAACAAAAATAACAACACTCAATATTGACTATTCTTTTTTTCTTTTATGAAATTCTTGAGGCCAGGTGCATTTCTCTGATCGACCGGGGAAGGGTCATGTACAAGGAAGCAAAGGAAAACAAAGGAAAAAAAAACCCAATATTTCAAAACTTTTTTACATTGATCTTTTTAGTGTTTTATCCTTTTTGAATATATTTCTCATAGTTTCACATTTATTAACTCATGTAACCTCATAAGACATGCATGTTAACACAGAGGTCTGCTGCACTCAGATTCTAGGTTGAGTAGCCATAGCTTATTTTTTATGACTTAGTGCAAGAGGGCCTTGTGCTTAACCTCTTAAAGGCTCAGTTTACTCATTTTCAAATTTCGGCTGATAACAACATGTGTTTCATAGATTTGTTTGTTTGTTTGTTTGTTTTAATGGTTGAATACAGAGTCTATTCGAGCACAAAACTCGAAGACAGCTGCCTGGGAAACAAAAATTCCAAAGAATGGACATCAATGTTCCAAAGGGTAGAAGTTTGGACTCATTTTATTAGACAAGGTTTGGGTAAGCTTTAACAGAATTTCAATATCTTTCTATACAAGGCTTACTGCATTGTTACAACAATCTGACTAGTTGAATTATCCTTTTTCTTTTAGGAAAATATATTTAACACTCCACACTGAATATTTAACAGTCATGGTATCTTTGCTCCAGCTGATCTAAACACAGGACAATAAAAGACATGGTTAATCTACAACAAAGGTCAGTGATTAAAAGGGGAGGAGGCATGCCACTGCACTCCAGCCTGGGTGACACAGCGAGACTCCAGTACTCTGTCTCAAAAAAGAGAAGGGGAGGAGGCCTGGTCTCTGGTCTCTCCTAATCATTTACAGAACAATAACAGTGAGGAAGAGAGCTAACCTATAATCTAAGAAGCAAAAGTTTCAATTATATGCTACATGACTCATCATAGTCATCTCTCTCTCAAGGATTAAAATGTTTTTTGGGGTTTCAACAGCTTTTACATTTTGTTTGTTTTCACATTTCCCCTTTGTCATCAAGATTGTTTGAGGAAGTCATCATAGAAAAACTCAGTAGTTTTGCCTCCCTCTTTTTGTTTGGTTTTGAGACAGAGTTTCACTCTTATTGCTCAGGCTGGAGTGCAGTGGTGTGATCTTTGCTCACTGCAACTTCCGCCTCCTGGGTTCAAGCAATTCTCCTGCCTCAGCCTCCCAAGTAGCTGAGATTACAGGCATGCACCACCACGCCCAGCTAATTTTGTATTTTCAGTAGAGATGGTGTTTCACTATGTTGGTCAGGTGGATCTCCAACTCCTGACTGACCTCAGGTGATCCACCCACCTCAGCCTCTCAAAATGCTGGGATTATGGGCGTGAGCCACCGCACCCAGGCTTTTGCCTCCTGTTATGTTCAGAAATTTAGTCCCATGTTGCTAGGAAGGCTTATTCCTAGAATGTCATGTCTCCCAGTGAGGGGGGATTGATTGGATGAGCTATAAAGCTGATAAGAGTATAGGTTGGATGTAAAGCAACATGAAGAAAGTGACTTTGTGAACTGTGTCAGGCTAAACAGCTACATCTTTAATGAAGGCAATTCTTTACATGACCACTGTTTTAGTCTTTTCAGTAGTGCATTGACTCCATTGCAAACAGCAGCAGTGAAAACTAAAGCTGAGCAAAACACAACATATGATTATAATTCCTAGAATAAGTAGCAGCTTTTGCTACCAAGTTCCCCAAGACCTAAATCAGCTGCTTAGCCAATTGCTCAGGAAGAGTCTTGGATCTGAAAGGCTAATTATTTGGAGTTTCATATCTGCCATTACTTTAGTGATGTTTTCTGAATCAGCTGGAATATAGACCCAGTACTCATTAGGTTTTATAAAGACTAAATGATATACATTTTAAAACACCATGCTGGCTTGAAGGACCCATCTTCTCTCATCTTGTTCATCAACATCAACTTCCAAGAAATATATTCTAGTATCCCTAGTTAAGCTTTACCTTTTCTTTACTCCCTTTTTGATCTTTAAAAATCAAATTTGTTTACATATCTATTTTCTGGCAGAGCATTTAGTTTTACAAATTCAAAGTTTGTGTTTTTCATCTGTGTGACTCTCCCACCAAACCTGTGACAGCACCTAAACAACTATCTCACACTGGGACTTATTTATTTTAAAGTTTTGAACTTTTTGCTGGCTTTCCAAGAACATAGATGCTCATCGTAGACAACCCTGAAGGAACAAGAAATTAGAAACCCACAGACAATCAACAACAGTTATCATTTTACCATGATCACTTTAATTAAATATTTTAAAAATTGTTTATATTGAAGAGAAGTGCATCACTCAAAAGTGCAGAGCTTGATGAATTTCCACAAAGACCTTCCTGATGTAACCGTTACGCAGATCAAGCGACTGAGCAGTACCAGCAACCAAGAAATCTCTCTATTCCTTCTCCCAATCTCTGCCTCATTCTCCTACTTTTCAGTTGCTACTGTAACAAATTACCACAAACTTAGTGGTTTCATTTATTTTCTCTTACAGTTCTGGGTTCAGAAGTTTGTTAGAGCTCTATTCCTTCTGGAGGCTTCAGAGGAAAATCTGTTTCCTTACATTTTGTAGCTTCTAGAGTCCACCTGCATTCCGTGGCCTGTGTCCCCTTCTTCTATCTTCAAAACTCATCACACCAACTTCTGGTTTCATTGTCACTTAACATTTTTTCTAACTTCTAACT
Organism: Homo sapiens; assembly: GCF_000001405.40. Classification (NCBI taxonomy): domain Eukaryota; kingdom Metazoa; phylum Chordata; class Mammalia; order Primates; family Hominidae; genus Homo; species Homo sapiens. The sequence goes on from NC_000002.12 coordinate 76,131,835, forward strand.
CAAATGACATTCAACATTGTTATGTCATTTTCATTCAACACCTTTTTCTTTTATTCTTCCTGTTTTCCTCTTACAAGGACTTTTATAATTATATTGGGCCCACCCAGATGAACCAGGATAGTCTACCCATCTCAATGTCCTTACCTTCATCACATCTGTCATTCCTTTTGCTATATAAGGTAACTTATTCACAGTTCTGAGGATTAGGATGGGGACATCTTTAGGGAGGCAATGTTCTGTGTACCACAGTGACTATTAACATGACTTTTAATAATATAGATTTGTTTTTCTGTTTTCAAGGTTATATAAATGCAATCTTTATATAAATGTACCCTTTGATGTCCAACATATTTTATTCAACATTGTATTTGTGAGGTTATCCATTCTGTTGTGCATAGAAGTAGTTTGATAACAACTTTCATTACTGTGTGGTATTTCATTGTAGGACTATACTATAATGTACTTATCCTATTATTGATAAACTTTTAAATTTTTTTAGCTATTATGAATAATACTGTTATAATTTATCTTTTACATTTCTTTTAATATGTGTATGTGTGTGCATGTTTCTATTGCATATATGTTTAAGTGGACTTTCTGGGCCACAGTGTATCTATACGTTCAACTTTGTAGATACCTATAGCCACTTTTCTTTTTTTTTATTTTTTATTATTATTATACTTTAAGTTTTAGGGTACATGTGCACAATGTGCAGGTTAGTTACATATGTATACATGTGCCATGCTGATGCGCTGCACCCACTAACTCGTCATCTAGCATTAGATATATCTCCCAATGCTATACCTCCTCCCTCCCCCCACCCCACAACAGTCCCCAGAGTGTGATGTTCCCCTTCCTGTGTCCATGTGTTCTCATTGTTCAATTCCCACCTATGAGTGAGAACATGCAGTGCTTGGTTTTTTGTCCTTGCGATAGTTTGCTGAGAATGATGGTTTCCAGCTTCATCCATGTCCCTACAAAGGATATGAACTCACCATTTTTTAAGGCTGCATAGTATTCCATGGTGTGTATGTGCCAGATTTTCTTAATCCAGTTTATCATTGTTGGACATTTGGGTTGGTTCCAAGTCTTTGCTATTGTGAATAATGCCGCAATAAACATATGTGTGCATGTGTCTTTATAGCAGCATGATATATAGTCCTTTGGGTATATACCCAGTAATGGGATGGCTGGGTCAAATGGTATTTCTAGTTCTAGATCCCTGAGGAATAGCCACACTGACTTCCACAATGGTTGAACTAGTTTCCAGTCCCACCAACAGTGTAAAAGTGTTCCTATTTCTCCACATCCTCTCCAGCACCTGTTGTTTCCTGACTTTTTAATGATTACCATTCTAACTGGTGTGAGATGGTATCTCATTGTGGTTTTGATTTGCATTTCTCTGATGGCCAGTGATGGTGAGCATTTTTTCATGTGTCTTTTGGCTGCATAAATGTCTTCTTTTGAGAAGTGTCTGTTCATGTCCTTCGCCCACTTTTTGATGGAGTTGTTTGTTTTTTTCTTGTAAATTTGTTTGAGTTCATTGTAGATTCTGGATATTAGTCCTTTGTCAGATGAGTAGGTTGCGAAAATTTTCTCCCATTTTGTAGGTTGCCTGTTCACTCTGATGGTAGTTTCTTTTGCTATGCAGAAGCTCTTTAGTTTAATGAGATCCCATTTGTCAATTTTGGCTTTTGTTGCCATTGCTTTTGGAGTTTTAGACATGAAGTCCTTGCCCATGCCTATGTCCTGAATGGTAATGCCTAGGTTTTCTTCTAGGGTTTTTATGGTTTTAGGTCTAACGTTTAAGTCTTTAATCCATCTTGAATTGATTTTTGTATAAGGTGTAAGGAAGGGATCCAGTTTCAGCTTTCTACATATGGCTAGCCAGTTTTCCCAGCACCATTTATTAAATAGGGAATCCTTTCCCCATTGCACTAGTTTACACTTCCACTATCAGAGCAGTAGAGTTTCAGACTCCACATTCTTGCCAACATGTGTATCAGTGTTTTCCATTTTAAACATTCTGGTGGATATATAGTTTAATTTGCATGTCTACTACTGTCTAACACTTTTTGATATGTCTCTTGTCCATTTGGATATTCTGTTTTTGTAAAGTATTCTTCAGGGTTTTGCTCAGTTTTCTACCTATGATGGATGTCTTTATATCATTGATTTCTCTGAATTTTTCATATGCTGAATAAAAATCCTTCAATGGCTATATGTGTAGCAAATATTGTCTTCCATTCTATGGCTTGCTCTTTTAATTTTTTAGTGGTACAAAGTGACAAATAGAAATTCTTAATGTTAGAAATTAATTTCATTTTTTTCACATATTTATAGTTTCTTTTGTGTCCTTTGTAAGACATTTTATCTACCCTCCTCAGATAATAAAAACGTTTTTCTGTTTTATCTTCCAGAAGCATTATTATTTTTTCATTTTTCTTTTAAATCTAAATGAAAATTAATGTTGTGTCTGCTGTGATACAAAAGTAAACATTTAATTTCTTTTTATAATAAATTATATATTCTATTAAATTGGACTTTTTGGTCATTTTTGAGCCAATTTTACATTCTATTAGTTATTGTAACTTTGTAAGTCTTGTTAACCTAGCAGTATAAGTCCTTCAACTTTATTTTTCTTCTTTAAGATTGTTGCAGCTAATTTTGTCTCTTTATACTTCTCATATTTAAAATATTACCTTCCTTTGATGCCATTTCATCCAGCTAACATTCTAAGTCCCCACTTTTTTTTTTATTGTTATACTTTAAGTTCTGGGATACACATGCAGAAAGTGCAGGTTTGTTACATAGGTATACATGTGCCATGGTGGTTTGGTGCACCCATAAACTGTCATCTACATTAGGTATTTCTCCTAAAGCTATCCCTCCCCTAGACCCCCACCCACCAACAGGCCATGGTGTGTGATGTTCCCCTCCCTGTGTCCATGTGTTCTCATTGTTCAACTCTCACTTATGAGTGAGAACATGCAGTGTTTGGTTTTCTGTTCGTGTGTTAGTTTGCTGAGAATGATGGTTTGCAGCTTCATCCATGTCTCTGCCAAAGACTTGAACACATGCTTTTTATGGCTGCATAGTATTCCATGGTGTATATGTGCCACATTTTCTTTATCCAGTCTATCATTGATGGGCAATCGGGTTAGTTCCAAGTCTTTACTATTGTGAATAGTGCTGCAATAAACATATGTGTCCATGTGTCTTTATAGTAGAATGCTTACAGTCCTTTGGGTATATACTGAGTAATGGGATTGCTGGGTCAAATGGTATTTCTGGTTTTAGATCCTTGAGGAATTGCCACACTGTCTTCCATAATGGTTGAACTAATTTACACTCCCACCAACAGTGTAAAAGCATTCCTATTTCTCCACATCCTCTCCAGCATCTGTTGTTTCCTGACTTTTTAATGATCACCATTCTAATTGGTGTGAGATGGTATCACATTGTGGTTTTGATTTGCATTTCTCTAATGACCAGTGATGATGAGCTTCTTTTCATATGCTTGTTGGCCACATAAATGTCTTCTTTTGAGAAGTGTCTGTTCATATCCTTCACCCACTTTTTGATGGGGTTGTTTGTTTTTTTCTTGTAAATTTAAGTTCCTTGTAGATTCTGGATGTTAGCCCTTTATCAGATGGATAGATTGCAAAAATTTTCTCCCATTCTGCAGGTTGCCTGTTTCCTCTGATAATAGTTTCTTTTCCTGTGCAGAAGCTCTTAATATACTTATATTCTATTTGTCTATTTTGGCTTTTATTGCCATTGCTTTTGGTGTTTTAGTCATGAAGTCTTTGCCCATGCCTATGTCCTGAATGGTATTGTCTAGGTTTTCTTCTAGGGTTTTTATGGTTTTAGGTCTTAAATTTAAGTATTCAATCCATCCTGAGTTAATTTTTGTATAAGGTGTAAGGAAGGGGTCCAGTTTCAGTTTTCTGCATATGGCTAGCCAGTTTTCCCAATACCACTTATTAAGTAAGGAATCCTTTCCCCATTGCTTGTTTTTTTCAGGTTTGTCGAAGATCAGATGCTTGTAGATGTGTGGCATTATTTCTGAGGCCTCTGTTCTGTTCCATTGGTCTATATGTATGTTTTGGTACCAGTACCATGCTGTTTTGGTTACTGTAGGTTTGTAGTATAGTTTGAAGTCAGGTCGCGTCATGCCTCCAGCTTTATTCTTTTTCCTTAGGATTGTCTTGGCTATATGAGCTCCTTTTTTCATTCCATATGGAATTTAAAGTAGTTTTTTTCTAATTCTGTGAAGAAAGTCAATTGTAGCTTGATGGGGATAGCATTGAATCTATAAATTACTTTGGGCAGTATGGCCATTTTCACGATATTGAGTCTTCCTATCTATGAGCATGGAATGTTTTTCCATTTGTTTGTGTCCTCTCTCATTTCCTTGATTAATGATTTGTAATTCTCTTTGAAGAGGTCCTTCACATCCCTTGTAAGTTGTATTACTAGGTATTTTATTCTCTTCGTAGCAATTGTGAATGGGAGTTCACTCATGATTTGGCTCTCTGTCTGTTATTGGTGTATAGGGATGCTTGTAATTCTTGCACATTAATTTTGTATCCTTAGAGTTTGCTGAAGTCGCTTATCAGCTTAAGGAGATTTTGGGCTGAGACAATGGGGCTTTCTAAATATGCAATCATGTCATCTGCAAACAGAGACAGTTTGAATTCCTCTCTTCCTATTTGAATACCCTTTATTTATTTCTCTTGCCTGATTGCCCTGGCCAGAACTTCCAATACCATGTCGAAAAGGAGTGGTGAGAGAGGGCATCCTTGTCTTGTGCCAATTTTCAAAGGGAATGCTTCCAGCCTTTGCCCATTCATTATGATATTGCCTGTGGGTTTGTCATAAATAGCTCTTATTATTTTTGAGGTACATTCCATTAATACCTAGTTCATTGAGAGTTTTTAGCTTGATATTGTGTTGAATTTTATCTAAGGCCTTTTCTGCATCTATGGAAATAATCATATGGTTTTTGTCATTGGTTCTGTTTATGTGACGGATTATGTTTATTGATTTGCATATGTTGAGCCAGCCTTGCATCCCAGGGATGAAGCCGACTTGACCATGGTAGATAAGCTTTTTGATGTGCTGCTGGATTCGGTTTGCCAGTATTCTGTTGAGGATTTTCACATCGATATTCAGCAGGGACATTGGCCTGAAATTTTCTCTTTTTGTTGTGTCTCTGCCAGGTTTTGGTGTCAGGATGATGCTGGGCTCATTAAATGAGTTAGGGAGGATTCTCTCTTTTTCTATTGTTTGGAATAGTTTCAGAAGGAATGGTACCAGCTCCTCTTTGTGCCTATGGTAGAATTTGGCTGTGAATCCGTCTAGTCCTGGACTTTTTTTGATTGGTAGGCAATGCTGTGCTGAGAAGAATGTATATTCTGTTGATTTTGTGTGGAGAGTCCTGTAGATGTCTATTAGGTCTGCTTGGTCCAGAGCTGAGTTCAAGTCCTGAATATCCTTGTTAATTTTCTGTCTGATTGATCTGTCTAATATTGACAATGGGTTGATAAATTTTCCCACTATTATTGTGTGGGAGTCTAAGTCTCTTTGCAGGTCTCTAAGAGCTTGCTTTATGAATCTGGGTGCTCCTGTATTGGGTGCACATGTATTCAGGATAATTAGCTCTTCTTGTTTCATTGATCCCTTTACCATTATGTAATGCCCTTCTTTGTGTTTTTAGATCTTTGTTGGTTTAAAGTCTGTTTTATCAGAGATTAGGATTGTAAACCCTGCTTTTTTTTTTGCTTTACATTTTCCTGGTAAATATTCCTCCATCCCTTTATTTTGAGCCTATGTGTGTCTTTCCATGTGAGATGGATCTCCTTAATACAGCACACCAACGGGTCTTGACTCTATCCAATTTGCCAGTCTGTGTCTTTTAAATGGGGCATTTAGCCCATTTACATTTAAGGTTAATATTGTTATGTGTTATGTTACAATTTGGTATGTTTTTGCAGTGGGTGATACTGGTTTTTCTTTTCCATATTTAGTGTTTCTTTTGGGAGCTTTTGTAAGGCAGGCCTGGTGGTGACAAAATCTCTCAACATTTGCATGTCTGTAAATGATTTTATTTCTCCTTCGCTTATGAAGCTTAGTTTAGCTGGATATGAAATTCTGGGTTGAAAATTGTTTTCTTTAAGAATGTTGAATATTGGCCCCCACTCTCTTCTGGCTTGCAGAGTTTCTGCAGAGAGATCCGCTGTTAGTCTGATAGGCTTCCCTTTGTGGATAACCCAGTCTTTCTCTCTGGCTGCCCTTAACATTTTTTCCTTCTTTTCAACCTTGGTGAATCTGACGATTATGTGTCTTGGGATTGCTCTTCTCAAGGAGTATCTTTTTGGTGTCCTCTGTATTTCCTGAATTTGAATGTTGGCCTCTCTTGTGAGGTTGGGGAAGTTCTCCTGGATAATATTCTGAAGAGTGTTTTCCAACTTAGTTCCATTCTCCCCATCACTTTCAGGTATACCAATCAAATGTAGATTTGGTCTTTTCACGTAGTTCCATATTTCTTGGAGGCTTTGTTCATTCCTTTTCATTCTTCTTTCTCTAATCTTGTCTTCACGCTTTATTTCATTAAGTTGATCTTCAATCTCTGATATCCTTTCTTCCACTTGATTGATTTGGCTATTGATATTTTTTGTGCTTCAAGAAGTTCTCATGCTGTGTTTTTCAGGTCCATCAGGTCATTTATGTTCTTTTCTAAACTGGCTATCCTAGTTAGCAATTTGTCTAACCTTTTTTCAAGGTTCTTAGTTTCCTCCCATTGGGTTACAATATGCTCCTTTAGCTCGGAGGAGTTTGTTATTACCCACTTCTGAAGCCTACTTCCATCAATTCGTCAAACGGATTCTCCATCTAGTTTTGTTCCCTGCTGGTGAGGAGTTGTTATCCTGTGGAGGAGAAGAGGCATTCTGGTTTTTGGAATTTTTAGCTTTTTTGTGCTGATTTTTCCTTATCTTTGTGGATTTATCTACCTTTGGTCTTTGATGTTGGTGAACTTAAGAATTTTTTTTTTTTGGATGTCCTTTTTGTTGATGTTGATCCTATTCCTTTCTGTTCCTTAGTTTTTTTTTTTTCTAACAGTCAGGCTCCTCTGCTGCAGGTCTGCTGGAGTTTGCTGGAGGTCTGCTCCAGACCCTGTGTGCTTGGGTATCACCAGTGGAGGCTGCAGAACAGCAAAGATTGCTGCCTGTTCCTCCCTCTAGAAGCTGTGTCCCAGAAGGGCACCCACCAGATGCCAGCCGGAGCTCTTCTGTATGAGGTGTCTGTCGACCCCTGCTGGGAGGTGTCTCCCAGTCAGGAGGCATGAAAGTCAGTGACCCACTTGAGGAGGCAGTCTGTCTTTTAGCAGAGCTCGAGTGCTGTGCTAGGAGATCCACCACTCTCTTCAGAGCCGGCAGGCAGGAACATTTAAGTCTGCTGAAGCTGCACCCACAGCCGCCCATTCCCCCAGGTGCTCTGTCCCAGGGAGATGGGAGTTTTATCTCTAAGCCCCTGACTGGGGCTGCTGCCTTTCTTTCAGAGATGACCTGCCCAGAGAGGAGGAATCTAGAGAAGCAGTCTGGCTACAGCGGCTTTGCTGACCTGTGGCGGGCTCTGCCCAGTTGGAACTTCCTGAGGGTTTGTTTACACTGTGAGGGGAAAACAGCCTACTCAAGCCTCAGTAATGGTGGATGCCCCTCCCCTCACCCAGCTGGAGTGTCCCAGGTCAACTTCAGACTACTGTGCTGGCAGTGAGAATTTCAAGCTAGTGGATCTTAGCTTGCTGGGCTCCATGGGAGTAGGATCCACTGAGCTAGACCATTTGGCTCCCTGGCTTCAGACCCCTTTCCAGGGGAGTGAACGATTCTTTCTAACTCGCTTTCCAGGTGCCACTGGGGTATAGAAAAACAACAACAAAAAAAACCTACAGCAGCTAGCTCAGTGTCTTCCCAAATGGCCACCCAGTTTTTTGCTTGAAACCCAGGGCCCTGGTGGTATAGGCACCTGAGGGAATCTCCTGGTCTATGGGTTGCAAGCATCCTGGGAAAAGTGTAGCATCTGGGCGGGAATGCACTGTTCCTCAAAACACAATCCCTCATGGCTTCTCTTGGCTGGGGAGGGAGTTCCCCAACCCCTCGCGCTTCCCGGGTGACCAATGCCCTACCCTGCTTCAGCTTGCCCTCCATGGGCTGCACTCACCATCTAATCAGTCCCAGTGAAATGAGCCAGATACCTCAGTTGGAAATGCGGAAATCACCCACCTTCTGTGTTGATCTCACTGGGAGCTGCAGACCAGAGCTCTTCCTATTCGGCCATCTTGCCAGCCACAGCCCCACTTTTTTTTTAAGACTAATTTTTAGGTAGAGATCCTGAACACACTATTTTCATTTTGTTATCTCCACTTAACACTAGTATGACTTCTCTCCATTACACTGCATACCCTCCCTCTAATATGCTAGATTCCTTGAGCATCTGTTGAAAAATCCAGTGATCATTCTTCCTTCTTCATTTTATTTGAACTCTCAGAAGCATTCAAAACAGTTCACCATTTTCTGCTTCTTGAAATGCTCTTTTCTTTTAGATGCTAGAATCCCTAACCCTCCCTCAAGTTCCTTCTACCTCACATGCTGTTTTGTGAAATCTCTTTTGCTTTAGTTTCTCCTCTATTGGACCTATAAATGTCAGCATTTTCCAGAGCTGGTTTTCACGCGTTTTCTAGCGATTTTTAATCATTAATTATAATGTAAGCTATTGCTTTGAGATTATTTTATAATGTTAGGGAAGTTCTTGACAGGAGTGGTGTTAAATTATATCAAATTATGTTCAACAGTATTACGTATGCAAATTTAAGCCAGAATAAGATACCATTATATGTCCACCAGAATGGGTAAAATGGAAAACACTGACAAATACAAAGTGTTGACAAGGGTGTGAAGCAATTAGAACTCTACTAACTTGTTGGCGAAAGTGTACATTTGCATATAAACTTCAAAGTTTTGAAAGTAATATTTTTCTCCTCTTTTCTCTCTTCTTCCCTTCTGGAACTCTAATTACACATATGTTAGAGTTGTCTATACCTCCCATATCTCTTATTTTTAAATATATTACCTATCATTTTTTGTATCCATTCTTCAGCTTACACAATTTCTTCTTACCTGGATCCCAGTTTCCTAATTCTCTCTGCTTTCTCTTACTTGTGGTTAAATATAATTATTAAGTTTTAACTTGAGGGTTTTATTTCTGTAAAATTTTTATATAAATGTTTCCTTGATTCCATTTCTATGGAAGAAATTCTCCATTTTTCTCTTCTATATTTTTGAACAAAAGTAATCAAAAATAGATACTATACTTTGGAGGTGATAATCAAAAGTTCTGAGCCTAACAATTCTTATATCTGGATATCTTGTTGGTCTGTTTCTGTTATCTTTTTCTCTCCTTTTATCTTGGATTTCCTGTGTGTGTTTTTGTGTTTAATTCAATGTTGGACTTCGTTGTAACAAACTTTTGTGAATGCAGCGGATATCTCCTCCAAAGCTGACTTATTTTTGGTTTTGGTGGTCAGTTTAGGAAGTAAGGATAGATCACTTTCATCCTTTCTAGGACTGAACTCTTTCAAACTGGTTTATGCTTTTGCAGTTTCAACTGAGATCTTGGGGTTTTAACAAGTTTTCCTCCTCATTGGCAAACATGGTCTCCATTTTCTTTTCTCTCTCTCCCCAAGACTGAGCCTCCCTTTGTCCCCCAGGCTGAAGTGCAGTGGCGTGATCTCAGCTCACTGCAGTCTCCACCTCCCAGGCTCAAGCAATTCTCCTGTCTCAGCCTCCAGAGTAGCTGGGACTACAGGTAGGCACCACCACACCCAGCTAATTTTTGTATTTTTTGTAGAGACATGGTTTCAACATGTTGGCCAGGCTGCTCAGGAACTCTGGACCCCAGGTGATCCACCCCCGTCAGCCTCTCAAAGTGCTGGTGAACTCCAGTTTTTGTCACAACATCACTGTGACTCTTCCCGAAGCTTTTCTTTTATTTTTAACTTGGTAGTTGCTACTTTCTGTTGATTTAATTTTGGGCACTTGCGTAGCTTACAATTCAGCAAATACCTCGAAGCTGTAAAATGGTACAAAATGTTATATTTTCGCTCTACTTTCTTCTTTCTCAGATGTTGACCCTCTCAGTCTGGCTATTGTGGTAACTCTGGGCTCTATTTGTCTTTCCAGATGTGAACAACTGATGAATTTTGGTGTGCCTTTTTGTCTTTTAACTGCTGCTTTTGGCTCAGCACTATGAATACTTGACCCTGCTATTCTTAAGAATAAGCAAAGACTTTGAAGTAAAAAGCATCATGAAAGGTCAGGCTCACATCAAAGTGTTTTTTCTTTCCTCCTCAGCATCTTGGATCCTCAAATCTTGGCTGCTGTGGTAGCTGTCCAATGCCTTCACATAGATTTTTTTTTTTACACCAGATTTTTGTTTATTTTGGTGGGAAGTTCTGCTATAAGCTAGTTTGTCATAGCCTGAATTAGAAGTCCTTAACTTATTTTTATGTATTTTTCCTGAAACTAATTGGGGTGCATAATGAATATAAGTTTTGATGTATTTGTCTATTTCAGCATTATGTTGCAAGCCTTTCTCATGTCATTACACATTTTAGAAACCTAATTTTTAATACCTGTATTATATTGCCTATATGAATAACCCATGATTACTATTTCTTCAATATTCATCTTTGCTTGGACTCCAAGTTTAACAATTAAAACTAATTATAGAAATAGCATTGTCCAGTTGTAAGAAATATTCATGAAATGTTCGGTTTGAGTTGTAATCATAGTGATCAATAAAACTTGCGTTCTTACTATGAACATAGGTCACTATGGTAGTTGCTGCAGGGAGTTCAAAATATGAAAATGAGTGATTCCTCTCCTCCAGGCAACATAATTTGGAGAAATGAAGCATAGATTTAGAAAACTGGTCCAAATTAGTTTTTCATCAAAACTTCATGAATGATACATATAATAAGAATGGGAATGTTCAAAGGAGAAGGAGACCATTAGGCTTGAAAAGGCAGGAAAAATGTTTTGAAGTCAATACGATCTGCAATGGATTGGAATGTATTGAATGGAGTGAGGGAGAAAGACATATTTAATTATTTTCTAGTCACTTTTCTTATTTTTCACTTAGGCTGTTTTGAAAGTACTATTGCCAAGACACCCACGTTGGCATTTTCCTCTGTCTAAAAAAATTATCATTGATGGATTTTTCATGGTCTATAAATCTGTTTCAGTTGAATAAATACATTTAACCTAAGATACTGGATCACAGGAAGTTTGCTGACAAATTGTATAGCTGACAACCCTCTATATGTAAATATAAGGACAGTAGTGTTTTACTTTGCCAACTTGAAATAAGTAAAGTTTATGTTCCTTATTTTCTCACCTACCTGGAGACAAAGCCAGGATATGCATATGAGCAAATGACTAACAGCGATTTTTGAAAAGAGGTAGTTCACCAAGGCAGAAAATCTCTAAAACCATCAGTGAACAAGAATGTATCAAACGCTTGCATATATATTATTTTATTTAATTGCCGCATTACATTGTAGAAATAGCCGTTATTATTCTACTTTTAATGTTAGAAAACTGTTCAAAGTCAAACTACAGGAAAATAATGAAGCTTCACTTGAAGTCTGTCTGAAGTTAAGAATATATTCTTTCTACTAAAACATTAGTAACTCAGTTCTATTAATAAAACCATATATAAAATAAAACCCTTTGTATCATTTCAGGGTAAGTTTGTAAATTCAGCAAAAGGTTGTCACACACATATGTAAATTATCCAGTAAATATTAGCACACTTACTCGTTTTACCATGCATGTTTATTCACACTGTTAAAACTCAGGACTTTTGCATTAAATTGATTTTCTAAATCATTTGTATGAAAGGGTATCAAAATCTCTACAAAGGGTTCTGGCAGGACAACCCTAAGGGCTGAGATAGGGTACTTCCCTTTTGCTCTGCCACTGTTAACCTCAATAGAGAATATAGTTTATAGCTTCCTTATCAGGCAAAATTAACATATAATAAATATTTTATCTTTGCTGATACCCAATGTGGGTAAGGTTGCAGATACATACACTTTGCTGGCAGCAATGTGAATTGGTTCAGTACTTATAGAAAATATACATAAATATTCAGTCCGGAAACATAAAAAAGCTTATTCTTTTTGACCCAGTCATTATACTCCTGGGAATGTACTCTAAATAATTTAACAATTATTGAAAAAGCTGGGCAATGTTAGGCTCTTTTAGATTGCAAGGAAGAGACATACTCAGGTTATCTAAGGTGAGGGGGCTATATAAATCTATGAAGGCAAAGAAGCCCAGAAGACCCTTTCAGCAGCTGGGAAGCCTGGAGAGCTGGAGTGACCTTCATCACCTTTCTCAACAGAAACTCCAGTAGCTCAGCAACATCTCTGGTAGCCTGTCTTTCAGAAAGTCTCATCTATTCCTCCCCACTTTACTGCCTTAGCTTCTGTCTCTAATATTACCTCAGTATTGGAATTTCACATTTCCTCTGCTAAAGTATGTTTATATTGAGTGACAATAATAATGATAATAAGGCTATAATATAATAATAAAAAGCTATAATAATAACTACCTTCTTATTTATTTCTTTTGAGACATGATCTCACTCTGTCACCCAGGCTGGAGTGCAGTGGCACTATCACAGCTCACTGCAGCCTCAACCTCCTAGCCTTAGGTAATCCTCCAATCTCAGCCTCCTGGGTAGCTGAGAATACAGGTGCATGCCACCACATGCAGCTAATTTTTTGTATTTTTTGAAGAGTCAGGATTGTGCCATGTTGCCCAGGCTGGTCTTGAACTCCTGAGTTCAAGGGATCTGCTCACTTCAGTCTTCAAAAGTGATGGAATTACAGGCATGAGCTACAGCACCTGGCCAATAGCTAGTTTCTTTTGGCAGCTTTCTATCCAACAGTATGGTTCTCATAACTTCACTCATTTAATTTTCATAGTACTCTTATGAGGTAATTCTATTATTACCATTTTATCATTGGGGAAAGTGAGGCACTGAATAGTTGGTCAATATGAAAAAATTCTCCCAGCTAAAAATTATGGCATTAAGGTTCAAAGCTAGGAAAGTATTCAATGCATTATATTTCTCAAAGGAAGCTGCAGTTGAGAATAATACAGATATTCTTGAGAAACAGCACCAGTGTGGAATGTACATCCATTGAGATAAATGGGTTCACTCAAGGAGAGAATATAAAGAGAAAAGAGGGAAAAGAGTGAGCTCTAAAAACATGACAACATTTAGAGGCATAATAGAAGAGAAGCAATAGCATAAGAGACTTCACAGAAGCAGCAAGTGAGGTAGATGAAGCTTGAGTAGAGGTTCTTCTAGAAACTAAAAGGAAAGAGCATTTCAAAAAAAAAAAGTAGTTGATTGTATGGAATACTTTCAATATATCAAACAAGATGAAGAAAGAAGTGTGGCTATTGAATTTTTCAGCTGCATGTTCACTAATCTTTATTCAGAGTAATGTCAGTGTAATGGAAAGAGAAGTCATAATAGAGTGGAGCAGAAATAAGGAAGTATGCAGCAGATCCTCTTAGGAATTTGGGTAGAAAATAAAGTAGGGACATGGAATGGTAGCTGGAAGACAAAGTGGTATCAAAGGGGGGTATATTTTTAAATATGGCAGGAAGAAATTGGAGTATGTTTGTGTGTCCTTGGAAATGATTATGTGGAAGAGAGACAAAAGAAGACAGATGAGAGAAAAAACGGTGACTGAGAATTTAAATCTTTAGAAGGCAAATGGAGAAGGGAGGCAGAACACAGAAGTTCTTCCTGTGTTCAGAGGAATAACACCTTCATTACAGTAATAGAGATGAAGAAGAATAATACAGAGACAGGTATAGGAAGGTGAAAACTGTGCTTATGTTATTTAATTCATAATGCATGAAGTGAGGTCATTCATTAAGGAAGGAAATGGACACTTTGAGATTTTGAGGTCAAAGCTTTATAGCAATGAGGGTAATGAGCAAGGAAGTGCTAATAATAGGAAATAGCTTGCAGTCAGCATGATGTTTAAAACTGGTATTTCAGCTGTGATGACTTTTCCACTTCTGACATGATTAGGGATATGTTGTTACAATTGCTCTTTGGAAATTTTGTTAAGTAATGATATAATATAAAGTAGGAAAATTGTCAAGATAACTGAACAAGGTACAGTGTGGCTAAATAAACCACTAGTTTAATTTACTCAGGTCCTGGACTGGACTCACATACTGTACTTACTGAAGAAAAGTTTCTAACATGGCCAATCTTTTGAATAAGTACATTGGAAGTTTAAAAATGGTCTACTTTTCAGCCTTAGGAACTGGCCCCCTATCAAATCCAAGCTGAATTCTTTGTAGAAAGTGACAATTTGATTTCAAAATTCAAATGGAAATTCAAGGGAGCCAGAATAGCCAGAACAATCTTGATAAATAAGAACAAAGTTGAAAGACTCACTTCCTGATTTCAAAACTTTTCACAAAACTACAGTAAACAAAATGGTGTGGCACTGGCATAAAGCTAGATGGATAGATCAGTGGAATAAAATTGAGAGTCTAAAATCAAACCCTCACAATTATAGCAGTCACCTATAGATTACAGTATGTTGATCTTTAACAAAGACACCAAAATCCATCAATAGGGAAATGTATTTTCAATGAATGATGCTGGGACAACTAGATATCCACATGCAAAAGAATGAATTGTGTCTCTGCCATATTCCACATACAAAAATGAACTCCAAATGGATAAAATAAGTAAATGTAAGAGCTAAAACTGTAAACCTCTTATAAGAAAACATAGACGTAAATCTGCATGACATTGGATTAGGCAAAGTTTTCTCAGATATGACACCTACAGCACAAGCAACAAAAGAAAAAATAGAAAAACTGGAAATCATCAAAATTTAAAACTTTTGAGCTTTAAATGGCACCCTCAAGAAAGTGAAAAGACAACTCACAACATAGGAAGATATTTGCAAATAATGTATCTGGTAAGGGCCTTGTATCAAGAATATATAAAAAATTCAATAACTCTATAACTCATTAGTAAGAAGATAAACCAAGTGAAAAATGGGCAAAGGATCTGAATAGACAGTCTCTAAAGATATACAAATGGCTAATAAACATGTGAAAAGATATTCAACATCATTACTCATCTAAATAATTCAAATCAAAACCATAATGATATATCACTTCACATCAACGAGGATGGTGATAACAAAAAAGACAGATAAAAACAAGTATTGACAGTATGTAGAGTAGTTGGAATTCTTATACACTGATGGTGGGAATGCAAAATAGTGCAGCCACCAAAACTTTAAGAGTGAGTGCACTCTTACTTGAAAACCAAAACTTCATTTTATCCAGTTCTCCTCTCTATTCTTGCTCCAAATTGTTTTTTCTCATTTTTTCTAGTTTTCATTAATGTTCTACATCTTCTGCTTCCATTTTTTTCTTCATGCGTTCCTTAACTAATTTTTAATATTCTATTCTACTATGCTTTAGAAAGCAGTCTAGCTGTTCCTCAAATGTTTATGCAGTGACATAAGATACAGTAATTCCCCTCCAAATATATACCTAAGAGTAATAAACACATATATCCACACAAAAATTGCATGTGAATGTTTATAGTGTCATTATTTATGATAGTAAAAACATGGAAGCAATACAAATGTCCTTCCATTGATAAATAGGTAAAACAAATATGTTACATCCATATGATGTGCTATTTTTTGCCAATAAGAAGAAATGTGCTGATACATGTTACAACATTGATGAATCTTGTGAACACTATGCTAAATGGAAGGAACCAATCTCAAGGGATCATATATTGTATGATTCAATTTATATTAAAAGCCCAGAGTAGGAAAATCAATAGAGATAGAAAGCATATTGGTGGCCACCTAGATCTGGGAGTGAGGAGAGAGAAGAAGATTAGAGGGTCACCTTCAAATGAGGTGGAGTTTCTTTTCAGGCTAATAAAAATAATTCTAAAACTGCTTTTGTTGCAACTCTGGATATAAGAGGAAGCATTAAATTATACGTTATAAATGAGTAAACTGTATAATATGTGAACTATATCTCAAAACTGTTCAGAAAGAGTGGTAAAAGAAATATTTGTGGCTCTTATGTAGTCCATACCAGATCAGTAGAAAAAGAAACCATACAATTATTCGAGGCCAGATGCTCATATAAAACAAACCCAAACAGAAAAGTGATTTCACATGGAGAAACTACTGGATAACTAGCAAGAAAAAAAGTCAATAGCTTGATGAATCTACAACCAGAGAATCATGTATTCACCCTCTTAATTGCATGTAATTAACATTCAGTATTTGCACATGACTCAAGAAAGTAAAAAATTCAGCGGAGGCATCTTCTACACTTTCTCTCTTGAGGCAAGACTACTACAGATGCTCTTACTTGAAAACCAAAACTTTATTTTACCTAAAAGTAGGTAAAATCTTCTCCTCTGAAGTTTCTCCAGATTGTTCTTCCCAGTTTTCTAATTTTTATGATTTTTCTATATCTTCTGCTTTCATGTTCTTTTCATGTGTTCCTTTATTAAGTTTTTATAATCTATTCTTCCACTATTCTATGTTGACTCCACTCCTGAAGGTTACTGGCCTTTACCAGCCCCTTTTCTCCTTCGTCTCTTCAGTTCCTATTGATATTTAAATCAATTTAAAAAATTATAAAACTTGCATGCACCACAATTTCCATGACAGAGTCCAATTTTAATTTTATGTCAACTCATATTATCTGTTTTATAATGAATTAATTTTACACCTTTGGAGGTTTTCATATAAGTTTAATTGTTCCCTTCTGTCTCTTTTTTCTAGTGCTTTATTTTAGCCAACAATTTCTGTGACCTAACTTCAGATGAGCATGACTCTCAGGTCTGAACTTACAGGTTTTACTTCTTGCAGAGTTCAGATTCTTCATCTCCATCTTCCAAAAGGACTGCTTGATGTTTTTAACTCACCTACACCTAAAATCCAATACCTTCAACAATGACTCATAAATTATATGATTATATGGTACCACTCTGAGCCATGTCATGAAGTATATAAGGGCAGGAAAAAGAGATACTATTTTAGGACCTAATCTAAGCCCTCTGAATTTGAGTAAGCAATTGAGTAAGTAATTTGTTTGGGAAGCCCCAAGTCCAAGAGTCAAAACAGGTTTAGATATTGGAACTGAGCCTCCAAATGGGGATCCCCAAAGTGTAAGTGGAGCCTAGGAGCAAGAAGACCCTGTGGCTGGTATGCCAAAATTGATAAGACCAGTGATTCTCATGAAGTAAGTTATCAGTACAATGGTAACATTTTTAGGATTAAAATTTCATCCATAGGAAGGACTCACAGGAAGAAGAAAGGATTAGAGAAAACTAAGTGGAAGTCCACTCAGACCTCCACTTAGTTACCATGGATTTATAGTGCTTGCCAGCAAAGCACCCCATTCTAGTCCTGATTGGAAAAAAAAATAGGACTTTGGGGGAAGTGTGGGCTCTAAG
Organism: Homo sapiens; assembly: GCF_000001405.40. Classification (NCBI taxonomy): domain Eukaryota; kingdom Metazoa; phylum Chordata; class Mammalia; order Primates; family Hominidae; genus Homo; species Homo sapiens. The sequence continues at coordinate 76,149,451 of NC_000002.12, forward strand.
ACCTGAAATACTCAGCTCTACCAGACAGTGGTCTGCAGATGTATATGCATCTCCTGCTCCACCGTATAGATAAGTCTACAACTTGGGTAAGGGTGAGCCTACCTACCGGCATGTGGGGCTGTGGAAAACCAAAGACAGGGAATGAGATTCTGACTGCTGTTTTATAGCCTCTACACTGTGGCTTGAAACCTGGGAGACATGTAGAACTGCAGCACACACCTGTGCCTTCCAAATTCTTCTCTCTGTTTTTCTTTGTAATGTACCTACCTCTGTAACAATATTCCAAATTCTGGAGGTACAATTCTAGTCTAGGAATCAACTTACTCCTGGAGAACGGCCAGTGTTGAATTGGCCTCTTTGCTCCTTGTTTACCTTCCATTGCATTCTGTACAACACTCTTAAGATAATATTCCTAAGACCTCATATTTATCACATTCTTCAACATTTCTAACAATTTTCAATTTGTGTCAGAATAAAAAAGAATTCACTGGCCTGAATTCAAGGCTATCCATAATCTGGTTCCAGGCTTCCAATCCAATCTCATTTCCTAATTTGGTATCTGACATTCTCATAGTGAAGAAAGGTTTGGGAGGCAGCCAGCTCCATGTCTGAATTCTGCTTCTTACTTCCAGTGACCATGAGAAACCAACCTAACTTCTGTGGATTTTAGTTTCTCAACTCTGCAGTAGTTTTAACCATTGTCCAAAATAGATTTGAGGATCAAATGAGATGATGTCTATGGTGCACTACACAGAGTTCTGAGTATGTGGTCAGCCCTCAAAAAATGGGATCTATTCATTTTCCATGTGACATTTATTTACAGCTCACTGGTGCATTTATCCAATATTCTTTTTCTATAACTGTCATAGGTAAAAACGGCAGTTTTGACTTCAATGTTGACTTCTATCTTAACATATTTCTTATAAAGCCAATTACCTATATCAAGCGAATTTAGGAAAATGAAATAACATTACTTTGCTTACATATGGGCTTTTACATTTTGTTTATATATTTCCAATCAGTCAGTCCCATTAACACCATTTTCACTTTAAGTGTTTCTGTAGAATGCCAATAGAAATGGCTAGAAAAAATATTTTTAACTTTTTTTAATTTAATAGGATCAGATTGGCATTTTCAAAAAATAAATCAGAGTTGTTTTGGTATTACTGAAACATACCTCAAAAGCAAAAATTTGATTATTTTGGCTGAACATACTATTGAGTTTCTTTGACAGCCATTATTATGAAATTAGTTTTAAACTATAGCCACATATAAACGCAGGTCCTGAGACATAAACTTTATTCATAGCCCTAGCCTTATTAAAAAATAAAAAATCTTTTACAAAGTCAAACCCTTTAATGTTTAGCCTACATAAAGATTGTAAGGATGGTTTTATTGGTACTTTTTCCTCCTTGCCTGAAAAACAGTATTTTATGCCATGTAACTTAAATGCCAAATGCTCAATTAGCATTTGTATAAATATTTTCACTCCTATAGCATTGAGCTTTTTCATGTTCATTTAATTCTGCTCAAAGGTTAATTCCTTCTTTGCTATTTGCTCAGTGGTGACAGGTAATAAATGGTGAATTATATCTATAATTATTATCAGGATAATTGATTACATTTATCAAAAAGCACTTGTAGCAATAATTTTCATCTTGTTCTAAGGATTCACTTTGAAAATTCATGTTAAATCCCTGATAACTTTTCAGGTAGCATTTCTATGTGTCTATCATGCAGTAAATACAAGAAATTTATAAAATCACTTTAAAATATCTTCAAAATAAAGATAACAAATTTACATTATTCAAATGAATCTGTAAGATTATTTTTAAAATTTCAGGAACTTCAAAAAACTATAAATTACCAATTTACCATAAACTCTCACTAGTAAGTCTATCAATAAGACCTGACATCCAATTTCAGAGTACTGCAAAGATTAGGTTATCTATTATACACCACATTTGAAAGGTGATTTTTCACTGGGAAACAAAACCAGCATTCAACATGGCACATTTTGCCTCATCTCCCTATCCTATTTGGGGGGCATCTGTTCAACCACTTAAAAGGAACTACCACCTGATATGCATGTTTAACAGAATTTGGCATGGAAAAATCTCAAAAAGATCAGTGTGGTAAATTGTGGTAGATTATTATATTAATGCCCCCTTTCTTGTATTGGGTATGGGTTTAGCCATCTGACTACTTTGTCAATGTGTAGCATTGACACAAGAAGAGTCTTGACCACTGCTTGTCCTTCATGCCTTGCTCTCAGAATGTTTCTGCCATTGTGTAAAACAGGCTGGAATGAGACAGAAGCCTAGTCTTCCCAACCATTCCATCAATCCCAGGTGAGACCCCAGACACTAGCAAGGTGTCAAATTGGACCATCTGCCCTAAACATAACATTCAGCTACTGCAGTCAAATGAGGAGCCCAAGCAAAATGATTAGAACTGCCTATCCAACGTACTGAATTATGAGAAAATTAATTGTTTTAATTAAAATTTTGTGAGTGACTTGTTCGGCAGCTATCGATTATTGATATAGAAATTGGCCTTCAGTGAGCCAATCCACTCTTCTATAAGGCCAATTATTTTTGGGTGATGCAATATGCACTAAAACCAATACCATCTGTGAGGGGTAAGCCTGATACACCTCCTCTTTCATTATAAAATAAGTGTTTTTTTGTTGTTGTTTGGAGGCAATGTTGTTAGAATTGTAAGAGGTGAAGATAATTTTGTATCAGCTCATAGGTGGTAGTTTTGGCAGAAACATTGCCAACAGGAAAGGCAAATCAGTATCCCACAGGACAAATTACTGTTCCCTCCATGGTGGAAGGGATCTAATGTCATCACAAGGCTTAATCTTCCATTATAAATAATTTTCTGTGTCCATAAAATTGAGTCATAATTATTATGAAATAACCTATGGAAAAAATAAACTAATTAAAGGAGATTCCTAATTAATACAAAAAAGGGAAATATACATGTTCTGTTGCAGATAAGATAACCTGAGAAAAGGATCAATTTCATGCTACCTCTTGCATAAAGTGAGAAATTGGACCCAGAGTACCAATGGTCTCTTCACCACCCCAAAACACAATCAAGGTCTGAAGTGGAATGTATACTAACACATAGAATGTGAAATTGTAGTTCAAATTCCCGGCTACATTTGGTGGAAAAGTGCTCGTCGTGAGGGAGTATTTCACAATGGACTCCTAATAAGGGTAACACTGCCAGCCAGGCAGAGGTAAAGCTCCAGTTGCCTTTGGATTGCTACAAAATTAGCACATACATTTCAGTAGAGCAGGGAAACTCCTTGATATGTCCCTGTATTACGACTGAAGTTTTCAGCCACTCACAAATAACTGGATTTTAATCTCGCAAAATACACCACACAAAATATAAAAACTTCTCATTGTGGTGTTCAGGGGACTATTTTCTATCAGAATCCATCAGAATGTTCTCTGTCATTTGAGCCAACAGAGGAAAAGCACCAGATTGTGAAATCATTCACTCATTTAAATAGGTGACTGATTTGTGAAGTGCCCTCAGGTGAGATAGGCTGGTTATAAGAAAAGCACAAGACTCTAGAGAATTTCTTTTTCAAATTTTCAGATTCCAGAAGATGATATATCTAATGTAAAACTATCAGAGGAATAAAAGTACCTAAAATCTCTTCAGTCTTTCTTCTTTCTCATTCTCTCTCCATGCATCTATCTTAAACGATGTAAGAAAAGCAAAGAAAATGGAGGGGTACACTGATTATCCATCTGCTGCATGCCCATTGGGGTTATGCCGCTGAAGATTCTCCAGTCTTGTATTGATTACTTTTTCCTACATTTTAAAAAAAATCAGTAACTTTTAAAAGAAACATCTTTGAAAAATCATTTGCTAAAAAACTATGTGCTAGTTAAAATGTAATGTGGGAAATCATCTGGACTTGAGACAATTCAAAAGAAGGAAACTGTAGGCATTCAGTACTCTAGAAGAGACAGTGGAACAGCATGGCAGAATCCAACTGACTTCTAATAATTCTATGTTTAACCAAGCTATGATCTTTGTGTGAAGGTCACAGAAATATATTCTCAGGTAGGCAAAGACTCAAGTAGTAGCATCCGCATGTCCTTCCTGAATCTATTACTGAAAACTATTTTCCAACCTACTAAGAAATTAATAAAAGCAAAGAACTGAGATATGATACAAAGTAGGGGCTGCAAATTATAGCCAAGGGGCTAAATGTGGCTTCTGTCTGATTTGTAAATAAAGTTTTATTGGAAAACGGCCATACCCATTAGTTTATTTACTATTAATGATTGCTTCCACACTAAAAATATGAGAGTATTTGCACCAGAGGTCATATGGTGCATAGAGGCTAAAATATTTACCATCTGGCCCTTTGTTTTAGGCCACTTTTGTCAAGTGGACCATGGTGTTTCTTCCTGGTTGATACAAGTCATTCCTTAGTATGAGCTGTCCACAGGTTGCCTTTCTTCAGGCTTGGCCTGTCTTCTTTGTCTCTCTTCCTGTTGCCCTTGGCTGCTGCAAACTTCTCCATTATGGCATTGATACTCATTAAGCTGTTTGATCTGAAGACTCTTGTCCTTATTTTGTAATTTTTTATATTTTATTTGTTTCATTTTTAAACAAATTTCTTCTTTAGGAAATTCAACTGTCTTTAAGATAAATGAGAAGAGACTATCCAACCAGGTTCCTTTCGCACTATTAGGTCGGGTGGATTTTTTTTTTTTTTTTTTTTAGAAATTTCTCATTATCCTTCTGGAAGAATTTTTAAATTAAATGTTATTTGACACATTTTATTCATAGACCCACAAAGAAGAGAGGAACGCATGTTGCTATCTATGTATCTACCATCTTTCTGCTTATCTATTAATCATCTCTAGTATAGTCTATAGTTTATATTTATCTATCTTTTTTTTTGGAGATGGAGTCTCGCTCTATTGCCCAGGCTGGAGTGCAGTGGCTTGATCTCGGCTCACTGCAAGCTCCATCTCCCGGATTCATGCCATTCTCCTGCCTCAAGCTCCCAAGTGGCTGGGACTACAGGCACCAGCCACCACGCCCAGCTAATTTTTCGTATTTTTAGTAGAGATGGGGTTTCACCGTGTTAGCCAGGATGGTCTCGATCTCCTGACCTCGTGATCCGCCCGCCTCGGCCTCCCAAAGTGCTGGGATTACAGGCGTGAGTCACTGCGCCCAGCCTATCTATCATCTTTTTAAGGAACTGTTATACTGGGCCCTAGTTTTATGTATCCAGCTTTTGGTTTTGCAGAGGTTAAAGAGTAGTTACTTTCAACCTCATTACTGGAATATCTGTCTACCAAATATCAAAAGCAATTAATATTTACTTTATACCAGGCATATAAAACTAAGAGTTTTTTGCACATTAGCTTATTATTACCTACAGTATTCCTACAGAAGAGTCACCATTATTTTTAGGTCCACTTTAAAAGCTTTGAGAAATTAAGTGACTTGTTGATGGTCACTAAGCTGGTGGAACAAGGATTGAAACTAGGCCCCCTGTTTCTCTGCTGTAGTGGCTTCTGTGTAGGGTGAAGCTTGGCATGTTATCTAATTCAAAACGCTCATTTTGCATACAGGAAACATAAGACTCAGAGAGTGAAGTGACCTTTTCAAAACGAAGCCATATGAATGGGGCTAGTCAGAATTTGCATCCAGATTTCATGACTATGAACTTGTAATTGTCTTTCAAACACTGGAGCTCTGCTGACACATTGTCTCCTTAGAAAAATCACTAATTTTTATAGCCATGGCTTTTATAGATCTGTGTGACCCTGTTCAGACATGCATGCCTCTGGAAAGCATTCAGGATGCTTACTTGTGAGTGGGTGTGTTCCACAGCTAGTTTTTAAATAGAAAAGATTTTACTTTGTGGAAGGTCCCGGTGACTCTCTCCTACTCAGCAATTAAATAAATGTATTTTTCATGGTTCAGATGCTGTTGTTCATATTCTTTTCATGACTTCTTATAAAAGAAATATTAATTTAACTAAGGGTGTGCTTGTTTCCATGCTGTTATTGCTTAATTAGGTTGATTAGAGCCCTGGTTGGATTGTTATGTCAAGGTTTTCCATGCTCAAGACAAAATACATGCAGGCAGCAATTCATTTGAATGTCTATAATACGAATTTGGAATACCTAGGACAATAGGTCCTTTTGAATCTGCTGTTAATAAGTCATCTTAATTATAACTCAGCAGAAGACTTGACAACACTTCACATGGAGGGAATTATTTTTCGTATCCTCACTTGATGAATTACTGAAGCATCAGTTGTATGGGGGAAAGATATTTAACTGGATTACTGTTTACTCTCTATTCCAGGGGCTGACAAACTGTGGCCCAGATGCCAAATCTGGCTCACTGTTTATTTTTAGAAATAAAGCTTTACTTGAAATCATCACATTCATTTATTTCCATACTGTCTATGGCTGCTTTTCTGCTATAATGACAGAATTGAGTAGTTGTGGCAAAGATGATAAAGCCTGCACGCTCTGAAATATTTACTGTCTGGAACTTTACAGAAAAAGTAAAATGATCTGTTCTATTAAATGATGACGATTTTAGGAAAGTCATGACTATTATAGGATAAATGAAAATATTCCCAAATTGTCAGACAAAACTGAAGCTTATTTGGAAGACAATATTATCACCCATGATGTCTTCTCAGACCTGTTGAAAAAAAAAAGGTTGTCTTTTTCTTTATGTGGAGGAATCATAGCCTAGAACTCAGAATTGCCTTGTACAGAATTTCATCGCATATTAAGTTACTCGTTCTTTGTTTTCTAAATGTTGAACCTCTAAATGTGGAGTGGCTATATAATTTATAATTTCAATTGAGACTTTTTTGGGCGGAACCATTGTGACAACTGGTGTAAGCTGAGATAATTTACCAACCTCTGGAATAGGGTGTAGATAGAAATCCAGTTAAATATCTCTTTTCCAGACAATTGGCACTTCAGTAATTTGTAAAGTGAGGTATTTGGCCACCAGATCTATATGTCATATCATATCTCTCAGAATTATTAAGCTCTGTAGCCACCTTTGATTACTCTAATATATTAGAATAGTAGTTTTCAGCACTATTATATATAGCAAAGCCCTTTCTTGAAATGAAATCTGGTATAGAACCTATTACTCATAAAATTTATGAGATGGAGATGATTCTGCTGTAGGAGGGACAAGAGACAGAATCTCCAAGGGTTCAGCTCCTTTCTCTTTTCTTCTTTATGGTTTATCATTCACTGTTTAGAGAATCTGGGATTCTAAGGAACACAATTTTAAAAATACTGAATTATAAGAAAATAATCCAGGTTAAATTTTGTTCCTCTTGATGCTATTCATGGCATTTAGCTACTAGAGCATCCAACTGTCCTCATTAGAAGGAGGTGCCAAGACATGGTGTCATAAAATATGTTAAAGAAAAGTCCTAGAAAAATAAATACAGATTCTCACAATAAGAACATACTTTGATCTTTTCAGTTGCACCGAAAATGCAGTTGTGAAATCTCACTATCTTTTGGATATAGCTGACAATTCTATAAGGATTTCATAGCCATGACAATTAATCCTGACTCGTTCTATCCACCGTTTCACCTTAGAATCTTAAAATTCTTTCTGAGAGGCCACTCCTAAGAAAAAAAATTAACTGATTGCTTAGATTGCTTTTAAATTCACATTTCATGAACTTTAGAAGTTAGGTATCAAGTTTACAGAACACTTTGGAAAAGTTAAGCTGCAGTGTATTCCTTTTAGATAATAGGATGACTTAAGTGCATAGTATAGACACTCATCATCAAGTCATATATACAAATAGATGATCTCAACTTAAAAACCTTTAAAACACTGTACACTCCTAAATATGTCCTAGGAATCACATATGTGTTTGGTACATAAATTATCCTGCATCGATATAAGCAGCCTATGAACATATGGGTTACTTGGAAGTTGTTTTTGAAAATTTTTAAAAGCTACATTTGCTATGCTTTATATATTACTGCAATTTTACGATGGACAGTGCTAACCTTCTGCTATTAATGTGTTGCTGCAACCTCAGATAAGGATTAAACAAATCTCTAGCAAATTCCAACGCCTTGAGTAGCCTTCTAGTTTCTAGTTTCTCAACATAAGAAGTTTTCTGAAGTGTATCTCCAGGACTGCATTTTGATATCAGTTATTTATGGGAATTAACATGAAGAGATGGAACAGCAGGTCTGTGTGGGATGGTGGCAAATTGGAATCTAAAAATGAGTGACGCTTGTTGTAATGAGGTGGATGCATTTGAGACAGAGGGTGGTAGAGGCAGAGGGAGAGAGAAGAACATAATATGAACTGGTTTATTTAAAGGCTTTGAGTGAAAAAATAAATGATTCAAATATGCTCAGGTAGAAGGTCTCCTCTTTATTTTTGTACAAATGTCTTGTCATTCCAGAAAGATGCAAATAAGGCAACAAGAGAACATAATATATTTAAAGGAAAAACCACTGTTTCTCTTTCATTACAGTTTTGTATTTTCATTTCTATTACAGTCAGTTCATCTGTGTCTTCCTTTTTCCTGTGAATCTGGATATAAAGGAAATGAAAACCTCAGTTCTGTGTTTTACTTTAGAAGGAAAGAAACCCATCCAGATAAATTTCACTTTGCCATAAACCTGGACATCCCGCTATGGTATATTTGTTACTTGTAGGCAATTTACAAGAGAAATTAAGCTCTAATCAGTTGAAAAATTACAACCAAATGGCAGGTCTTTATAAATAGTATACCATGGTAACTATGCTGGGATTATCTAATTCATTAAGTACAATATATAAAAGAGGACAGATCCTATCTTTAATTAGCTAATAACACTAAACTCTCAAGTGGGTGGGCAAAAAACTTCTCAGGTTGATGACCTAGTGTTGTATGCGTAATCACTGCACTAATGTCAGAGCTCTTGCTGGGCTGATTTGGGGTTCTCTTTTCCTTTGAGAAGACTTAAAGACCAATATGTTTGCCAGGAACTTTCCCTCAAATGTAGTACTTTAGAAGAAGTAATAAAAGTGATGTGAAATTGATACTACTGTAAGTATTTGGCTGGACGGAGAGGTCAATGCCCATTTCTAACTCCTAGGTGATACTGATGACAGTACCTCCTCACACTTTGAGCAGTGAGGAACTATGCTATACAGCTGTTGCCTCAAATGAAAGAATAAAACCCTGGGAGGCACTGAATCATACTGACAGAATCATTAAGGAGAGTGATTTTCTTAAAATATGCTGGCCTGGTTCAGTGTCTCTAACTCTCCAGGGTGAAATTTTCTCCTCTTTAAGTGGGATCCTATCCCCACCTCACAGTTGGGTATGAATGAAGAGTCAGTGCAGACATTCACATGAATGAATTGGTCACATTTATGAGAGAACCTCTTCCTACCCAGTGGCTTCACCTCAGATGGGAGATTACTTGCCCTGTGCCTCCTAAATGGACAGGGAGGCAGAGGCAAACAAAAGTCAAGATTTAAGCTTTTTCTCTGCAGGACATTTCAGAACACATTTTTCAAAGTTGTCTTTTATGATTGTCAGTAGATCTGTCTCCAGTAATTCTCTAAGCTTCATAGTCAAACTCTTTTTGCAGTTTTCTGGGGTCCTGGAAAGAGGTTTGTGGAAACAAGGGAAGTTTCAGAGTTAGTGCTGGCTGAGCTCTCACTGCTTCCAGTCTCTACTCTGAGATAATAACTTGACTGCCTCACAGGAGCCAGGACTGTGATGCTGAAGGCAGAAGCTACATGATCAGGGCTTCAGTGACTCACCCAGCTCATGAAACATGAAGGCATGCATTAATATTTATTGCAACAGCGACTATTTTGAAGGTTTTTCTGCATAAGGTGCTGTGGCAAAGGATTTATATGCCTTTAATTAGTATAATGATCTGCTATTTCATTTTAAATATGTGGCAACTAAGGATCACAGGATGAAACACTGTGCTTAGATCACAAAGCCAGTGAGTGGTGGAGCTGAGGTTTTGCTTGGGGACATCTGAGTCCTGAGTACACACTCATAGCAGTCTTGCTTTGCTGCCTCACTGTAATTGTCAAGTTCATGACACCTAAACTAGTGTTTTTCAATTGTATTTTTAGAAATACAGATGTACTGAACCCACTCCCAGGAATCTGGGGACACAGACTTTAGCTTTATTTATTTATTTTTTTTTGAGACAGATTCTCACTCTGTCACCCAGGCTGGAATGCAGTGGCTCAATCTCAGCTCACTGCAACTTTAGCCTCCCGGGTTTGAGCGATTCTCCTGCCTCAGCCTCCCAAGTAGCTGGGATTACAGGCACTCGCCACCATTCCCGGCTAATTTTCTGTATTTTTAGTAGAGATGGGGTTTCACCATGTTGGCCAGGCTGGTCTCGAACTCCTGACTTCAGGTGATCCACCTGCCTCGACCTCCCAAAGTGACTTTAGCATTTTTAAAAAGCTCCCTTGGATAATACTGATGCATGTGGAAGTGTACAAACCATTGCTGTCCACTGTGCGTGGCACGTTGCAGTTGACACTTGACACTGCGCTGTCTTATTCATCTCCACACAATGACAGTCCTGTGAGACAAGTACTGCTATTCTCATTTCATAAATGGGAAGGCTAGGGCACACACAAATGAATGGACTGGATGCAGCTGAAATCGGAATGCAGGTCTAATCTCAAGTGTTCTTTTGACCATAACACTGCTGCCTCTCTTCTAACAAAATGAGAATGCAGACCAAAGCAAACAGGGAATGGTAAGAAGTGGCAACTTTTAGGTTATATCAGTCCAGCCGGGATATTTGACTTTCACTTTATATAACTGGCATCAGAAAACTGAATTATGGCATGGCACAGTGGTTCATGCTTGTAATCCCAGTACTTTGGGAAGCCAAGGCAGGGGGATGACTTGGGCCCTATAGTTCAAGACCAGCCTGGGCAACATGATGAAACTCCCATCTCTAAAAAAAAATTTCAAAAGGTAGCCAGGCATGGCGGTGCAAGTCTGTAGTTGCAGCTTTTGGGAAGCTGAGGCAGGAGGATTTGCTTGAGCCCAGGAGGTCAAGGCTGCAGTGAGCTGTGAACCTGCCACTGCACTCCAGCCTGGTTGACAGAGTGAGGCTGTCTCCAAAACAAAAAAACTGGATTATAAGCATTAGTAAGTAATAAACTGGAAACATCCACGTTTCTCCTTTTCTTATCAATGAAATGGGAATAATAGCAGACCTTGTGCAGTTGCATGAGACTCAAATAAAACAATGTGTGAAAATGTTTTGAAAACTATAAATTATTGTGTAAATATAAGACATGATTAAGCAGACCTAATTTTTTCATAGCAAAATCTGTGAGAAGGGAATCTTTGCTGACGTAACAAATTTAATCTATTCTTTTTGATTCCAGCAGAGGGCTAAATTCACACAGGGAATTCATTCTTTCGCTTTCCTAGATAAAGGTAGAAAACATAGGTGATTCTTAAGCTCACCTGGCAGCATTCATTGCAATAGTGGGTCCCAGGTGTCAGTAGAATGGTCTTGGCTTTGTTCTCTCAGGCAGGTCTTCTTATTATGTTGGTTTTTAAACTGATTGGTGGCTACTCTGGCATAGGCACCAACATAAGAGAGAAGAAAAAATGTGGAAGGGATAGGAGAGAGGAAGTGCCTCTCTCTCCAAAATCCCAATGACCAATGATGCCTATTGGCCTATTAACAGTCACCCTCCTCTCCTGTGATCTTGTCCTCACCACTGGCTTCAATAATCACTATGACCTGATGACCCCCACGTTCCAGCTTCCAGCCAGATTTCTTTTCAGAGTTCTAGTCCTATGTATTCAATTGTCTACTAGAATATTAGCATGACTGCCCCAAGGGTGCCTTCAATTCAACAGATACAAAACTTATCCTAACATCTTCCTTATAAATGTGTTTCTCTCCCATTAGTCCCCATCTTACTAGAGGGTGCTACCACACACCCAATGAGAAAGCTGGGTGTCACCCTTGACTTCTCCTTTTTTCTTAATCCCAAACCAAATTCTGTCTGTTTCTTTTTAATATCTGCCTATTCTATACATTATACCATGATGTTAATTCTATGCGAATTCAGATCACCTTCATGTCTTGCCTGGTTATCTGCAAAAGCCTTGTTGCATGTTTTCTCTTCCTGACTCAAATTTTGTCGAATTTCTGTCTGTACTCCAATTGTACCCACAGTGATAGTTTTAAGAGTCAAAATCTAACCTCAGAATTCTTTAATGACTTTGCATTATCTTCATGAGGAGTCTGTTTCTTAAAATGAATCCCAAAGACATTTGTAATATGCCTTCTGTTGATTTATTGTGACTCATCTCTTGACACACATCCTTTTTACACTCAATACACAAATTTTACTAAACTAGGCTTAAATTTGTGAAAACTCTACTTTCTTAATTCCATGCTCCTTTCTCTGCCAGGGATTGCTCTCTGAGAGCTCTCCTAAACTGCCTTTGCCTGGCTCCACTCACAGTCCCTTCCTGATACACTCATATTTCTTTCTAAGCTTCTCCGACTCCTTTTTTTCTTGCATTGGTTACTATACTTACAGCTTTCATAGAAGTGCTCGCTCTGGGCTGTAAATGCCTCATGACTTATTTCATCTCTCTTCTAGTCAGAATGCTTTTTTTGAAGACAGAGCCTATCTTTTGTTCTGTGTGCATGGCTTAGCATAGCACCTGGCACACAATGGGCAAGCAAACTATTTGTGCTGAGTGAAGTAGTAAATATATGTCAGTTGCAGCAATGCATAGCTACCTGGGAGGACTGCTGGTTGTTTTAATTAAACATTAGGTGCAAATGTCAGGCATTTAGGGTGGAAATAAAATTCAGAGCCACTGCCAGGCATGGTGGCTCACGCCTGTAATCTCAGCACTTTGGGAAGCCGAGGCGGGCGGATCATGAGGTCAGGAGTTTGAGACCAGCTTGGCCAACATGGTGAATCGCCATCTCTACTAAAAATACAAAAAAAAATTAGCCGGGCGTGGTGGTGGTGCAGCCTGTAATCCCAGCTACTGGGGAGGCTGAGGCAAGAGAATCATTTGAACCCGGGAGGCGGAGGTGGCAGTGAGCTGAGATCGCGCCATTGCACTCCAGCCTGGGCGACAGAGCAAGACTCTATCTCTAGAAAAAAAAAAAAAAAATTCAGACCCACTGAGATAACTTTATTATTGGAAACTCATGAACTCTGAAAATCCTTAGGAGCCAGATTTAGTAAAAACATTTTTGGGATGTTTGCTCCTCCTCTGTCAGCTTTGGGAATAGGTTATGAATTCTTCTATTCTTCCAATAGTTCTATTTGTTTCCTCCATTTATATAAGAATATTCAGTTTTTGTGTTGCCACAAAGATGATGTGCACAAATGATCCATTTTCTGGAGCTGGGGCTTGGAAGTTTAGGTGTGTAAATTCACTGCTTATAAAATGATACAGTCTTATGCCAATTTCTTTCTTTTTTTTTTTTTTTAGACACAATCTCTTGCATATTTTGGTCAAGGAGAAAGAAACATGATTTGGACCCAGACCCAGTTTTGAAATTCTGCTTTAGCAGATGTTAGATATGTAATCTTAAGCAAAGTGTTTAAATTTTTAGCAACTCAGTTTTCTCATCAGTAGCTACCTACCTACCTCACCAAGTTGGGTGAGGCTTACATATGTAATAGCAGCATTGAACAAAATATATTTCCTTTCTCTTTAGATTATATTCATATTCAGCACAATGGCAAAAACAGTTGAGTTTTAGAGTATAGCATGCTCTGGGGCTAGGAATTCTTCATTCAGAAACCATACCAAAATACTCATAAAAGTATCTAATATGTATATAATAATATTACCACTCAAGCATTATTTTTAATTCCTTTGGTATGTTTAATAATAAAGTATAATATGCAAACAGTGCAACAAATAATAAATATAGCTAGATGCATTATTACAAAATGAGCACATATTTAACTACCACCCAGATTTTAAGAATATGGTTTTATCAGTACCCTAGAGACACCCCTCCTGCCACTAAACTTACACTCCTCTCCAGATATAACCCTTAAGCTACTAATACCACCAATTATTTTTGCCTACTTATGAAGTTTATATAGGAACCATAAAGTCTGTATTCCTTTGTGTCAGGCTTCTGTCATTCAGCATTGTTTGAAATTCATGTGACAGGTTTTGTTGTGTATGTTGTGAGATGCTGTTGTGTTGTATGTAGCAATGGTTTGTTAAATTTCATAGCCATGTTGTATTGCATTGAGTGAAGCAATATTTGTCCACTAGACTCCTGACAGACAATTATACTTTTTCTGATTTTTTTGGCTATTATAGATAGTACTGGTGTGGCCATTATTATGTATGTCTAATGATTTGTGTAATATGCATTTTTTAAGCATATGCTTAGGAGAGGGTTTGCGTGGTTGTAGGTTATGTGCTTGTTGAACTTAAGCATATATTAACAGCTTTCCACAGTCCTTGTACCGTTAAACATTCCCATCAGCAGTAATGAGAAGCTCCAGTTGCCCTAAAACCTAGCTAAAGCTTGGCATTACGTCATTTTTAAATTGTAGCTTTTGAGTAGGTGGTGATATCCCATGATTGTTTTCGTATTGCATTTTCAAAATAACTAATAAGGTTGAGCACCCTTTTCCACTCCAGCAGTCTTTTGGATTTCTTCTTTTGTAAAATTGCTAATAAAAATCTCTTTGCCCATTTTTTTCTACTGGGTTATTTTTCTTGGTCTTGTTAACTTACAGGAGTTCTTTATAGATTCTGGTTTGAGGCTTTTGTCAACTATGTGTATTGCAAATATCTTCTTCCATTTGATGTTTTGCCTTTTGATTTTCCTAATGGGCTCTTAATTTTTAATGTATCCTAGTTGATTAATCTTTTTCTTAATGGTTAATGCTGTTAACAAATATTTGTTCATCGAAAATGTATAAATATATTTTCCTTTTATTTCCTAGAAACATATTGTTTTCTTCTGCAATTTTATCCCAGTCAACCTGAAATTGAATTACATGTATGGTATGAGACAAGGGTCTAGCTTTTTTTCCTTTTTCCTTTTTTTTTTCCAATCCAGCAGATGGAGCACAATTTAATAAAAAGATTGTCCTATTTTCACTGTTCTACAGTACCTTTCTTACAAATGAAATGACAATAAATGAATACTATGAATGATCTACTTTATGACTCACTATTCTGCTATTTTGATTTATTTATCTGTCCCTGTCACTTTACTTCGTAGCACTTGACATTCAATATATATATATATATTGAATTAAATATATACATATTGGAATGTGTGTGTGTGTGTACGTCAGCTATAGTAATGTGGGATCAGTGTGGGATCAGCTATAATAATGCATAGTTGACTGAAAAGACATAGAATATTTCTTTCAGATAAAATCAATGAAACATTAGGTAGACAACTATCAGATATTTAAAGTGAAAAAAATAGAATTAGAGCCAATGAGGTGAGTTTATTATCAGAATAAATAACTTTATGAATAAAAAACTTTATCAGAATAAATAACTTACTGACTTCTATTGGCTTAAGTCCCCCAACTTTGTTCCTCAAGAGTCGTCATGCCTATTCCTGCCCCTTTGTATTTCCATATAAATTTTAAAATCAACTCATCAATTTCTACCAAAAACACAGTAATTTTTACATTAATATAATATCTACAGATATGTTTAAATAGATATTTTTATAATATTAGTTTTTCTAGTCCATGATTATTTTATATACCTTCATGTATTTAGTTCTCTTAATTTCTATCAATAATAAGTTATAGTTTTATGTGTGGAAGGCATATATTTATCATCAATTTTTACCTTAATTCTGTGGTTAAAAATCACTTTCGTTGCTATTTTAGTCCTTGGACATTTGTTGAGACTTGCTTTAAGACCCAGCATAGGCCTAGCGCGGTGGCTTATGCCTGTAATCCCAGCACTTTGGGAGGCCAAGGTGGGTGGATCACGAGGTCAGGAAATCGAGAACATCCTGGCTAACAAGGTGAAACCCTGTCTCTACTAAAAATACAAAAAAATTAGCCGGGCAGTGTGGCGGCAGGCGCCTGTAGTCCGAGCTACTCGGGAGGCTGAGGCAGGAGAATGGCGTGAACCCCGGAGGCGGGGCTTGCAGTGAGCCGAGATCGCGCCACTGCTCTCCAGGCTGGGGGACAGAGCGAGACTCCATCTCAAAAAAACAAACAAAACAAAAAAAAAAAGACCCAGCATATAGTCAGTTTTGGACAATGTTTCATATATGCTTAAAAAATATGTATTATGTAGTTATTTGGTTCGATAGTCTGGATACATCAATCAGATCAATTCTGTTAATAATGTCGCTACAATTTTGTGTATATGTACTTAATTTCCTCCAACTTGTTCTATTAGTTGTTGAGAAAAGTCTGTTAAGATATCCCACTTTGTGGATTTACTGATTTCTCCTCTTAGTTCTATTGTTTAGTTTATAGCTAAATCTTTAGTGTCCAGAAATTTAGCATTGTTATACATTCTTAGCAGATTAACCTTTTGTCCTTATGAAGTGTCTCTTTATTTTTATTAATATTTCTTAATTATGCATTTTGGTTTGATATTTATATAGATATACAGTTTGTATCTTGATTAGGACCTGCATACTATACTTTTTCCTCTTTTACTTTCAAGTTTTATATAGTTACATATTTAAAGATTCTCTCTTACATGCAATATGGTCAACAAAACTCTAAGATGATAACCTGACTTTCACCTTTGTATAATTTCCTCCCTTTGAATAAATGTGAAAATGCAAATATCAAGCGATATCATTCTCATAATTATGTTATGCTATATGGCAAAAGGTATTTTACAGATGTAATTAGAGTTATTTAGCAGTTGACTTTGGGTTAATCAAAAGAGTGATTTCCAGGTGGGCTAATCTAACCACATAATCCCTTTAAAAAATTTACAGCTGAGTAGTAGAGGGGCTGTCAGGATCAAAGCATGAGAAAGATAAGAGCAAAATAAATATTTCATCAATAGCTCTGATATTAGAAGAGGCCAGCTGGAAAGCATTCAAAAGCATCCTCTGGGAGCTAAAAGGACATCCGAGGCAACATCTGGTAAGAAATGGAGACCTCGGTTCTTCAGTGGCAAGAGGTTGCAGACTCTTAATAATCTTAATAGGCATTGAAGCAAATTTTCTCTCAGAACCCCAGATACAAATGTAAGTTGGATGGACACCTTGATTTCAGCCTTCTGAGATCCTATCAAAGAATCCTGCCTAGTCTGCACAGCCTTCTGGCATAGGACTGTGAGCTACTAAATGGGTGTTATTCTAAGCTACAAAGTTTATCATAATTTGTTACGCATTAATAGAAAACTCACACACAGTATCTGCTTTCCGTGTATGTATTTAACTCCTGTTGGAGACTCTTAGCTGTTTCCTGGATTATTTAATTTACCTTCAGTGTAATTTCTGACATACTTCCAATCTAATTCCCTTATGTTTCTAATTTATTTTCAACTTTCTCACCTGTTCTACGCCTTTTCTTCTTAATTTTCTTGACTACTTTCAGAGTAAGTAAATGTGTTTTACTCCATTTTCTTTTCTCAGTTTGTTCTTTTTTTATTAGTTGAACTATAGATTACAATATTCTTAACTCACTAGAGTCTAACGTAAGGTATGCAGGTTTACTTCTTCCCACATAATGTAAAAACTTAGAATACTTCAATTCCATTTACCAACCCCCTGTCTTTTGCTCTACTGTTGTATTAAATTTTAATTTTCTCAATATTTTAAACCATATCAACATGATTAATAATTTTCCATGATGTAAAAATTTATTTAGATATTGCTGCTATATTCCTCCTTTCCTTCTTCATTTTGTATTCATTTCTAGGCATCCACCTTGCATAATTTTTCTTTTGCCTAAAAACTACTTATTTATGTTTCCTTTAGTAAATAACTGCTAATGATTAATGTTCTTAGATTTTGTTGAATAAAATGTTTCTGTTTTTCCTTCATTGTAGAATATTGCTTTGGTAATTATGGAATCCTAGTTTGGCGGGGTTTTTTTGTATGTGGTTTTTGCTGTTTGTTTTTCCAGCACTGTGAAGATATCATTCTATTATTTATATCTTTCATTAGTTGTGTTGTCAGAGTATTATTATTATTTCCTTAAAAAGAAATGTGTCCTTTCTTCTGGCTGGTTTTATGATTTTTTTTCTCTTGATTTTGGTGTTTCAGCCATTTCCCAATGCTGGTTTTGTTTGTATTCATTCTGCTTGAGCTTTGCAGTGCTTCTTGAATCTACGGCATCAGGTCCTTTATCTATTTGGGAAAATTCTTGGTTATTGTCTCTCAATTTACTACTTTACTTCTGCTACAATCTTTCTATATTTCCTTCTGGAGACTCATATATGTAATAATGATACAATATATATGTATAATATACAAATATATATGCATATATAACATATACATATGCATATGCATAATATATGCATGTATATGTATAAAATATGGAGCTATAATATATATACATATATAATATACACATATGTATACATATACATATATTATATCATTATCTTTGCTTCAATGTTAATATTTTATTTTTAGTTTGTTGAATCAATTTTCTAAAGCCTTTCTATTGAGTTTTTAGTATTAGTCATGTTTTGCATTCTAGAAGGTCTATTTATAGTTTACAGTTTTTGCTACAATTCACCATCTTTTATCTAATTTATTGGAAACATTTATTACAAACACTCTGAAGTCAGTGTTTCATAACTCCAATATCTACAGCTTCAGTGAGCTTATTTTTATATGTTTTTTCCCTTTATTTTCAGTCACTTTTCTTTTTACATACTTGATTATTTTAATTGAAGTCCTGGACATTACACATTAATATTTTTAAGGATAGTTTAAGACTCATAATGAGGTTATCTTCCTCTTAATGAGTTTATGTTCTTCTAGAAGGGCATTAGCTTTTTGTGAGCATTAAGTGTAATGAGAGATCACCTCAATCCATACTGGTATTGTGCTGATTCTAACCTGGCTTTAGTGTCTGGAAGGGACGATCCTGTTTACCATTACTCTTAAAGTATACCTTGTCAGAAATCCCCAATAAAGTCCTCCAATACTTGTGAGAATCTCTGCTCTTTGGCAGCACAGGGCTCAATTATTTTGTTCTCCTTCTCTACAAGTTCCCAAAAGATCTGTTTGGCTTCTTAGTCTCTCAGCTACTGCTCTCTGTTAAGCTTCTCAGCCTTTTATTCTGAAGAAAGAAAGAAAAATGAATGTGTGTAGGAAACCAGCAATCTCTGCCATGTTCTTCATCTTCATGGGACAAATGTTATAAATTATTTAATTCAGTTCAGTGCTTGTTGCCAAGAACGAGTTCAATCCACGTAAGTGAAGGTGTTTGAGCAGTTGATCGGGATCCATAATAACAATTGCGTTTGACATTTTGTGTCTCATCTTTGTAAAAATGTTTAATATTATGTCCTATGCATTTTATAAAAATATAATGAGTCTGGTAGAAAAGATATTGTAATGTAGTTAGGCTTACGAGGAAACTGAAGGCCAGAAAGATTAAATCACTTGAAAAAGACCTTACAGGAAATCTATGGTACTTAGATTATTGACTCTTAAAACAGACTGATGAAATTTAATTATTATCATTCTGGTACACATTCATTTTAATTAAGAGCATCTTAATTTTCTGTGTCATTCTTGAGGCTTTTCTCAGGGGGATAATTCATTCAGCATGTTTCCACTGGTGGACCAACTCCTGCAGGGAGAAAAATTGCATATCCTTATGCTCCAGAAGTGTGAAGTTTGGATCAATTTTATGCTTCTTTCAAACCCTTCTGGATGGCACTTGTTTTCCTAAGGAATGCCCCATTTATCCATGTTCCTATACAACTAAGTACCATGTGGGCCTATAAGTAATGTGAAAGCACCAGGCTTCCTGAATAATCAGTTTTCCCACTGGGAGCAGATGGTTTATATTTTATACCATCATGGGCCAATCCTTGACAGCTGTTAGAATATGGTTAAGATAACCATAGCTGCCATTTGGAAAATCTGAGAGATATATAGTAAATAAGCTGCTTAATGTTGAGAGCAGCTATTTGTCTCATCTTTGTATATATAACCAGGGTCGTTTGTTGTAATGTTTCCAAATATAAGGTGGTAACATTCTTGACGTTAGACCTACTCATTTTAATTTTCAAGAACTATTTTTGTCAAACTCTTCTCTTTATGCATATGTGCATCTATATGTATGTGTGTGTATCTATATGTGTGTGTGTCACAGCTCCAATCTGTCACAGCTTCATAGTAGGAAGGTGTAAACAGACTCTAACACTTCTCTTTGCAAAATCTTACCCAAGAATTTCAGGCAGGATTAAAGCACAATTATATAATTCCATTCAGATGAGAGTATATTATGTTTTTATAGTCCTCCAGTTAGAGTGTCTATAACTACTATGCTATTGTCTGAATGTTTGCAAACCCCCCAAATTCATACATTGAAATCTAATCACCAAGCTGATGGCTTATAGAGGTGGGGCCTTTGGGAGGTGAATAGATCATGAGGGCAGAGTCTTCATAGAGGGGTTAGCCTCCTTTAAAAACAGGCCCCAAATAGCTGCCTTGCCTTTTCCACCATGTGAGGACACAGCTAGAAAGTGTTATCTATGAGAAACAGGCCTTCATTAGACACCAAATCTGCCAGCACCTTCTTTCTTAGACATCACAGGCTCCAAAACTGTAAAAATAAATTTCTGTTGTTTATAAGCTACTCAATCTACAGTATTTTGTTATAGCTACAGCATTCCAAACAATAGTACAATCTCAAATGAACCATGTTAGCATGCAACGAATCATGTTTTAAGAAGGGTATTATATAACTAAGCCAAAATACACTCATTTATATTCCAAATGAGTGTGTATGTACATGCATGCAAGTTTATGCCCATGAAATTTGTGTGGCAGTTATCTATCCATGTTTGATGTGTAGTCTCTGCAAAGGGTATCAATTTTTATTCTTGGGATGACTGAGCATTTACAGATGGTTACTCTTGATCTAGCAAGGTAGGAAAATTATGCAGTAATAATAAGCAACCCTAAAATCAGTAGCATCAGAAGTCAATGGCTTTCTCGCTAGAACCATTGTTCACTGGGAGTGAGCCGGATGTTCTGGTCTGCATCACTGTAGTCCATGATCTAATATCTGACTATTGGGGCAGCCATGATCTGAAATAGTGGCCAAATTCATGAAGAAATATGAGGAAATACATACTAATGTTCCTGGTTGAAAGTGTAACACATAACTACTGCTCAAATTGCCTTAAACAAAGCAAGTCACATGCCTGTGTCTGAGTTCCACAGAGTAGGGAAGTATAATTCTGCTACAGAGAAACAGATATTGTGGATGCCAAACAACAACTAAAGCTCATCCTACTTGTCACCAAATATTTGTTCCACCCTCTTTTGTACACGGAAAATGCATGATCCCTTCCACAGGAACTATTATCCCTTCCCTAGGGTGTTAACCTCAGAAGCAAGCTCTAAGTCCAGGTTCTCTGAGTGATGGCTGGCATTCTTCTTATCTGTTCTGAAGGTCGCTCCTTTTGTTCAAGAGAAGAGTGAATTAAAAAGACAAGTTATCTTCCTGTCACAGACAATATTCAGTGGAGGAATGGGGACAGGACAATAGCTATAAAACTCCCATTAAGTAGTCACTGGTTTATAACAAATTCTGAAATTTCACTGTGAAGACATTATGAGGGGATTCTACTCAGCTCCTGCAGAATTCAGTGCAAAATAAAAAGGCAAGGCCCCCTTTTCAAAAAATTTTAGCAGAGCATTAAACCAAGTATGGGGTCCTTCTGAACCTGAGGCAGTGTATAGCTGTACAAATCACACAACCATGAAGCCAGCCCTGACTTTACTTACTCTGGAGTGGGCAATATTCCTCAATGAGGCTATGATTTCTTCTCTAGCTGTGGCTGCCTGGAAGTTTGTTCCCAGTAGCCACTGATTTTACTTTTTATTTTATTTATTTTTCTTTATTTCTTCTAAAAAAATGGATACATGTGCAGAACATGCAGGTTTTTTACATAGGTGTAGGTGTGCCATGGTGGTTTTGTGCACCTATTGACCCATCCTCTAAGTTCCGTCTCCTTACCTCCCACCCCCCAACAGGCCCTAGTGTGTCCTGTTTCCCTCTCTGTGTCCATGTGTTCTCAATGCTCAACTCCCACTTATGAGTGACAACCTACAGTGTCTGGTTTTCTGTTCCTGTGTTAGTTTGCTGAGGATGATGGCTTCCAGCTTCATCCATGTCCCTGCAAAGGACCGATCTCATTTCTTTTTTATGGCTGCATTGTATTCCATGGTGTATATGTATCACATTTTCTTCATCCAGTCTATCATTGATGAGCATTTGGGTTGGTTCCATGTCTTTGCTATTGGAAACAGTGCTGCAATAAACATATTGTGTGCATGTGTCCTTATAGTAGAATGATTTATATTCCTTTAGGTATATACCCAGTAATGGGATTGCTGGGTCAAGTGGTATTTCTGGTTCTAGATCCTTGAGGAATTGCCATACTGTCTTCCACAATGGTTGAACTAATTCACATTCCTACCAACAGTGTAAAGCATTCCTATTTCTCCACAGCCTTGCCAGCATCTATTGTTTCCTGATATTTTAATAATCACCATTCTGAATGGTGGGAGATGGTATCTCATTGTGGTTTTGATTTGCATTTCTCTGATGATCAGTGATTTTGAGCTTTTTTCATATGTTTGTTGGCTGTGTAAATGTTTTCTTTTGGGAAGTGTCTGTTCATGACCTTTGCCCACTTTTTGATGGGATTGTTTGTTTTTCTTCTTTTAAGTCTGTTTAAATTCCTTGTAAATTCTGGATATTAGACCTTTGTCACATCAGTAGATGGCA
This sequence comes from Homo sapiens, assembly GCF_000001405.40. Classification (NCBI taxonomy): domain Eukaryota; kingdom Metazoa; phylum Chordata; class Mammalia; order Primates; family Hominidae; genus Homo; species Homo sapiens. Next base: position 76,172,461 of record NC_000002.12, read on the forward strand.
AACATTTTCTTTCATTCTGTAGGCTGACTGTTCACTCTGATGATAGTTTCTTTTGCTATGTGGAAGCTCTTTAGTTAGATCCCATTTGTCAATTTTGGCTTTTGTTGTAATTGCTTTTGGCATTTTTGTCATGAAGTCTTTGCCTATGCCTATGTCCTGAATTCTATTATCTAGGTTTTCTTCTAGAGGGTTTTTATGGTTTTGGGTTTTACATTTAAGTCTTTAATCCATCTTGAGTTAATTTTTGTGTAAGACCAAGAAAGGGGTCCAGTTTCAGTTTTCTGCATATGGCTACCCAGTTTTCCCAGCACCATTTACTGAATAGGAGATCCTTTCCTTATTGCTTGTTTTTGTCAGGTTTGTTGAAGATCTGATGGTTGTAGATGTATGGTGTTATTTCTGAGGTCTCTGTTCTGCTCCATTGGTCTATATATATGTTTTGGTACTAGTACCATGCTGTTTTGGTTACTGTAGCCTTGCAGTATAGTTTGAAGTCAGGTAGTGTGATGCCTCCAGCTTTGTTCTTTTTGCTTAGGATTGTCTTGGCTATGGGGGGGGGGGTCTTCTTTGGTTCCACATGAAATTTACAATAGTTTTTCTCATTCTGTGAAGAATGTCAATGGTAGTTCGATGGAAATAACATTGAATCTATAAATTACTTTGGGCAGTATGGCCATTTTCACAATATTGATTCTTCCTGTCTGTGAGGATGGAAAGTTTTTTCATTTGTGCCCTCTCTTATTTCCTTGATCAGTGCTTTGTAGTTCTCCTTGAAAAAGTCCTTCACATTCCTTGTTAGCTGTATTCCTAGGTATTTTATTCTCTTTGTAGTAATTGTGAATGGGATTTCATTCACAATTTGGCTCCCTGCTTGCCTATTGTTGGTATAAAGGAATGCTTGTGATTTTTGCACATTGATTTTGTATCCTGAGACTTTGCTGAAGTTGCTTATCAGTTCAAACAGTTTTTGGGCTGAGATGATGGGGTTTTCTAAATATAAAGTCATGTTTTCTGCAAACAGAGACTATTTGACTTCCTCTCTTCCTATTTGAATACCTTTGTTTCCTTCTCTTGCCTGATTGCCCTGGCCAGAACTTCCAATACTACGTTGAATAGGAATGGTGAGAGAGGGCATCCCTATCTTGTACCAGTTTTTAAAGGGCGTGCTTTTGCCTATTCAGTATGATATTGGTTGTCGGTTTGTCATAAATAGCTCTTATTATTTTGAGGTACGTTCCATCAATACTTATTTTATTGAGAGGTTTTAACATGATGGGATGTTCGATTTTATCGAAGGCCTTTTCTGCATCTATTGAGATAATCATGTGGTTTTTGTCTTTGGTTCTGTTTATGTGATGGATTACATTTATTGATTTGCATATGTTGAACCAGCCTTGCATGCCAGGGATGAAGCTGACTTGATAGTGGTTTATAAGTTTTTCGATGTGCTGCTGGATTCGGTTTGCCAGTATTTTATTGAGGATTTTCGCATTGGTGTTCGTCGGGGATATTGGCCTGAAGATTTTTTGTTGTTGTTGTTTCTCTTCCTAGTTTTGATACCAGGATGATGCTGGCTTCATAAAATGAGTTGGGGAGGAGTCCCTCCTTCTCAATTGTTTGGAATAGTTTCAGAAGAAATGGTACCAGCTCCTCTTTGTATCTCTGGTAGAATTCATCTCTCTGGTCCAGCTCCTCTTTCTCTTTCTGGTAGAATTCACCCATCTGGTCCAGGGCTTTTTTTGGTTGGTAGGCTTTTAATTGCTGCCTCAATTTCAGAACTTGTTATTGGTCTATTCAGTGATTTGACTTCTCCCTGGTTTAGTCTTGGAAGGGTATATGTGTTCAGGAATTTATCAATTTCTTCTAGATTTTCTAGTTTATTTGTATAGAGGTATTTATAGTGTTCTTTGATAGTAGTTTGTATTTCTGTAGGGTCAGTGGTGATATGCCCTTTATCATTTTTTATCGTGTCTATTTGATTCTTCTCTTCTTTATTAGTCTAGCTAGTGGGCTATCTATTTTGTTAATTTTTCAAAAAGCCAGCTCCTGGATTCATTGATTTTTTGGAGGAGTTTTCATGTCTCTATCTCCTTCAATTCTTCTCTGATCTTCGTTATTTCTTGTCTTCTGCTAGCTTTTGGATTAGTTTGCTCTTGCCTCTTTAGCTTTCTGTATTGTGATGTTAGAGTGTCGATTTGAGACCTTTCTAGCTCTGTGATGTGGGCATTTAGTGCTATGAATTTCCCTCTTAATACTGCTGTAGCCTTTTAAGAGTTCCTTCCTACTCCTGTTCATTTTGGCTGCATTTGAAGAGGGCATTGGGGAAAATGACCTGTGGAGTGCCAAAGACATTTCTTAGCCTTCTTCTTGCTTGTAAAGATTGCAGGCTAGGGGTCATTTTAACATTTGAAAAGTCAGTCTCTTTTAGTCCAGGCTAGAGGATATTGGGCAGTATAACTTTTGTATTAGTTCCCTAGGGTTACTGTAACAACCTCAGACCTGGTGGCATAAAACAACAGACATTTATTCTTTTACAGTTCTGGAGGCCAGAAGTCCAAAGCCAAGGTGTTGGCAGGGTTGGTTCCTTCTTGAGTGCTCAGAAAGAAAATCTGTTCTATGTCTCTCTCCTGGTTTCTGGTTATTGCTGGCAATCCTTGATATTACTTGGCCCAAATTACTCAAATCTTTGCTTTCATTTTCACATAGGATCCTTCCTGGTGTTTCTGTGTCTGTGTCCAAATTTCTGTCTTCTTATAAAGATATCAGTCTTTGGATTAGGCTTTATCCTAAACCAGTAGGACTTCATCTTAACCTGATGACATCTGCAAAGCACCTATTTCCATCACTCCATCATGGTATTCATGATAGCATTTGGAGACGGGGCTTTTGGGAAATAATTAGGGGTAAATGAGATCATGAAGTAGAAGCCCTCATGAGGGGATTAACGCCCTTGTAAGAAGAGACACCAGCAAGCTTGCTCTCTCTCTCTCTCCATGTGAGGATACAGTGAGAAGGCAGTCATCCACAAGCCAGGAAGAGAAACCTCACAAGAAATGGACTAAGACAGCATCTTGATCTGGGACTTCACAGCCTCTAGAACTGTCAGAAATAATATTTTTGTTTAAGCCACCTACTTTATGGAATTTTGCCATAACATTCCAAATAGACTAAGACTAAGACTAGTGCTGGAAGAGGTCCATGCTTCTCAACACAATACAGTAAAAAAGAAAACGATACAAGATTTGTAGCGAGAAATACAATCAAAACTTCAAAACTAAAATGTAATACTACTCCCTATCCACTGAGATGACTAGAATAAAAAAGATATAGCATTACAAATGTTGGCAAGAATGTGAAGAGATTGAAACTCATATGTTTATGGTAAAAATAAAAAATAATGCGGCAACTCTGGATATAGTTTGGCAGTTCCTCAAAAATGTAAACATTGGGCCATCATATGACCCAGCAATTCCACTCCTAGGTATATATCTAAGTGAATTTAAAATATATATCCACAGTAAAATCTGTGCACAAATGTTTATGGCAGTGTTATTAATAATAAAGAAAAGGTAAAACCAACCAAAATATACATCAACTGACGAATGGATAAACAAAATTGGCAAATCCTTTCAATTAAATAGTATTTGGCAAAAAAGAATGAAATACTAATGTATGCTACAACGTTGATGTACCTTAAAAACATTATGCTAAGTGAAATAAACCAGTCATAAAAGACCACATGTTTTATGATTCCATTTATAAATGTCCAGAATGGGCAAACTTATAGAGACAAAATGTAGATTAGTGGTTGCTAGGAGTTAAAGGGGAAATGGGCTGTGATTGCTAAAAGGTATAAGGTTCTTTTTGCAGTAATAAAACTGTTCTAAAATTAGATATTGGTGGTGGTTGCATGACTGTGAATATGCTAAAAACCACTGAGATATGCACTTTTAAAAAGTGAGTTTCATGTTTTGAGAATTATGTATAAACAAAGGTATTATTTTTAAAACTTTATGGCAGAATCCCATGTTTGTATCTATTTTTTCTTTATAATTGATACATAATAATTGTACATATTTATGGAGTACAGTGTGATGTTTCAATGCATGTACACATTGTGTAATGATCAAATTAAAGTAGTTAGCATGTCCATCACCTCAAACTTTTATTATTTATTTGTGTTGATAACTTTCAAGATTCTCTTTTCTAGATATCTTGAAATATACAATACATTGTTATTAGCTATAGTAAGTTTAGTATGTAATAGAACACCAGAACTTATTCTTCCTCTCTAATTGTGACTTTGTACCCATTGACAAATGTCTCCCCATTTTTCCCTCCCCCTGCCCCTTCCCAGCATCTGATAGCTACTATTCTACTTTCTACTTCTATGAGATCAACTTTTTTAGATTCCACATACTAAAAAGATCATGCAGTATTTATCTTTCTGTGCCTGGTTTATTTTACTTCATATTATGACCCCCAGGTTCATCCATGTTGCTAAAGTGACAAGATTTTATTCTTTTTTATAGCTTATAGCTGAATAGTATTCCACTGTGAGTGTGTCTATGTGCATATATACACACCACGTTTTCTTTATCTATTTATCTGTTGAACATTTAGGTTGATTCTATTACTTGGCTAACGTTAATGGTGCTGCAATAGACATGAGAGCACAGATTATCAGGGGAAATTCAACCCCTGATATTTCACGTGGGTCGTTTTCTGTTTTCCCCAAGTGTCGGCCGGTCTGATAAATAAAGGCAAAGAGTACAAAAGAGAGAAATTTTAAAGCTGGGTGTCCGGAGGAGACATCACATGTAGGCAGGTTCCCTGATGCCCCCCAAGCCACAAAACCAGCAAGTTTTTATTAGTGATTTCCAAAAGGGGAGGGAGTGTACGAATAGGGTGTGGGTCACAGAGATCACATGCTTCACAAGGTAATAAAATATCACAAGGCAAACGGAGGCAGGGCAAGATCACAGGACTGGGACAAAATTAAAATTGCTAATGAAGTTTCAGGCACCCATTGTCATTGATAACATCTTATCAGGACACAGAGTTTGAGAGCAGACAACCATTCTGACCAAAATTTATTAGGCGGGAATTTCCTCCTCCTAATAAGCCTAGGAGCACTACGGGAGACTGGGGCTTATTTCATCCCTTGTCTACAATCATAAAAGACAGATGTTCCCAAAGTGGCTATTTCAGAGGCCTCCCCTTAGGAACGCATTCTCTTTCTCAGGGATGTTCCTTACCGAGAAAAAGATTTCAGTGATATTTCCCCTATTTGCTTTTGCAAGAAGAGAAATATGACTCTGTTCCGCCCAGCCCACAAGCAGCCAGACTTTAAGGTTATCTCCCTTGTTCCGTGAATATCGCTGTTATCCTGTTCTTTTTTCAAGGTGCCCAGATTTCATATTGTTCAAACATACATGCTCTACAAACAATTTGTGCAGTTAACGCAGTAATCACAGGGTCCTGAGGCGACATTCATCCTCAGCTTACGAAAATGACAGGATTAAGAGATTAAAGTAAAGACAGGCATAGGAAATCACAAGAGTATTGATTCGGGGAAGTGATAAATGTCCATTAAATCTTCACAATTTATGTTCAGAGATTGCAGTAAAGACAGGCGTAAGAAATTACAAAAGTATTAATTTGGGGAACTAATAAATGTCCGTGAAATCTTCACAATTTATGTTCTTCTGCCATGGCTTCAGCCGGTCCCTCCGTTTGGGGTCCCTGACTTCCTGCAACAACTGATATCATTTCAATATACTGATTTAAATTCCTTTGGATATATATGTAGTAGTGGAATTGTTGGATCATATGATAGTTCTATTTTTAGTTTTTTGACTAATTTCTATATTGTTTTCCATAATGGCTGTACTAATTTGCATTCCCACCAAGAGTGTATAAAAGTTCCCCTTTCTCCACACATTTTCCAGCATTTGTTATTTTTTTGTGTTTTTTGTTACAGCCATTCTAATTGGAGTAAAGTATTACCTCATTGTGAATTTTCCTGATTATTAGTGATGTTGAGCAGTTTTTGTATACCTATAGGCCATTTGTATGTCTCCTTTACAGAAATGTCTATTCAGGTTTTTTGCCCATTTTTTCAAAATTGTTTTGTTTTTATACTATTATATTGATTTTTCTGTATATTCCGAATATTAACCCCAGGTTGAATGCATAATTCAGAAATATTTTCTTCCATTCTGTGGGTTGTCTTTTTACTCTGTTGATGTTTTCTTTGTTGAGTAAAAGCTGTCTAGCTTGATGCAATCTCATTTGTCCATATTTTGTTTTATTGCCTGTTTTTTTGAGATCCTACCCCAAAATTCCTTGCCTCAGCAAATATCATGAAGTGTTTCTTCTCTGCTTTCTTCTAGTAGTTTTATAGTTTGGGTCTTAGATTTAAGTCTGTTATTCATTTTGAGTTGATTTTTTGTATAAGGTGAGAGATAGGGTCTAGTTTCATTTTTCTTCATGTGGATATCTAGTTTCCCCAGCATCAATTATTGAAGAGACTGTCTTTTCCAAAATATATGTTCTTAATATCTTTGACAAAAATCAGTTAGCTATAAATGCATGGATTTATTTCTGTGCTCTCTATTCTGTTCCATTGGTCTATGTATCTGCTTTTATGACAGTAACATGCTGTTTTGGGTATTATAGCTTTATAGTATAATTTGAAGTCAGGTAGTATGATGCCTCCATCTTTGTTTTCAGGTTGTTTTGTAGATCCTTTCTTCCTGTTTTTCTCTTACTGTCTTACTTTCTTCCTGTCTTCCTTTGTGGTTAAATGATTTTCTCTAGCAGTATGTTTTAATTCTGTGGTAGTTATTTTTCATGTATCTACCATGAAGCTTACAAAAAAACCTTCTTGTTATAATAGGTTATTTAAATTGATAACAACTTAACTTTGATTGCAAAGAAAATGAAAATAAGAAAATTATACTCTACACATTAACACCGTTTTCCCACCAGAGTTTGACTTTTTGATGTTTTCATGTACAACTTTTTATATTGCCTATCCCTCAACTAGTTATTGTAGTTACTGTCTTTAGCATTTTGTCTTTTAGCCTTCATACTTAAGATAAAAGCACATTTACATACCACAGTTACAGCGTTAGAGTATTCTGAATTTGTACCTATTCTTACTTTTACCAGTGAGCTTCATACCGTCAGATGCTTTCTTTTTACACACTAATGTTCTTTTATTTTGGATTGAAGAACCACTTGTAGCATTTCTTGTGAGACAGGTACAGCGTTGATCAATACTCTCAGCTTTTGTTTGTCTGGGAGTCTTTATCACTCCTTTGGGTTTGAAGGATAGTTTTTCTGGGTATGGTATCCTTGGCTTCCAATTGTTTTTCCTTTCCTTGCTTTGAATATATCATTCCACTCTCTACTGACCTGTAGAGTTTCTGCTGACAAATCCACTGAAAGCTATATTAGGGGTCCATTGACTGTAATATGTTTTATTTTCTTGTTGCTTTGAATTATTTCTTTGCTTTTGATTTTTGATAATTTAATTATTATGTGACTTAGGGAAATTTAATTTGAGTTGAATTTGATTGATCAGCTCTGACCTTCCTATATCTGGATGTTGTCATCTTTCTCCAAATTAAAAAGAATTAACCATTATTTTCTTAAATATGCTTTCTAGGCCTTTTTATCCCCTCTCATCTTTCTCAGGAATTTCTATCATGTGAATGTTAGTTCACTTGATATGTCCCATAATTCTCTCAGGCCTTTTTCACTCTTTTTAATTATTATTATTTTTTCTTTTTGTTCCTCTGATTGGATAATTTCATATGTTCTGTTTTCAAGCTTGCTGGTCCTTTCCTCTGTTTGATCAAATCTTGTTGAAGCTTTCTAATAAGTCTTTCAGTTCAGTTATTGTATTATTTATTTCTTGGATTTCCATTTGGTTTTTTAATAGTTTCTATTTTTTGTCAAGTTTTTCATTTTGTTCCTGTATTGTTTTCCAAATTTTATTTAATTTAGTATTCATATTTTCTCGTGATTCCGCAACTTCTTTAAGAGAATTATTTGGAATTCTTGGTCAAGCATTTCATAGGTCTTCAATCTTCTGGGACCATTGCCATAGACTTGTTATTTTCTTTTGGTGATGTCATATTTCCCCAAGGTTTCACAGTCTTTGTGTCTTTACATTGATGGCTGCATATTTGAGAACATTGCCACCTTTTCCAGCTTTTGCAGGTGTTCTTTGCAGGTGGTGTTATACTTTTACTATCTAATATCAGAACTTAATTGCTGGTCTGTTGTTGCTTCTCATTCTAGGGAGGACTTGTATGGAGCACTGAAAATAAAACACTGCACCAGAAATGAGTCACTGCTCTGTGATTGTTTTCTAATCTGGGATAGACTCAAGCAAGCACTGGAACTGAATCACTGACCTTTTCATTGTTACTTGCTGTGGGAAAGGCTGGACATGGAAAACTGGGCTTTGTGGGAAATATACCCAGGGATTCAGGCCTTCCCACAGATTCTGCTCCCATGCAGTACTAAGGTGCCAGCCAGTCTCCTTAGCAAAGTATCCCCACTGATCGGAGTGCAGAGTAGCTGCCATAAACTGAGTGCCACTCCCTGCAATCAACACCTCCTCTCTTGGTTCCCAATTCACCCCAAGTGTTTCAGGGCTCCTGACATACCCAATCATTCACGTAAAATGGGACAATAGTGGGCTTCCCGTGAAGATTCCTAGACCAGTGGGGAGATTGAATGTTTACCTCCAATTTCTTCCTTCCATTTTGGAATCTGTGTGTCTAGGGAAATTCTCAGTGAGTGATACTATGCTGGCTTTGGGAAGGGGCTGGCACAGTCTAAAATAATTGTTCCTACTGGTCGCAGTTTCTCTTGACTATGAAAGCCTAGAAGGTTTCTCCACTTGTCCTCTAATTTCTGGTGAATTTATGGTGATAATCTCATCTTTGAATAGTTTCTAGTAGTATTTTTGTGGAGATAGTCGTGCCTGGGGATTTTATATTTCACCATCTGCTGACATCATTCCTATGCCAATTTTCTTTTAGCAGTCACTATAGGCTGTTATACTTGGGTAACAAACAACTCCAGAATCTCCATGGCTTATGAAAACATTTATCTTAAACTCATGCTATATGTTGATTATACATTATCTGAAGTTTCTGATCTGTTTCATTGCTATCCTCACTCTGAGACCTAATTAATTTAGAGATGCTGTATGGAGCAATGGTGGGTCACCATGGGAGAAGAAAAAGAGAATGTAATAGAGTGTTCTGTTACATTCTTGAAGCTTCTACTTGGAAATAACATATCTTGATTTTGCTTATGTTGACCAAAGGCAGCTTACCAGGCTATGACTGAATTATATTAGGTAGAAAAAGTGTAAGCCTGCAATGTGCTTAGAAGCAACATGAACAAAATATTTGTGGAGTGGCCTAATGACTATTATTAACTTTGCATGAAAAGGCAGATTTGACTAGGGAAACTCTGCAACACATCCTGGGGCCAGGAAAAAAGGACAGTCATACTCTATGGCATTTCTTTCTCACCTGGGTGAACTAGAAGTACAAAAGGGTCAAGTGGAAATAGGCAGTGGTCCTTAAGAACAGGCACACTGCTACTTTCACCCACATTGTATTGGTCAAAAACAAGTCACGTAGCCAATATCAGCATCAATGGGGCAGATATACGTTCTTTGCATGGTTTGAGGGAAAGAGGAAACATTTGCTAAATAATAATCGAATCTGCTTAATTAGGTATTAGACCTTGCTCTAAGCTTTTTACATGTAAGCACTCATTTTATTCTCATAACAAACCCAAGAGGTAGGTACTGTACATTATTTTCACATATTTTACAAAGGAGCCAATTGAGGAGCAGAGAGTAACAGTCCCAATATCTGATAGCTTGCAGATGAAATCTGTATATAAATTCAGGCAATCTCATCCCATTTTTCTATGCTCTTTATTTTCTATATTCCTGTGTCCATCCTTTCCTGTCACTTTACTGTATCTCTCACTGAACAAAGTCCAAAACTTATATTGATGGTATTTTAACTTGCTAAAGAGTGAAAATAACTCCTTTCAAGTTAAAAAATGGCAAGCATATTACTTATCAATTGTTGAATGTTAAATATTCAGTGAGTGTGGAAATACATTATGGGAAAAAGCAACTACAAATTCACTTTTAGAACACTTTGTATTTTATTTCTCACAATTATGTCTATACTCATTTGACAAAAAAGTGTGTGTGTGTGGTTGTGTCTGTACAAGACATTATTCATTCTATAGACAAGACCTTAAGTACACTTGAATTTTTGAACCTTCCTAGGTATCTGAGTTCCACAAGTTGAAGATGACAATCTGTGGCAATTCTACAATATTGTAAAGTTCATCTACATATCTCTTGTCAGTTAACATTATCATAGCTTTACATGGAAATAGAAAACTAATAACCCATTGAAATAATGTTGCACTGCAAACATTTGATATATATTACCTCTCTTGCCTTTGGCTCATATTGACTAACTGCTCAAGATGTGATTAGGTGTGTACAATAATTCCTGCCCTAGTCCTAGAGGAGAAAGGAAACAAAGGGCAGGATCTGACTTTTCTTTTGTTTATTGTTATTGTTTACTTTTCCTCAAAGGTAGCCAAACAGAGTTCCCTAGGTCAAATTTTATTTATAGTCAACATATCTCTTCCTCTCTCTTCAACAACAAAAGCAAAACTGTGGAGCGTGTGATGCTTTTGTTAAAAAAAAAAAAAAGATAGGAAGCTATATGCACTATATGTAGAAATCTATTTCACAGAGGGAAAAAAGAAAAAAGAGTATTATTTTACAAAGCTTGGTGGAGAACCATGTGGTTAGTTAAAATTATGAGGCATAAAGCAGGCAAGATCCAGAATTTAGCCTTCTGGCATCATTCAATTAGAATGGAAGTCTGCACTGATCATGATGTTAAAATTCAATGTAAAATTCTTCAAAAAGAACTGTCTAAGTACTTTTTTGGAGGTTTCTCCCTTTCTTTCCAACCTCTGAGTATTTTAAATTTCAACTGGTATCCAAGTTCATAGCTAATTTTAACATGTGTATGAATGAGAGAGTGTGTTTGAATACATATATGTATACATGCATAAGATTATATGCATGCACTCATTTATTGGTGATATGTGGATAAGGTGGACTTAAGTAGACATTTCATTTCCAAATGTGTTTAGAATAAGGTTAAAAGTTGAGCCATAGCTTTTAAAAATAGGATGTATTCAAATTGTTACACAAGTAATTCATGTTCAATGTATGACATTTTGAAGCCACCAAATCAAAAATAAACAAAAGTACAAATCTATATCATTTGATCCTAATATTCGGGTGTATAATCTTCTAGATTCTTCCCATTTTATATATATATACATTTTTATATATATATATAAGTTTTTAATTCAGATACAATATTTGCAAAGTGTTTTTTCCCTTAATATTCGTTGTCTGAAAAAATTCCCCACAAACACTTGTCCAATTATTTCCTTAAGATAGCTTTCTGGAAATATTTGGATGAAAAGAGATGCCAGAACTAGACCACAGATTCTCAATGTGTGGCTTCCTGGACTCTCATGGTCAAAATCGCCTAGGAGCTTTTTAGAAAGGCAAATTATCTGACTCATCCCAGACCTATTGAATCAAAAACTAGAGTAGCACCCAGAAATATGTGTTCTAAAAAGCCTATGAGGGAATTTTGATTTTGGCTTAAAACCACTGAAGTAGGCCTGGCGCATTGGCTCAAGCCTATAATACCAGCATTTTGGGAGGCCAAGGCAGGCAGATCATGAGGTCAAGAGATGGAGACCATCCTGGCCAACATGGTGAAACCCCGTCTCCACTAAAAATACAAAAATTAGCTGGGCGTGGTGGTGGGTGCCTCTAGTCCCAGCTACTCAGGAGACTGAGGCAAGAGAATTGCTTGAACCCGTGAGGCAGAGGTTGCAGTGAGCTGATATTGCACCACTGCACTCCAGCCTGTTGACAGAGCGAGATTTCGTCTAAAAAAAAAAAGAAAAACACCCCAAAAAACCAAAAATAAAACCACTGAAGTAGACTAAGGTATAAAGCTTCATTTTTCTGTAGTCTGTCTATAATCCACATGACTAAATTTAGCACCTAAACTGCCTAGTTCTCTAGTAAAGAATCACTTGAACTTTTTTTAGAACACAATCTGTGTACATGGGGGTTTGGGTGTGTTTCAAAGCATAAGCACAGCTTCTTCCGATCCCAATATTTTTTCTCTGAGGACAATTTTTTTTTTTTCTAATTTGTTTGGGTATTTAATTTCACTGTAATTGCTTTCCTCAATATCTGACAATCCCTCAATTTTCTTTTATATTTAAGACCAAGAAACCAAAACGCTGATTAGAATCTCTGTGTGCATCATTGACTTGCGGACGTTGCGATCTGTGCATAAGGCGGGGAGCTGCATTATAGCACGTCCAAATGTCAGTATGTATAGGTGTTTTCTCCTACGCTAACCAGATTTTTATAGAGTGATTCTCCAGAGTCAAACTTGGAGGCCCATGACGTTGGTCCACAGCATTTGTGAGCTGACCAGAGAAAGGAGACGGGATTCTGTATCTTTGGTATGTATACATTTACTTAATTCCCCTCTCTTCAGGAAGATGTTTAATCTCCACTCTTGGCTAACTCCAAGTTTTTCCCCGGTCATCCTCTCCAGAGTTAACATGTTTTCTGCCACATGCGGGAAAGGAGAGTCACATAGTTACATAGGCTGTGGGAAGATATGTTGGGTCTCAAATATTCCTGTTTTATTCATATGAATTCCTGTTAGAGAAATCTGGCATATTAAATGCGTCTTTCCTCTGAGAAAATAAAATAAAATAATTATGAATGGCATCTCTAAAGCCTAGATGCCTCCTTGAAACCCCATTTATCCTTTAGCATCAATAGTTCATCTGTCTAATCCATATCTATCACCTTGATATCTTTTTTATCAATAATTCACTTAGTTCCATTATTCATAAATTTATTTGAGTACTATCTAAGAAAAAAATGCATCTCTCATTTTAACGGGAAGTATATCTTAAATTTCTAACAGGAAATGCTCATGGTCTATTTCTCACAGACCCGTTCCCCTATTCTGTTTTCATAATTTTTTAGAATCTAAAGCAATCTCATGGCTTTTTGATAGAGTGGTATCACAATTTGTTATTCTCAGGCTGTGTATAACCTTAAGGATAATGTGAGATTCCAGATATCTTCTGCCAGTTTCATTGCTCCCCCAATTTTTTTACTCAACTTCATAATTTCTAGAACCTTTATCATGTTTGATACACAAAATACCTTTAGTCACATATTTTTTTGTATAATCGAATAACTGGCTTTAGTTCACCTGTGGTTGTATGCTAGCCTATCTTCTGAAGGCTTATGTTTTCTTCCTTCAAGATAAAGTACCTACATGGAAAGCTCTACAGTTGGAATGAAGAGCTTTGAAAGAAGCATAACCATGCAATTCTGTTATTATTATTATTTTCAGTGACTTACCACTACAGAGAATCTTTTAGCCAGGAAGTGAGGATAGGATAATGTAAAGCATAACAACAAAGAAAAATATCTTAGATCGTGGTAACATTCAGAAATGGAAGAGGAATCAGTCTGTCTAGCACTAAATCTGAGGTTAAGATTGCCTTAACACAATGAAACAGCCATTAAGGTAAAGAAAGTTTCAAATTATTTTTGGTTGACAAACACATGATCCTGCCTTATTGGTGATAAGTAATCGTTTTAAAAATAAGAAAGAGGAAAACAACTGACTTGAGAAAAACGAACAAAATCATGGAAAGGGAATAATAGTTGCAAGACTAGAGGAAGAATTCACTTCTGAAAAACAGCAATTACAGTTTCAGGACAACATTTCAGGCACTGTTAGGTCAATAAAATAAAAGAAAAGAGCACGTTTTAAAATAGAAACTAGAAGCCATATTAAGAGAATCGCCTGAGATAAAAAGGCAATTGAGAGAAGAAGACAATAGATAAAATGAGAGATGGTAAGAAAAGAAAATATTGCTAGAAAAATAAAACACCAATGGCACAATTTAAATCCATATATAAAGAATTAAATAGAAAAGTTGATGCTGTGGAACATGGAATCATGACATCTAGGGAAAATTTAATACTATCTCCCAGAATACAGAGCAAACAATGCATAAACCTTATTAGAGATCAGGAGATCGTATAGAAAAAAGAACACAAACTTGCTTATAAATATTTGCTAATTTTAAAGAAGGCACCAAAACAAACAAGAGCAGTTATTAATAACATAATAGAAGAAAACTTTCTAGGGCTTCAGACATCTCCAAGTATCATAAAACACACACACATGACTAATTAGGAACTATACTAGAAATGTAAGTGTACTTTAATATTTAAAATTTCTTAATATTAATTAAAATGAAGATTTGATTTATTGTTTAAAAGAGCATTTGATATTATTAAAGAATATCATGTTAAATCAGAAATAAGTATGCTTTTCCAACATAAAAAAGAATTTTTTTCAAAGAACATTGTTCTGAAAAATACAAAATACAGGGTATAGCATCAAACTCAACTTTATAATCTTGAAAACCTTTCATTAAAATGATAAAAAGACAAGTATCCTCATAAATATTCATATTAGTCAAATTATACCCAGAAGTTTTACATGATGCAATAAAACAAAAACTAAATGAGGTATTTATAATAGAAATTTAAACCGTTAACATCATCTCTAGACAAGAGATGAAAAGTGTAAGAATACTAAGAGGTCTGTATACAAAAAAACCTTGCAAGTATGTAAGTATACATATATACTTTCATGATATGTAATCCTCTCATTCTTGATTGTATGGAGTTTATTATTTCCTTAATTTCTCTGAACATTTTAAATGATTTTACATTATAATGCAGCTCAGATTTTATCAGTAGATTTAATTCCTCTGATATGAATTCTCTCAGTTTTGTGTTCTGTAAACTGACTTTCTTGGCATTGAATTCTCCTCAGATGCTCTGTAATGTGCTAACGTGTAATGTCCACATGCTAATTTTACACAGGATTTAACTTTCATGAGATTTTTAATTGACACATTTCCTGGGCTGTGTAAACCTCACTTTAGAGGCCATTCTGTGCTTGTGTCAATCCATCTTCTACACAGTTCCCAGCTCTGAGCCTGTTTGTATGTGAGTGCCTTGGTTTGGAGTTGACTCATAGGATGGAAAAGATGAATTCATCAACAGCACTGGGTATGAATTCTGATTTTCCACTGTTGAGCCAGCTTCCACCAGCAGCCCAGAGCAAAGGAGCAGGCATCTGTCAAGAAACAGGAACTGGAATCATTCCATAATGTATATATACATCAAAACATCACACTATACACCAAAAATATATATGATTTTTAATTTATCAACTAAAAAAATAAATAAACATACATTTAATTTAAAAAAGAAAAGAAAAAGAAATAAGGACTGGTAGGAGAGATATGCAGGTTTCATTTTTCAAGCAAATAGGGTGCTTCCAGACCTTGGCTTCTTGAGGATCCTAGTGAGAATGTCTGTCCAGAGCCACGGACTGGGTACTGACTCCTACTCTGCATGGACATTAAAATCCAGGTCTTGTCCTTGCCTTATGACCCGGTAGTTCAGCTTCTTCTCAGCACTGTGGATTTCTCATTTTATTTCTACTTATTCTTCTTAAAATGCATATTTTCACCAGAATTTCTGTGTATTTAGAGAAGGAGGATGATATCTATGAGTGGCCAATATTTATTTACCCAGAAGCCAAAATTTTTCTTTTTTCTTTGAGTCCCATTTTTATTAAGGCTAACTGAAATACACTGAAATCACTTAGTAAAACATAACTAAAGTAAAAACATTTGTCTGGTAGGTTCTACTCTATGTCTTGGTTTTCATATCTAGGAGCTCCAAAAGGTCTAGAGTACATCTTAGTTTTTGTTGTTTGTTTCTCTGAGTCCGGTTATCAAATTTTAGAGAAAATTTGGAAAAGAGTGTGGAAGGAGAAGATAAGATTAGAGTGCCTGTATACAACATAGGAAGGCATGAGAGAAAAGCACATAATGCACTCTGATTTAATCAGCACCAGGAACAAGAAAACTTTCAAAGAAAATGTAGGGTGATGAATTTACAACAGTTAAAATGAAATATCTGCTTTTGAAGCACACAGCAAGTCTTGAATTCTTCTTTGGGAAATCACAGATGTGAATAATACAATATCCATTGCTCTGATTCTCTCTGCCACCTGCGTCTTTCCTTCAGTTTGGGTCAGTACATTAGTCAGGAGATGAGCGTCCGCTAGTCTCTGTGATGCCAATACATGTTGGAGGGAGGATGAGACACATTTATCAAACCCACTGATCAGCAGTTCTTCACTTCCTGTGGGCTTTGTGAATCATGTAATCAGAGGATTGTTTGTTTTATTTGTATTTATGCCCACATTTACCACTCCCCCCTGAAAAAAAATCTTAGCTTATCTGAATCCTTATGGTTAATTTAGAAATATCATTCTCTCTTTTTTTGGACTTGTAATCCTGAAAATCCTCAGAAATACAGCTATGCTTTTGTTCACTGGAAAAGTCAAAATCTCAGATTTTTCTCTATTGCTTGCTGTTTACCATTAAGGCATGACCTGACCTAGGAAACTATGGGAGATGGGGACAGTGAGAAGTTTGTTTTGGAATTTATGCCCTGTATTTTTTTTTTGTCTGCCTCAGCTGCCTATTACCAGATATAATACACATTTTCAAATTCCCATGTAAATAAAAAGGACTATATGGATCAATGCCATTTTGGTCATCTCTTGAGGCCTGGAAATTTATTTTTTTGTATTAAAGATCCATTTATTTTTTTCCTTTAAGAATGGAACTATACTTAGTTAAGTAAAATCCAACATTGAACATTTTACATTCAAACTTTTGCATTTGAAGACAAGGTAAATAGGTGTTTTTAATTGGTTCAAAATTTAAAAACAAATTTGAAGGATTAGAATGTTTAAGAAAATATGTCAGAGTTAGAAAAGCCAATTTATGCTATTTTTCTTTTGACATGTATTAATCAGAAAATTACAAAAGCAAATCACATACTTGGAAACAATTAAATGTCTATGAATAGGGGATTATTTCAAGGGTCAGCAAATTTCAGCCTATTTTATAAATACATTTCATTGGAACACAGCAAACTCCATTTCTTTACATATTGTCTATGGCTACTTTTGTACTAAAATGGTAGAGTTGAGTAGTTAATGGAGAGGACATATAAAGCAGAACCAAAAATATTTACTATCTGGCCTTTTAAGAAAAAGCCTGTCAACTGCTGGATTGATTATATAAATTATGATTCATCCAAAAATAAAATAGTATGAGGTGTTCAAATAATGGGCATCCATATATATGAATATATTTCTTTTGTATTGCTCCTATGAAAATATTGCTGTATGAAAAAATTACCACAAATGTAGTCCCTTAAAATAACACAAATTTATTATCTGATAGTTCTGGAGGTCAGAAGTCCAATAAAGGCCTCACTGAGCAAAACTCAGTATGTCGGCAGTACTGTGTTCCTTCTGGAGGCTCTGGGAGAGAATCTGTGTCCTTACCTCTTCCAGCTTTTAAAGGCTGTCTGCGTTCCTTGGCATGTGGCTTTTTCTTGTTATCATCAAACTAGAAGGGGCTGGTGTAGTCTTTCTCATGCTGTCATCTCTCTGGTTTTTTTCTCTTATGTCTTCTTCTACTGCTTTTTTTTTTTTTTTTTTTTTTTTTTGAGATGGAGTCTCGCTCTGTCGCCCAGGCTGAGTGCAGCGGCGCGATCTTGGCTCACTGTAAGCTCCGCCTCCTGGGTTCACGCCATTTTCCTGCCTCAGCCTCCCGAGTAGCTGGGACTACAGGTGCCCGCCACCATGCCTGGCTAATTTTTTTTTGTATTTTTAGTAGAGATGGGGTTTCACCGTGTTAGCCAGGATAGTCTCGATCTCTTGACCTCGTGATCCTCCCGCCTCAGCCTCCCAAAGTGCTGGGATTACAGGCGTGAGCCATGGCGCCCTGCCGTCTTCTTCTACTTCTAAGTATCCCTGTGATTACACGGGGTCCAAATGCATAACCCAGGATAATCTCCTCATCTCAAGGTCAACTTGAGATAAGCAACTTCAATCTCATTTGCAACCTCAATTCCTTTTTACCATGTAACCTAACATATCCAAAGTTTTCAGAGAGTAGGATGGGAATGTTCTGGGGAGAGGAAACATTATTCTGCCTATCACAACGAGTATTTAAAGGTATTAACAACATTCTATTATATGAGAAAATGTGAAATAACAAAGCATCATGTACAAAATAATTTAGTTTAAAAATTCTCTGTTTATTTTGTGAATAGAAAAATAATTAGTGGAGGTTGTATGACAAAAGATTATAATTATTTTTCTGAGACATGAAATTATAAACGGTTTTATATATTTTTAAAAGTCTAGGTTTATATATTTTTATAGTTTCTTTAATATAATGAGCACATTTTATAATAGGAAAAAATCTACATGCAAATAATAGTAAAACAAAGACCACTTACAACGGAAGTTTCAAAATAGACAATTTGCAAAACAAAAGCATTGTTTGTATGTATATTTTGCAGGGTTTTTTTCTATATAATGTCAATCCTTTGACAGAATCACATACTTCTTACTTTCACATTTTTGGTAAGTTTCACTACTGCTCTAATGCAAGTGCTTCCCAGAAGGGCTTTGCTTTCTTTCCTGCAGCGTGGAAAATTCAATACTAATTAATCTTGAACAGGGGTATCCTAACTTGTAGAAAACTGCAACCACTCAAGTTTGCATAGAGAGATCACTCCTCTAGCATTTCCATCTTTCTTGACTGTTCAGTACTTTCCAAGTCCCAGCTAACTGATTTATAGCTTTTGAATTTGATTTGCATACCCCATATAATAATCTACAAGTCATTTCCATGCATCTTATAGTTGAAGAAAAATTGGTTTTCAAATTCTCACTTTTTCTTGAAGCTCCTAGGGACAAGCTAAATAGGCTATTTTGTTGCATGATAATTTTTCTTTTTCTTTCTTCTGTTTTGTTTGTGGGTTTTTTGTTTATTTTTCAAATAACCCAATAGATCTTTTCTTTTTCAACTATTTATCTATGATAGCCACCTAATAGTTCTGACAGAATTATTTATGTTTTTTGATATTAACCTATTTGTCCCAGATGATCACAGAATTTAACAATACTTCAATTTACATTACAACCAGTAAGAATTCAGGATTACTTAATAATCTATAAGCATTTATGTTGTGGCTTCTATACGTATATTTTGAGTACTACTTTTTTGATGTGCTGTTTTGCATCCTTTTGTAGCAGTTGATGCAATATCACAATATTATCAACCAGAGCAAGTGTGCTGCTTGAAATAAAAACAATGAATTTTTTAAAAGGGTCAGATTAAATACCAGTAAAATATTTAAAGCATTCACAATGAAAAAAGAAGAGTTAAAAAGGGAAAAAGAATAAAGAAATACAGAATGCTTTTAATTGCTTTGAGTTTAAATTTCCCTTGCTCATGAGCCTCACTGTGGCTTAGCAGACGATAGTTACTTTCTCAACTTTATTTGAGAAATTAACTGAAGAGTGTGTGAATCTTATATTTATATTTTGTACACTGGCTAGCACATTACAGGTCCTTGGGAGAGGCTGAGGAGATTATCAATAAATATGAGAATAACATTGTTCTCTAATTGTTAGAAACACAGGCAGCAGACTTCACCTAAAGCCAAACAAATACAAGAAGAAGAATTAGGTGCTTTGGTCAAACAACTGGTTAATGGAATCTAAAACAAACAAACAAAAACACACTAAATGTAGTTTGACTGAATTCGTTTTGTATGGTTAGCCTAGCCATAATGTGTTACTAGTAATACTTAAGCTAAAGAAAGTAGTTGCATTTTTAAAATGACTAACATTTGTCAACAACAAAAATTTCTCAAGCCTCGACTTACATGCAAGAACTTGGATATTGATCTCATAAAGCTTAATATCACTCTAAAGAGACAAAGCCTAATACTGACTCAAAAGAAAAAATAATCAAAGAGCCTAGTAGTGTCTGTACCAAGAACTTTAGTGTTCAGAAAATCGGTTGGGGCTAGAAAGCTCAATGGCTGAAGAAAAGACAAGTGCTGAGCTGCAAAGCTTACGGGAAGGATAAATGCAGGGTACGATTGAGGGTATGCATGCTGAAGGGATTTCCATGAGGAAAATCAGAAGGCAGGCAAGCAAACAGAGGGTTATCCCAGTGGCTTACTGGAGCTCAGGTGAGGTTGGAAAGGTGTGAAACATCACATGAAATAATTATATTTAAGTTTGTACTTAAGTGATCTTACCTACTCATTCCAAAAGGGATACCCATTACTTAGATATGGTGAGAGACCAACACCTATGAGCACAACTAAAAGGCAAAATCCAAAGTTAAAAAAGAGAGGCGGACTTTCTACCCAATAAAAAGTTCTGCTTGCTGAAAAACATTGAGCTCTGGGCTTCTTATAACCTGAGAAAAATAAGGAAAGCACAAATGATAAAGTATTCTTTTTCTGTCACAATGAGAGTCACAGTTTTTATTTCCTTCAGCCCTGGAGGAATTTATAATCAGAACATTGAGTAATATACGAGTAATGGCTTTGAGAATGATTTAAGAATCCAGGCATTTTGTATGCAATGACTCCTCCTTTATTGACACTTGGTAAGAGCAAAGTGTAATGGCGTAAGGACTAGACTAGAGATGACACCTTGAAGGACGGGCTGGCTTGATCAAAGCACCTGACTCTTTCCTGTTATATTTATTTTGGCATTAGGTCAGGGCTGCTACATCAGTGTCTGGCTAATAGAGAAAAATTAACTTCCTTTAGTTATTAATAATTTTCCCATTAGTCTCTTCCAAGAAACCATAATGTGCTAGTTGGTGGCCAACACATAGAGACAAAGGTCACCCACCCTTCAGTTAATTTTCCTAACTCAGGTGTGAAAGGAGGTTTTGGATAATAATCCATGCTGAAGCTAATGAGAAAGAAAAAGCCAGATTCAAAGCAATAAAAGACATTCTGCTTTTTTTTTCCCTTTAAACATGGCTTATTGTGAATCCTTGGGTGATTCTACTAGTCTCTGTTCTGACATTTAAAAATTCATTATTTTTATTTCAAGCAGTGCAATGGATATAATTGACAATATTGTGTTATTAATCATCAGTTACAAAAGACAACAAAAGAGCATACTGTGGTTTTTAAATATAGTCATTTTGTGTGTGTGTGTGTGATGACATCTCATTGACATTGGTGAGAGACAGGTGTAACTGAGTAAGTGTGGGATATGGAGAACACTTTGAAGGCCAAGAAGAAAATATTTTACTTTTTGTTTTAATAAGTAGGTAACCTTGGGACATGTAAGTGACTATGGAATAAAATAATCTGTAATTATTTCAAACATTTTTTTAAATAAACTTATTCTCTTTTTATTTTTCCTTCCAGTTTGGAAGAAGGCTGGGGGTGAATAATATATAGCTAGAGCTGTGATCTCATGATATGCCAAATAAGTATCAAGAAATAGCTACATTTATGGCATTTATGTTAAGGCTTATTACTGGTATGCAAATTCCCAGCCTATAATTGTTTTCACAATCAGGCCCAGAGGCATTACCATGGAGGAAGTAATTATAAAATGGTTAATTAAAAGTAATTATAAAATGGCAAATTACTTTTTATACATCCTCATACATTGTTCAGTTATAACTTAATCTTTGAAATCCTGGAATGGCTGCCTCCCAAGAACACTGCACCCTTCAGGGAAACGTGGCTCATCAGCCACTAACAATGGCCCTTTTTTAAAAAAACTTTGCTAACTCAGATTCTGGGATATTCCAGCATGACAGCTGGTTCCTTTTGTTGTGCCGTGGTCAATGTTTAATGCACTGCAATGGATTTCTCCAAAGTGTGGCCTAAGCACCCCCGAGGGCCCTCCAAGTCCATATGGGAGAGCAGAATGTTCTGCTGATGTGAGCAGCAGACGGGCTTTGCTGAAGAGTGGGCACATGGCAGCCAAGGCTGTGGGAATGAAGCAGGTGGACATTTGTTTGAGGTAGGGGAGGAAGGAGGCCATTCCTGAGGATGAAGATAACTGCCGGTCATTTGAAATAGAAAGCCTGGAAAATCTAACCAGATGTGAAAAGGCCTCACTGGGCCAAAAATATGGGAGCCAATTTTTTTCACATACAATTAAAACATTTTAATTACTGAAAGGTACATTCCATAGTTGAGTTTCAACTTTGAAAGGACTTTAAAGGTTTAAAATACTGACTATAATAAAAATCAATGTTGAGTGTTGAAGCTAGTGAATATACCTACACAGGAGAAGTATGATCAGCTCTCTAACCTGCACCCTGCTTTTTCAAATGACACTTGATGTTTCTGATCTAGGCTGGCTAGATCAAATTCAGAATGCCATTATATTTGATTTTCAGATACACAAAGAATAATTTTATAGTATAAGTATGTCTCAAATATTACATGGGGCATACTTACTGTAAACACATTATTCATTTTGTATCTGAAATTCAAATGTAAGTGGATATCCCAGATTTTTTTTGCTAAATATAGCGAACATATTCTGGTTGCTATAGTAAATGGTGTCCTTTTATCATCAGATTTCAAAACTGGTTATTGCTAGCAGAAGAAAACAGTGGTATCTTAAATATAAGCCAAACCATCTTACCAAATTTTCTCAGTTTTCCAGGTATGGAATCCAATCTTTGGTAAATAATAACATTTTTGCAGTATCTCTTGTAATATTTACATGTTGTATTCCTTTTCCTTGTATGATTGCATTGAATAAAAATATAATAGCAAAGTTAAATAATCTCAGTGATAGTGGGTATCTTTGTGAAACCCTACATCTTCCGGTGACCATTTTCTTTAATTTCCAAATTAAATAGCTAAGGCTTCCATTCCAAATTATGTGAGAATATCAGCTCCTCCTGCAGTGTTTCTGAGGATTCTGGATCCTACATTCTCATGGGGATCTCATCTCATTTCTAAATTACTCATTCTAAATTAGACCTGATATAATCTAAATACATCATCATAGACTTTGCTTTTGTGACTATCCTCCATCTTCTATATCCCAAACTGGTAATGTTAGAATGCTGGGGTGTATTAGACACCGATTCCAGAAGGGAGGGAATTTAAAGTAAACATGGATCTGGCTCTGTAATGCTCACATAGAGTTATCTCCCAGGTTGTCTTGCTGTCTTATTACCAAGGTGCTGTTCCTCTTATCTACTTTATGAAGCACTTGTCCCACAGTCTTTTTTACTCTTCACTCATGTGTACCCAGAACTGCTACATATATTGCCACCCTTCCAAAGCAGGAAAGACTTCAAATGCATGTTTGCTTGGTCAAAAAGGTTGGGCTGCTTGCATAGTTTTGTGTGTACCAAAAACTATGCACCAAGAAGTTAATTTAACTAAAGGATCATCTTCCAGTTTCTCCACTATTAGCAATGCAATGTACTGCCAAAAGAGTGAAATCACAAATTTTCTTTAATTTGGGCCAGATCAGATTCTAAAACATGGGTCTTTTGAGAATGGGGCAGTCATTGGAAAATGGGTTATTCTTCCATTTATAATTGTTTTGCTTCTCACTTTCATGTGTCTTCTGGTTATTTTTAACCATTAATTATAAAGTAGGCTATTGCTTTGAAATTAATAATTTTGTTATGCTAAGGCAGTTCTTGACAGCGATGGTGTTGAATTATATCACACTGCTTTCTGACATCTATCAAGACCACCAATACTCTCCCACTACCATCTTTGATCAATTGGTGCGTTAAATAATATTAATATATTTCCCAATACTAAGCCGTTTTTGCCTTTCTAGAAAATAATTACTTCTGTTAGCTGTATTATTTTAATAGTATACTTGAATACTCTTATGTACTCTTAAGGACTCATCTGAAATAGCAATGTTTCTCCCACTATGCTAGGAAATAATCAATGCCTCCCAAACAAAATGGCCTGTAATCAAATAGCTTGGGAACCCCTTCCTGGGGAAGATGAACAAATGAAAGCCTCAGAGAAGTCACAAAGTTTAAATATCTGTTTCTATTTATTGAATAATTCAATTATTTTATTTGTGAAAGGGAAATAATTCCATAAAATCAGTTATTTTTTTTTTCATTTTTGTAAGCTCTGAAATAATTTGTATATAAGATAAATTTTATGGTTTCATAAATTTTTGGAAAAATTGTTCAGTTAAACCATTTGTATGCAGTGCTCTGTGTGTATATGTGTGTGTGAGAGAGAGAGAGAGAGAGAGAGAAAATTTATTCCTGGAAAACTTTTAAAAAGAATCTCCATTTCTCTTAATATGTTCCAGTTAAAATTAAGATTTCTAATTTCTCTAGAGACAGCTATGGTAAGCTTTATTTTCATAGAAACATATACATTTCACCAAGGTATTTATATAGAGCTACATTACATTATCTAAATAATATAGAATTCTTTTATAGATTTTAACACATTTTTATCTACATCTCTAGAGTTGGTACCCTAAATGCTATATATTTCCAGTTTCTTGCACCTCTAAACCTACCACCTATCAAAATACCTTCCATAAATGATTTCGCTCCCTAACACGTTGAGAAAATAGATGCCAATAACAAACACGTCCTCCACGTTATCTCTGTTGGGTGCTTCCTACAAGCATTTAAATATTTTCAAATCTCTTCATATTGAAAATAAAGCTCAGATGGTTCTAAAACATATGTCCACAACATTTTTTAATACTCCTCCCTTCAGAGTGGGGGTTAATTTCTTTCCCCCTTGAGTATATGCTAGATTTAGCAACTGGTTTCTAACAAATAGAATACAGCAAAAGTGATGGTATGTCACTTCCAAGATTACCTTCTAAAACGACTGCATCTTCCATGTTGAGTACATGCTCCCTCTAACACAAGCACGCTCCCTCTTTCTCTTGGATCGTTTGCTTGAGGGAGGTCGCATCACTAGCAGTCTACGGAGACATCCAAATGGTGAGGAACTGAAGCCTCCTAGTAAAGCTATGTGAGTGAGTGTGGAAGCAGGACCTCCAGCCCCACTTAAGTCTTTAGAGACTGAAGCCCTGACAGCTTGACCGCAACCTCATGAGGGACGCTGAGACCCAGCGAAACAGCTCCCAAGGTTCTGAGGCTCTGAAACAATGTGTGATAATTCCACCTCACATTCTTCTACCGAAAAACAAAACAAACAAACAAAAACATTGGAAGGAAAAATTTAATTGGCTTAAGGACAATTTTTATCTCACGTAACAGCCACCCTTCTAGGTTCACATAGGACAGCGGGTCTAGGTATGTTTAACTCAATAGCTCAGGGATGTCATGATTCTTTTGTCTGTTTCCATTTTCTTCTCTGCAGTCCTTTGCATGTTAGCGTAAGAGGCTCCCGTCAGGGTTTCAACATTAATGCTGCAATTCCAGTCGTCACCAGCAGGTGGAAATCTTACAAGTAAAAATAATTCTAATGTACTTTATTTCTCCTTTAAAGAGTGAGCAGAACCCTCTCAGAATCTCTCCAACGGATAGCCTCACATCTCATTGGTCAGAGTTTTATCGTATGTGCATGACTAAATCAATCCCTAGTCAAAAATAACAGGACTATCATAATCAGCTTAGAGTGGACATAAATACTTCTCTGCCCAAAGTATTTAACTGAGTATTTGGTGATTAAAAATTTTAAGTGGTATTCATACCTACATTATACTGGTGTCTATGTAAGTATAAGCTGTGAATTTGTATTACTTATCTTCCTTGAAGATCTCTTTTTCTCTTTGCTCTTTTCATTACCAGATCACAAAATTGTCTTGTTCCTTAGAATTTCTCAGACTTCATCCTTGTTTCTTTTACATTACCTCAACACTTAATGCTTATTTGAACTGGGCAACATTGTTTCACATCACTGGGAGGATGCTTATGCAAAATGATTCAGAAAGAATATTAATTGGAGTAAGCTTTAAAATTATATGAACTATTATGCTCAAGTTGGTCAGTACGAAATTCTATAAAATTAGTGTATTTGAAATTAGAGATATCCAGAAATAATGTCTTCCAAATTTTGAGAGCCTCTAGCTAGAGTCAGACAGAAGTTAATTTTTATAATGAAATTATAAACCCTTGAAATGGGAAGTTGCATTTGATCAGCCAACCAGAGCCTTTTTTAGCTCCCGTGCCGTATTGTGACAGACAAATGGATTGGTCTGAAGATGTGCACATCACATCTGTAAGTGAAATTGAGTGAAGGATTTCTGACCAAATTGACCAATACATCTTCTAATGAGAAATATCCTTTTACTGTTTTAGAACTGACAATTGTGATAACATAATTAAATTAAGAGGTAATGAAGGAAAAATATAATCTATAAGTCATTTACTATAATAAAAACTGAATCCTTATATTTAGCCTCATTAGAATATAATTAGAACTAACCTATGCAGTCAAATTGTTACGTATATTCTGAAACCTGAAAACCTCAGTTCTTTTCATGATTCTCTACATTAAAATGCTCAGATGCACTAAGTGATGGCCTTTGGCTACACTCGTTTAAGGTGTTAGTGCTAACTGTTGAATTTAACAATGGATCCCATGACGGAAAAGGTAACATTTCAGTAAGTTCTGCGTGGTGAAATCATAGCAGGTTGGACATAATATTAAGTAGCACATCTTTTGCCTTGTAATAGGGTTTATATCATCATTCTTGGCACATCAACGACATTATTTGTCCTTTTCATTTGTCCTTTTCAAGTGTCCTATGACACTACTTTTGTGTAAGTTTTTATTTTCTTCCATGAAAACATGTCAACATTTTTCTATTAAATCACAGAATAAATACTTGCAATATCATGTTTGAGTTTGTAATGACAGTGCTTCATCTGATGAATTCATCTTACTATTACAAATAAAATTATTCAGCATTTACCCCCTTTACATTATTTTAATTAGATGATAGCTTCTACTCCATATCTACGTTCATATATATTTCTGAAGTGATTTTCCACATTCATCTCTACATCCCTGAAAAAATGCAATAAAACTGGAATTTAAAAACAAAATAATAAATACAAACATAAATGACTTAGACTATTGATTCTTCTAAATTCTAAAATCATTGAATAAATCAAAATGATAGTTATAAATTACCTAGAAAGCAATGAGCTTGAAAATACATAAACTGAAAGTGAACTGAACTTCACTAAAATAAATTCAAATTTCCAAATGCTTAATGATAAAACAATATGAAACAAATAACCTAACAATTCACTTCAAGAAACCAGAAAACAGGAAAAAAATCCATATTTGGAAAATAGGAGGTAGCTACAGACATAAAAGCTGAAATTATGAAACAGAATAGAGCATAATCAGCATCTTGCTAAAGCCATTATTTCGTGCTATGTTATGGTTCATAACATAGATAAATCCCAGGGAGGCCTAAAGAAGTGAAAGAAAAAAGAAAGAAAAGAAAAATCCATACATTATGAACTAAAAAAAGAGAGAAACACTCAGATATATTAGTGTTTGCTACTTTCTGTTCTTCTATTTGAAAATCTAGAATAAATAGATATAAATTCACTGAAGAAAAATTAGAAATCCCAGCTAACTGCTATCTAGAATATAAATTGGCAAACTAGTGAATATACCCCCAAACCAATTTGGTCATAATTACAGGTGAATCCAATGAAAACTTCAAGGTGTCAATAATTCCTTCACTATGTAGTTTTCTAGAAAAAAGAGAATCAAGGAAGCCTTTTCAATTAACTGTATAAATTAGCATAATTCCAATAATAAAATCTGGGAAACAGAGTATGCGTACTTAAAGAGTACAAAATCAAGTTTTAAGAAATCTAATCTAGGACTATAACAAAAGTAAAATACATCACTAACAAGGGTTTATTTTAGGAATTCAAGAATGAGTCAGTCACTGGAAAGGTATGGCATACATTTTCATCTTAGTACTTAAAAGGACAAAAACATACCTTGATAGATGGCAAAATAGTTTTGATATAATTTAACCTCCTTTTCTGATAAGACTTATAACATTAGTTATAGAATAGTGACATTTCGATAAAGAATGCAAGAGAAGTAGGCTAGTGGCCATTGCTAGTCAGCCTCTTCACTTATCTTCAGCCAAGAGTTGTTTATCAACTTTCTCCCTTCTGAGAAGGTCTATGGTGGATGGTCAGGGTGTTTATTGTTATGGATTGACTCAACAGGTTGGCCCTGACCCTGTGTTCATGGTTTCTTAAAAATGGTAAATGAGAGGAGAAATAGACTTGTAGACTCCACAAGGTACAAAGTTTTATAGATTTTTATTCTAGAAAACCAGTAAAAAGATAATTACAAAAGTAATATGCTATTGGAAATTTCCGTGCTATACTTGTTGATCTAACAGAGGAAAATTGAATTTAACTTTTTTTCAGAATTGCAGGAATTCAGATATCTTGTCACTAGAGAGATCATTCAAAAGATTCTAGCTGGGCCATCCACCAAACGACAAACAAGGAAGGGCCAGTGTCAACTCTGTTGAAAAGACACATACTTTTCTGGCTCATACAGATCATGCTCATTGGTGGCTATTTGCCTTTGAGACTGCAGATATATAAGGTGTGACCAGTCAGCTTGATCCTGAGAGGTGAGCAACTATGAAGTAAATGCAGGAGGTTGGCAGAAGTGAGGACTACAGAACTCATGCTGTGCTGTGCTATTTCACATAATCACCAACACACACAGAGCTATGAGGAGCTGTAGGCACCATGCAAGCCAAAACAGAACAATAGAATTGTATTTCCAGCTGTATTTCATAGAAATGAACCAACATCCTTAAAGATTTTGAATGTTTTAGAAATTATTTCTGAAAAGTTTATTATTCTCTCTGGCCGCAAATCTGAATTCAAGTGACATTTGTGTTTCTAAATAACTAATTGCAAAGAACAGGAAGTATATTTCAATGTATGTTTTATGCTTTAAATAATGTAAGTTGATAAGGACCATCTGTATTTGCTGATACTAGAAATGAATGAAAACTGAACAACCATATCTATCTATGAGAGTAGTTTTCAAACAGTCCTGTAAAAGCCCTAAGAGGCTGTGGAAATATCTTAGGAGCTACCAGGAGAAGGGGCCCCCATCCAAGGATAGCACGTGGAGACAGACATTCTTATCTTTGACTTTACAAGTTTTATATACTCGTGTGTGTTTATCTGTGTGTGCTTAATGTTCTGCATGAATTTTCATTCAGTAGAGAAAAGGGGAATTATTTTCTCCTAAAAAGATAAAAACAGGAATTTTCATTATATTTTTAAAAGTAAATTTTCTAAAATAAACAAACCAACTATTCAAGGACTATAAATATAATTTGTAAGCATAATAGAGGAAATTTAAGTCGTACTTGTTTGGGATTATTTTTGCTATCTTACTAGTAATACTTAATATACTATCATTAAGAGGAATCAAGGTCTAAAGTCAAAACAGATCCTAGGCACTAAACCAACGCCTTCTGAGTTTTAAGAATATAACATATATATGTGTGTGTGTATATATATATATATACACACACACACACACACATATATTTTATGTACTATATATATAAAATACATATACGTTAGAGTATGTTTGATTTTTTCCTAATAAGATCAAATTAAAAAATTTATATAAAACTAAATTTTTATAAGTTGGGAAAACCACTGAAGAAAAGCATTAAAAGTTAAGCACTAAAAGACATTATGACATGATTAAAATGTTTTAATACAAGCTTTTTTTAATAGTTTTATTATCTATTCAAAGCTGGTATCTTCTCTTTGGAAAATACTTCTATACATATAAATTGAAAATTACTACTATTGTTAAGCACGTCATATTTTCAAAATTAATAGCCACATTGTTAATCATGCCAAGAGCTTGAAAGAGGTGCCTTATTTTTGGTTAATAAATACACAAAATATATGTGTAAAATAAATGAACTCATATATTTGTATTTGTATTTATATATTCTTGTGAAGGTAGTTTGTGAATGCTTTTTATCTTATTTTTTCAACAATAAGGTCTTTAAAGCTTCTCACCTGGTGGATGATAATGTAATTAAGCATGTTTTATTGTAACAGAAGACTAAAGTAAAAAATATATTAAATCAACTGGACAGTAAAATCTTTTATGTTTTTCAAATTTACCTAGTATATTAGGGTTCTCCAGAAAGATAGAACCAATAAGATGGATGGATGGTTGGATAGATAGATACATAGATAAGATAGATGATAGATGGATGGATGAGAGGGAATTTGTTAGGAGAATTGGCTCACACAATGATTGTGGAAGCTGAGAAGTCCTGTGGTAGGCCATCTCTAAGCTGGAGACCCTGGAATGCTGGAAGCATGGCTCAGTCCAAGTCCGAAGTCTTTGGAACCAGGAAAGCTAATGTGTAACTTTCAGGCCAAGGCCAAATACCTCTGAGAACCCAGGGAGTTGCTGGTGTAAGTCCTGGAATCCTAAGGCCAAAAAGCCTGAAGTTCTGATGTCCAAGGGCCGAAGTGTGTCCCAGGTCTAGGAAAGAGAGAGGAGGAAATTATTTTCTCTTGTTTTTTTTTTTTTGTTTGTTTGTTTTTGTTTTTTGTTTTTTGTTTTTTTGGTTCTATCCAGGCCTTCAGCTGATTGGATGGTGTCCACCCACATTTAGAGAGGGATCTTACCCACTCAGTTCACTGACTCACACACGAATCTCCTCTAGAAACACCCTTACAGACACACCCAGAAGTAATACTTTACCAAGTCTCTAGGTATTCCTTTATCCAGTCAAGTTGACACCTAAAATTAACCATCAGACCCAGTTTATTCCATTCCTTCAGAGGAGGTTCTTGGACAATACAGAAGTGACTGCCTGAGAAGTCCAGAAACTCTTCCAGAAAAATGACCATCACCTCTTCATATTTTCATCAGCTGTAGAACTGACCCATAGGCTGCCATTGTTATCACAGCTTCCAGGTATGACATCCAAGCAGGAAGCAGCTCCACGTGTGGTAAGCTCTTGGCAGCTCAGGTGCCTAGAAGGTATCTCAGCACACATTCTGCCCAATGTACATGATTTATACTACTTAGTAACAATCTTTTTGGAAACCAAAATTATCAGATGCATACAGAAGGCAGGTCACAAAATGAAGTAGTTACTTTCAGTTTTCTCAGAAGCATTCTCTGTATTCTCATTGTTAATTCTGGGACCCAGGGGATGATCTTGAAGTTCATGAGATAATTTTTAGTTCTCTTACAACCTCTTGTGTCATTCATATTTCTAGCCCAGTCTCATAAGTCTAGATTTGGGCTAATTTAGAACATACATCAACCATTATAGTATCATATAGAGTAGTTTCAATGGGCATTTTACTTTTGGAGATGCTAAGCTATTTGAATTTATATATTCTAGAAGGTCTGCATTCTATCAACGAGCTTTACAGTGCTTTAGAAGAGAAAAAAAACTGTTGGAGAAGTGTCAGATATATTCTAAAGCAATTAGTGAGAAGCAAACCAAAAATTTTTAAGCCATTATTTTTTCATGTGAGCTAATCTGTTTTAGGATATTTTGAAACATGTCTAGAAATGAGAAAAGGGTATTCCCGTTTCCTGGCTTGAGTGAGTACCATGTCATGTACTGTTAGAAATTGCTATGATCTGAATGTTTGTGCCTCCATCCCCAATTCATATATGAAAATCTAGTCACCAAGGTGATGGTCTTAGGGGATGGGGCCTTTGGGAGGCAGAGCCATTATGAATGAGATTAGTCTACTTATAAATGAGTCCTCAGAAAGCTGCCTTGCCCCTTCTACCATGCAAGGACACAGTGAGAAGTTTCCATTTATTAGAAACAGGCACTCACCAGGCACCAAATCTGCCAGTGCCTTGATCATGGACTTCTTAGGATCCAAAACTGCAAAAATTAAATTTCTGTTGGTTATAAGCTACCTAGGTTATGATATCTTGTTATAGCAACCCAAACAGATGAAGACAGAAATGTCAGCTTATTTAACTCAATAATTGTTAGTGTGTATGTATGGTGTGTGTATGTGTGTGTGTGTATATATATATCTTTTACCTTAGATATACTACTAGTACATACTGAAATTACTAAGGCAAGCTGTATGCATCCAAGATCCCTGCCCCCTTCTGTTAAATTTGAGCTAAATTTACATGCAATAAAATGCCAAAATATTAAGAGTACAATAAAAAAAAAGGTTTGAGAAATATATCCATGCAACTACCACTAGTTTCCTCATTTGTAAAATGGGGACATTAATAGTACATATACCAAAATATAGAATATTTCATCACCCTAGAATATTTCCTTTTTTTCCAGCCAATTCTCCCTCTTCCTGCTAAACCTGCCAGAAAAAAAAAATACTGTTTTCATTTTTGTCACCATAGCTTTTATTTGCCTGCACTGAACATTTAAATGGAATCATACAAGATATATGACTGTTTCTGGCTTCTTTTACTCAACATGTTTTTGAGCTTTATATGGGTTGAGATATATGTGTGTGTGTACATATATATGCTGTATATGTGTGTGTATATATATATATATGATAATTTTTTTTATTGTTGAATGTTATTCTTTTGTATGCCTATACCAAAATGTATGTATCCATTGAATTGCTGATGGGCTTTTTTGGCTATTATGCTTTAAATCTATTGATCCATATTACAAACTTGCCTGGCTGAAGGGTTGTCTCAGTTTGTACTCCCTAACCCACCTACCTCCTTCCCTGCCAGCAATGTTAGAGAAGATGTTTCAGTCACAGATCACCTGCACAGGCAGAATCACTTTTAAATTATGTTCCAATTTGATGATCAACAAATGGCGTCTCATTTCAAATTGCATTTTTAATATTGAGCTTAATTTTTAAGAGTTTACAGATCAAATCATTTTCTTTTCTTTTTTGTCAACTATCAGTCCATGCCATTTGCCTGTTTTTTTATTGGTATGTTTTATCATTTAAAATTTTATCTGCAAGAGGTATATATATATATATATGTCTGTATATATGTGTATATATGTGTATATATATATCTGTATACATGTATATATATCTGTATATACATGTATATATATCTGTGTATATATATGTATGTATACACACACACACACACACACACACACACACACATATATATATATACACACACATTAAGGATTTAGGGCTTCTTCACCCAAACTGCTCTCCAATACCCAAAAGCATAATACCCCTCCTTGTATTGTCCCTAAAGGGGGGTATTATTATTGTCACACTTATTTTATAGATTAAAAAACCTTGGACACAAAGAAGTTAAGCATTTTGCAAAATGTCAGTATCAAATAAGTGATAGAGGTTGAAGAGTTGCTTTTAACCCATTTACGATCCTACCTTTCTGTTCAAAGAAGCTTTTTGCAATGACCATAATCATAACTACCTCCTCAGGTTGTTTCAGTTATTAAACAAATTAATAAATGTGATGATAATAACAATAGACACTGTGCTAGATACTGTTCTAGGTACCCTCTATATATTATCACATTTAATATTCACAACAATCCCATGAGATAGAAAGTACAATCTATCATCCACAATTTATCAATGAGAAAGGTGAAGTATAGAGAAGTTAACTATCTTGCCAATAGTATATGGCTAATGAGTGACAGAGCTGAAATTTGATCCTAGATAGCATGGCTTTAGAGTCTGTTCTCTTAAATAGTATGTTAGCAGCTGAGAATAGCTCCTCGCAAATAGTAAGTCCTAAATTGTTGTGAACCAATGTCATTATTAAAGGACATTTGTTGGATTATAAAAATAAAGCTTATTTTTCCCCCCAAGGAGGTCCAAGATTTTGAGGTTGCTTCTTTCTTTTCATGCATATGGCTGCAATAGTGAGACAGATTCCTGATACTAAGGAGGGGGCTTTGGAAGACACAAGTGTATAACTCTTTTATTTTAAACTTTGAGGCTCCTAGAATGTGTCTGATACAATTGAGTCTTGATACAATTAAGCTGTATAACAAACAGCTTCAAAATCTCAGATACTTAAAATGGCAAATATTTATTTTCCCTATTTACAGATCTGTGTATAAGCTGTCAATCTGCTATGCTGGTCTCCAGAAATCTAGTCAGATTCAAATCTGCTCCATGTGTTTCATCATTCTGGAACCTGGGACCTGGAAGTGCTCTTCTTATGAAGATCACAGGAAAGCAGATGAGTAAACCAAACTGTGCAAGCACATTTAAGCCCTGTGCTGCATCATGTTTGCTAATACTCAATTCAATATTATTGAAAATGAATAAGGAAACAAGATGACAGAATAAGATTTGAATGTTTGGAATCTTGGGATCTGACCAAAATGCTTTAACAAAATTAGCTATTTTACTGAAGTGGTGATAATTTTTGTCAGATATATGCAAATATTTTCTCAAAGGTTTTTTTTAATAGTTTTTAACTATCATTCATAACATTTTAGCTTTTCTGAAGATCTTAATTTTTATGTAGGTTAAATGACTTTTTTTTTCTTTTATGGTTTGTGCATTTGGGTTGTTGCATATACAGACTATGCCATAAAACCCAAGCCAGATATTAATATTCCTTTGCTCAAAACTTTTTCATGCTTCCCACATCCCTCAGAGTAAAAATGTAATTCCTCTCAAAGGCCAGCAAAGCCCTTCATAGTCTGTTCCCTACTCACCCTCCATAACTCTCTGTCCTCATTTTCTACTTCCTAATTTCTAAGCTCCCTCTAGACTACCCTCCTCATTATACTTCAGATATACCTAGCGTCAACATACAATTTTCTAAGTTAAAAACAAGACTCCAATACAAATATGTAGTGAGCACATTCTAATTATTATTTAGTCATTATTGAAGGAACCATTAGAATGGTAAAGCTGATTAAAAGGAGGCTAGGTGATTAGTATAAAGAGTCATAAAAAAAAGAATGCTGGAATAAAATGGCAGAATTCGATACCAAACTGGTCAATATCCTCAAGTGCAATGATATTGTAACACACATATCTTTTTCTAAAAAAAAAATTAATCTGTCTATTTGGGTACCAGAAACATGCTATTTTTGTACTTGTGATAATAAGCTCTCATACTTTTTATTTTTAAGTTCCAGAATACATGTGCAGAATGTGCAGGTTTGTTACATAGGTGTACATGGGCCGTGGTGGTTTGCTGCACCTATTAACCTGTCATCTAGGTTTTAAGCCCCACATGCATTAGGTATTTGTCCTAATGCTCTTCCTCTCCTTGCTCCCCACTCCTCATCAGGCCCCAGTGTGTGATGTTCTCCTCCCTGTGTCCATGTGTTCTTATTGTTCATCTCCCACTTATCAGTGAGAACATGTGGTCTTTGGTTTTCTGATCACGTGTTAGTTTTCTGAGAATGATGGTTTCTAGCTACATCCATGTCCCTGCAAAGGACATAAACTCATCCTTTTTTATGGCTGCATAGTATATGTGCCACATTTTCTTTATCCAGTTTATCACTGATGGGCATTTGGGTTGATTCCAAGTCTTTGCTATTGTGAATAATGCTGCAGTAAACATATGTGTGCATGTGTCTTTATAGTAGAATGATTTATAATCCTTTGGGTATGTACCCAGTAATGGGATTGTTGGGTCAAATGGTATTTCTGGTTCTAGATCCTTGAGGAATTGCCACACTGTCTTCCACAATGGTTGAACTAATTTACACTCCCACCAACAGTGTAAAAGTGTTCCTATTTCTCCACAGCCTCACCAGCATCTATTGTTTCCTGACTTTTTAATAATCACCATTCTGACTGGCAATTATTAAATCACCAATGAGATGGTATCTCATTGTGGTTTTGATTTGCATTTCTCTAATGACCAGTGATGTTGAGCTTTCTTCATATGTTTGTTTGCTGCATAAATGTCTTCTTTTGAGAAGTGTCTGTTCATATCCTTTGCCCACTTTTTGATGGGGTTGTTTGTTTTTTTCTTGTAAACTTAAGTTCCTTGTAAATTCTGGATATTAGACCTTTGTCAGACGTGTAGATTGCAAAAATTTTCTCCCATTCTGTAGTTGCCTGTTCACTCTGATGCTAGTTTCTTTTGCTGTGCAGAAGCTCTTTAGTTTAATTAGATCTCATTTGTCAATTTTGGCTTTTGTTGTAATTGTTTTTGGTGTTTTAGTCATGAAGTCTTTGCCCATGCCTGTGTCCTGAATGGTATTGCCTAGGTTTTTGTCTAGAGTTTTTATGGTTTTGAGTTTTACATTTAAGTCTTTTGTTTTGTTTTGTTTTGTTTTTGCGATGGAGTCTCACTCTGTCACCAGGCTGGAGTGCAGTGGTGCAATCTCAACTCACTGCAACCTTGGCCTCCCAGTTTCAACTGATTCTCCTGCCTCAGCCTCCTGAGTATCTGGCACTATAGGCATGTGCCACCACGCCCAGCTAATTTTTGTATTTTTGGTAGAGATGGTTTCGTCATGTTGGTCAGGGTAGTCTTGATCTCTTGACCTCACGATTTGCCTGCCTCAGCCTCCCAAAGTGCTGGAATTACAGGCATGAGCCATCACCCCTGGCCCACATTTAAGTCTTTAATCCATCCTGAGTTAATTTTTATATAAGCTGTGAGGAAGGGTTCCAGTTTCTGTTTTCTGCATATGGCTAGCCAGTTTTCCCAGCACCATTTATTAAATAGGGAATATTTCCCCATGCTTGTTTTTGTCAGGTTTGTTGAAGATCAGACGGTCGTAGATGTATGGTGTTATTTCTGAGGTCTCTGTTCTGTTCCATTGGTCTGTATATCTGTTTAGTATCAGTACCATGCTGTTTTGATTACTGTAGCCTTAAGTTCTCGTACTTAACTCCATTATTTATCTTCTAAAAAACACTCTTGGAGACTCTCACCTTTTTATCTATAGAGCTTGCCATTTTAATTTTTCAGCATAGTCCTTATAATGATTTTTTTTTCTCATATCTCTTAAACATCTCCTTTAACCTCTATCTCATTCCAATTCACCATAAGTTAAAGTCTTAACAATTGTAATCCATGCCACAAGTCATCAGTCTTTACTTACCAACAAAATGGGGTCCCTATTGGCATCTGACTGGAGAGTGATCTAAATCAGAATCCCATTCTGGGGGTCTGCTTCCTAGGACTGCTTTCTAGGACTACTTCCTAGGAAGTTGTATTACATTTGGTTTCTCAGACATAGACCCCAAGACAAAACATTTGTGTAAAAATATATATATTTAGGAAGCATGCCCAAGTAAAGTCAATAGGGGAGTGAGACAGACTGGGAAGGGATGGAGAACAAGCAGGGGTGCAGTATTTAGATAATTTTTGTAGAGAGTGAATTCAGTGTTGACCTGTAATGGAGCTCTGGAAAAAGGGTAGGTAATGCCTTCTCACACTTGTCAGTCATGGGTTAAGGACTGCACTGGAGGAGATACTCCTGACTTTCCATTCACACAGCTAAAGTAGGATTCAACAGCCTGAGTGTGGTCCTCTAACGAAGAGACACTGGTGTTAGCTTCTTTTATTTTGATTTTTCTCTTGACCTTTCTCAGCCTTCCCGCTTTTAATTAGCATTCTACTGTTAACTTAATCAGTAAGGATCTGTTGCATGTCTGCTATGTGTCTAACACTAATTAAAAATGCTTATTAGGTTAGCATTCTAAATCCAGTCGTTTACTATGAACATCAAATTTTCCAAATCAAAGTCAGGAGTATCCTCTCCAATGCAGCCCTTATCAAAATAAAAGAAAGGATGGTTGCTTAGGAAAAGTACTACGTATATTCAGTTTTGGACTGCATTGAAAGGGAAAGGGAGAAAATATTTGAGCACTTATGAAGTTCTTACATATACTGTTATTGAATCCTAAAAATAATCTCATAAGCTAAACAACATTGCCTGCATTCTGTATCAGATAACTGATCTGTGGCTTAGACAGGCTGGGCAATTTTTACAGGGCTAAGATATTTGGTGACAAAGACTCTCTCCTTGACGAAACTTTAGTAAGGCTACTTTGAGTTTCTCCACTAGGCTTCAAACTTGGCCCCTGTCCTTTCTGGGCCTGCATAGTCACCTTGTTGCAAGAATCCTGGTAAGTCTGTTTTCGGAGGATTTCTCACTTTCGCTATCTTATCACACTTGATATCCAATTGAATTCCTTATCCCCCACCCTTTGTATCTGATCACACTGACCTGCAGTTAGCAAGAATCCTATGAAGTCAGATCAGCCAGAATCCCCTACACTTGATGTCTCCTGAAAATGTTCTGTCAACTGAAACCCCATTCTGTTTACTGACTATAAACCCCTGCTGTCTTTGCTGTATTTGGAGCTGAGCCCAATTTCTCTCCCCAGTTGCAATAGTTTCAACACCTATTGCAATAGTCCTGAATAAAGTCTCCCTTACAAGAGTCAGAATAAGTTTTTCTTTAACAGTTGCTGTCATCAGTATGAGCACTAAAATTTTCCACTGTGATAGCAGTCTCAGGAGATGAAAAGAAGCCTGAATAAAAGCCGATGATGTGCACATATATCTTCAGCGTTTATAAGTTTATGCAAAAGTAAGGTCTAGGGATCTCTTATAATAGAATGCTTCAGCCTTTCCAATATCCCTTATTTTTCAGAGTTTTGTGTCAAAAATATTCAGGTGTCAGCTTTTGTAACTTCCTGGACCTCTGTTACCATCTTTCCTCCATTTGTCCATTTCCTCCTGCCTGTGAGCACCAGTAGTTCTTCTGCCCATCACCTCCTTTTCTTTTGAGACCATTAACCTCTTGTAAGCCACCACCATGACCAGTATTCTGTCCTCAGAATGTGGTGACTCTGGCTTTTATCTCCCTTCCAGGTAGCCTCTATTCCTACAAGACAGTTTGAGGTAAGGTTGTAATCTTTAATGAGACTTTAATGAAAATTCGAAATAACACATAGGTATAAAAAACAAAAGGAATAATGAACACCTGCAATTAGCACCTCTTTAAGTCTCAAATTGCATGATGGTACTCTGGCACTTATAATATGCTTTCTTTCCTCATCGTAGGGCTTTTCCCCCCAAATGCCAACTTGTCTCCATGTCATCCATGATAGTTTACCTCTATCAAAGACTGAGGATTTCAGCATGTTTTATTATTCTGAATCCAGGCCCAACAAGATAGAGATATCAGAACCAAGAAGTCCAGCCTCAATACATTTCTCGAAGTCTGCAATAGTTAGCCTTTGTGCCATGCATGGAATATTCCTGGTTTAATTTTACTTTGTCAGTTCTAGTCCTTTTGTGTTAACCTTCTCTCCAGGAAAGTGTAGACAAGCTTGTATGTCTTTCCTTTAGTCTTCTCAGTCTCCCTTTTATTTTTCTGCAATGAACTAGTTGAACTAGTCACATAAACATATACATGCATGCATGTGGGCATGTTTCCACACACACAGACCTATAGCTAAAGAAATCTCAGTCTCCCAGCACAGTGCGGCCTCAACCAGTGGTTTAAAAAGAAACTCTTCTCTAAAGGAAAAATAGTCTGCAGAGTTGCAACTCTGGGTAAAACATCTACAACCATTTAGATCATTGCTCAGAGCAGTTGCACTTCTTCTAGACAGCATTCAAACATCTTTTCTGATGCTAATCTCTGCCTTACATTTGCATAACTGAAAGGCCTATCAGGAATGTGTTTTTCTGAACACTGTTTGCCCTACAGTTGTTTTCAAGTTTTCACTCCTTTGAAAGCTATGAAATGGCTCTAAAACATGTTTTTCCTACTGCTTCATTCTAGATTACAAATATATTTTTAAAACGTTTGATTTTAAACTAATTTTAGTACACAGAGCTTCCTTACATCCCTCACATCACATCCACTAACGTCACCATCTTACATAACCACAGTATAATGATCAGAACCAGAAAATTAACTGTTGCACAATATTGTTAACTAAACTACAGGATTTATCTGAATTTCCACAATTTTTCTATTAAAGTTCTTTTTCTATTTCAGGGTCATCCAATGTCAATTTTCAGTCAGAGTTCATACTCACTAACCACTTAGGTCATCTTCTTTTAACATCTCTAGAAAAACAATGCTCTTTTTAAGCACATACCTGAAATGGAAACCGAGCCCTGGGATGACAGTTCTCTTCTGGTTTCCAGATGGAGCAGTAATCCTCCAATTAGTGATAGCACTGTGTGTGGCAAAAGTGAATCTGTCTCCCTGCTGAAACTGGAAGTGAAAGTAGATGAAAGTAGAGAGCATTTCTTAGGTTGAATTCAGTAGACTCTAAGATGAAAATCTGTGAACATTATCAATAGTAATATTCCCAGGAAATGCTCGCAGGGAACTGGGACCAGGAATGCCCAAAGGTAAGAGGCCAACCAAGGGTGCCATATTGAACAAAATTACCCCGACTTAATTCTGTGAGGGAGCTCCACAAATAGTGGAGCTTGTACCTCAGAATATTTTTGATTAGAGGTACAGGAAGCTGGAATGTGTGTACCCTTTGCCTTCATCAGTCATTGATTAATAGCTGCTCCTGGAGAGGATCTACATTCTCAAAGTTAGCTCTTGGGACTCTAGGCCAAGTAGTTCTGGTAGCCAGAGCCCATCTGCCTACAAAGAGTCACAGGTGCTGGCCCTATACATGGAGCCAGTGTAGAAGAAAATGCTTTTGGAACTGGATCCTCATCTCTCACCTATACAAAAATCAACTCA
This sequence comes from Homo sapiens, assembly GCF_000001405.40. Classification (NCBI taxonomy): domain Eukaryota; kingdom Metazoa; phylum Chordata; class Mammalia; order Primates; family Hominidae; genus Homo; species Homo sapiens. The sequence goes on from NC_000002.12 coordinate 76,213,302, forward strand.
AGATGGATCAAAGACTTAAATCTAAGACTTGAAATTGTAAAGACTCTAGAAGAAAAACTCTTCAAGACATTGGCTTAGGCAAAGACTTGATGACCAAGATCTAAAAAGCAAATGCAACAAAAACAAAGATAAATAAATGGGACTTAATTAAACTAAAAAGCTTCTACACAGCAAGAGAAATAATCAGCAGAGTTAACAGACAACCCACAGAGTGGGAGAAAATTTTCACAATCTGTACATCCAACAGAGGACTAATATCCAGATTCTACAAAAAGCTCAAAAAAATCAGCAAGAAAAAACAATCAATCCCATCAAAAAGTTAGCTAAGGACATGAATAGATAATTCTCAAAAGAAGATATACAAATAGGCAGTAAGCATATGGAAAAATCCTCAACATCACTAAGTATCAGGGAAATGCAAATCAAAACCATAATGTGATACTACCTCACTCCTGAAAGAATGGTCATAATAAAAAAATAATAATAATAATAGATGTTGTCATGGGTGCAGTGAAAAGGGAACACTTTTATACTGTTAGTGGGAATGTAAACTAGTACAATCACTATGGAAAACTGTGGAAATTCCTTAAAGAACTAAAAGTAGATCTACCATTTGATCCAGCAATCCCACTACTAGGTATCTACTCAGGGGAAAAGAAGTCATTATACGAAAATGATACTTGCACATGCATGTTTATAGCAGCACAATTTGCAATTGCAAAAATACAGAACCAGCCCAAATGCCCATCAGTCAATGAGTGGATATAGAAAGTTTGTGTGTGGCGGGGTGGGTATATACTCAGCCATAAAAAGGAATGAAATAATGGCATTCACAGCAACCTGGATGGAATTAGAGGCTATTATTCTAAGTGAAGTAACTCAGGAATGGAAAACCAAACAGTGTATGTTCTCACTCATATATTGGAGCTAAGCTATGAGGACACAAATGCACAAGATTAGACTTTGGGGACTTGAAGGAAAGGGTGGGGGGCAGTGAGGGATAAAATACTACATATTGTGTACAGTGTACACTGCTTGGGTGATGGGTGCACCAAACTCTCAGAAATCACCACTAAAGAACTTATTCATGTAACCAAACACCACCTGTTCCCCAAAAACCTATGGAAATAAAAAATAAAAAATTAAAATATAAAATAAAATTAATATAGCTACCATAAAAAGATAAACAATAACTAGTCATCAAGCAAGAGTACTTGATGCCACCATTGTATACACATGGTCCATTCTCACTTTACCTGGTAATTGGAGTGACCATCTATATTAGTTCATTGACCCTATCCAGAGGTAAATACAAAAAGCAAACTCCTATATTTATGACATGAGGTAATTTTACAAGTTAGAACAAGGAACTTACTGAAGTTAGTCTCCTACTTTCCCAGAGAAACTGGGAAAAAGTGTAGTATCTCGTTTGGTATTTACATTTCAATAAGATGGCTTCCATGTTCTTCAGAAAGATTTTCTTGGATATAAAGGTGACAATAAAACTTATCTAGTTTTCAAGAGGATTAACTGCAGACAGCACTAACAACATTTTCTAAACTAAATACTCTAAAAAGAAAAGCTAGGGAGGGAGGTTTGGAGGTGTTTCCTCTCTTATTTTTAATAGGGAGAATTAAGTCTCTTATTTTTTATGTTAATTTTTATTTTTTCTTACAAAATTCATAAGACTTATTGGCTCCAGAATCTCAGTTTATATATTCTTTCAGTCTATAACATACACACACACACACACACGGGCGCACATGGACGTAGTCTTCTAGACATCATTATAAGCTATCAAAACTTAAAGTGGATTAATAAATATACCTTTTAAAAATCAGTAATTAATTTGTGATATCATTAGTGAAGATGCTATAACAACTATATTTTTAAATACACATTTTCAGCATTTAACTCATAAAGGAAATTGCATAATATATGTCTGATAGACCCAGTTATATGAAAATTGTTAACAACAACAACAAAAAGAATCTGAAAGCATGAGTTCAGAGTTAAGGGATGTACATTGAACTCTTGTGGGACAGGAAAAATCATAGGTTCTATATATTTTCAAGGCACTGTCAATTTTGTAGGGAAAATATATTCAATGAACATAAAGAATGTTTGCTAGAGTGGTGGAAAAGTTCATTTTCCCTGACATACTGAAAACCAGATATATTACAGAGATAAAAATGGAATTTAGCAAGCAATAAGATATGGGCATTTGTGACTGCAGTCAAAATTCCACTGGCTTTAACCATTTAAGATTTATCCCACCTATTTCATGACATTAAGTTTTTAATGAATACTTGGAAAGGGAAAAAAGGCTAGAGCATAGCATAAGATCAACTATGTCAACAGCATTCTCGGTTACCTGGAATGATTGTGAAAGGGGTTGTTTGATATCCTTTCCACTTGCCTTCCTAGCAGTTGCTCTAATTTACTGTATTTATAGATACCCATATCAGCCACATTTAGGCATTTGTTCTTGGCAAGGGAAAAAACGTTAAATGCATTCAGGCTGCAGAAAAAGTTGGTTGAGCATCAGTCTCCTTTTGATTCTGAAGAACATAGAGTTATGGAATGAAAAACTAGACAATAACTTAGAGATCAGAGTGCCCCTCTCCTCACTTAACAAATGAGGAACTTGAGAGAGAAGGCAAAGTGACTTGCACAGGCTCATGTGGACACTTTAATTTGTATTACGGCTAACAAAGATCACCATACGGGCTTAATAACTTTAAGCAACTTAATAACATATGTTGCTTAATAACTTTGCCCAAGTTAACTTCCCTAATTCTTAAACTATAATTCTATAATGCAAGTTTGCTATTTTTATTGCCCTTCCATATCAGTAGATAGCAAGTTAAAAATCTATGTTTTTAAATTTTCAACCCTCTTTTGTACACTGACCCCGTGGCTCCAGGCTTCATACTGGCACAAGGTTCTCCTCCTCTCCTGTGCTATCCACTGCCCGCCAAGGTTTGTTCAAGCTACATCCAGTCCCATAACTTCCAGGACAGCATTTACTCTGCATTTATACCTTGCTTTTATCCACTTTCAGAAACGAAAAGTGATATGGGATCATTGATTTTGGAACATTGCACATTATATATTCTCACTCATCCATTTCTACTAAAAAGTTTTCTAAATGCATTCCTTATTTTCTTACCTTAATAAGTCAAGTTTACACAATAGTATAATTTTTCATGACTAGTAAGATAACACATAAATGTGGTTGTATTATTTACTTAAGACAACTATTCAAAATACCTCTCTGTTATGAACCTATAAGTTACAGGATAAAAGATGTGCAGCAATCCAGGACTTTGAAATTTTGACTAAAACTGCCATTATCTTCATTTTCTGTCTTCATTTTATGCGATAAATTGTAAGAAACTTTATGATCCCCAAATATTCTGTCTGATAACAGCAGTAAATTTTTGAAGCAGAAGATGAACCATCCTGTTTGTTTTCGTACCTTCATGAAATATTCTTCCTTTTTATCTCTATCCTTGTTGACGTTTCAGCATGCCTAATTTTTAAAAAAATGTTGTCCAGTAAAAATATACATCATATCAACTTACTGGTGGCTTTGGCCCACTTCTTCTATTTTCCTTTCATTACAAATTTTTATTAGCTGTGAAAGAACAGACTTCCCAATTTCAAGAAAAGTTTGGTAATATATTTTGTAAGACCGCATAAATATATATGCTGCACGTGTACTAGGCTAGAGGTTTTGTGCCCTCAGAATTCCAGGTGTGCCTCACATAACTTTTAAATTACAAACTTATAGTAAGATGGAAATTTCTTATAGAAAATGCATGCACATGTTCTTTCTTTTAGAGATTACACTTCTCAGTATCTAACCTATAGAAATACACGTGCAAGAACATGTAAACTGCCAATAACTAGTTTACTGCACAAGACCATGTGTACAAGGACGGCCACTGCAGAATTGATTGTAATGGCCAAAAAAAAAAAAAAAAAAAAAAAGCCAACAAATGTCTAGCAATAAGAAGTATTATAAAATGCAACACTATGCATAGGTAAGAATAACAAGATAAGATCATTACATACTAACACAGAATGGTTTTCAAAATTTATTGTTAAATGGAAAATAAATTTAAAAAATCCATATAGAATGCTATTATTTGTATAAACACACTTCAGAGAACAAAACTATTATATAGGTGTGTGTGTTCTCTGTGTATGTGTAGACGTGTGTGTGTGTGTGTGTGTGTGTGTATATATATATATATATACTTTGCATATTATACTGTGTGTGTAGTCCATTCAATAAATATTTATTGAGTGTCCATCTTGTACAAAGCATTTTTCTAGAATACTATTTGCATGCACAATTAAAGGATTTAGAAGTTAGAACTGAGGATAAAATTTGGACATCAATGGCATATAAATGGAATGTAAAGCTGTTAGGATGAAATTACTTGGGAAAAGAATAAAGAAAATAGGAACAAGTCTAGAATCATCTAGAATAAAGTGATGGCAGTAGCCTCTCTAAAGAAAGAATGGGTAGGAAGTGGATATGGAGATATTTAGCTTTCTATGTATGTTTGAATTCCTCTTTTCTCCCTTTGGGACTCTAGTCATTGATTACTTGTGTAAATAAAACTGGATGTTCATATTTTGCATTTATATGAGGGAATATAGTATAGCAAGATTAAAATTAGATTTTAAAATGCTTTTGGTGTGTAGCAAGAGTGGAATGTGGGGATGTCAGTAGGAAACAAATATTGATGCTACCTATTTTCCTGGAAAGCAGATTTCAGAGATCACCCAAACATAATGTGGGTTCCTCTCAGCCTCCTTGAGGAGTACTAAGTAGGGCAAAAGTAGAGCTGTGTTCCTCTTCTCTTTTCATCTGGACCTGAACACTTTAAATAGGGGCACATAAAGACTTCAAAGAAAACACAGTTTAACTCCACATTTTGTAAAAAAGAGACATGATATTTTGTAAGGATGACAAAATAGAAGAAAGTCACTACATTCTGAGAATAAACATATTAAAAAGAGGGAATTAATATAAGACATGAAAACAAATACTCCTGCAAATAACTAGTGATGTTTTGGAAAATCTATATTAAGTACTATATTGAGTTAAATATGTAGGGCACACACGCCAAGGGACAAAAATGAAAATTGAAAATACAAAACAAAATACACAATCCTGAGATTTAGAAAGATTTTCCTCAGATAACTATGATCATACAGCTTAAAAAGTAGGTTAATAGGTAGAAGACTGGATAAAGAACAAAATGCTGAATTAGAAAAATAAATGTTTAAAAAACTATCTCAAACTCAGAATTACAAGACGAGGCAAACAATTCAAGCAGCATAATTTGTAATAATACAAAACGAACACAATTACAAGATCTAAGATCACAAAATAGAAATACTTGAAGCAAGGACATCACATAAAGAAAAAAATGAAATACATTAGAACTGCAACTTCTAGAGCTGAGTAAAATAATTTGTGTGATCAGATTGAAAATGTTAGCTGAGCAGCAAAAAAACGAGGCATGCAATAAGACCTATCATATTCAAGTGTATAAATTCTAAGAATAAAGAACAATTTTAAAAATTATCCAGGCAGAAAAATAAACAGAATTATCAATATATATAGATGTTGCTTTTTAAAAAATAACTTCATTATACTTTATTGTTTGAATTTACCATAATTTTTTGACAATTTTCCTCTTAAGAATTTTCAAGATAATTGTGATACAAGGTCAATGGAGTAAGAAAGTCTAGTGTTAAGATAATCGCTGAAATAGCTCAATACACAAAACTTTGTAGGAGGTGATAATAAGATAGGCAAGGGCTGACAGATACAAAGAAATTTGACACGCCAAGGAAATAGAGGTGCCGAAAAAGTCACATAAAAAGTATAATTTAATACTGTTCAGCAAAACACTTTCTAAAATTTGCGTTAATCTATTTGTATAAATAAACTATTAAAAGCTAAAGGCCTAATGACATTTATTTTTAATGAAATAAAAACAAGAAATAAAAAGAAAACTCTTTAGTAAGATATCAAGGGACGTTTCATAAATGCATTTAGAAAAAACACCGACCGAGAACCTAATTTCAAACAGAATTTAACTCTCTTTTACAACTCCCACCCGACATTTCTAGAGAAAATGCTTCACATGTAATCAACGTGTGTCAATTTAAATTACATCATTAATTTGAGTTAAAATTGCATATTTACAATCTTTTCTGGTCTTTTGGTATATTTAACACTATCATTGCAAACATCTTTCAATAGGAAATCAGGACTCCAATTATCGCATATGTGCATATTGTTTTTTTTTTTTTTTTTTTTTTTTTGAGAAGGAGTCTCGCTCTTTCGCCCAGGCCAGAGTGCAGTGGCGCTATCTCGGCTCACTGGAAGCTCCGCCTCCCGGGTTCACGCCATTTCCTGCCTCAGCCTCCTGAGTAGCTGGGATTACAGGCGCCCGCCACCGCGCCCGGCTAATTTTTTGTGTTTTTAGTAGAGACGGGGTTTCACCGTCTTAGCCAAGATGGTCTCGATCTCCTGACCTCGTGATCCGCCTGCCTCGGCCTCCCAAAGTACTGGGATTACAGGCGTGAGCCACCGCGCCTGGCCACATATTCTTAATGATGTGAAGCAAATTAAATTTAAGCTTGGCATTTTTTTAAATATTATTTTTTTGGTAGTTGTAATTCTTTAATAAGAGAATAATTTAGCTCATTATCAGTGTATATGTTCACAAAATGTTGCTATCTGTAAGAATAATACTTTATTTTAATAAAATGTTGTGATCAATTACTTTAAGGTTCATATTCTGAACAATATAATAATATAAGGCAAAGTAGTTTTTTTTTTTAAGTTTTTTTTTCTTTTATTATTATACTTTAAGTTTTAGGGTACATGTGCACATTGTGCAGGTTAGTTACATATGTATACATGTGCCATGCTGGTGCGCTGCACCCACTAACTTGTAATCTAGCATTAGGTATATCTCCCAATGCTATCCCTCCCCCCTCCCCCCACCCCACAACAGTCCCCAGCGTGTGATGTTCCCCTTCCTGTGTCCATGTGATCTCATTGTTCAATTCCTACCTATGAGTGAGAATATGCGGTGTTTGGTTTTTTGTTCTTGCGATAGTTTACTGAGAATGATGATTTCCAATTTCATCCATGTCCCTACAAAGGACATGAACTCATCCTTTTTTATGGCTGCATAGTATTCCATGGTGTATATGTGCCACATTTTCTTAATCCAGTCTATTATCGTTGGACATTTGGGTTGGTTCCAAGTCTTTGCTATTGTGAATAGTGCCGCAATAAACATACGTGTGCATGTGTCTTTATAGCAGCATGATTTATAGTCCTTTGGGTATATACCCAGTAATGGGATGGCTGGGTTAAATGGTATTTCTAGTTCTAGATCCCTGAGGAATCGCCACACTGACTTCCACAATGGTTGAACTAGTTTCCAGTCCCACCAACAGTGTAAAAGTGTTCCTATTTCTCCACATCCTCTCCAGCACCTGTTGTTTCCTGACTTTTGAATGATTGCCATTCTAACTGGTGTGAGATGGTATCTCATTGTGGTTTTGATTTGCTTTTCTCTGATGGCCAGTGATGATGAGCATTTTTTCATGTGTTTTTTGGCTGCATAAATGTCGTCTTCTGAGAAGTATCTGTTCATGTCCTTCGCCCACTTTTTGATGGGGTCGTTTGTTTTTTTCTTGTAAATTTGTTTGAGTTCATTGTAGATTCTGGATATTAGCCCGGCAAAGCAGTTTTTGCTGCTTAAAATTTTAGAAGTTGCATCTTCACATACAAAAATTCTCTAAATATAATATTCATATTTAGAAAATTCTGATGCTTTTTTATTTTTTGCAATAGAGGTTAATAAAAGAATTTATACTTCTAATAAACTGAAGAGGTTTAGAATTAGTATTTTCATGCTTACTGTGGCAGTTGGGTATAAAATACAAAAACTTGCAAATATGACATTAAAATAACTGGAACTAAATTGATTAAGAGAGCATTTTAAAATTCAGTGCTCAAGAGGAGACAACCCACATGTCTCTAAATAGATGAATAGATAAATACTGTATACATACAATAGAATAATATTAGCCTTAAATAGAAATGCCATCCTGATAAATGATACAACATGGATGAAACTTAAAGACATAATACTAAGTGAAATAAACCAAACACAAATAGACAAATATTGTATGATTCCACTTATACAAAATACCTAGAATTTGAAAATTCGTAAAGACAGAAAGTAGTTTAGAGACTATCAGGGGTTTGTTTAATGATTATGATTCTTTAATGATTACGAGATTTCTATACAGGGCAGTGAAAGGGTTGTGGGAGTGGATAGCTATAATGGTTGTAACAATTGTGAATATAATTATCGCCACTGAATTGTACACTTAAAAATGGTTGAAATGATTTTGTGTTAAGTATACATTATGCCACTTACAAAAAATAAAAGATTTTAGATAGTTACATACAAACTATGCTTTCATATTTGGAATAAAAATGAGGGGTAAGGCTAGAAGTGGTGGCTTACGCCTGTAATCCCAGCACTTTGGGAGGCTGAGGTGGGCGGATCGCCGGAGGTCAGGAGTTCAAGACCAGCCTGGCCAACATGGTGAAACCCTGTCTCTACTAAAAATAAAAAAATTAGCTGGGCATGGTGGTTCATGCCTGTAATCCCAGCTACTTGGGAGGCTGAGGCAGGAGAATCACTTGAACCCAGGAGGCGGAGGTTGCAGTGAGCCAAGATTATGCCACTGCACTCCAGCCTGGGCTACACAGCAAGACTCTGCCTCAAAAAAAAAAAAAAAGAAAGAAAAAAAGCGAGGGGTAAGAAAGACAATATATTTATTAATGCAAATTTAGTTACTGTTTATACCTGTTAGATATAGTCATTCTGAACTGATCTAAAACCAAGTTATAACAGCTCTGAATAAAATTCAGAATGAAATATTTTAAATCTTTAGGATGTTACCTTAGAATTAAAATAACTTTAATTAAATAGATACTGGGGAAATTATTACAATCTAAGCACAGTCTTTTTTATACCACATAATTTTTAAACTACATACTAATGCTTTCTTAATATTGAAAAATTTCAATTTTGTAGAGGTAAATTTATTGTATTCATGGTATTTTTAGATATACAATAACCTCTTAGTTTTTATTTAATCAAAACTATTAGTTTTTCCTTGTTTTTTCTTTATGTTTTGCTTAGAAATACCTTTGCCACCTGAAGAAAAAAATATTAAAGTACGTTTTATTTAAAATATTGTATATGTTTGATTTTTGATTACTCATAAAAGCATATATGTATACATAATATATTGCACCTACTTTTTTTGTTTGTTTGTTTTTTGAGATGGAGTCTCGCTCTGTTGCCCAGGCTGGAGTGCAGTAGCACCATCTCAGCTCACTGCAAGCTCCGCCTCCCAGGTTCACGCCATTCTCCTGCCTCAGCCTCCCGAGTTGCTGGGACTACAGGCGCCTGCCGCCACGCCCGGCTAATTTTTTGTATTTTTAGTAGAGATGGGGTTTCACCGTTTAGCCAGATTGGTCTCGATCTCCTCACCTCGTGATCTGCCCGCCTCGGCCTCCCAAAGTGCTGGGATTACAGGTGTGAGCCACCGTGCCTGTTGTGCACTTACTTTTTACTCTTCAGGTAACTATCCCAGAATTATTTATCATGTGATTTTATGTTTTACCACTAATAAATTATCCTGGCCGGGTGCGGTGGCTCATGCCTGTAATCCCAGCACATTGGGAGGCCGAGGAGGGCGGATCACGAGGTCAGGAGTTCAAGACCAGCCATGCCAACATAGTGAAACCCAGTCTCTACTAAAAATACAAGTTAGCTTGGCATGGTGATTCACATCTGTCATCCCAGCTACTCGGGAGGCTGAGGCAGGAGAATCACTTGAACCTGGGAGGTGGAGGTTGCAGTGAGCCTAGATCATGCCACTGCACTCCATCCTGGGTGACAGAGTGAGACTCTGTTCCGTAAAAAAAAAGAAGAAAAAGAAAAAGAAAAAATTATCCTGTTGCAGATTGTTAAGGTCTTATGTCTACATCTGATCATTTTGTTCAGCGTCACCGTTCTGAAAAATTTTGAGACAGTACCGTAATGTCTAAATTAGTGAAAATAGAGCATATGTTATGCTATCTGGCATGCAAGTACACATAATTACGCTCATTTGCAAATAATTGTATGATTCTAAGTACTGTTTTACAGCTTTAAAGCATTTTTTCAAGCTTCTCTTCCCACCATCTTGTGAAAAAAATTGTTGAGATTTTAATTACAATTGCATTAACATATGTATTAACTTGGGAAAATCTACTTTCATTTTTTCAGCTCATTGTTTTTGTTATTTACCTCCATAGCTTTAAATAACATGCTAAATAACATTGTTTCTTTATTACTTAGTTTTAAATATCATCCTTTCACTTCCTATTAAAAAAGAAGACTCTATGACTCCATCTACCACATACATCAGTGTATATCCTTCCCAATTCTATTATCCTAATATAGTTATAATTTGATAGTACTCATAACTGCTATTTACATTCTTATGAGTATGTAAATGATACTCATAGTTAAGCCTTGGGTGAATTATTTTTTGTGCAGCCTTAAAAATATGTACTATTAACTTGCTTGATTTTCTATATACTTATTATTAATTCAAACACAAACTCTTAAACAGTTGCCTAAGGCTCCGTTTAGATGGTCAGACAAATCAGGTATGCTATGAAGTCTATCTTTCTGAAAGTCTCCCCCAGGCCTTGTAATCTGCTATAGTCTGCTGTAGGTGCCCGCTCTGCTGCTGCACATCTGTCACTCTGGGGGCTTTCTTCATCCTGGGGATTCCCATTGCCTTTCCTCTGTGCTAGATGTCCTGTTTCCACTATGGAGTCTTTTTGCTTGTTGTTCTTTTAAGTTTATGAAGCAAATCAAATATTAGCTTCCTGAGGGCAGAAAAAATAAATGGGAAGGGAAAATTTTAAACTCTCAAACACATGAAATGACATTTGATTGATAGATTGGATGAATAGATTTAATTGGGTAAAGAATTTTGAATTTTATGTATTTTTTCAGATTTTTAAAATATATTTTTTATTATACTTTAAGTTCTAGGGTACATGTGCACAACGTGCAGGTTTGTTACATATGTATACATGTGCCATGTTGGTGTGCTGCACCCATTAACTCGTCATTTAGAATTAGGTATATCTCCTAATGCTATCCCTCCCCACTCCTCCCACCCCACAACAGGCCCCGGTGTGTGATGTTCCCCTTCCTGTGTCCATGTGTTCTCATTGTTCAATTCCCACCTATGAGTGAGAACATGCGGTGCTTGGTTTTTTGTCCTTGGATAGTTTGCTGAGAATGATGGTTTCCAGCTTCATCCATGTCCCTACAAAGGACATGAACTCACCATTTTTTAAGGCTGCATAGTATTCCATGGCATGTATGTGCCAGATTTTCTTAATCCAGTTTATCATTGTTGGACATTTGGGTTGGTTCAAGTCTTTGCTATTGTGAATAGTGCCGCAATAAACATACATGTGCATGTATCTTTATAGCAGCATGATTTATATAATCCTCTGGGTATATACCCAGTAATGGGATGGCTGGGTCAAATGGTATTTCTAGTTCTAAATCCCTGAGGAATCGCCACACTGATTTCCACAAAGGTTGAACTAGTTTCCAGTCCCACCAACAGTGTAAAAGTGTTCCTATTTCTCCACATCCTCTCCAGCACCTGTTGTTTCCTGACTTTTTAATGATCGCCATTCTAACTAATGTGAGATGGTATCTCATTGTGGTTTTGATTTGCATTTCTCTGATGGCCAGTGATGATGAGCATTTTTTCATGTGTCCGTTGGCTGCATAAATGTCTTCTTTTGAGAAGTGTCTGTTCATATCCTTTGCCCACTTTTTGATGGGGTTGTTTGTTTTTTTCTTGTAAATGTGTTTGAGTTCTTTGTAGATTCTGGATATTAGCCCTTTGTCAGATGAGTAGATTGCAAAAATTTTCTCCCATTCTGTAGGTTGCCTGTTCACTCTGATGGTAGTTTCTTTTGCTGTGCAGAAGCTCTTTAGTTTAATTACATCCCATTTGTCAATTTTGTCTTTTGTTGCCATTGCTTTTGGTGTTTTAGACATGAAGTCCTTGCCCATGCCTATGTCCTGAATGGTATTGCCTAGGTTTTCTTCTAGGGTTTTTATGGTTTTAGGTCTAACATTTAAGTCTTTAATCCATCTTGAATTGATTTTTGTATAAGGTGTAAGGAAGGGATCCAGTTTCAGCTTTCTACATATGGCTAGCCAGTTTTCCCAGCACCATTTATTAGACAGGGAATCCTTTCCCCATTTCTTGTTTTTCTCAGGTTTGTCAAAGATCAGATAGTTATAGATGTGTGGTATTATTGCTGAGGGCTCTGTTCTGTTCCATTGTTTTATATCTCTGTTTTGGTACCAGTACCACGCTGTTTTGGTTAGTGTAGCCTTGTAGTATAGTTTGAAGTCAGGTAGCGTGATGCCTCCAACTTTGTTCTTTATATTTTTTCAGAATTTTAAAGATGCTTTTATATTGTCATACAGCTTTAAGTGTTTCTGTTGAGAAGTCTGAAACTAGCATAGTAAGCAGTCCTTTGAAATTACATATATGTTTTATTTTTCACTCTGAAAGCTGGTAGGTACTTCCATTTTCCTTTGAGTTCTAAAATTTTATAAACATGTTCAATGGTATAAGTAAATTTTCATCTATTGTGCTGGGAACACCTGGGCTCTTTATATTTAAAGTACATGGTATTTCATTTCCAGGACATTTTCCTAGATTAATTCCATTTCTTTTTTATTCTTTAATGACTTTTTTGGGAACTTGTCTTATTTGCATATTGAATTTCCTGGACTGGTCTACTTTTCATACCTGTCTTCACCTTTTATCTTTCTTTGCCATTTTGTTCAATTTTCTCTTCTCTAGTAAATTCCTTCTAATTTTTGTTTAAATTTTTGCCATATGTAGAATTTCCAAGGACTTATTTTTTGTTGTCTCAATATTTCTTTCTTAGAATACTCTAATCTTGTTTCATGGTTATCATGTCATCTCCTATTTCTAAAAATACTAAATGTAGTTTTCCGTGTGTCTACACATGGATATTTTCTTAATCCTATAGAGTTGTTTCCTCCCATTTTCTTTCCTTTCCTTATTCGATATTTCATGTGGGTTGCTTTTCTCAGGTTCTGCTAATTCCTGGTTGTCTGCTTATATTTAAGGGTAATGAAAAGCAAATGGGAAGCATCAGTCTGCAAAAGGCACCTGCTGACTATGAGCTTCACATGGGAGGATCTATCTGGCTGGGTTATTTAGAAGGAGAAATTCTGATTCAGTAATTTTAGGTCTTTCTCATAAGACTGGTCAGATTTTGCAAGAATTCTCTGACCCAGCCTGAAAAGTGAAAAACTGGCACTAGCTCTGTGTGAGCAAACTGGTAAGGCTTTTTAGAGAATCTCAGAATCTAGTAGTCGTTGTTTATTTAAACTGTATAATTTCACTGTTGTCTTCTTCCATAAGTAAACAAAAATAACCCACATTTATGTTGGAACTATTCCAATTGCAACCTTAGACTTACTGTAGATAAAAGAGTTTGGCAAAAAATAAAAATCAATGAGAATTTGAGAATTAATTAATTTTATGGAATTTATAGTACAGTATTGCATATTTCATTATAATCTTTAAATTGTGCTACACATCCTTTATATCAGCAAAGTTTATAATATTTTTTTCCACAAAGCCTCTTGTGAAACATGTAGCAATCACCCCTGCCTTAATTACCATTCCCCATTAATTCCCCCATATAGTATTCCCATTCCAAATTGTATCTAGTGCTCATTTGTCCAAAGAGCATCTTTTCACCATCTACATTGAATAAATCTTTGGTCCTTTACTAGAGTGTGGGAGTGACAGTCTCCATGCAACTGATAGTAGAGCATGTTAAATAGCATTATGAAATTTAACCACTCCTCTTTATTTTAGCTAATTTTACTTTTTGCATTTCTCTATTGCTATCTTAGAATTTACTTGTCTTGGGTGATCTAGGTTATTGATCACTTTTCATGCACTTCCAGACTTCCAAAATGTTGTTGCTATTTTTTTTTCTCTTGTTCTCATCTCTCCTGAATATGTTTGATTTAAAATAATTTGCTGTATTTATATTTTAGTTAGATTTCAGGAGTTAATGAAATTAGATGTGTTCAATCTAGCGCCTTACGCAGAAGTCCATAATATATTCTTTATCCACTGACTTGTGTGGCCTTCTTTATTACATACTATGCCAATTTATGTACACTAGTTCCTGATCTCTCCACACCATTATCAGTTTTATTTATTTGGGCTTTGTAATATGTCTTATATGATGAAATGAAGATCCTCTAGTTTTACAAATTGATTTAGCTCCTCATGAAATATTCTTGGAAGTAAATTTTAGAAGCAGTTTTTCAATTTCCATTTACAATTTTGCTATGACTTTATTAACAAAGGACAATTTGTGGAGTTTATTAACAAGGACAATTAAAGAGTTTATACTAAATATTTAGGGGTCCACCCATTAATGTATATATATATATACACATTTTTGTCAGGTCTTTTAAAGTTTTCTCTGTTAGGGTTTTGCAGAGTTTTGTAGTTTTTACATGGATCACTCTAGATATATATTTTTGGTTATTACCATAAATAGTGTCTTATTGTCTATAATATTCTATAATTTTGCTATTACTAATCAATTACCAGTTTTTATATTATCTCATACTTTTCCCTCTTGCTGGGCTTTTTCTTTTTTAGTTCTGATGATGCCTATTAATCGTCCTGGGTTTTCTATATGAATAACGTAGCCTCATTATGAGATAGGAGACTGGCAGGACTTATTTCCCCGACCCAACAAACAAACAAACAGACAAAAACAAAGACAAAAAAAATGGCTGGAACCAGCAAATGGCATTCATCAACACCATAACAGTTTACAAATGCCACAACAACACCCAAAAGTTGCTGCCCCCTTTCTAGAGATTTTGGAATAATGTTCCCCCCTAATTTACATGTAATTAAAAAGTGGGTATAAATATAGCTAGCCATGCACTGCTACTCTGAGCACACTGCCCATGGGTTAGCCCTGCTCCACAAAGAGCAGCCAAGTCTATAGAATTCTGATGAAAAAATGTATGATCCAAAACTTTTATACAGTCAGAATAGCAACAATTAGAAAAACAAAAATGTACACATAACATACTAAAATCTGTGGTATACAAGAAAAGGAGTTCTAAGAGAGAAGTTTATAAAAATGAAAGTGTTCATCAAAAAAGATTTCAACTGCACAACCTAACACTATATCTCAAGGAAGTCACAGAACAAGAACAAACAAAACCCAAAATCAGTAGAAGGAAGACTATAATAAACATTAGAGCAGAAATAAATAAAATATAGACTAGAAAAACAATACAAAATATTAACAAAATAAAGAGTTGTGTTTTTTTCCCAAATATGAACAATTTGACAAACTTTAAACTATCCAAGAAAAAAGAAAGATGACCCAAATAAATTAAATCAGCAGTGAAAAAGACATTACAACTGGTACCACAGAAATACAAAGGATTGGCCAGGCACGGTGGCTCACCCCTATGATCCCAGCAATTTGGGGGGCCGAGGCAGGTGGATCACTTGAGGTCAGGAGTTCAAGACCAGCCCGGCCAACATGGTGAAACCTCATCTCTATTAAAAATACAAAAATTAGTAATCCCAGCTACTCGGGAGGCTGAGGCAGGAGAATAGCTTGAACCCAGGAGGTGGAGGTTGCAGTGAGCCGAGATTATGCCACTGTACTCCAGACTGGACAACAGAGTGAGACTGTCTCAAGGAAAAAAAAAGAAAAGAAAAGAAAGAAATACAAAAGATCATAAAACACTATTATAAACAACTAAATGTTAACAAATTAGATAGCTGAAGGAGAAATGAATAAATTCCTGGACACATGCAACCTAGCCAGACTGAAATATAAATAAACAGAATATTAGAATAAACCAATAACAAATACAAAATTTCATCAGTAATAAAAAGTATCCCTTCAAAAAAGAAAATCCAGGACCTGATAGCTCACTGCTGAATCCTATCAAACATATAAAGAAAAACTGATATATAAATTCTTTTCAAACTAGTCCAAATAATTGAAAAAGGACTACTTCAAACATATTGTACAAGGTCCACATTACCCTGACATCAAAACCATACAAGAACACAACAACAAAAAAAGGAAAACTAAAGGCCAATGGCTTTAATGAACACACATGGAAAAATCTTCAATAAATTAGTAGCACAGTAAGTTCAACAGCACGTTAAAAATATCATTTACCGGTCAGGCGTGGTGGCTCATGCCTATAATCCCGGCACTTTGGGAGGCTGCTTTTTTGTCTCTTGACTTTTTTGTTACAGAAGAACAAATTATGAGTAACTTGCTTCTCTGTCTTTTGGATAATTTAGTTAAAAATGTATTATGAACTATTTAATAACACAAGTAATATTGGAGCATACATATAGAGAATTATATAGTAAACATTCTTATGCCTACAATCTAGCTTAAGAAATAAAATATTCTAAAGCTTTGTGTCTTTGTGTATTTTTCCTCAATTATGACTCTCACTTTGTACTCCCAGAGCAAAGGGTATCCAGTAACCTGTGTTTTATGTCTTTTTTTTTTCTTTCTGTTTTGGATTTTAGTTTTATAAAATATGTATGTGTTGTAGAGTATTTGTTGCGGGAGTCCTCACCCCATTAGTTCATGCCATTCTGAATCCACACTCTTGGAAAATCCACTCCTACACCGATTCTGGTCTAATCCATGTGACTTGCTTTGGTCAATGGCTCATCAGAAAATGCCACAGACAGATTTGCAAAATGATGGAACACTGGGACTTGGTTTCTCTTGGTGATGTCAAAAACTCACACCACCCTGGAACAAATCTGCACAAGCTTTGCTGGACGATGAAAGGCACATGGCCCAGTTATCCCCGTAACTGAAATTCGTAAAGATATTTTGTTTATTTCTCTCCCATGTTTTACAATTATGTCTTTTATATTTATGGTTTTTATTTATATAAAATTGATTTTTTAGGTGTTGTAAGGTAGAGATAGAATGTCAATTTTTTTTTCCTATATGGACAACCTTCCAGATTAGAACACACTTATTGAATATTCTGTCTTTACCAAAAGAGGCTGCTGTAACATTTCCTTTATATATTGTCTACATATATTTTATTTTTGTTTTTATTATTTTATTTAGCTTGCCCTGTGCCAATAAAATATTGTGCTAATTATTAAAGCTTTATAATAAATATTGATCTCTGATAAGGCAAATCTTATGTTGATTTTCTCAATTGTGCTGAAATTTAAATTTCAGAATCAGCATGCTAAATTCAAATAAAAAATCTTGATATGGGTTTTACTGAGAATATATTGACTACATGGTTAATTGTGATCGGTCTTTACAATTTGGAATCACTAAACATGAATGCAACAACTCTATTTGTTTAGGCATTCATTCTTCAGTAAAGTTTTGTAAGTTCTTTTAAGTTTCCCTGTAAAGGTTTGCATCTATTATGTTACCTATTACAAGTATGTCTACCGATGTTTCGAATGGCATGTTTTTAAAACTACGTATCTGTCCATCTCTTGCCTGTAGGCGTAAGGCTATATATATATATATATATATAAATAAAATCAAATATAATTTGATTTTAGATTTGATTTTTTGTCTACAATCTTGCTAAACTTGTTACTTTCAATAATTTGTGGCTTTTTGGTTGCCTAATATAGATTATAATGTGCCCTGCAATGAACAGTTTGATTAATTTCTTTACATTCCTTAAACCTCTTATTTATTTTAATTGTGCCCCTGTGCTGAATAACACTTATAGCACAGTGTTGAACAGAGGTAATAATAGAAAAAAAATTCTCATATTTTTCCTGATTTTAAAGCAAATGTTTTTACTGTTTTACCATTTGTACAGCTTGCTGTAGTTTTTGTAAAAGATACTCTTTATCAGGCTATCAAATATTTTTCTATTCTACTTAATAAAGGTTTTCTCAAATTAAAATGATTTACATTTTATTTTAAATATGTTTTACCTGTAGAGGTGATCATTTATGTTCTTTTGCATTAAATCTGCTTATGTGGTAATTTACATTATTAGATTTTATAATGTTAAAGCATCCTTGAACTTCTAGGATAACCCCAAATTTGATCATAAATTGTTATATTTTATACATTGATAGATTTGGTTTTGTAATATTTTATTTGGTATTTTACATCTAAATTAATGATTAAGATTAACCTATACATTTCTTTATTTATTCTAGTGTTTTCTGGTTTTAATGTCAAGTTTAACCTGGCCTCATAAAACAAGGAGAGAGGAGAGGCATGTTCCCTCTTTCCTAGTCTCATAGAAGAAATGCTTTTTTCTTTTTTTTAAAAAAAATTGAAATGATTTTTCCTTTGAATATTTTGTGTAACTCAGTTATAAACTTAATGGATCTACTATTTATAGAATGGAGATTGAATTTTATTTATTGGTTAATGCTCTTAAAAAAACAACTTTGTTGAAATATAATTCACATATCATGCAATTCCCCCATTTAAAAAGTACAATCCAGAGGTTTTTAGTTTGTTCACAGAGTGATGCAACCATCACCACAATCAATTTTGGAACATTTTTATCACCAAAAAAAGTAACTCCATAATCATTAATAGTCATTTTCCGTTACTCTCCCTGTCCCACTACTTTCTCTCCCCAGGTCCCTGGCCCCAGGCTATCGCTTATTCACTTTCAGTCTCTATATATTTGCCTATTCTGAACATTTTGAAAATATCCCTTCTATCTCTAACTATAATTATATATCCTTTGATCAACATCTCCCCTTTTCCCCATCCCCACTAACTACCCAAGTCTCTGGTAACCACTATTCTATTCTATAAGATCATTTTTTTTTAATTCCACATATGAGTGAGCTATTGTATTTCTTTTCCTATACCTAGCTTATTTCACTCAGCACAATGGTCTTCAGGTTCATCCACATTGTTGCAAAAGATAAAACTTTGTTCATTTTTCTAGCTAAATAGCATCCCATTGTGTACATATACCACATTCTATTTAGCCATTCATCTATTGATAGACACTTAGTTGATTCCATATCATGGCTATCGTGAATAGTGCTACAATAAACATGGAAGTATAGACGTCTTTTCAACATATTAATTTGAATTCCTTTGGATATAAACCCAGTAGTAGAATTGCTGGATCATATGGTAGTTCTCTTTTAATCGTTTGAGGAACCTCCATATTATTTTCCATAAAACTTTACTGATTTACATTCCCACCAGCAGTGTATAGGATTCCCTTCTCTCCACATCCTCACCAACACTTACTATTTTTTGTTATTTTGATAATCGCCTTTCTAACCAGTGTGAGATGATATCCCAATGTGGTTTGAGTTGCATTTCCCTCATGATTAGTGATGTTTAGTATATTTTCATATACCTGTTGCTCAATTGTATGTCTTCTTTTGAGAAATGCCTGTTTAGGTCTTTTGCCCATTTTTTTTTAGTAGGGTTATTTGTTTTCTTGATATTGAGTTGTTTAAGTTCCTTATAAATTTTGAAGTCAACTCCTTCTCAGGAGTATGGTTTACAAATACTTTCTCCCTTTCAGTATGTTGTCTCTTCACTCTGTTACTTTCCTTTGCTGTGTCGAAGCTTTTTAGTTTGATATAATCTCATTTGTCTATTTTTGCTTCATTTGACTTTATTTTGAGGCCAAATAAAACATTATTGCCCAAACCAATGTCATAAAACATTTCCTTTATATTTTCTTCTAGAAGTTTATAATTTTGGATAATATATTTAAGTCTTAATCTTTTTTGAGTTGATTTTTGTATGTGGCGAGAAAGAAGAGTCTAATTTTATTCTTCTGCATATGGATATACAGTTTTCCTATTATTATTTATTGAACAAATTTTCCTTTCTCTTTTGTTTGCTTTTGGCACCTTTGTCAAAAATCAGTTGACTGTAAATACATGAATTTATTTCTGGGCTCTCCATTGTGTTTCACTGGTCTGTGTGGCCGTTTTTTTATGCCAGTATTATGCTGTTTTGATTACTATCACTTTTAGTACACTTTGACATCAAGTAGCGTGATGCCTTTAGCTTTCTCCTTTTTGCTCAACATTGTTTTGGTTCTTTGGGGTCTTTTGTGATTACATACAAATCTTAAGGGTGTTTCTTCTATTTCTGAGAAAAAATGTCATTGGCATTTTGATAGGAGTTTTGTTGAATCTGTACATCACTTTGGGTAAATGGATGATTTAACAATACTTACTCCTCCAGTCCATGAACATGGGAAATCTTTTCATTTATTTGTGTCTTCTTCACTTTCTTCTTCAGCATTTTTATACTTTTTAGTGGTAGAGATTTATCAACGCCTTAGCTAAATTTATTCCTAAGCATTTTATTTTATTTTATTTTTTGTAGCTATTGTAAATAGTATTGTTTTCTTTTTAAGATAGTTGCATATTCATGTATAAAAATTCTACTAATTTTTTAGTTGTGACTGTTTTAGTAAGGTGTTTATCATATATATAATATTATATATAGACACACATATATATATATATATATATATGATATGTCATCTGCAAGCAGGAGTAATTTAAATTCTTTCTTTCCCATTTGGATAACTTTTATTTCTTTCTTTGCCTAATTGTTCTGGCCAGGACTTCCAGTACTTTGTTGAATAAAAATGGCAAAAGTGGCTACTCTGGATTTATTCTAGATCTTAGAGGAAACACTTTCAATTTTTCTCCATTCAGTATGATGTTAGCTGTGGATTTGTCATATATGGCCTTTGTTGTATTGATGTATGTTCCTTCTATACCTAATTTGTGGAGAATTTTTATCATAAAGGAATGTTAAATTTAGTCAAGTGTCTCCTGTAATCCCAGCACTTTTGGAGGCCGAGGTGGGCAGATCACGAGGTCAGGAGTTCAAGATCAGCCTGGCCAACATAGTGAAACTTTGTCTCTACTAAAAATACAAAAATTAGCCTGGCATGGTGGCGTGTGCCTGTAGTTCCAGCTACTCGGGAGGCTGAGGCAGGAGAATGGCTTGAACCCGGGAGGCAGAGGTTGTAGTGAGCTGAGATCATGCCACTGCACTCCAGCTTGGGCAACAGAGTGAGACTTCATCTCAAAAAAATAAAATAACAATTTAGCCAAGTGTTTATTTTTGTATCTGTTGAAATGATCACATGGATTTTGTCCTTTATTTTGTTAATGTGATGTATCAAATATATTTACATATGTTGGAACCATCCTTGCAATCCTAGGATTAGTTCTACTTGAACTTGGTAAATGATATATATATATATTTTTTTTGAGATGGAGTCTCCCTGTGTCTCCAGGCTGGAGTGCAGTGGCATGATCTCGGCTCACTGAAACCTCCACCTTCCAGATTCAAGCAATTCTCCTACCTCAGCCTCCCAAGTAGCTGGGACCACAGGCACACGCCACCACACCCAGCTAATTTTTGTATTTTTAGTAGAGACAGGGTTTCACCATGTTGGCCAGGATGGTCTCGATCTCTTGATCTCGTGATCCACCCACCTCGGCCTCCCAAAGTGCTGGGATTACAGGCGTGAGCCACCACGCCTGGCCGGTAAATGATATTTTTAATGTGCTGTTGAACTTACTTTGCTACTAATTTATTGAAGATTTTTCCATGTGTGTTCATTAAAGCCATTGACCTTTAGTTTTCCTTTTTTTGTTGTTGTGTTCTTGTATGGTTTTGATGTCAGGGTAATGTGGACCTTGTACAATACATTTGAAGTAGTCCTTCTTTTTCAATTTTTTGGACTAGTTTGGAAAGAATTTATATATCAGTTTTTCTTTATATGTTCAATAGGATTCAGCAGTGAGCTATCAGGTCCTGGATTTTCTTTTTTGAAGGGATACTTTTTATTACTGATGAAATTTTGTATTTGTTATTGGTTTATTCTAATATTCTGTTTATTTATATTTCAATCTGGCTAGGTTGCATGTGTCCAGGAATTTATTCGTTTCTCCTTCAGCTATCTAATTTGTTAAATTTAGTTGTTCATAATAGTGTTTTATGATCTTTTGTATTTCTTTCTTTTCTTTTCTTTTCCTTTTTTTTTTTTTTTTTTTTGAGACAGTCTCACTCTGTTGTCCAGGCTGGAGTGCAGTGGCATAATCTCAGTTCACTGCAACCTCCCCCTCCTGGGTTCAAGCTATTCTCCTGCCTCAGCCTCCTGAGTAGCTGGGATTACAGGCATGCACCACCATGCCCAACTAATTTTTGTATTTTTAATAGAGATGGGGTCTCACCATGTTGGCCAGGCTGGTCTCAAACTCCTGACCTCAAGTGATCCACCTGCCTCAGCCCCCCAAAGTGCTGAGATCACAGGCATGAGCCACCACGCCTGGCCAATCCTTTGTATTTCTGTGGTATTAGTTGTAATGTCTGCTTTTTCACTGCTGATTTAATTTATTTGGGTCATCTCTCTTTTTTCTTGGATAGTTTAAACTTTGTCAAGTTGTTCATATTTGGGGAAAAAAAACTATTTTGTTAATATTTTGTATTGTTTTTTAGTCTATATTTTATTTATTTCTGCTCTAATGTTTATTATAGTCTTCGTTCTACTGATTTGGGGTTTTGTTTGTTCTTGTTTTGTGACTTCCTTGAGATATAGTGTTAGGTTGTGCAGTTGAAATCTTTTTTGATGAACACTTTTATTTTTATAAACTTCTGTCTTAGAACTCCTTTTCTTGTATACCACAGATTTTAGTATGTTATGTTTACATTTTTGTTTTTCTCAAAAAGTTTTAAAGTTTTCCTATTATTTTCTTCAGAGATTTATTAATCATTCGGGGCATATTGTTTAATTTCCATGTATTTAAAAAGATTCCAGTGTTCCCATTATTGTTGAATGGTTAATTTTTAGTTTTATACCATTGTGGTTAAAAAAGATACTTTATATAATTTCAATCTTCTTAAATTTGCTAAGGTTTGTTTTGTAGATTAACATATTATCTATCTTGAGATATATTTCATGTGCAGTTGAAGAGAATATATATTTTATGATTGTTAGATCAAACGTTCTGTAAATATTAGGTCCATTTGGTCTAGAGTGCAGGTTCTTTGCTAATTTCCTGGCTGGGTGATCCGTTCATTGGTGCAAGTGAGGTGTTCAAGCCCATTACTAGTATTGTATTGTAGTCTATCTCTCTCTTTAGCTCAATTAATATCTACTTTATATATTTAAGTTCTCCAATGTTGGATGCCTATAGTTTTACAATTGCTCTATCCTTTTGTTGAGTTGGCCTCTTTATAACTATATAATTACCTTTTTTGTCTCTTTTTGTAGTTTTTGATCTAAAGACTACTTTATCTGATATAAATACAGCTAGTCCTGCTCTCTTTTGATTTCCATTAGCACGGAATATCTTTTACCATCTCTTTGCTTTCAGTCTATGTAAGTCCTCACAGGTAAAGTGAACCTCTTGTAGGCAGCGTATAGTTGGGTCTTGTTTTTACTCCATTCAGCCATTCAGTTTTTAATTGGAATATTTAATCCATTTATATTCAAAGTAATTATTGATAGGTAATATCTTGCTCTAGCTTTTTCTTAAATGTTTTCTAGTTAATTTGTAGATTTTTATGTCTCTCTTATTATCATTCTTTGTTCTTAAGTGATTTTCTCTATTATTATGTTTTGATTTCTTGCTTTTTATTTTTAGTGTATTTATTATAGTATTTTGCGTTGTGGTTACCATGAGGCTTACCAAAAATTCTCATAGGAATAACATCTTATTTTAAGCTGATAGCAACTTAAGTTTGATTATACACACACACACACACACACACACACTCTATCCGTAAGCTCCATCCCCTCCTACATTTTGAATTTTTGATGTCATAATTTGCACTTTCTATGTTGTATAACCCTTAACAAATTATTGTAATTATTATGTTTAGTAGTTTTGTCATTCAACCTTTATACCACCATATCCACCATATCCTATTAAAATATTATGAATTTTACTGTGTTCTTTCATTTAACAGTGAAATTTATACTTTCAGATGTTTTTGTGTTACTCATTGATGTTTGTTCTTTGAGTTTGAAGAACTTTCTTTGTAATACCGGTCTGATGATGATGAACTCTCTGATTTGTATATCTGGGAAAGTCTTTATCTCTCCTTCATTTTTGAAAGACAGCTTTGTCAGGTACAGTATTCTTGGCAGTTTTTTTCCTGTAGCACTTTGAATATATTAATATATTACTTTCTTTCTTTTCTTTTTTTTTCAAGATGGAGTTTTGCTCTTGCTGCCCAGGCTGGAGTACCATGGCACAATCTTGGCTTACTGCAACCTCTGCCTCCCGGCTTCAGGTGATTCTCCTGCCTCAGCCTCCCGAGTAGCTGGGATTACAGGCATGCACCACCACAGCCGGCTAATTTTTGCATTTTTCTTAGAGATGGGGTTTCACTATGTTGGTCAGGTTGGTCTCCAACCTGATCTTAGGTGATCCACCTGCCCAGCCTCCCAAAGTACAGGGATTACAGGTGTGAGCCACCATGCCCAGCCAGTATACTACTTTTAATGGCCAAACAGCAATTGCTTTTGCACCAACCTAATATCACCGCATTCCCTCCTGTCCTGTAAGGTTTCCACCGAAAAGTTAGCTTCTAGTCGTGTTGAAACTCTCTTATATCTTATTTGCTTCTTTTCTCTTGCTGATTTCAGGATTATTTTATTTGTCTTTGCTCTTTGATGGTTTGATTATAATATATTTTGTGGTAGTCTTATTTGGATTGAATTTCATTGGTGACTTTTGACTTTCTTATCCTGGGATAATTTTTCTTTATAGTCTTGAAGTTCTCTGAACTTCCTTAAAACAGCAATTTCAAATTATTTGTCAGATAGTTCATGGATCTCTCTCTCTTTACGGTCAGTCACTGGCACCTTGTTTTACCTGTTTGTTGATATCATGTTTCCCTGATTATTTTAAATTCTTGTGGTGATGTGGTCTTGTGCACACTGAAGAAGTAGATATTTATTCCCACCTTTACATGACTTTCTTATAGGACATCCTTTAATGATAAATTCTAGGCAAGTCTTCTGTTGTGGTCTCTAAACCTGTAACTGCTACAGCTGCTACAGTGCTAGAAGAACCCTAAGCCCAGGATTGCTGCAACAGACACTGCACCAGGCTGGAATCTATTTGCTGCAGAGGCTGGCATCATGTTGAGCTGAAATCAGAGTCACTGGTTGCTGAGGTTTACCTGTCCTTGTGGATTATTTTGAGCCCATGGCTGCCATAGTTCATTGGCAGTGATGTAAGCCAGAACTTGAGTCTATTTTGCTGTGGCTGGGGATTTCTATCTGGTGCTGGAGTAAGTTTAGAGGCTGAGTTCATGGGAAGCAGCCTGTAGTCAGGAACCATGGAGGTCTGTTTGGTGCTGTGTTCTACTGTGGTGGCTTCAATGTTGGGTTTTAAGACAAAGTTCTATGTTTACGTTCCTTTTTATCTCCAAAATGGACAATATAGCAGCACTGTACTACCTGAAGTTCGGGAAACGTAATGTGAATAACGTAAAACTGTCCTTCTTACCCCCTTCAATGTGCTTTTCTTATTATTCAGCTATAATCAGGCACTGTAACCTCCCACCTGGTTTCTTTCACTGATGTGAAGGTATTTTTGAGCATGGATAGTTGTTCAGATTGGTGTTTCTGCAGGGGGACAATTGCTGGAAAGTCCTACTCTACCATCTTACTCTTTTCTTCCTATCTACTAGTTAAATTTCTTATATCTATAGGATTTTTTTAAAGCTATTTATCTTTAAGCAACTGCAGTATTTTTCTAGAAAAAAATGTTCATTTCCTCTGATTTTTCTAAATTTGTCATAAAGTTTTTATTATACTCTCTTTAAGAGTCACAAACTGTGCTTTATTGATAGTTTTATGCCCTTAACATTTTTAATACTGTTTATTCGTGCCTTCTCCCTTTCTTCTTCTGGCTTGCTTTGTCCCGATATTTTCAATTTTTTTTTCTTCAAAAATGTGCTTTTGGCATTGTTAATCTTTTCTGTTTGTTCTTATTGTATTCTTTTTCTGCTAATTTATTATAATACATTCATTTGTTCTTTTTTAACTTCTTAAATCAATGATTAGCTCATTAGTTTTTAGACCTCCATTTCTTATGTGAACATTTAACCATATAAATTTCCCATCAAGTACTGCTTGAGCTGCAATAAACAAATAATTATGCAATTCTACATGCTTTCTATTTCCATTCATGATTTATTTATTAACCATTGAGCTACTGGAAAGTGTCTGAGAATGTGTGTTTGTGTTTGTGTACGTGTATTTATTTTGAAATGTACATTTTATTTTAAACTTAGTTTTTGTTTTCAATTTCTATGTCAAAGACATTATGATTAGAGAATAGATCTTTATGATGATACTATTCCTTTAAAAATTCTTCATTCTTTTACAGCCTTGTACATAGTTTTCTCCATATCACACACATAATTAAATTTGTGTTTTCTAAATGCTTGTCCTTGATTCTAAATATAATCACTAGATCAACTGGCAATTTTAAATATATTTTTGTTAGTACTTTGCCTTATCTATTGATTATTATTAGAGGCTTACTAACAATTTTTAATTTTGGGGTGGTTGGTCAAATTTTTCTTGCAATTCTGTTAATTTTTGTCTCATGCATTTGACATGAGACAAAAAATATAGCTATGGTATTACATACATGCTGTCAAATCTCAGGAGTTTGAACATCGAGCTAACAGTTTTGCCATTTACATAACCCAATAAAATGTAATTTACCTTTAATTTTCACTAATTATGAAGAGTGGAAATTTCAAAATAGACCAAATTAGTATAGCTCTAAGTTGCACTTAATCAAGTATTGTAGATACCTAGGTGATAGTCTACCCAGAGATTCTAATCTTATATGAAAATTAACTTATGACTCAAATCCTTTAATATAGGCTAGGTGATCACTACCAAGTTTTTGTTCTAGAGTCACTGACAGATTACAAATAGGACCCAGTGCCTTGTATCAGTATGACAGATGAGAATCTGGTTGGTTACTCGTAGGTATTTCAGTTAATTAAAACACTTCTTCAAGCTGAGAGGCAATAACAAAAGTGTTTGAAAGATGGTTTCAAATGGTCTGAGGTGAGATAATTGTATCCTTAAAGAATTAACATCTTTTACCTCAGAGATTTAGAATTATTTATAATTATTTTCTAATATTTTTACATTATGATCTGAAAACTAATTTTTGTTTTGTTAAAGAGAATTAGAGTAAGAATAACTACATAATTATAACTGTAAAATGTTTGATCTGGTAATTCCAGACACAAGACATGATTATATTTCAGAGTCTTCTAGTGCTTTGTGGGGGGCATGTGATCAATTCTGGCTAATGGTGTCCCTTCCAGGCTGAAGGTTTTAATTGCCAATGTGAGATACTCTACTGCTGTCTTCCATTGCTGCAGCATATGCAAAATCATTTTGCTATTTGATGCTTTGATGCTAAGATAACAGCATCAAAGAATGGAGATTGTACTGGGCTAGTCTTTGAGTGACTATACATGATAGAGGACCTTGATGATTTAAGTTTGACATGTAATATAAGGAAGAAATGATTCTTTGTAAGCCAGTAAGATATTGATTTTCTTTTGTATTGCAGCATAATTTATCCTATTCTAACTGTCGATACTGCAGTTGATCGAGCTATTGGTCCTAGGAAGGGCAGGGCCTAAAAGATACGCCTTTTACAGCTTACATTTTACCTTGGACACTTTGGCTTAGTGGTTAGAAGGCAGGCAGAAATAAAAATTATATAAAGCCTGGAAAGTTGGCAGTACATGTTTTGCCACTAAATCTTTTAGTAAAAATTTTAAGTGTGCTAGGTTAAGAAGCATACTGTGTGTTTATTACGTTTGCATCTGTAGCAAAAGAGGCTTTAAACTGTAGTATGTGCTTGTTAGTATTGGCAATATTTAACAATATGTTACAAGAAAGTTATGAGCTTAGGATGCAACTGGCAGTTTTGCAAGGAGAAATGAGAGGGAACAAAGATTTCTAGAAAGTTGAAAACTTTTAACAATGTAAATATCAAAGGATTATGTATTCTATACAGTAAGAAATACAACTAAAGTCTTCTTTAAGTGATAAAGATTGATTAAAACTCATCCTTAATCAAAGTAGCTGACTGGAGGACCAAGTCAGCAAGTAGATAACCACATGTCAAATACAGGATCTAAGAGATAACACTGGAATTGAGCAAGGATGTGACAGGGAGCCTCTGAGGCACTGATGGTAAGGGGAACAAACAGCCAGGCTGGAGAGGGCTGGCTTGGAGCTAGGAGAGATTCCCATTGCAGGAAAAAGGTAAACAGAGGACTCTCAGCAGCTTACATTTTACCTTGGACACTTGAAATCCTAGCCAGAGAAGGGCCCCTTGGTCCTCACAGGCTGTGGGCTTAATCTCTACACATCATATGTATCAAAATATCACCATATACCCCATAAATATGTACAATTATTATGTTCAATGAGAAAAATACTTGCACACCACTTCTCACAGCTCACTGTCTATGTTAGTCACATAGTAGAAAACAAGTCTGAAAAAGTTAGAATTTATTCTGCCGTCTATTACTGGGGTAGAGAATTAGATTGGCTTTTGAGGAACATGTGATAATCTGTCACCATCCATCTAAATTTTCTCATCTGAGTGCGCCTTCAGTCTGTTGCCCTGTGTTGTTTTGGTTGAGGTGTGTGATGTATATTTGGCTTCACACGTATATGTATTTGGAAAGTAGAGAAACATTTTTATAGTGTTTGCAATAACTGTGGGCATTTTACTTTGATACTTAAATAGTAGTCTTTTAAGGTTAGTTGCAATGTGGAGTCTGATATCATACCAATGTAATTTTTTTACCTTGTACACTTGTGAGACGATGAGGATAAAAAGGCAAATAGTGTCTTCCTATAATCATAAAAATACTTTTTACTTTTCAAATACCCTGAAAGAATCTCGGGGATCCAACAGGCCCAGCCAAAATCATTCATATATTATAGATAATAATCTTGATTTCTGCCTTTAAGACTAAAATTTTTTCTTTTATTTTTAGTTAACATATAATCTTTATACACATTTATTGGATACAGAGTGATATTTTGATATGTGTTTATAATATGTAGTGATTAAATCAGAGTTATTAGCATATCCATGACCATAATCAAACATATATTATTTCTTTCTGTTGTGAGCATTCAAAATTCTCTCTCCTAGTTTTTTGAGATTATACAATAAATTATAATTAGCCATATTCATTCTACAGTGCTGCAGAATACCAGAACTCGTTTCTTTTATCTAGCTGTAATTTTGTATCTGTTAACCAATCTCTCCCCATCCCCCCATCCCATACTCTTCCCAGTCTCTGATAAAATTCTTCTCTCTACTTCCATGAACTTTAATATTTTTAGCTCTCACATATGAGTGAGAACATGCAGTATTTATCTTTCTTCACATTTTGCTTAACATAATGTTCTCTAGACTTATACATGTTGATATAAATGACAAGATTTCACTCTTTTAAATGGATGAATAGTATTCTATTATGCATATGTACCACATTTTCTTTATCTGTTGATAAACATTAGGTTGATTCCATATATTTGCTATGTGAATAGTGCTGTATAAAATGGGGGTGCAGGGTTTTTTTTTGATATACTGATTTCCTTTCCTTTGGATAAATACTCAGTATGGTAGTTCCATTTGTATTCTTTTGAGGAATCTCTGTACTGTTCTCTAAAATGGATGCACAAATTTACACTCCCACAAAGAGTACATAAGAGTTCTTTTTTCTTTACATCCTCACCAGCATTGGATATTTTTTGATAATAACTATTCTAACTGTGATAAGATGATATCTCTTTGTTGTTTTGAGTTGCATTTGCCTTATGATTAGTGATGTTAAGCATTCTTTCATATATTTGTTGACAATTTGTATGTCTTTTTTTGAGACATGTCTATTCAGACCCTTTGTCCATGTTTTCACCAGAATTTTTTATTATTGAGTTGTTTTATTTCTCATATATTCTGGATATTATTATCTTATCAGATGAATAGTTTGCAAATATTTTGTCCCATTCTACAGGTTTTCTATTTACTGTCTTGATTGCTTCGTTTGCTTTTTAGTTTAATGTAGACACATTTATATATTTTTAGTTATTTTGCCTATGAGTTTGACACCTTAGTCATAAAAATCTTTGCCTAGACCAATGTCCTAAAGCATTTCTCCTATGTTTTTATCTGGTTGCTTTATGGTTTTTGGCCTTACATTTCAGTCTTTAGTCAATTTTGGGTTGATTTTTGTATGAGATGAGAGATAGGAGCCTGGTTTTATTCTTCTGCATATGAATATCCAGTTTTCTCCACACTATTTATTAAAAACACTGTCTTTTTACCAATGTTCTTGGCACCCTTGTCAAGTATGAGTTAGCTATAAAACTGTGGATTTATTTCTGGGTTATCTATTCTGCTCCATTGGTGTTTGTGTTTCTTTTTATCTTAGTACCATGCTGTTTTAGTTATTATAGATTTATAGTATATTTTGAATGTGTTAGTATGGTGCCCTGAACTTTGTTGTTTGTGCCAAGAATTACTTTGACTATTTGAAATCTTTTATGGTTCCATGCAAATTTTAGGATTTTTTTTGTTTCTGTGAAGAATGTCATTGGTATTTTGATAGGCGTTACATTGAATCTTTATATTGCTTTAAGTAGTATGGTCATTTTAACAATATTAGTTCTTCCAATTCATGACCATGGAATATCTTTCCATTTGTTTGTGTCCTCTTCATTTTCTTTCCATGGTATTTTGTAGTTTTTTTTTTTTTTGTACAGGTATTTTACCTTTTTGGTTAAATTTATTGGTAGATATTCTACTTTTTGTACCTATTATAAATGGGATTTTTCCTTTCTTCATTTCAGCTCATTTATTATTAGTTTACAGAAACATTCTTTATTTCTGTAGGTTGATTTAGTATCCTGAAACTTGACTTATTTGTTTCTTACTTCCAAGAGTTTTTTGGTGGACTTTTGATTTTTCTATATAATAAGATCATGGCATCTGCAAATAGGGAAAATTTGACTTTCTCCTTCCCAACTTAGATGCCCTTTACCTTTTTATTATTTTTATTTTTAGCCTAACTGCTCTGGTAGAATTTCCAGTACTATATTGAGTAAGAGTGGTAAAAGTGGTTCAATTCTTAGAGAAAAAACTTTTAGCTTTCCCGATTCAGTGTGATGTTTGCTATGGGTTTGTTATATACTGCCTTTATTGTATTGAGGTATACTTTGTCCATACCTAATTTATTGAGAGTTTTTATTATGACAGGATCTTGGATTTTATTAAATGATTTTTTATACTTATAGAGATGATCATATGGGTTGTTTTTTTCTTCATTTTTATGATGTGATAAATCACATTTATTGATTTGCATATGTTGAACTATCCTTGTATCTCTGGAATAAATTTCACTTCATCATTGTGTATAATTTTTTTGATGTGCTGTTGGATTCAGTATGCTACTAGGTTGTTGAGGAATTTTTTATTTTTGTTTGTCAGGAAAATTGGCCTATAGTTTGCTGTTGTTGTTGTACCCTCATCTGTTTTTAGTATCAAGGTTATGCTGGCCTCATTAAATTTGTGTGGAAAACATTCCCTCACCTTAAAGTTTTTGAAATTGTTTGAAAAGAAGTGGTGTTAGTTGTTCTTTTAAAGTTCCATAGAGTTCAGCAGTGAAGCTATGTGGTCCTGGGCTTTTATTTTTAGTAGTGGTTCAATCTCTTCAATCATTATTGCTATGTTCAGATTTTCTATTTCTCCTTGGTTCAGTCTTGATAGGTTTATGTATCCAGGAATTTATCCGTTTTCTTTAGGTTTTCCAACTTGTTGGCAAGTAGTTGTTCATTATAGTCAGTAATGATTCTTTATATTTCTGTAGTATCAGTTGTGATGTCTCTTTTTTTGTTGTTGCTGATTTTACACATTGGATCTTCTCTCCTTTTTCCTTATGTAGATTATCTAGTGGGTTTGTCACCTTTATCTTTCGAAAAAACAAAATTTTCTTTTTGTTGATCTTTTAAATTATTTGCCTCAATTTTATTTGTGCTCTTATCTTTATTATTTATTTCCTTCTATTTTTTAGGGGCTTAGCTTGTTCTTATTTTCTAGTTTCTTGAATTATATTATTGATTTGTTTAGTTGAAATTTTATATTTTTTAATGTAGGTAATTACTGCTGCAAATGTGCCTATACTGCTTTTGTTGTTGGTTACAGGTTTTGGTATGTTGTGTTTCTATTCTCATTTGTTTCCAATAATTTTTAATTTTTTTCTTAAATTAAAAATTTTAAATGACTCATTGTTTATTCAGGAGCATGTGGTTTAATTTTCATGTATTTGTGCAGTTCTGAATTTATACAGTTTATTTTGTTATTGATTTCTAGTTTTATTTCATTGTCACACAAAAATAATTTCCATTTTTAAAAACTTCAGATTTGTTTTATGGCTTAACATACTTTCAATCCTGTATAATTTTCCATGTGGTATTCAAAGAATGAGTATTCTGCAGCAGTTGGGTGAAACATTTTGCAAGTGTCCATTAGGACAATCTGGCCTGTGGTACCGTTTACATCCCATGTTTCTTCATTGCTTTTTTGTTTAGATAGTCAGTTCAATGCTGAGATTGGGGTATTGAAGTCCCCAAATAGTTTTATAGTGATATGTGTTTCTTTCTCTAGCTCTAATAATATTTACTTTAGATATTTGGGTATTGGGTGCATATATATTTACAATTGTTATATTCTCTTGCTGAATTGATTTATTTCTCTCTTTCTTTAAGAAATGGAGTCTCATTCTGTCTCCCAGGATAGGGAGCAGTGTGTAATCATAGCTGATATTATTGAATTGTCCATCGGTATTTTTTGTATCTCAGTGAGTTTTCTTATAACCATTATTTTGAATTTCTTTTCTGACATTTTATATATTTTGTTTTCTTTGTGGTCTCTTACTTAACAATTATTGCTTTTTTTTTGAAGGGGTCATGTTTCCTTGCTTTCTATATTTCTTGTGTCTCTACATTAATTTCTGCACATATGGTTAAACAGCTGCCTCTTCCAAATAATGGAGTAGCTTTCATTGGGAAATACTTATTCCTATAGATGGGTCCCAGGGTGTCAGTTTGGTGGAGTGCGTTGACTTTGTTTTTGTGTGTAGTTTATTTAGTTGTAATTGACGTTAGTGATGTTTGCAAGTGTCTCAATGGCCTAGGTTGTAGAAGTTTATGGCATCAGTGGCATGAGCACATGGCTGCTTGGTTAGCTTGGGGGCATGTCTATTGGGGGCATGTCTGCCAGACTATTTATTTGGCCAAAACATAGCTTCCCAGTGCTTTGGTTGGCATGGCGTTGGCTTCCCTGTTTTGCAGGATCATGACCGTTCTTGGGCCCTGGCTCTGAAAAACCAGGGTCGTGGCATTGCAGTCATCCATGTAGGCTTGGAGCCCCAAGGCTGCTGAGGCACAGTAGCAACTGGCCTCCAGCTCAGGGCACACTTCAGCTGTGGTTCTGGTTTTAAGATAGTGCTGTGCTGCAGCAGTTTGGGTCATGGGAGGATTTACAGAGCACATCCTGTACTCCTAATTCTGAGCAATGCAGCTGTATAAATTCCAGGCAGCCTCCCAAACTGGGCTTGGGGATTATGAGGACTGTGATTCGACTGTAGTAAGAACTGCAGCTGTCTGCGGTGGCAATGGGGGATGGTGGCAGTCTTCTGCTTACCTTTTCCCACAAAGGGAAGTTACTTTTGGCTCTGAGCTGATCCAAATGGGAGAAATGGGTTGGCAGAGGCAGGGTGCTTTCCTTCCCTCTATATGCTTCCATCCTCAGACCTCCATGCTCTATAAGGACCTTACCACTCCCTTGTTGCAGCACTATTTCCCAAACACTTTAGTTGAATTTTGGTTGTTTATTTATTGCCTTGGTACTTCTTTTGTGAGAGAGATGAGTGCCAGGTATCTCTAGTTAGCCATCTTGCTGACTGGAAAGTTAGTCAATTCTTTTGTGAGTTATTTTTTAGTAAAAGGACTGACCTCTTATCCCTTCTTTTTCTCTCTATTAGCTTGAATCCTGATGTGATAGGTGGAGCTATTGCAGCCACTGTATAACACATCATGGACTTGAGGTTATTTGCTTGACAGAATAAAATATTGTAAATTTTGTCAATGTTAATTTGATTTTTCTTTGGCATACAGCTACAACATATATTAACAACTATAATTTTCAGACCGGGCCCCATGGCTCACGCCTGTAATCCCAGCACTTTGGGAAGCCAAGGTGGGTGGATCGCCTGAGGTCAGGAGTTCAAGGCCAGCCTGGTTAACGTGGTAAAATTCTATCTCTACTGAAAAAAAAGAAAAAAAAAAAGTAGCTGAGCATAGTGGTGTGTACCTGTAATCCCAGCTAGCTACTAGGGAGGCTGAGGCAGGAAAATTGCTTGAACCCAGGAGGAGGAGGTTGCAGTGAGCTGAGATTTTGCCACTGCACTCCAGCCTGGACAACAGAGCAAGACACTGTCTCAAAAAATATATATATGTATATATATGTGTATATATAATTTTCATAAAACCATTACATATATATTTTTGTTTATAAAACAATTTTATAATAAGCAAATTAAAACTCATACACACACCCATTATTAGGCTTCATAGATAATATTCCAAAACATTGGCAAATATAGCTAGCCAAGTAGGTCCCTGCTGCTACTTACTGAAACAGGGTATAAAGTGTAGTCATTGTGAAAAACAATTTAAAATCAATTGTCTACACTTTAGATTTTCTACTTGAGGCTCAAATATGAAGCCAAGGTCAGTTTCCTCTGTCCATAGTATCTTAATGTGCACATCATGCTTTGTCTGTGCTGTAGTCTCAAGGGCCGCTTGGTGTGCTTCTATTTTATAGGCTTTGAAAATAGCATTCCATGTTTCTTTCAGATATTTCTTAAGGTACTTGAAGTAAAGTTTAAGCATGCCATATATATAGGCTGTATATTCAGTCTGGCCATCTCTAACATCCTTCAAATTCAATGACAGTCCACACGACATTTTTTATTTGATGTGATAATAGGCAAATAGACAAAATAAATTTTATTGTGTATATATATCAAGTCCGAAAGAATATAAAAATGTTAATGTTAATTTTCAGGACAGTCGGATTATGGGTACTTATGTGTATCTTCAATTTGTTTCACAGTGAACATCTATTATTTGACTAAGAAAAAAGTGTTAAAAGCAAAAAAATTTAGCAATTTCAGTAACACTAAATTGTTAAAAATAAATGCATTCTTCAACCTATGTGCAAAAAAATCCAATTACAATACAACTGTGTTATCTTATACTTCAGCAGCTGAAAAGCTCAAGAATGTGACTTTTTTTAAGATGCCCCAAGGAAAAAGTTCTCAATCAACCACAACCAAAACTTAATCTAATTTGAATAGAACCAAGCTGGGATTTGGGTATATATTTGCTTGAGGTGTGTTACTCAATTCTCTTGATGATCTTTTGATGAAAAATTATGTTCTCTCTCTTTCTGACAGGGCTGATAGGAAGACAGCAGTGGTTTACATGTGTAAGTTATTGTCATTTCGGAATATAATTGAATGTTGATGCTAGCAAGAAATTTAAATATTATCAAATACGTGAAAAATAAACACACATTCATGATGCTCCTATATTTATAAACCTTTCAGAAAAACAGGAGAAGCATTATATGTTAAAAGTAGAAGATGGAAAAAGATATGGAAACAAATAACAAAGTCTAGTTAATGATATGCATGTGGAAATATTTAAGGGTCTAATGAACTGATGTCTGAAACATACTTTGAAATGCACTTAATGAATAATGTGCATTGGTGGATAGATAGTTAAATAGACATGTGATAAATCATATTTAGTGATATTAATTGCAGAATCTAGGGTGGGTAGATGGGTGTTCACTTTACAGTTATTTCAATTTTTCTGTAGGTTTAGATATTTTCATAGTAAAATGTTAGAAAGAGTAGAAGACAGGAAACATAGACACTTTTAAATGCTTAGTTGGCCAGGCACGGGCCTCATGCCTATAATCCCAGCACTTTGGGAGGCCAAGGCAGGCGATCACCAGAGGTCAGGAGTTTGAGACCAGCCAGTCCAGCATGGTGA
This sequence comes from Homo sapiens, assembly GCF_000001405.40. Taxonomy (NCBI): domain Eukaryota; kingdom Metazoa; phylum Chordata; class Mammalia; order Primates; family Hominidae; genus Homo; species Homo sapiens. The sequence continues at coordinate 76,249,766 of NC_000002.12, forward strand.
AACCCCATCTCCACACACACACACACACACACAAACACACACACACTCACACACACACACAATTAGCCAGACGTGGTGTCTGTAATCCCAGCTACTAGGGAGGCTGAGGCAGGAGAATTGCTTGAACCAGGGAGGCAGAGGTTGCCACTGCACTCCATCCTGAGCAAAAGAGCAAGACTCCAACTCAAAAAAATCTAAATAAATAAATAAATAAAAAGCTTAGTATATATTTGTTGACTGACAAGGATAGCCTGGAATGAAAATATATAATGACAACTTTACTTACATTGAAAGACTTTGATTATGCACTCAATATTTCTCTCATCATGAGATATAAATTTTGTTTTTAAATTTATTTTTAAGATTCATTGAATACTTTGTGTTTTACTTTGATTATTTTACTATCACAAGAAGCAATAAGTATTATGATTATTATGCTTCTACAGGTGGCTATAGTGAGGCTTATGGGGGTTAAGTAACTTGTCAGAGGTCATATAATCCATAGAATGGAGAATTTAACCCAAGAAATTTAGATCTTAAGCCTGCATGTTTAGCCATAATGCTATACAGATGCTTCTTGACTTATGATGGTGTTACGTCTCGGTAGACCTATTGTAAGTCAAAAACATTATAAGTTAAAGTGCATTTTATATACTGCAAATCCATCATAAACTTGAAAAATTATGTCAAACCATCATAAGTCCAAATATTCCTTGATTTATGATGAAGTTACATCCAGATAAACCCATCATAAAGTTGAAAAATCATTAAGTCAAAACATCATAAGTCCAAGATTGTCTATACTTTTTTTGCTACAGTGTAACTAAAATGTGTATTTGACGTATGCCTTTATACAAGCAAAGCCAAATAAAGTCCTTTCTCCTCTTGCCTGATCCTCCTGACAAGACCAGACACAGACTCTTTCACTTTCATCCCTATCTAACTTCCAGTTCTTTGCCTCATGAGTGAATAGCTAATATTGGGACTGTTTTCCTCTGAAACTAGCTAGACAGAGATAAGCATTTCCTGCTCAGCTAACTGATTGAGACTTTTTGTGATTGCAAAACAATCCTAGCTCTGAATCCTTCTACCTGTAACTCCCCACCATAAATATCTAAGGAAAAGTCACTGTGCCTGATACTCTGATCTTTGGATCTGAGATGTTCAATATCATGAATAAAATTAATCTCTTTATTGTCTTGCTTTTGTCTTTAGTAATATTAAACTATCTTAATTTATTAACATAGAATAAAAAGAAAGGTAATTGAGATTAGAGATATAGTTAATAATAATCTCAATTCTGCAACTAACTAGATATTATATATCTCTATATATCATGGGACTTCTCAGCCTCCATAATCATGTGAGCCAATTGGCTCATGAAATTATGGAGGCTGAGAAGTCCTAAGATTTGTTGTCTGCAAGCTATAGACCAAGGAAAGCTGGTGGTATAATTCAGCTTGAGTCCAAAGGCCTGAGAACAAGAGGAGCTGATGGTGTAACTTTCAGTCCAAGGGCAAGAGAAGATGAGATTAGATGAGATATCCCAGTTCAAGCAGCAAGACAGAGAAAAGGGGTGAATTTCTCCTTCCTTCACCTTTTATTCTATTCAGGCCCTCAACAAATTGGATGATGCCTACCCTCATTGGGAAGACATCAACCTGCTTTACTGAGTTCACCTATTCAAATGTTAATCTCATCTGGAATACTCTCACAGACACGTCCATAGTAATATTTAATCTGAGCCACCCTGTGGTCCAGTCAAGTAAATACATAAAATTAACCACCACACTAAGCATGTGGCCTTGAGCAGACAGCAAAATTAATGATTGACATTTTTAAAAACTCTCGACAGTGACAGATTGTATGTTCAAGGCCTGAAATAACTGCATAAAACATTTTACTGGAAGAAGTTTACTATACTTCTATATTAAATGCATTTTGATTTTGTATTTTTTGTGTGCCTGTTTTGCTAGGTGTTCATAAATAATACCAGTAGAACTTTTTCAGAGAACTGGTAAAGATAAATTACTTGATTTTGTTATCCAGGAAAGGAGACAGTGGCTACTGTTTCTTAATTTTATCTTTAGGATATGGATGTCCTTAATAACTGTTGCAGAATGGTTGATAGAATGCACACATAAATACACATAAATATAAATTCATTATTTTCAATGATGAGATTATAATGTTATGATTAATATTTTTGAAATTACCAATATTTTAGAGATATATTCCCTTTTATTCTGTTTTTATGATTTGTCAAATAAGATATTCCAGAAAATAAAATGTTTGAAATTCATGTGTTTATCACTGAGATTAAACAAATGTTAATATTTTTCTCACATTTACGTCATGATTTCAGGATAGAGAATGCTTCAGGCAGACTTTACAGTCTTTTCCCCACTTCCTACCCAACTTCTTTTCCACAATCAACAGAGTTGGAGCTCTCCTACACTGAGATGAAACTTTGTGTTTAGTGGTTTTATATTTTCTCAGCTTTTTATATCCTTTCCATTCATGTGTTTATATCTTGGCTACTTATGTTAAGGTTTTTTTATACTCTCTTTACCCATGCTTATTTGGAAGTTATACATTATAGTTCTATTATTTTAGAAGTTAAAAGGTACATTTTGACCTAACAGCATTCAAAGTTAACTAACATCTTTCTTCTGCACAACACAAAGAACGTTAAAAAGTTTGATTCACATTGCCCTCCCCAGTGGTCAATGTGATTAGTGTTAAATATATTCATGTCAACTTGTATATTTACCTTCCCCATTTTGTAAATATTTTCAGGATGTCAATAGTATGGTGGGGTAGGAGATATCAGCTTTCATTTTTCCTAAAAACAAGAAGGCAGCGATTAACATCCACAGACACAAATAGTCTAGGGAGGGTTCATGTACACAATTAAGAACCTACAGCAACACAGTGGAGAGAAAATAATAACAACACAGAAAAGATTACTGGGGAGATCAGCATACCTGAAACATATTAGCCACACAGCAGCTGCCACCAGGGTCCTCAGTGGCCTGCTCTACAGAGAATCCTGGTGAGGACCTCAACAGCCACTGAGGCAGCCAAGACTTCCTGCAGCTTTTTCAAAGGAAGTCCCTTTAGTGTTCATCCACACAAACCCCAGCAGTTGCTTCTGCCGAGAACACTGGCAGCTTTAACCATTAAGTAATCCAACAGAAAAATGCAAGTCAAAACCACAGTGAAGTATCACTTCATACTTGTTAGGATGGCTTTTATTAAAAAGTCAAGGTAACAAGTATTAATGAGAATGTTGCACAAAGGGAACCCTTATACTTTGTTGGTGGAAATGTAAATTGACATAGCCATTATGGAAAAGAGTATGAAGTTTCCTCAAGAAATTATTAATGGAACTACCATATGATTTAGTAATCTCACTTCTGGGTATACAGCAAGTCCTCAATGTCATTGATAGGTTCTTGGAAACTGACTTTCAGCAAAGAGAAGTATAATGAAACCAATATTTTCTTTTCATCAGCGTGATAATGAAACAATGTTGAACAAAACATTATTCAAGGAACTGCTGTACCTCAATTTGCTTAAAGTCACTGTTTCCAAGAACCTATCAACAATATTAAGTGAGAACTTACTGAATTCCAAAAGGAAATGAAATCAATATGCCAAAGAGATACTGCACTTGCTGTCATGTTCATTACAGCATTATTCACAGTTGCCAAAATATGAAGATGATCTACGAGTCCATCAACGAGGGACTAAAGAAAATAAAATGTGGCATATATGAACACACACACACACACACACACACACACACACACACACACAAGAATATTATTGTACTTTAAAAAGAATGAAAGAATGAAGTCCTGTATTTGTGACATTTGTGAATCTGGAGGACATTATGCTAAGCCAAATAAATCCAACATAGAAAGACAAATACTACATGATTTCACTTATATATGAAATATTTTTAAAAGTTGAACTTACAGAAATAGAAAGTAGAAGGGTGGTTACCAGGGGTTGGGGCGTGGGGCAAATGGGAGATGTTGGCCAGTGAGTACAAACTTGCAGTTATAAGGTGAATAAGTTCTGTAATCCTAATGTACATTAAAAATAACGTATGTTTAAAATTTGCTAAGAGAGTTGATCATAAGTATTCTCACCATACTCACACATACTTACAAAGGCAGTTGTGAAGTAATGGATAGGTTAATTAGCTTGACTGTAGAAACCATTTTACAATGTATACATGTATCAAAACATCACATTGTGCACCTTAATTATATACAGTTTTTATTTGTCAAATGTACCTCAATAAAGCTGAAAGAAGTATTGTTTTAAAGTTAATACTTACTTAGATTGAACAAAAATCACTTTGCTCATATTTTCTTCTTCTGTTTCATACTTTGTTTCTAAGTCCCATCTTCTTATTAAAATATTTCTTGTTGAATTCCTTTCATCCTGCCTGGCAAACTTGGGCTGTCTGAAAATGACATTTTTCTTTTTCCTTCAAGTTCTTTAAACTGCCTAGGTTGACAGCTGATTTTTCTTCAACACTTTAAAGATATTATTCCGTATTCCTTTGTCCTCTTGATGTTTAAGAGAAGTATGCCTTCAGTCTCATTATTCCTCCTCTGTAGGAAATCTGAGTCTTTCTGTAATTGTTTAGGAGGTGTTATCTTTGGTTTTCATATTCAGAAATTTTGGTATGATGTATCTAGATATTGGTTTTGTTTATTTACCCTGCTCAGGGTAGCGTAGGAGCTTAGATAGAAGCTTAGGAGCTTCAGATAGCTTAGGAGGCCTGGTGTCTTTTATAAATTCCAGAGACTTCTAGCATTATCTTCTAAACATTCCTTCTTTCACTTGCTTTCTGTTCTCATCTGATGATGATAATAATATCAAATATATGTTAAATATTTGTTTTAAATTCTATATCTCTCAAACTTACATTCCTACTTCTCATTTCATTATCAATTTGTAGTGCTTCCTGGTAAACTCTTTAGATTTATTTTCTGAACACTACATTACTAATTGTGTCTAATGCATGGTCTAAACTGTCCACTGAGGGTTTATGATTAATGATAGTATTTATTTTGGGAGGTTGTTTGTCTCTTTCCAAATGTCTGTTCTTGTTTCATAATGACCTATTACTTTTTGGTGTTTTCTATTTTTTAATCCATTAAATTATGGAAATATATCATATCATTGATTGTCTAGATTTTCATATTATCTATTCTAGGTGTGCTAATTCTTTTTTTTGTATTGGTGTCATGTTACACTTTCATAATGGATCATTTATTTGTGTGGTTTGTGTTTTTTATTGTAAATTCAGTTGTTTTTGTTTCCTGTTTAGCCAGAGTAGTACTTTTCACCCAGAGTTTTGGAAGTATCCCTCCAGAGCAGTTTTGCTTTGGTTTCTGCTTAGGTTAAGGCATCTTACTCATCTTTAGGCCAGTTTTTAACATTAACATCCTGTCATGGGATTTATGGCATTCCCATGGTATAATTTCCAAGCCTGAGCTCACGCTTGACTAGGCTTAGAATTTCGATTTCTCATGAGAAATACCCCACTGTCCTTCTCTACCCAACTTCTGAGCTAAGGCAGTTTTCTTACTACTTTTTTGGCTAAGGATGAACTTTTTCTAACACCATTTATATAAAAGAAACATGCCTTTGAGAGTCCAGACTTAAGGTAAGATCTTAGTTCTCATGCCTGCCCTAAGTGTTAATAAGACCACGTCTCCCCTGTACCATCTGTGTGGGTGTGAGAGCATCGTCCCTTCATGCCCAAGGTCTACCTGGCATCAGAAAACCCAGGGACAGGGTATCGTTCACCTTGTGCTTGCTATATTGGCTTTGAACTCTAGTGGGTTTTTTGTGTCTAGTGAGTTTACTTTTTAACTTTGAAATTCATTATAAACTTATTTTCTTTGTGTATTATACTTTACTTAGCATGTGAACTACTGCTATTTGAATTAGAAGATAATTAATGTCAGCTCAGTCTACCGTCTTGCTAAAAGTTGAAAATCTATTAGCATCATTTATGATCAATAAGCATTCACCTGCAACACGAATTTAATGATTAAATACTACTCCTGAAATATATCACTAATTCTTAAAACGAAGGCTACACACACTTACCTATGTTTACTAAATTTTTTTTTGCTAAAAATGCCAATATAGATATAGGTAAATTGGAATCTGAGTCTTGACTGAAACAAAGGGAATGCCATGTGGTTATGGTTTGCATTTTAGCATGCCTTCCCGTGTAGTTCTTAAACATGCTCGTTTCAGAACCACAGATTAAGTGTGCCATACTTGTTTAAACACTGTTTTTATTGTTGAACTTTCAAACTATATATTTTTTAATCTTTATAACATTTGCAATGCAGAACATCCTTATTTGTAAATATTCTTACCATAATTTCTTTGAAACACATCATAAAAAAGAAACTGAAAGAATATGCCTAGTTTAAATTATTTTAACATATATTTTAACTCCAATTATATTATCAGTTTATAATCTATAGCAAGACTAAGGAAATCCCTGTTTTCACAAGCATTCTGAATTAGTATTACTTTGTTCTTATATTTTATTTAAAACATGACATTTTATTTTTTTAAATTGTCACGGTTTCTCTCATAATTGGAATCGAATAGCTTTTCTCTAATTTTTGACACATTTTATTTATTATATAATAAAGTTTAAATTTATGTCTTTTACCCTTTTTGGCAATAGAATATTCATTTTTAATGAACTTTTTGTGTGATCTGTCATCAAAAACGTTGTGAGCCATTTGTTTGTCATATGTGTGAAGCTGGCTCATTGTACACTGGTTGCTAATCCTAGGGGTGGACTCCCACTGCATGGAGAATAGCAAAGGACATCACTATGCCAACCACAAGGAATGGGAGTCTAAATACTCAGCCCACTGCATTTTAGGTTACAGTTTCTATCATTTGCACAAGTCCAATGTGACAGAACACTCGCATATAACAAGTTAAGTTAAGCAACCTGACTACTTACAAATAGGCAGAGAGGGACAGTAGAAGTCTGTGATTCACAGCAAGTTGTTTGCCCAAGGCTCAAGAAAGTTGCACAGGGCAAATAGAATCTTGTTTGCACATGCCCTCATTGTACTGCCACTGAGGAGCTCCAGAAAGCAGTCCATCCTGGGTTTTATACCCCAGGGGCACTATAACATTCTGGGCTAAAGTGCTATAGAATATCCTGTTCTAAGAGGGGCAGGAAAAGAGCCAAGGCAGATCTGGTCACTTCCTCCTTGTCTCGGAATGTTACATTCCCAAAGTATTCTGCAGTTGTTCTTGAGAATTACAACTGAGAAAAGGGTAGGAATTGGGCCAGTCCAAGGCCACCTGGAGAATTATTCTGTAATATTTTTAATAAAAATTCCCTTTGTTTTCTCTTTTATTTATTCTTTATTTGTTCATGGTGTTTCATGCTGCACAACAATGTTATTTCTGTATAATTAAGTTTTTCACTGAATGTGATTTTGTTTGTATGTTTAAAAAGGGCTTTTCCACTTGAAAACTATATAAATATTTACATATGTTTTATTTTAGCACTTTTATTTTTTTCCGTAATCCATTAAACTTGCAATTAATTTTGAATTTCTGTTAGTGTATGGCTTAATGACAAAATATATTATTATTTTATTTCTGGTGGTTCACAATTTTCTGTAGTTCCCACATTTTGAAATAAGCCAACACTTTTTCTATTGGATTGAAGTTTTATATTTATCAAATTATAAATTCTTTCTGAACTCTATGTTCTGTTTTAATTTCATATTTCTCTTTATTCTCAAAACATTATGGTTTAATTAAGTCCAGAGAGTATTGAGTTAGTCTTTGTTTGGTCTCTAGTGCGGTAGGTGAGGCAGAACTGAGCCCCCAGGAATGTGAGAGTGTTATCTCAAAAAGCTAGTATCAGCTACTCTGCAAAGTTTGAAAGCCCAAGTCAAATCCTGGGCATATCCATGGATGTGTGGTAGCCATGGGCTTCTGCTCTTGAAAAAAAACAGGGATAGAAACTGGTTTGATAAGACAACTAAGCAAAAGAGAAATTGACAACTAAGCAAAAGCAGGAGGGTCTGGTAGGAGAAAGTGGGGAAGGTGAAGAAGAGGAATATTCCTCTTTGTTCTGCTACCACTTAAGAGCAGAGGCATGTGATTCCAGCAAGGGGCAAAAGTAATTAGCAGCTAATTGGATCCAATGTGGGAGACATCACACCACTCCAGGGCTGATCAATTGGCATTGTCAGGTAGTGGAATGCTAGCCTTAAGAATGGAGACAAATTGTTCCAATTTCTGGGCAGCTTGTTTCACAGCCTCTCATACTTACTCATGATTGGCCTTCTTCAGGCTTTCATAATCCATGATGACTTTGTTAGTGATGAGTGAGAAGCAAAGACTCCAAGTCCACAGTGCCATGCAACTCTAACTCTGATGCTGTGCTCACGCCAAACAGCATCCATCCCCAGCTTCTGCATCAGATGAGTCCCTGCCAGTCTCAAAGTTGCAGTTTACTGCCATCACATAGGTGTCTTTCTGTACCTCTTGCTGCTTCCCCATTTGGTTCTAAGAATTGAGCGCCTTTTGCTTCATTGTCCAGTTGTAGGCATCAGACGTGGCAGGAAAATGAACTCCAAACCTTTCATCATTGGGCCCTTTGGGAGAGTTCTGATCACAGAAACCAAGTAGCTTGATGTGATCACAGAGAAGCATGATCCTTCCAACCTCAGACTTGGGGTTGAGCCCTCCAGCTGCATCGGTGGCCACCAAGATGTTTCCACCCAGAAGCTGGAAAACCTCATGCAAAAATATCATGTTCCAGAGCAGGTACCCATCATACAAGTAGAACCTTCCTTGCATCATCACACACACTGTGCCATTCAGGAACCCAAACACCAGTCAAACAGCATGACCTGGCACTGTACTTTGGAAAAAGTTGAGCATCTCACTGTTGTTAAAGATTTGGGCCTGAATTAATTTGTCAGTCAGATCTCCTAATTCAGACCCACAGATCACTGTCACTTGTGTTCAGTGCTTGGTGTGAAACAGAAGCCATTCTGCAGTGCTCTGATAATCTTCATATGTGTATCCATTCTCCATGTTCCAGCTGACACCCTCTCAAGGAACCTGTTCTTTTTCTTTTCTGCTCTGATCTGCTGAGCAGACCTGTGGTGACCTGAGCTGACCTGTGATCACTGGGTCTGGTCAGTACAGTTAGTCTGAACTCTATGTTGTAAGACATTGTTCTGCCTATTAATCTACCTTTAGTATACTTTAAGAATTGTGTAACCATATAACTCTTAATATTCTTTGTGTAAATTTCACTTAGCTATTTTTCTTTTTGAAAAAAATTATTTTGAATCACATGTCTAGATGACTTTAGACTCATTGTGTCGAGTCCCAAAAAGATAATTCTCAAAAATTTGATTGGAAACAATTTATCAAATATTTGGGGGAAAATAGACTTTTAACAATATAAAGTTTTCTTATCAAGGAGCATGGTTCATCTCTTCATTTAAATCCTCTTAGTAACATTTTGCTTATCTCCTCTTTCTTATTTCTTGTTTTGTTATTTATAATTATGTGTTAACTGGAATTTAAAAGGGGATCAATGCTCTCTTGATTGGGATTGTTTTCCATTAAATTACTAATCCAAAATAGAATTTGATGGAATCCACTGATATGGCTGTTCTTAAATTCTCATTAAAATATGCCTGAAGTAACAGGAAGAGGCAAAAACTCATAGCAACATGGGAACAAAGACCGACAGCCTGATGCCAGAATCTGGGAGGAATTGTCACTAATTATAAGGTAGATGGAACAGTAATGAGGAATACCTTTAAAGGCTTGGCATATGATATTCTCCGACTTTGAGTCAAGAAATAGACACCTTCTGAAAAGATGTAGGAGGCTTGATGGAATTGACAATATAAATATTAAAACTTCTATAGAGGTTTTATGCCTCGCTTTCTATCCATTCCTGCCTCAAATATCCCGAGCCTGTACCAGTCAGAACTCTAGGCATTCATTCACCCATCTTCGCCTCAGGCAGTTAGGAAGCTGTGCCTTCCCCTCTAGCTCTCATTTTCTTTATGCTTCACCCCCTGCTCAAATTTCTTCTAGTTAAAGGTTTACAGTAGTGGAAAAGAACTTGCCCTGTGTGTATGTGGGTGCCTGTGTAGGTACGTGTCTGATCGTGTGTGTGTTTGGGGGTTGTAAAAATGCCTAGCAATGGTACCTTTTTGGGAGACACCATCCACAAGTAAAGTTTCATTGATATGGGTGGTAAAACCAAAAAATAAAAAATAGAAAAAGCCATCCTTTTCTAGGCCATAATAAGAAAGGAACTTTCTCTATGCAAGTGCTTTTTAAAAACTGCTCTCTCTGTAATGGAGTTTTGAGAATAATAAAATTAAGAGCTCTAATCTGTCATTTAAAAATAGAATAATTCAATCCACTGAGGTCTAAAAACTAAGCCTTTTAAAAACAGACTATGTTGATAAACTAGAAAAATCGGTAATTGGACACTTTCATACTGGATTATCTATGATATTATTGCATTTAGAAACATAACATATTTTTCATTCCTAAATGCAATGCAGGAAGTTAGCAAAAAAGTTAGAGCAAATAGTCTATCTTTTCCAAATAAATTCAAGCACTAATAACAGTCACCATAGTCAATTTTTTTATTTTTAATATTGTCTTCTTAAAATGCATGTAGTCAAATGCTTATTTACAAAGAGTGGGAAGTATTGTTATACTTGATTTTACAGGAACAAGACATTAACAAGGGTGAAAAACAAAAGGTTTTTCAGTGGAAAGATACTTTTAAAATATGCTGTCTCTCTATCCTATCCTCACTCAAAAAGGCACAAACATAAACATCAGTTTGGGGAGTTTGGGGTGTAAAGGCATTCCAAGAGTTTCACAGTGGCCAGGACTTGATGATAGTGTCACAGGCACATGAGTTGTTCTTCTATCAGTTGATAAAACATCACATATAACATCTGAAGGCATCTGATTTTTTCTGAAAGAGAAGACAAAAGAAATGTAGGCATGCCAGTCTATCTAGTGCCAGCACAGAGCTATGCAATGGCTGTAGTGAACACCGCCCTAGTGGCTGGAAAGCTGGTTCAACAAGCTTTGTTTAGCTTTGTTGTTAGCGAAGACCCATAGACTTGTTTTTGCAGTAGAAAATATACACTTTCTGAAGTCTTCTCAGTGGAGCTCCAGAAAACTGATGCACTAGAGCATGAGGATTTGAAGCAATCTTTGTCACATCAATTTCTTGAAACTTCATGTCTTTTATTGATATCAGTCACACATTAGAGCATTCTCTGTATCTAGCTCTTTTTTCTTGAAAAAAAAAAGGATGAAAAAAATCCCACATAAACACCTTCCCCAGGTAAATATTTTCTTAGAGATGGGCAGGGATAGGCCACAAAAGATCCCTCAAAGGTTATGGAGGAATACCCATAGGCTTGGCAATAGAGACAACTTCGCAATGGGTGCACTAATAGAGTCACATTCCTGATGTCCTTGCATTCCAGCTTAATGTTGGCTCAATTAATTATGACTTATCCCAGGCTTAGCAAAATCCCCTCACTGGTGCTTGAGATAGGACTGGATCACAAGAATTTAGTAGTCTCACTGGTTGATTTCCAGATGTAGCTCTCCAGTAAGAGCTTTGAAAATGTAAGCATTTTGCCAGCTTTTTCTAGAGAAGAAGGGTTACAATTCTGGAAGACAGCTTGGAAACAAGTAAGATTCCCAGCCTTACCAGAGTTAGGAAGCCACAGAGCAATAACCATGAGCCGAAAGCTTTATTGAGCCCTTGGTTTCAGCCTCTCCCAGGTATATCCTGCTAGCAATCTCTGTGGATAAGAAGTTCAGAGGAAGCCAAGGGCTGCTCAGACTCTGTGCCACTTATTGGGATATTTTCTCTCCGCTCCCAACCCAGTCTTTTCTACTCTCCTTTATGATGTGACAACTATATTGCCACTTTTCCACCAGTTCTCTATTAGGATCTGCCAATAAGAGGCACTGAAGGGAGACTTCAAAGCCCAAAGAAGGACTTGTGCTCTCCTATCTGATTCCTGTTTCTTTGAGTATCATTTAGCAATGCTTCTTCACCCCTGCAGCAGCAGCTCATTTCTGTAATAGCAGTTGATTCCACTTTGCAATTTCTCCATCAGTTTATAGAACCAGCCTCACTGTGTCCACTTCAGAGACACAATCATCTACAAGAAACACTTATCTTTCAGAGATCTGAGTCCCAGCCCCACAGGACCTCAGCTTCAAGGTTCCAAGTTTTAATAATTCCCACTTCTTCCTGTTGTTCTCCCTAGGGAGAGCAATTTTTCCCTATGGGTGGAAGTTGATTCCTATAGTTACCTATTAAACTCTCTTTGTTAAATAACTAAGTGGCTTTTGTCTCTTGACTGGGCTCTGACTGATATGGACCCATAGCATAGCACTCCAGAAGCTCAAGTTTCCCCACTTTGAAGGAGGCATAAAGCAGAATGTGGTGTGTGGCCATCTTTTCATGGGATAGGCTCACTGGGAAAGATCCTTGGAACATAGAGAATTGTGTGAACATGTTGAGCAGGGTGGGGTGGGGTACAGGGAAGCATTGAAGGGTGGGAGAGTTGTGCTGAACCGTAATGGGAGTGGCTCTTGATGAAGCCCCCAACTCCTTCAGGCTGCCTCCACCCCAGGCCACACATTTTGGATGCAAATGACCACTCTACTGATAGCTGGATCTGTCCAAGCTCATTCAGGGGGGCAGCAGCATACCCACAGGTGAGGTGGGAGGTGGGCAGGGGCTCCTGAGATTTAGATCTGATCTCTCCCTGATCTGGTTCTAGTTTTTAACACTATCAATGAGAAGACCCAACTGGGGAGACGGAAGTCAGAAAAATGTGTTCAGCCTGGGGATGGGAAGTATGCCCCAGGCTACAGAAGGGGTACCCTGACTTCCACTCAGGGCTGGCCAGATGGGGCTCAGAGGCCTGGACATGGTGCCCCCTAAGGCTGGACACATCTTCACTGAGGCAGTAGGAGAGGCTAGCTAGGTTGGCTTTAGCTGCTACCCAGACAGCTCTACTGTTCTCATCTGTGTGGCCCCACATTGCACCCCAAAACATTTTAATTTGTTACTAATTCACCTGAGGTTGATTTTGATTAAGAGAATATTTAATATTGAAAAGAATGTATACTATATTAGATGTTACATGTAATGGACTTACCTTAGGATATAGGTTCCTGAGAAGAGGACAATGCCTAAAATAGTGTCTAGGAGTTCTATGAAATGGCTGTGGGATAAGTTATCCTTGAACATATTCAATTTCAGTAATCTTATGTTATAGCTTCTTCAACTGCTTAAAAATGTTTATCTTTAGTATTGATACAGACAGTGAAAAATAAAAATCTTATACCACAATCCAGAGATAATTTTAATACACATATGTGTGTATATATACACAAACATATATATATATAAATGTATCTGAAATGTATATTTAGTAATATGTTTAACATAAAGGGGCTAGCATCTGTTATTTTGTAACTTGATTTTCACTTAATATCTAATTATTTTCATTCTTTGATGTTATTATGTTATAATAATAATTTTCATGGTTATTTAGTATTCCATAGTATTTAGATATGATGCCTTGTTAATTCCTTGGATATCTAGGATGTTTTATATATTTTTAATATCATAAAAAATTATTTAATGACTATTCTTAAAACTAAATCTTTGTAAACCTTTATGCATATTACTTCAGAATAAATTCTCAGAAAGGAAATTTCTAGGTAAAAAAGCGTGAGTTTTTTTAAGGTTATCGATTTGCTTTAGAAATTGTTCCATGTGATTTCTGCGTTACCTCACTCTCTTGTGACCAGTATATGAGAGTGTTTCTCTGCCTCTTAAGTATTAGGTCTTAGAATTTAAAAACACCATTGCCAATTTGAGAGGTGAAAGACCCTTTGCTTATTTTGTTTACATTTAAAAATTTAAAAGTCTTTAGTATTTTTCATCTCTGATATCACTTCTTTATTTCCTATGGCTCTACCAAGATAAATCCTATTGATTATTTCATTCTGTTGTCCCTTGAGACTTTAATTTTACTTTATTTTATTGCTGGCTTATCTTCAACATACAAAATCTATATTCTTGATCTTTTGCAATCTCATTAATCATACTTACATTTAAAAATAATTTTGGATTGTGAATGTAAAAAAGATATATACAATACATATAGTATGCACATGAATAATAATAAATAAGTTTACAATAAGCAAGTTAAGTGAGCCAAATGAAAATAATAGTAGGAAAAAAGATGAAACTAGGAATAAGATCAGTATCAAAACATAGGCTGAATTCACATGTCCTAGAAATGGGTAAACAATTTGAGTTTTTATATTCTGGTAGGCATCATGAAGACAAAACTATCATAAATTACTACATTTATAAGGCTCATAAACAAAGGACTTATTCAAGAGCTGCACAAATATTACTAAAATGAGAGATCAACATCCTTCTCCCCAACACACAAATACATACAAATACACACTTGGGCTCCCATGAAGAAAACAATATATAATCAGTGTTTCTTTTTCAAATACATTCTACAAGTGGTACAGGAGGTTTCATAGATTTCATTTATTAACCTCACATTAAAGATCACAAGCAGTGCCAGATTCCAAGCCTGGGCTGCCAGCTGCTTGGCTTTGGTGGGCCAATCCTTTCTAGGCTGCTAGCATTGCTCCAAAAGTGTTTCATGGTCAAACTATTTATGTGATATAAGCAACAATTGAACTAACTTAGCCACATTGTTTCTGGGATGTTCTAGCTTCTGCCAGTGACAAATTTTACAGAAATGTACATGGAGGACACCAACTGTGGAAATCACTTGTGGATTAAGCATTGATTAAAATCTCAATTAGGAGCCCAAGACCTTCTTATTCAATGTTTATGTCCTTATGTCTTTTAAATGTTGACCTTTTAGAAAATCATTTTTGAAAAATTTTCTTTATTTAATAAATATGCTAGAGTGCCTATTATGTTCCTGGCAATATGTGGTGCTAGAATAAGACAATAATAAGCATGAGATATTCTAAAAGCACATAAATGGGATCCAAACTTGTGGAGGAAGATCAAAGAAGGCTCCCATGAGGGAGTGACTGTTTAGCTGAGGCAGCCTGAAAGATGGATAGAGGTGAACTGGTGAGGGATGGATTCCAGGCAGAGGGAATAATGCATGAGGAGATCGTGGGCAAAAAGGAATTAAAAGAGGCTCAAGCTGGCTGCAGTAAATAGAATGAGGAGAGCTGGGCATTCAGCAAAGCCGCAGAGGCAGCCAGGGGCCAGATACATAGAGTCTATGACTGCTGAAGATTTCAGACTTTTATGAGCAAATGAAGCTTCTGATGTACACTTTAAGCAGAAGCATTTTGTAGTGATATATTTTAAAACATGAAGGTGATAGCTGTGAGAACAGACTGAATGGAGAGGAGAAAAGACTAATTAGTAGGAACTGAGCTGACACATCAGGAAGAGAATATGATGGCTTATACTCAGGTGGTGGGAATAGAGAGGAAGAGAAGCTGATAGATTTTAGATATATTTTGGAGGTAGATAGAATCAACATTTTCACTTGGTGAGAGATGACTGACTTGGGAGATGAATGGGGCATATCAAGAGTCCTTCCATGTGGTTCTGATATGAGGAGACAGATAATGGCATCAGCTTCTAATGTGGAAAATGCTAATGTGGAAGAATAATTTTAAGAGGGCTTAGTTTTGAACATAATTGATTTGAGAAGCTTTAGAGACATCTGAGTGGAGATATTAAGATAGGAAGTGTATGTAATTATAAAGGTTAACCATCAGAGATGAGGTGCATAAGTGGCTTGTGGTGAGTGAGAGAAATGAGCTTAATTATGAGAGAGTGTAGACAGAGGAAGCACAGAATGAGAACAGGACTAGAATGAGAACATCCTAGGCCTGAGCACAGAGTCCTGAGATAGGCATGGCCAGAGGTAAGAGGAAATCAGGAGAGTGTGTAATGACAGGTTAAAAAAGAACAAATTTCTCAAGAATGCTGTGGTCAACTGTATTAACAAGATGGAGACTATCCAGAGCCCATTCTCTTTGGTACTGTGAAAGTTATTGATAGTTACAACAAAACAGTCTTAACAAGTTCAAAATAAGTGAATATGATTGGTAGGAAGTGGAGACAAGGATACATGGTGTATTAGTCCGTTCTCATGCTGTTATGAAGAAATACTCAAGACTGGTTAATTTATCAAGGAAAGAGGTTTAATTGACTCACAGTTCTGCAGGGCTGGGGAGGCCTCAGGAAACTTACAGTTATGACAGAAGGAGAAGCAAACACGTCCTTCTTCACTTGGCAGCAGAAAGGAGAAGAATGAGAGCCAAGCGAAGTGGGGAGCCCCTTATAAAACCATCAGATCTCATGAGAACTCACTCACTATCATGAGAACAGGATTGGGGATACTACCCCCATGATTCAATTATCTCCACTTGGTACCTCCCACAACACAGGGGATTATGGGAACTGCAATTCAAGATGAGATTTGGGTGGGGACACAGCCGAACCATATTACACAGAAATTCTTTGAGGTATGATTCATGCTGAAATAGAGCCACGATATTAAGAGATAGCTGGAGGCGGTTATAGGATTCAAGGAAAGCATTTTTAACATGAGAGATGGAAAGCATATTTGATATCTAACTGGAAGGATTCAAGAGTTGGCAGTGGGAGATAGAAGGAATAATAGCTGAGTGAGGTCCCTGAGAGGGTGATAGAGAGCACTGGCCTTCGGTGGGAGGAGAGAAACTTCAAAGGCACAAGAAGAGATGGAGTAGAGGGTGGATGCAGCTTTGTAGATGTGGTGGAGGGAATTTAAGGGAGCTCCCATCTGTGATTTCTATCCATTTTATGAAGAATGAGCAAAGTAATCTGACAAGGTAAGAAGAGACAGGAGCAAGTAGGTTTGGAGAATCGAGGAAAATGGAGAATGTAGGAACAATTGTTTCCTAATACTTCATAGGTCAGATTTCTCCAGAGAGCAATTTTATCTACATTTTGCTTCCTCAATTTTTAAAAAGTTTAATTTAATTTATACTACTTCTAGAAACAAACATTCTTTAAACTTGAGGGAAAATATAATGACTATTTAGAAAGTAGTTTTAGTTTTATACTATGGCCAGAAATCCAAAGGGATATTTTTCATTTTCACATTTATAAATAAATATTTCTTTCCAGGATTTTACCTAAATTTCTACTTATCTATCAGTCTATCAATCAATCAGTCATCTATCCTTTCATCCATTATAGCTTGTTTGTATTTAAATAAACTAGAAGCAACTTTGAAAATAATTAAAACATAATTTAGTGTAAAATAAAAATTTTCTATAATCAATCAATGAGATTCCTGAAGATATTTTTTCCCTTAATATTGAAGATTGGTAAAAACACTATATGATTCTGTCCTTTCCTTTTAAAATTGCCATCAAAGTCTTAAAGCCTGTCTTGATTACTTTTTTAATTTGGGGGGGCTAAAATCATATTGTTGATTGATAATGTAAGCTTAAGATTTCAGCATTTTGATCTCCTCAAAAAATTAAAATGATATTTTTGGTCCAGACATGGCAGCTCACACTCATAATCTCAGCACTTTGGCAGACCAAGGCAGGAGGATCACTTGAGCCCGGAAGTTCTAAACCATGCTGGGACATAGAGTGAGATTTTCTCTCTATGTAAACAAACAAACAAAAAAATTTTTTTAGCCAGGTAGGGTGGGCTGTAGTCTCAGCTACTCAAGAGGCTGAGGTAGAAAGAAGGGTTGTTTGAGGAGACTGAGGCTGCAGTGCGCTATCATTGCACCACTGCACTCCAGCCTGGGTGATAGTGAAAGTCTGTATCTAAATAAATAAATAAAAACAAAACAGGACTTTATTTTCCCAGGGACTATCCCTCATCACTGCCAAGTTTGGGGACATTAGGGATCCTGTGCTTACTTGCAAAAGAATTTTTTCTCTGTCCTCCAGGGAAACTTTTTTTTTTTTAATGACATTAATTTTTTCATTTATTCCTGACAAAACAATGTGAGAAAATAAAACAACATTTGTCACTAGGATTGGCTGGGTGTCCTTTTTAATTAACTGGATTAAAAAGATAATCATCTGTAATTGTAGAGAATGATAAAAATGCTGAAGACCCTTTGAAGTCCTTCATTCGTTAAATGTTCTTATTACCAGTACCCACTAACATGCCCTTGCTGACAGTTCACAAGGATTGCAAGCTCGTTATATCTACTGAATTACAGAGCTAAGCTACACCTTATATGAGATCCAGTTCAATTCTCTCCATCTTTCTTAATGGGAAAGCTGGGGATTAAAAAGGGATATGACTTACTAGAAGTCATGGGGTGGATTTTGGTCTCACAGGTATATCTCAAGACTGGCACATAGTAATTACTCAGTAAATAATTTTGAACTACCTGCCACCAAAATTCACATCTCCTGTCATCCAGATGCTGTGAGGATGATCAGGAATCCCTGGATCTTCATGTCTGTGCATTATGATGACCTCCTTTGGTATGTATGGTAAGATGCGCAGGAATGTCCACATTACAGCTGCAGTCAGGGAGAATTTTTTTGACTGGTTTTATCATGAACATTAAAAAGCCATGTTGGACAAAAAAGTCTGAAGGCAGAGGATAAAGTCTTAATATTAGAATTCTTGCTTTTTCTGAAAGCTTGCCAAAAATGGTAATACTTCTCTTCAAAATGAATATTCAAGGAGTGAATGGCCACAGACACAGGCTAACAGATTCTCCTGACCTCTTTTGACCCCCACAATGCAGGCATTTTGACTGTAATTTCAGTGCCTTTCAAAAGAATATGCAGTATCTAAAGTCTCTTTTGAAAGGATTATGTGGTACTAATGATTAGCCAAACTTCAATTCATACTTATTTAAAAACAATGCATGCAGAAGCAGAGGATTACCTCGAGGCAAAATGATCATGATTTTGGTTGTTTCTATGTTGAAATTAGACAAAACGTAATTAAGTAAGATTTGGAAACTAAGCAGAAGTCAAAGAGGGACTTTTAAAAGCTGTTCTAGGAGGTAGGTCATTTTTTGTTGCAAGAAATTAAATTCCACGGTTTGAGTGAAAGCTTTCAGATTTGCTTCCATGATGCGGAAATGAAAACATTTTACACAGGCTGCATCTAAATGTGGATGAGTCACCAATCCATATCTGGCCTTCACCCATGTTTGTGTCAAGCTGACACACCGAAATAAATCCCAGCTGGTCTCCATCTCCTCTCTGAGTTTTTTTTTTTTTTCCCTTTCAGTTTTTGCTTGAAAGCATTCCTTGGGGCTGGGCATAAGACAAAGGGCTATGGTGGAGCTTCTGCCCCTCTCTTAATTCAAATTCATAGCAGAGGTGACTGAGGATATCAAATATTGAATAATTAATAAAGACAGGTCTTCATTCAACTCCCGGTTATCAAATCCACTTATAATAGAACACTTCTCTGGACGTTATATCCTACCCTTCCTGACTCATCTGGGAAAATCTGTGTTGGGATTTAGCTGTATGAACTATACCTGGCAACTCAACCTCTTTTTATGCTATTTCCCCCTTCTCACCCCACCCCCTCCCTTCTATATCTCACTCTCCAGAACTACATAACTTAAGAGGACTTTCTTAAGTAGACTTGCCCTTGGTACTTGCATTCACACTAAAGGATATAAAGCCATATTTCTTACACTGTAGTCCTTGGACCACTTGCATTAGATTCAGCTGGATTTCTGCACCTCAACTCATGCTCACCTACTGAATCAAGAGGTGAGACCCAGAGACTTTAATTTGTGAAAGCAAGTTATGTAGCTATATGCATGGTTTTATACTTGTATAAAGTACTTGCTGTCTAGTGAATTTAAATCTGAGAATAAAGATTTAAGCTGAAGAAATATAATGTCTGCCAGAGGGCAGAGGGGCAATTTGTCAGAGAACATCAAGGTATCCTAAATCATACAATATTACCGTAATTGAAATATCCATGCTCCAAGTAGATGTGTTCAAGATTCCAAACACTGCTAGGGAGGAGAGCACAGAGTCTTCAGCTTTGTCCTGGGTGTTCCAGGGAGCACTCTTATTTTCCTAACTTTTCCTGTATTGGTACCTTTGATGCCACAGTATGTATCTTGTTGCTATAGTTTGGACGTTTGTCCCTTCCAAATATCATTTGAAATTTGGTCCCCAAATTTGAAGGTAGGGCTTCATGGGAGTTGTTTGGATCATGGCGGCAAATCCCTCATGAATAGATTAATGACCTCCCTTGAAGGGGGTGAGTAAGTTCTCACTCTGGGTTCCTATGAGAGCTGCTTGTTATAAAGGGCAGAGTACCTCCCTCTCCTCTCTCTTGCTTCCTCCCCCACCATGTGATCTCTGTGCATGCTGGCTCCTGTTCACCTCCCACTATGAGTGCAAGCAGGTTGATGACCTCACCAGAAGTAGATGCTGGCACTATTCTTCTTGTATAGGCTGTAGAACCATAAGGCAAATAAGCCTCCTTTCTTTATAAATTACCAGCCTCAGGTATTCCTTTATAGTAACACAGATATGGACTAAGACACTTGTTCTGGAATTGCACAGCATAAGGAATGAGTCATGCTTACGTTTGCTTCTTCTTATTACCTGTGGTGACCAACCACAGTGCTCCCTTACCAGGTGACCTTTGGCCTAACTCCAAGAGCTCCCCTTAATGGCAGATCTTATCAGTTGCTGCTCACCCTTCCCTCTCCATTTTCTGTCATTTGTCGCTGACGTTCTGCCCCCTCTCAGTCAGACTGTTAACAGAGGATGTCCAACCAAACAGTGGCCCTTCTGCAGGAATTTAGATTCAAGATGAGGAAACGCCAAGAAATCGGAGAACTCTGTCTTTAGGTGGGTGACTGGAATGGCAAAATAAAAACCAAGGGTGTTTTAGTTCATTCAAGCTGCTATAAAAAGATATCATGGACTGGGTAGTTTATGAACAACAGAAATATATTTGCAAGCGGCCTATAAGCTGTAAGTCTGAGATCAGGGTGCTAGCATGATTGGTTCTGGTGAGGACCCTCTTCTAGGTTACAAACTGCCATGCCATCTTCTTGTTGTAATTCTTACATGATGGAAAGAGGACAAGAGAGTTCTTTTGTGTGCCTTAATAATTAGAGCACTAATTAAATTTGTGAGGGCTCAAGCTCATGACCTAATTACCTCCCAAAGGCCCCGTTTGTTAATATCATCACATTAGGCATTAGGACTTCAACATAAATTTTGGGGTAACATAAACATTCAGGTCATCATACCAGGGTATTCACATTTTATACCACATAGGCTGAACAATAAAGAAAACCAGTTTTTCTTTTCCTTTTTCTTTGTAGGTTGAATAACATTGAAGAGCAGAATAGGATGCATCTACCTAACTTTACAGACATTGGAACCTGGATCTTGGATTTCTCATATTCAAGTGGCTGTTGCTAAATATATTGATGGGGATAGGATATAAAATGGCCATAACACAAAATAGTGGTACTAAGCTTTCTAAAGTTGGAGAAGGTTGCTTTCCTCTGTATATACAACTTCTTGATCTATGAATCCAACCAAAAATTGGTTGCTGCTATTACAGAAATCTGTCCACATTTGTATGTTTCAGTTTGGATATGCTCAGCTGTAAATAACGTAATACTTAATTAAAAGTAAGGGTGAATTCATCTGACATAATAATAAATATAAGGAGAAAACATTAGAGGATTGATATACCAGCTCAACAGTGTCATCTGCACCCAGATTCTCATAGTCCCTTTGTTTTTCCATCTTCATCATGTAGAGGCTGTCTCCCATCCCAAGTGTAAAATGACCACCATTGCCCCAAGCATCCTACTCTCAGAGTACAGCACTCCAAGCAAGGAAAAAGGAGCTGTGAGCAAAGGGGCTTCCTCATCTTGCTGTTCCTTACCATTTGTTTATTTTTTGGTGGGCAAGGAAAATATTTCTCCCATGTCCTTCTATATTCTTCTGGGTAGAACCAAGTTAAATGCTGGTGTGTGCGTGTGTGTGTGTGTGTAATTTTTTGTATATTATTATGTTTTAAAATCTTAAAAACCTTTCTGGCTGAAGAGACTGCCCCTCCTGGGTCTAGAGGATTCTTGGAGATGCTGAAGGGCTCTGCTGAGGACATGTCTTTAATGTGCAAACTAACCAATCCAGAGTCATATCTCCTCTGTTGGGCCCACATACCTCAGAAATACACCCAGGAGGCAATATTCTTCTGCCTTAATCATCCCAGGGCCAGGTTTCAGGCAACTAGACCACTTTTCTAGCTTAGAGCCAACAGAACTTATTCAAACTAGCCAATCCTACATGATTTACTTTGCCCTGTCTTGTTTTTCCCTTTAAAGACCTTGGCCTAAGTTCTTTCCTAGCTCCTGTCTTCTGCCACCTGACCAAAACCTGGCACTTCCCATATGGCCCCAGTGGCATGTGGCAACCCCCTCTCTAGGACCTGTGAGTATAATAAACTTTGCTTTCTTATGCTTCTCCCGTGTCTCCTTGGCCTTATCTGACTGACCATCACATAAAAGAACAGAACAAATGCCCACCCGCAGGTTAATCACTGGCAATAAGAAATGGAGTCAGCAAGGCTGATGTAGACAAATTCTGGTTCAACGCTGAGGCTTAAAACATTAACACCCAAATAAAACTAGAGTCTCCCATTAGCTAACAAGGATGAAAGTGGGCTTGGTTAAACAGGCAACCCACATTGTCTATCGGCACACATTTCTAAATGTACTGCATTTTATCAATTTTACCATACGTATGTTTTTCACATTTTGATATCTCTAAAGTTGGAGAGCATCTTGCATACACCATTGGCCATTTTTTATGCAATTGATATCTTGCAAATCAGTTTATCTTACCGTTGATGATTCCTTAGATTGAATGAAATATACAATTGCACTCTGCTTGATTGTCTGTCACCCACTCAACATTGTCTGTATTCCGTGCCACACTTGTCTCTATATTTTGGGGGAAAAGCTTGGAAACTGCATTTTCTATAATCTATCGCCAGCAGATTTCATGTTAAATTCTGCCAGGGAAAGATACTCTTTGATATTTGGTAAGAAAAGAGAAGTCATTATTCCCAGGTGTGTGGGTGATGGTAGATGGCACGCATGAAGTTTTGTTTGATGTTTTCAAAAGAGATCCTTTTGAGAATCACCTAATTTTGTGCTGAAGGGAGCTGAAATCATTGATGGTGGCATCCTTAAAATTCCCATATTTTTGATTTCCTGAAAGCCAGCAGTGGCCTCCCTGATATTTCTTCCCCCATCCCTCACAAAGGTTGTCAAAGACTCCAAATTCTCTGTATTGAATCCTTTCCTAGAGTGGTCTCTGTTGTCTGGACTAAACTTTTATTGACACATTTTTTTTCTATCTTTTCTACAGTTTCTAATGTGTTTCTCCCTCTTTATTGGGGAAGAAACCTGAAAAATTACCTTCCTTTTTGCTAATGTGATTTGGGCGTTACTTTATCTAAGAGTAAGCTGGAATAGGCATTGTGTGTAGACGCAGGGATGGCCTGCTCAGCACAATTGTATGAGTGTAGATGTATGTGGGTGCTGGGTCAACTGTTGAGCTCAGGTGAGCCCAGCATTTGAGTCATCCCAACCAGATAGGTCACATACATGAAGGAAGAAACCTTTAGATCATTCCAGTTCCCAGCAATTTAAGTCATCTCCAGCATTCAGTGCTAAGGCTCCTGGCATTATAGAGCATAGGCAAGCCTTCCACCCAGGGCCCTATCTAACTTCCTAAAAAAGTGTGTGAGAATTATGAAATGGTGTTTTTTTCCTCCACTCATTTAAAATAGTTTGTTCCACAGTAATGAGTCATGTCAACCTGAGGATAGGATTTGAGTGTTCCTGGGTCTTCTCATCAAATATCATTTTAATATTTCCCCTTTCCATCAGGGTTAATCTTCTTTCCACAACTAGTTTGTGAGCCCTTAAGGCCATATTTTAGATTTATACTATATTTCTTTTAAAACTGAACTCACTACTGAGCACTCAGTTGGAGCTTTCCAAAATGTGCATTGGCTAACTTGCAGGGTGATGCCAGGGCTCTCCATAGGAGCAAGCACTGACCACAGGCTCTGAGATTTTCCAAAATAATTATTTTTGTGATAGAGTACGTGGGATGCCAAATGCACAAAGGAGCCAGAAAGAACTTTTCTGAGCCAGTGTTGCATGCTTTCACCACATTTTATGATGTGTATGTGATTTGCTGGGTTCATATTCCTCTTTTTAATTGGAAAACTATTTGTCATTTCATTTGGTTACAATAATCAATGAAAAGGAAAATTCTTGTCTCAAAGTTTGGCATTACACATTAGGTAAACTTTGTAACTTTTGAAGTTAGAGTGAGGATGAACTGGGTTCACATACAACTGTTGTATTATTGGCAGGGCATGAATTTACCTAGGTGACTCAGAGAATGCCTTGTCACCTCTCTTATCCCTTGTCTCCTGATCTCTTATGACCTCTCTGGATCCTATGAGTCAAGATCACTGCATGTCTTACATGCACAGCAATACTTGTTAGATGAAGTGAATTAATAAATGCAAAATGGCTGTGGAATTCAAAATGGTATGTAGATACTAAGTATTATTATAAGAATAAGTTTTTGCAATTGCACCTAACTGCTATCTCATAAGACATCTTATTAATTACATAAATAAAATATTGCTCTAATGAAACTTTTAGAGTCTATCATGGCATATTAAAGAAGAAGGAATTATTCAAAAAAGTTTTAAATTACAATAATAATTTTCTGGGGATCCTCCTTTTTTCCTCTCATATATTTCTTAGTGGCGGGCACTGTTCTCATGCTAGTGAATGTTCATGAGGTTCCGTTGTATAGTATGTGAAACAAATGCCAGGCATGTAAAAATGATTATTTCACAAATAACATCTGGCACTTTGCTGGGCTTCCAAGACAGATGCTAATGTACTAATGCCAAATTTCTCAAGTGGTCATCCTGGTGTGCAACTGCTCTCTGGCCCAAATGCCACCCCACTCCCAAATGTCACATTGATTCTCTTGCCACCTTCCTATGAATGAGAATGAAAAAGATTTCTGCAAAGAACACTGTTTTATGTCTTCATTTTATGGGAAAGGCTAACCATCTCAAGTATCTTACAGTTCGGACTTAGCGCAGTGCCTGAAATCTAATTTCATTCATTTGTTCTCTTTTTCCACTAGATATGTAAACATTGACAGCTTCTCTAGCTACCAAGATTGGGACCACAGTGGTTATATCTCTAGCTTTTGTGCATCCTTCACAGTAGGAAACAAATATATGCTTTTAAATTAATTTTTTAGCCCAATTACCATTCACTTCACTTTGAGGGAATAGATGTATGCTGAGAAAAAAAAAAAAAAACGGATACATTTGTTTTCTGAATACTAATAGAGTTCGTTGAACATTATGTTTTGTAAAATACTTGAAATCAAATTGAACTCCAAAAACTAAGTGATTTCTTCTAATTGCCATCTTGATTATGTTTGAAAAGAATAGATGGAGGATTCCAAGCAGGGATAACCTTTATTTCTTGGAGCTAATGACAACACTAAACTATTGGACTAATAAAGAGTATAGTTAGACGACTCTCAACTTTAGTGAAAAGGGTGAGGTGACTTCAAAGTAACATTTAGCTTCTTTAAATCTGCTTCATACTATCCCCTTTCCAAGAACTCCCATTAAGAATTTGCCAGTATGAGCTCAGAACTTGCCATGACATTTGACACCATAAAGGGATCCTGCTGGGTGTGTCATGGGAAGATGAGGCACTTTATATTTATCTAAATATAATTCATTTTCTACAGAGTAAAAAGAGGCATTTTAGAGTAACCTTTACATTTTTCTTCTATATTCTCAAACTGCAAATCACCCTATTGTTCACGCTTTCTTTGCTCTCTGGCTCTTTTTCTTCCTTACCATGCAAGGTCTAACATTATTTCGGTGACTTTAATGGCTACCTGATTACACCTGTGTTTCTTGACCTCTACTCCAAAGAGTTTGTCTCTGTTTAAACCACCAAAGCCACATCCTGTCATGAGCATATACAGCATATTTTGTCGTCCAGAGAAGCTTTACCTTTGATATGTTAGATGCAAGCGCCCTACTCCCTAACTGGATAACTTGTTCAATTATTTCTTATTCATTGGTGCTTT
Organism: Homo sapiens; assembly: GCF_000001405.40. Classification (NCBI taxonomy): domain Eukaryota; kingdom Metazoa; phylum Chordata; class Mammalia; order Primates; family Hominidae; genus Homo; species Homo sapiens. The sequence continues at coordinate 76,276,121 of NC_000002.12, forward strand.
GACATTTGGGGAACATTGACCCATTTACTTTCCCCAATTGTTAATAAATTTCAGAATTCACTTCCTTTCTTCTTAGTCTTAGATTATCTGCTCCATCAATTCAATCCAAACTCTTACAAACATCCTTAATACCTATGATCTTTCACTTAAAAAAAAAACAGAGAGAGAGAGAGATAGCTTTGGCAGCCTTCTCAATTTTTACATCCTGACCTGGTCTATAACAATTCATGGTCTTTGCTCTAAATCATGATCTCAGTGCTGTTGGACCACACTGCTGTATGCCCATACTTTACTATCTTCTATTCTCCCTAGTGCTTGTTTTAGTCCTTGATTCTTCTTGGAATTTCTTCATCACCCACTTGTTGCATGTCTTAAAAATAGATGTCACTCTACTGGAACTGTCTTAATTCTTGCATTTACACCTATCATTTCCTGAGTTTGCACATTTAAATTTGTCCCTGTAATAGTGGTGGGGCAGGCAACATCCTGTCTGGCAGCAACAGCAACCCTAGAGCATAAATATGTTGCAGCCCATGCCTATGATGGTAACTAAACTGATCAAAGGGATATGAGTGGTGCTGGCCACATAGAAATAATGCAGGGCACATTACACGTAGTACCCCTTTGCAACTGCAAATTGGTAGCTTTCAGAAATGTCCCCACCGGATAACCTGAAAAGCAACATGAAACTATAGTAAGAAAGTGAGCAGTGCATTTGTTTTTCTAAGATGACTTTGTCTCTTTCTAGAGGAGGCCAGGCTAAATCGGACACCAGATTAGAATAAGAAAAAGAAGAAAAAGAGGAAGAAGAGGAGGAGGCAGAGGAACCAGGATAATAACTGGAACTCTGATCTCTGAAACTGACACTTTTCCAAATTCAGAGTAAAATACAACTTACCATGGCACGGATCCCTCCCATTTCCCCAGGTGCCAACTAAATGTGTTGGTAATTAAAACTTTTATCAAACTTCTCAACACTTAAATTCTGAATGGAGAATTCTGGGAGCATTGAAGTGAAAACACAGTGTTTGGAAAAAAAAAACTAAAATTAGTGGAACCCAAGTAATAAATACTGGGAAACAAATGAGACAAAATTAACGGCAGATAGCATCTATAATATGTCAGACTGGGAGGGCAGGTTTCTATTTCTGCCATGGGTCAATGCCTACTGCTTGTCTAATTTTTACATCTGTGTGCCCCTTTTCAAGTCCCCGCAGCACTTCAGAGTAAGGTTTGTGAGATACTGGAATTCACCAACCAGGAATGCAGTTGACTCTTATCCTTGAATATCATAAAAACATGTTCAACTGTTCTCACTGGGGCGGTACTTCTGTAAACTGATGATGAGCAAGGGGTCCACAGTGTTTCTTTAAAAAAAATATAATTGCTTGCCTGCAAGAGCTATTCACATTCTCAGGCCTGGTCTCATACAGAGTCACCTACAATGTGTGACTATTAGGTCTTGTGGAATTCTTCTGGCCAGGTCTCCAGCATGGCATGTTTTTCATGCCATAATCACTTTTCACATTCTCTTTCCTCAGCAGGATAAACATTTATCTTCCTTCTCTTGGCAAAGTACCTATATTTCCTTTAAGACCAACAATCTGACAGTCTCCAACTTCTCTAGGGAGAGTGAGTTACTGACTCTTCTGCATGTTTCTATACTTCTCTTGTATCATTTTTCACACCTCAGTGTGGCGGTGTGCTTTGTATTCATGTCTATTGTTAGGCTGTAAATACTGCTAGGGCAAGCTCCATGTTATTCTGTTTCCATTAACATATAGAATGAATTTGAACACATTGAAGGCATTGGCTGCTGAAATAATGAATTTCACAAAATTTGTTCTTACCTTAGACCTTTACTCTTTATATTAAAGCTGTGATGTCTGCCAAAACGTTGATTCCTCACAGAATGACTCATAGGTAGAGTTTTTTTTTCTTTTATTCAGTTCTAATATGATGAGTATCAGATTATTTTTTGAGAGTAAGTTTTGATAAGGGGAAATTGGTGTGAGGACAAGGGCATTGTGTGGCAGTGAAATGGTGAGCAAAGAGCTCTAGAGAACAAGGAGACGAAGGGCAGCAAAGATAAATACAATCAATGAGCATCACAATTTTCCCCAGGCCTGGTCTTGCTCAATCAGCCTTCCCCATCCCACTGCACAAACACAATTGCCATTGCATGTCTAGGTTAAGGCACTTCTCATTAAATGAAAATGAGGGAGAAAAGAGGAAGGAAAGGACAAGTCTATGCAATAATTCCTTCATCAAATTGCATTTATTGCAGTGCCTGGCTGCAAAGCCCTTAGCTTTAGTAGCATCAGGTTGTTTTTTGTACTTCTATAACATAAGTATGTATACAAGGTTAAACATTGTTCCTTAAGTCTCATGCAACAAGAGTCATGATTACTAAAGATGAAGGACATGGCACTTAGTAAGGCTATATGACTAACATATAAATAATAGGTATATATAGTTTAATAATCTGTAACTTGGTATTATCTATTTTTAAACTAGAAGAGAATAACTTTCCAGGTATTCTGAGGGTATTTTGGAATTTATCAACATACTTGCTGTGAAATTCCAGTAACATTTGGCAAACACCATGACTGTCTGGAGTGAATCTTTTCTGAATGAATGTTAAGTCCCTTTGGCCCTTAGTGCCAGTACTGCTGACAAGTATCTGCAGCTGGGTTTGCTTCCCCGGCTCTTCTTTCATTCCATCTCCAGAACATTTTTTTCCTCTGTCTGACCTGATTTGTTGACCTTCCGCTGCCTGCCCATCCAGGCACACACCTTTCCTGTCGGTATCCTTTGTCAATTTCCTCCCTGCTAGCATTATTCTTTAGCTGGTTAATATAGCTTCAAATAGGGCCCACTGATGTACGGCCTTATTTGGCTACAGTAGGTCCCCGGAAAACTCATATTATTATTATTTTCATTGTGCTGGAGGCACTAAGCCATTTAGAGGATCCCTTGATAGGCAATAGCACATGGGGGCTAAGCTAACATTTATTTAGCCTGCAGCCAGAAAAATCCTCAGAAAGAGAAACTTTTAAGGAACAAAAATAGAAAGTAACAACAAAAAAAGTCTGACCTGTTATGGTCAGGCTTTTTACTTATTATTATTTTTTAAGTCCATGAACCCGCAGCTCAATGAAAATACAATATTGACAATGATATTCCCTTCATGTTCCAACTTCAATATTTTCAGGAAGAGCTGTAGTCAGCATATATGTCACGTTGAGTTTTTAATCTAGCAAACTCATTTTCACATCGGTCACTCCAGGGAGCATCGGAGCCTTGTGCCAGTCAATGAGGTCTTTTGTATCACATCCCTGTGTATAGAGAATTGTGTGGCCAATCTTACTTAGAGGTGGGGGAAGTCAAGCTTGGATTCATACAACAATGTTGGTGAGGGACTTGGAGAGTTAGGTATGAATATGAACTCTTGGGCTGCATTCATGTGTGCATCTGTAGTCAGAAACTGACATCCTTTATATGAAAAATTAATAGAAACAGGTAACAAATAAATATTAGCTATATTCCAGGTACTGTTCTAAGTACCTGTTTAATTCTCATAACTGTTCTATGATGTAGATATATTCTAATACCTACTTCACAATAAGAAAACCAGAACACTGCAAAGTCGAACAATTTACCCCCAGTCGCACAGCTAGTGAACAGTGAGATTTCTCTTATGTTGGGGAGGTAATTTGTTTGTTTGGTTCTATTTTGTTTTAAATCAGGTAAATCCCTTCCAGTAGTATCTGGAGGCAAAACTACATCTCATCTATGAATGATCGTTCCTGGCTTCCACAGTCATAACTGTTAGGATTCTTCAATTGTTTTTTTCCCTCTCTATGGAAAATCAAAGTCTTTGTAATCAAAATTATTTTGTGATATTGTAACACTGAGTCATTGAGGGACTGGCATTGATTGTTATTCAACTGTCACTTTTAGGTCAGAGCCCAGACAGATGGAGATTGATGATGGATTTAATTATTTGGGTACAAGATCTGTAAAGAAGGCCAGTGGCTTTTTGAGCCCACATTTAGTTGGATCTTTTGGGGTCATACTGTGTGAATAGTGTGATGCTGCAAGAGTCCCTGATTTCTCCCTCTTTTGCAAAGTCTGGGGAAAAGAAGTTGCGCAGTGCCAGGCGCTTTTGCTATGTGGTAGTGACATTTCACAACCTGACAGCTTCTGCGACAGGGCCCATCAGGCCTCCACTGGGGAGGCCTCAGTGGAAGGATCTGGCATCTGCTACCCAACATGGTTAGATATGTCCTTTAATAGTTTAAGGCAACCAGAAAAAACTCTGAAACACCAGGAAAGCTTTTCAAACCAAGAGCAATAAGAAACACTTTCAAGAATGTCCAGAATGTATCTGTCTGATCATCATTCAATTGACGAAATGTTACTTGCTGTAACTCAATAAAGTGGACCTTTTTGCTGTAAGATGCAGTTTTTATTCCACCATCCCCCACCATGGCTTTTGACCAACCCACATCTATTTTAATAAATTAGGAATAATATTCTTATTTTAGTAATGAGATTTCCTGTGAAATATGCTGCAGAAGGATGCAAGGGACAACCAAACAATTATGCACTTCCTTTGCTTTCTGAATAGAACTTGAGTAGAAAAAGAAAAATCACATTTTTTCAATTGAAAGAGGAACAAGAGCAAAGCTAAGACAGGCAAAGAAAGACTTCCTCTGCACATATATCACTGCTGAGTCAGACGGGCTTGGAGAACAAATGCCCTTCAACCTAAGGACATTTAGCATTTCAGGGTCTTGTACAAAACTATTTCCTATCCACGGGAAGGCTAATGAGTGCTCAGGGAAGCAGCAGCAACCAGGGAGAGACAGTGCCTCTAAAAGGTAGTAATTTCACTCAAAGGGATGTTGCCATTCCTTCACAAGAGTTAAATTAAGAGCAATATTTAGAAAAGCTCCAAGGTATGGGTCTTCTGCAAAGAAAATGAACTTGCTTTACTTCTGAACAGAGTGAAAGGCATTAATCAGAAATGCATTAATGGCAAAATGCATTTTTAACTGCTTGTTGCTCTGAATCCACTTTAGTATCCAGTATGGCAAGTGGCCTTTGGCATTCTGATTGTCTGCTGAGTAAGGATAAGGGCTGGTGGCTTCCTGTGTCTCAAGCTTCTCATCCCCTTCTCTGCATTTCCACAGTTCCTTTGTGCCTGTCCCCTATTAAGGTGCCTGCAGCCCAAGGTCTGGCTAGAATTGTAACTGCCAGATGGTTGATAAAGCAATTTGATCTAAGGTCCATTAAGAAATTGGTACATTTAAGTAGTGTACTGCCAGAAAGCAAGCTTAGAGTGGAAAACAGACAGTACTGGCTGTGGGAGAGCTTCAGCTTCATCAATTAATAGCTCTTAACCTTGGGACAGATGCTTTATCTGTCTGAGCTTCCATTTCCTCATCTGTAAAATGAGGATAATAACACCAACACTGAATGTCGTTGTGCGAGGTAGATGAGTGGTGCATATAAAGTTCCTAGCCCAGTCCCCAGCAGGTGGCACCTGCTCAGCCTGATACCAATTCCCTCATCTTTCTCTTAATTGTGACACTCCTTCCAGGAAAAATTTCTTTGTAGAAAAGGACTGAGGGAAACACAATTCTGTCCTGGAAAACATGAACCTCTAATTGTGGCTTTCTGGGCACTATGACATTTCTGGATCCCCTTGGATTCTACCCCATAATGGGTGATGAAATCTACTGACAATATTAGCATGGCCTGGAGCTGAGGGAAAGGGGGAAAGGGCTTTGCAAGGGGCCATTTCTGGACTCAATTCCAACTCTTCCATTTATTACCTACTTGTGTGTTCCTGGTTATCGAATTTTTAACCTTTCTGATCCCCAGTTTCTTCAACTGTAAAATGGGAGTAACAATACCTTTTTAATTTGCATACTTGCTAAGATTTATTGTGGGTCTACAATGTGTCAGCCCCTCTTCTAGGCTTCTTAACTGCTCTCCTGTTTGCTCATCACAATATCTTATTAGATACCTTCTGCAAAATCATCCCTTATCATAAATGGGGAGCAGATTTCCAGAGTGGTTACCAGAAAGGACAGAGCTGAGACCTAAACCTAGGCAGGCCCACTTCGGAGACCATGGTTTTGACAACCACGTTGCCTCTCCCTGAACATTTGGTGCATAAATTGGCCCCTAAAGATGTAATATTGTTTCTTTCCCTTAGATGCTATATCCCCATTATGGAGATGTAGCTGACAAACACCTCTAGGTTCTGAGAACTCTTACCTCTCCTAAGCCCTATCTGGCTGATTTTGTCCATATCAATGGGGGGAGGGAAGAGCAGAACCACTTGCAGTGTTCCTTCCATCCTTGAACCTAGAAAAGGGGTCAGAAAGGGTTGAAAATGCCCTTAGTATCTTAAACCTGATGTGAGATTGGCAAAAACTGCTCTCACATGGAGACTCTCAGCATCCTCCTCCTGTTGCATCCTCGTAAATTCTGGGGAAATATTGTTGACTGAGGTCTTTGAGAGGAGAAAGATTTTTACTGCTAAGCAACTCAGTGCTCATGTCACAGAACCGAACTTATCCAGAGCTTATCTAAATCCTCATGGGGTCAGAAAACTCATTGTAAGGTCTGGTCCCCAGAGAGTCCAGTAATTGGTGATTTTGGCTAGATCTGAAACATAGTCAGAAAAGGCTCTTCCCCTAGGCAGTTGCTTGTTATTAGATCCTACACACTACGTGTTGTCTTTATCAAAATAGTTTCTCCATATAGATAGAATCTGTTTTAGGAAAAAAGTTGAAGTTAGTGTAATGACATGAGATAAGAGACTTTGGCTTGAAAAATATCCTCCTATTATGTAGAAGATAGTCAAAGATCAGCAAATCCTCCATTTTCCTAACCTGTCATTACATCAGTAACTATCCTATCCAAGAATCATAATAATCAGTAGTGATAATAAGGCAAAACTATCTATTTGATGAAAATAATAGCATTAGAGATCAGTAGGTTTTTCAATAAAGGAGTATTGAAGAATGTTTTATATGCATCCCAATAGCCCTCTTATTAAACTCAGACACCTATGAGAAAAGATTACACATGAATATTAACCAGCTAACAGTAACAGATAATATTAATCATACAGCACCTCTCTCAATTCAAGACCTCCCTGGAATGGATCAAAAACTAAATGGCTAAGGTAGCAACTTGGGCTGTAGGAGGGCATGAGATGGTGCTGAAATGAATATTTCTTTTATTTCATTTATTTTTTCTTTGGAAGTGATAGGTCAAAAGTCTCCTCTGATGGTAACACACACTAATGTATCATTTTCTTCTTAGTGGTTGAAGCCTGAGTTTTTATGACAGCTTTTCCAAGTGGCTTACTCAGGTTTTCATAATAGTCTGTTTCATCCTGCTATGGAGATTATGCAAGAACTCAAAGCACTTTGCAAACATTAACCAAGTCTATATAGGTAAGGATTACTACATTCCCATTCTCTTGCAGACAAAAATTAACTGTCTCCAGATTTTATTGGCACTTTTCTTTTAACTATAGACATCAATATTCATTTAAAATACACATATATGTGTAATTTCTTACTTTATTGGCATGTTATCTCTTTAGCATAAAATTAAATTGTTCTTTATAAGCAGTTCACTTTTAAGGTACCAAATTAATTCAAAATTGCCTATATCTCAAGTACATTTTTAAGTGTAAATTTTCTGCATAAATTTGTTTAGTTAAATCACATCTTTCCTCTTAGACACAGTTTATGTGTCATTTTAATTAGATTACTTTTAGATTACTTTAAGATAGCAACTTCTTGGCATTTTATTCAGTGTCCTAATACAATTTATAGGGGACATTAGTACCAAAGACTTAGCCAGGTCAGATACACCAGAAATTTTCTATCACTTTCGTAATTTGGGTGTGGGAAAAGGACTGTGTACAAACCAATACTATGATAAATCATCTTTAAATATGCATTTTAGTCAGATGATGGAAAATTTAATGTTAAGGACTATCATAGCTTGAATATTCATAACCTAATGAAGAAGTGAATATAGCTTACAACTAAAATAATGGATGCTGTGGAAGACCCTGAGATGACTTTGTAACACACACGCGCTTAGTTACCTTCGAAAATGGAATGTAATTCACAAAATTGACTACGGAAATAAAATCCCTAATCTAATCTAATCTAATCCAAAGCAGGTAACATATAGGCATTTGAATATGTATGTTGGCAAGTTAATTTTCTTTCCGGTATTTTAGCAACATCTCTGAGGCAGGATGATTTACTCAAGTTCCCGGATGAGACGATCAGAGCAAGTGATTCATTTCTAAAGTGCCAGAATGAGCCTAAATGCTACTCTGGAAGAGAATATTGCATGAAATGGGTTTTTTATGGTGTTTTTAAGAAATAATGCTTTTTCTCAGGCTTGCTCTACTTACATTTGGTCTAATGATGTCTCATGGCTCGATATTATTGCTGGGTGCTCTAGTAAAAGTGCCAGATATTCAAATATGTTTTCCTCTTCCTGAGATAAGGAATATGAGGATAGAATGCACTGTGCCTGTGGTGATTTGGTAAAATTCTAATTTTCTGATTATTCTTAGTAGTAGCTTGCAAAATATTTTAATGCTTGCCCTTGAGCTCATTTGAAGTCAACTTTTTAACTTTTAACAGTCTTTAGGCGATAGTGAGCAAGATCTTTCATCGAAAGAAAAATAAAATGAGAAAAGTAAGATTTGTGTATAAGAAAAATTAGAGACCATAAGGTATTGTTGATAAAAGCATAGTTTGGTCCATCTACACATGTGTAATCTGCAACCATCACTATTATAATTTGCTCCAAAGAAGAAAATACCATTTAGTATTTTCTAGAATGAGCCCTCCTATTTTTGCCCAGAGGGATCATTCATAACAGCAGAGAGAATTTATCAAAGAAGTGGTTGTGAGACATTCATCAGAAGGGAGCTTCTCCAGAGGCTACAGGAAGAACATAGTCTATGAAGCAAGAGCTGAATTTATTTTCTAATTCTGCCATTTATTGGCTGAGTAGCCTTGGAAAATGACTTAACTTATTTAAGCCTTACTTGTTACTTTTGTAAAATGTGATTATTTATGACACTCACTGGCATAGATGCTATTGCTACTGTGTCCAGATACCTTTTACCTGACTCAGCCCCTGCCACCTGTAAGGGTTGGACACTAATGGTCCACAACCATCCTTTCTTCAGATAATGGCCTGGCACACAGGAGCCAGCTCACCCAAAATGCCTGAACGGTCACATCTGTGGCTCCCAGTGACAGACACACAGCCAATAACTGACTAATGTAGAGGCACAAAAGCCTGTCCCCTTTTTCTAGATGTAGGACAACTCTGTGATGCTATTCACACTCCAGAGTTTCCTGTGGGATTAGGCTGAAGCAAACTTCAGCCAAAACCACAACTTCATCTGGCTTCTTCCCTTAGGATGTCTTGATTCCTTCACTTGCTCTGTGTTTCTCCTCAGAGCCCTACCTCAATAAGTCACTTGCACAAAATTCCCATCTTATAGCTTTTAGGAACCTGGACCTCAGATAACATGCTCTACCATATGAGACCTTTGTGAGGATCAAAGGGATGATATTCTAAACCACATTAAAAATGATGAAATTACATAGAAAAATATGTTATTGGAAGGCAACGGATATCTTTTATAATTTTTCTGTTTTTATATGCCTTTACGTAATTTTTCAGATTTCTAGCATGAAAGTAATGAAGAACTTTCTGATTTAATAGAAACCTTATCAAGGTTTGCAAACAAAATATTACTAAATATCTGAGATTAGTTTTTCAAGAGATTTTTCACAAGTGTGATGGAAAGCAAAATATGTGGCTACAATGTCTATAAACTATCATTATTCCTTCTCAGTTGCCCAAGCATTATCATAATTACTGTTATCACAAACATAACAGTGGCAATGAGTTGTAATAGAAGGAACACAGCCCAAAAGCACATTTTAAAACCACATTCTCTTGTACTTGACCTGTATGTATTGCTGTATTCTAGACCAAGACACACTCTGGCTTACAGCCCCTGGATAAAGAAAGAAAGATCATATTTTATGTAGAAAGACCACTATGTAATTTTAAATGAGGAACTTAAGCCTCAAAAAATTATCAGTTTTCAAGGGACATTTGTTGGTTGTCTAGGTTCTGGGGCAGATGCTGAGGTTGTCTCAATTCTCTCCTATAAGGAACTAATGTGCTTATGAGGGATAATGGACTCTCAATTCATTAATTACAATAAAATATGAAAAATTGAATTGAAGATGTAAGAGATTTTACTATGAAAGCAACATGGCAATAAGTTGCTATATATTACACAGACATTTAGTGACTATAGTGGGTTGAATCGTGTCCTCCAAAAATTTATGTCCACCTGGAACCTCAGAATATGACCTTGTCTGGAAATCCAGTCTTCGCAGATATCATTAGTTAAGTTGGAATGAACCCATCCTGAATTAGGTTGGGCCCTAAATCCAATGACTGATGCCCTTATAAGGAGAGGAGAGGAGAGTAGAGGGCACACAGGCAGGGATATGGGGCGGTGATGGATGCAGAGATTGGATGCATCTACATACAAGGGAATGCCAAGATTTGTCAGTGACCACCAGAAGCTAGGAGAAAAGGATGAGACAGATTCTCTTCAGAGCCTCCAGAAGGAACCAACTTTGTCAACACTTTGATTTGAGACATCTGGTCTCCATAAATGTGACAGCATCAATTTATCTTGTTTTAAGTTACTCAGTTTGTGGCAATTTGTTGTGGCAGCCTAAATAAACAAATACAATGACACTCCGTTCTCCCTCCTAGGATATCAGGTGTCCTTTTCATTTTGGCTAACTCTACTAAAACTGGGTCTTTGCTTAAATGTATGTTTTCAAAAGATTCTTCTCTGATCCTCCCAGATCTTGGTTCAGCATCTCTCCTCTGCATTCCTATAGAACTACTTTGTATTCATCCACAGGTGTATATTTCCCCATCTGTAAAACTTTGTATGTTGATCTTAATTGTTCTTCATCAAATCCTTGGTGCCCACCAAGATCCTGGCACATGGTAAATGCTCAGTAGTTATTTATAAAATAAATGACTGGCATAATCAGAGCTGGGCTAAAAGTTTCCTGATTCCCATGGCATTGTTTTCCCTAAAACTTTCCTTTTTATATACATCTTTATATGTGTCATATTTATTTATTAGTAAGAGGTTGTTGATGATGCAAGTTGCCAGGAAATTCATCACTAAGACCCAGTTAAAATTAAGAGACTTTAATCAAGTCACTTTTGCTAATACCTGGGCCAGATACTTCCCTAAGAGCTTACCGAGAGGCAGCAGATCTGGCTCTTACATAACACCAGTTACCACGCCAAACCTTCTGAACCTTTCCCAGTCAATATTCAGGAGAGGTGAGTCAAAAGAGAAAGGAAGAGTCACAGTAATTTGATTCTTGGATTTATAGGGAACACAGTATTCATGGTACAGTGAGATTTTTCTCCTCTCTTGCAGGGGCAAAGAGTACTTCCATCCAAAGCCAAGCCAAGAAAGAAAAGCCTCCATGAACTTTAGTCAAAGAAACTGAGGGTGCTTTCCAGAAAAAAAAATAGGCACTTATTTGTATTCCTTAGAATTCTTATTCATTTTTCATTCTTAGGCAGTCTTCCTTTTAAATTGACGTTTAACTTACACATAGTGAAATATGCAGATGTTAATTGCACACTTCAATTTGCTTTGACCAATGTACATCCCTGTTAAACCCAAACTTCTGTAAAGAAATACTTCCTAGGTATTATTAAACAGCAAACTTCCTGACTTGGCTTGAGCAGGAGACAATTGGCAAGAGATGCCTGAGTGGAGATGTGTACTATACCACTTGGTATGCAAAGATACTAATGCTAATAACACTTAGGTGGTAGAATTGAATAGTCTTGCTGAACCTCATTCATGGGTGCTGTCTTCTAGTCAAGGAAATTCAGCAGCAGGGGCAATGGGGAGGTCATCAATGGTGGAAGCTCAGAGGAGAGGTTAGACTGCAGCTGAGTGTCTCAGTCAAGGAACTGTGAAGTAAGAAGCTCCTACAGGGACTCTGAAAGACACACACGCACACACACACACACTGTGAGTGAGACAGCACTTGTCTCAGTCAAATGAGTAAGACTGAGTGAGACAAATGCTGTCTCAGTCAGTGCTGCCTAGACACAGGGACAGCCATTAGAGACAGGCCATCTACAAATGGAAACATTTGTCCTGTTTCCTCTTCCCCTTCCCTGTCACAAGGCACCAGGGAAGCTAGCCCTTGCAGAGGAGTGGGAGAAGGCTCCTCAGAGCTAGGCTCTACAACTTTGCTGGGGGAAGGGGAAACGATGGGATTTAAATTAATTTGTGATTGAAGTTGGAAATTAACATGAACTAGTTGTAACTGAAAAAACCTATGAAATTATAGGGTTTCTCCAAGTTGTTAAATGATGGAAAAGAATGATTCAACAAAACATGAGTGAAAGTAAGGACTGGAGGAAAAAAAAAGGCTTTTCATGTTTATGCTCTCATAGAAATGAGCTTTTCCAATAAATCAGTTTCATGAGAAAACAACAGCTCCAAGCCTGTGAATTGTAGAACCCTGGGGATAAGCAAGGGAGACCTGAGGTTACTGCAAGTTATTACAAGGGGTCTGCCAAGCAATATGTCAAATAAACATGGTCTCTTGATGCAATAAATAACGCCTTACCCAGACAGATAAAATCTTCTCTCAATGTATATTTATTCAACTTTGGTTAATAAATACAAATTTATTTATAGAAGTATTTGTGATTTATTAGGTTTTCTATTATGTATACTCTAAGTAACAAGTCACTCACATATGGGAGCTCTCACAATTTTATTATTATTATTATTTGTAGAGACAGAGTTGTCTCTCACTGTGTTGCCCAGACTGTTCTCAAACTCCTGACCCTAAGTGATCCTCCTGCCTCAGCCTCCCAAAGGACTAGATTTTTTTTTTTTTTTTTTTTTTTTTGAGACAGGGTCTCACTCTGTTATCCAGGCTGGAGTACAGTGGCATGATCAAGGCTCACTGCAGCCTCGACTTTTTGGGCTTAAGTAACCCTGAGCTTCCACCATGGATGACCTCCCATTGCCCCTCCTGCAGCCTTCCGAGTAGCTGGGACTACAGGTGCACACCAACATGCCTGGTGAGTTTTTAAGTTTTTTGTAGACATGGGATCTCACTCTGTTCCCCAGGCTGGTCTCAAACTCCTGGGCTCAAGTGTTCCTCCTGCCTTGGCCTCCCAAAGTGTTGAGATTAAAGGTGTGAGCTACTGGGCCTAGCCTGGGATTAACATGAGAAAGAAATCACTGGCAGCAAAATGATTCCAAACCATTATAGGATGCAGTAGATTTTTCAGCCAACTTGGAATTTCTATGATGCTAACCCCACACCATAGCCATTAGTAGTTACCTTTGGCAACATAGCACCCCAACACTTTCCTATTTATGGAGTCACCAGTGATCCTTCTTGGGAGGAGACAGGGACTTGAAAGGAGTTTAAAGGAGTAAAATACTCCTTCTCCAACTCCCTGCAACCAGCTTGCTTGTGTGATGGGGCTTGCTGAATTGAATGATTCCTCCTGGGACTTTGAATTTCAAGAGATGAGCAAAGACACTGCAACCATTAGAGACTGTTGATGGTGTGGCAGGGTAGAGTCAGCAATAGCACGAATTTCCTCGGGCTGCCGAAGTGAAATACCACATGACGGGTATCTTAAGCAACAGAAACTTATTGTCTTGGAGGCTAGAAGGCTGAGAGCAATGTGTCAGCCAGGACTGGTTCCTTCTGAAGGCTGTTTGAGGAAGAATCTGTTCCGTGCCTCTCCCAAACTTCTGGTGGTTTGCTGGGAAACTTTGGCATCTTCTGCTCATTGAAAGATCATCCCAAATTCTGCCTTCGTCTTCACATGATATTTTCCCTGTATGTGTCTCTGAGTCTAAATATTTCACTTTATAAGGACATTAGTCATACTAGATAAGGGATCCACCCTACTCCATTACGGCCTAATTTTAGCTTATTACATCTGCAACAACCTTATTTCCAAAGAAGGTCAAATTCTGAGTTGTGAAGTTTAGGACTTCAGCATATGAATTTTGAAGGAACACAGAGATGTTTAAAGAAGATGGCACAGGAGCAGTGACCTTGTCAGTGCTCTGCTTCTCTTAGTCTCTGCTTATGTTCTATGCCTGGTTTTCCAGTCTTTCCATTTCCATTTCTGGTTAATGTCAATAGAAGTGTTTCATTTCTCCCATTTGCCTTTAAGAGCCCTAATTCAGACAGGGTAACCAGCCAATATATCCTCCACATTTAAAAAAAATTACATTTGTAAAATGCACAATATTTCTCTAAGGCTTTAAACATATTGTATTATTATATACCACTATCTATTCTTTACCTTAAAAAGTATGAGCGGAAATTTATGGTAATTTTTTAATCTCAGGAATGAAAAAACACGCTATCATGTAGGTCAAGAGGCCTGAGTAAATTCACATCATAAAACCACCTAGTTTAGAATATAAAAAGTTTACTTTTGCATATGTTTTGGAGAGATAGTGACCATTAAAATAAACAATTAAAAACTGATCTTTTTAAAAGTCAATGCTTTTTATCATAGGCAATTTGGTAAAGTTTGTGGTTGCAAAGGACACTATTGAATGAAATGTTTATTTCCTGCAGGACCATGAAGTTAGGAAAAACCAAAAAAATAGCAGTTGGAGTCCATTGGAATTATCCTCCCTAAGTGTGAAAATTCCACAGCCATGTGAGATTCAACAAGTAACAGGGATTAATGTAGGTGAATAAGGAGTAAATTGCTATAACTATTCTTTTTCTGTACAATTACTGATGGTAATTTCTATACAATTACAATTACTGCTGACTTGGATATCAGCAGCCAATATTAAACTTCCTTAGGGATCTTAGTCAACACCGTGATATGACCATCAACATCACAGCACTAAGACTTCCTTCATGAACACAATTATGTATAATACAATCTAGAATACAAGAGGTGCTCTCGTGTCTTGCCCAGAAAGGCAAATCATAATTTAAAAGCCATCTAGGTGAACTAGACTAGAGCTCATTCAGGAGAGAGCCCAGGGAGTTGGAGGGGCCCCCAGAAGAATGTCACATAAAAAGGAGGTGACTCTCCTCCCTTATTTTTTCCCCTCTTTATTCCTGCTATTGTCAACATAGGGAACATATACTACAAGGTGTATTGTGCTAGGCTCAGGTAATACATTGATGAAGAAGACACGGTTCTCAAACTGAAGCAGGGGTCAGCAAACTTTTCTATAAAGGTCCAGATTGGAAATATTTTAGGCCTCATGATCCATATGGTCTCTGTCCCAACTACTAAACTCTGTTGTGCCAAAACGGTCACAGATGATATATACAGACATACCTTAGACAGATTGTGGGTTCAGTTCCTGACCACCACAATATAGCAATTATCACAATAAAGTGACTATCAGAATAAAGTGAGTCACAAAATTTTTCTGGTTTCTCAGTGCATACAAAAGTTTTGCCTACACTATATCATCGTCCATAAAGTGTGCAATAACATTATGTCTGAGAAAACAACATACATATCTAAATTTAAAAAGATTTATTGGTAAAAAATGCCAATGATCATCTGAGCCTTCAGTGGGTCATAATCTTTTTTTTCATAATCTCTTTCTCTTTTGCCTCAATGTTGACGGCTGCTAACTGATCAGGGTGGTAGTTCCTGAAGGTTGAAATTTGCAGTGGCTGCGGCAATTTCTTAACAAAATACAAAAATGAAGTTTGAGGCATTCATTAACTCATCCTTTCACAAAAGATTTCTCTGTAGCATGCAATAGTGTTTAAATAGGAATTTATCCTCAATAGGACTTCCTTCAAAATTGGAGTCAATTCCCTCAAATCCTGCCACGGCTTTATTAGCTAAGTTTACATATATTCTAAATCCTTTGGTATCATTTCAGCAATGTTTATAGTATCTTTACCAGGAGTAGATTTTATCTCAATAAACCACTTTCTTTGCCTCATCCATTCAATACTAATGATGAGATTGCAGCAATTCAGTCACATTTTCAGGCTCCACTTCTAATTTTAGTTCTCTTACTATTTCCGGCACACCTGCAGTTACTTTCTCCACTGAAGTATTGAAGCCCTCAAAGTCATACATGAGAGTTGAAATCAACTTTTTCCAAACTCCTATCAGTGTTGATATTTTGATCTCCTCCAAGGAATCATGAATGTTCTTAATGGCATCTAAAATGGTAAATCTTTTCCAGAAGGCTTTTAATTGACTTTGTCCATATCCATGAAAAGAATCCATATAAAATCCATATAAAATGTGTTTCTTAAATAATAAGATTTAAAAGTCAAAATAACTCTGATCCATGGACTGTAGAATTAACATTTTGTTAGCAAACATGAAAACAACATTAATCTCCTTGTACATCTTTTTCAAACCTCTTGGGTGACAAGGTGCATTGTCAATGAGTGTTAATATTTTGGAAAAAAATCTTTTCTGAGCAGTAGGTCTCAAGAGGGGGCTTAAAATATTAATTATACTATACAATGAACAGATGTGTTGTCATCCAGGCTTTGTTATTCCAAAGAGTGGATTCTTTATTTTTAAAAATCCTAGGATTTTTGAAAATAGCAAATGAGCTTTGATTTCAACTTAAAGCCACCAGCTTCATTAGCTCCTGAACAGAGAGTCAGCCTTTCCTGTGAAGCTTTGAAGCCAGGCATTGACTTCTTTTCTCTAGCTATGAAAGTCCTAGATGGCAACTTCTTCTAATAGAAGGCTACTTTGTCTAGATTGAAAATCTGCTCTTTAATGTAGCTACCTTTATCAATGATTTCAGCTAAATCTTCTGGATAATTAGTTGCAGCTTCCACATCCGAACTTGCTTCACCTTGCACTCTTATGTTACAGAGATAGCTTCTTTCCTTAAACCTCATAAACTAACCTCTGCTAGTTTTAAACTTTTCTTCTGCAGCTTCCTTACATCTCTCAGCCTTCATAGAACTGATGATATTTAGGGCTTTGATCTGGATTAGGCTTTGGCTTAAGGGAATGTTGTGGTTAGTTTTGTCTTCTATCCAGACCACTAAAACTTTCTCCCTATCAGCAATATGGCTGTTTAACTTTCTTATCATTTGTGTGTTCAGTGGAGTAGCAACTTTAATTTCCCTCAATAACTGGTTTTTTGCATTCACAATGTTACTAACAATTTTACTCACAATTCTTACACATAAATTTTAGTCATAATTTTATATGTCATCAAATATTATTTTTCATTTTAAAAAATCATTTATAAAAGTAAATGATTTGGCACAAGAGGTCTCACTTTTGGCCTATCTCAGTTTTTGACATGGCTTTCTCACTAGGTTTAATCATTTCTAGCTTTTGATTTAAAGTGAGAGATGTGTGGCTATTCTTTTTACTTGAACACTTAGAAGCCATTGTAAGGTTATTAATTGGCCTAATTTCAATATTGTTGTGTCTTAGGAAATAGGGAGGCCTGAGGCAAGCAAGAGAGATAGGAGAGCAGCTGGTGGCTGGAGCAGTCAGAACACACGCATTTATCTATCAAGTTTGCTGTCTTACACGGGCATGATTCTTGGTGCCACAAACAATTACAATAGTAACGTTGAAAGGCTGGCGCGGTGCCTCACTCCTGTAATCCCAGCTCTTTGGGAGGCTGAGGCAGATGGGTGGCTTGAGCTCAGCAGTTTGAAACCAGCCTAGACAACATAGTGAGATCCTGTCTCTGCAAAAAATTCAAAAATTAGCCACGTGTGGTGGTGTGTGCCTGGAGTCCCAGCTACTCAGGAGGCTGAGGTGGGATAATCACTTCAGCCCAGGAGACGGAAGTTGCAGAAAATGACACACTCTGTAAATTGTGCCAGTGCCATCCAGCCTGGCCATAGAGCCAAACCCTATAAGAGATATAACAATAAGTAAAAGTTTGAGATATTGTGAGAATTACCAATATATGACAGAGATACAAAGTGAGCAACATGGTGTGGGAAAAATGGCACTGATGGACTTGCTTGACACAGGGTTGCTATAAATCTTTGATTTATAAAAAAATACAATATCTGCAATGCATGGTAAGTGAACTACATTAAAAGAGGTATGCCTATAAAGGAATGGGTGTGGCAGTGTTCCAACTCTGAAATTTGAATTTTATGTAATTTTCGTATGTCATCAAGTATTCTTTTTGATTTTTTCCATTATTTATAAAAGTAAAAGCCATCTTAAATTCTCATGCCAAATAAAAAACAGACAGCAGAGCATCTGTGAAGGGTCTTAGAGTCTAGTGATGTATACAGATAGGTAAACAACCACGATACTGTGTGAACAGGGTCAGAGTGCTGGGTGTTATGAAAGTGTACGTGAACAAGAATTATCAGAGGATTCTTTGTAGCCATGTAGTGAAAGTTAAAGGACGGGTTTTCAAATTATGCCAAGAAGCTACTCCATATTTCAGTCAGTATTAATAGCTCATTGTTCCCATTTTTTCAGCCAGAAAATGTATCCTGTTATTCTCTGAATTCCAGGGGTTGTGAGAGAGGGGAAAAAGGTGCTGCAGTTTTTTATATGTGCCTGTACTGGTGGTGAGTGGACCTAGATTACAAGTAATTATAAAAATTTTTTCAGTTAATATTATTTAGTAGTCAGGATCATTCTTTTGTGATACTTAAGTTCTGCCATTCTACTATTTCCCTTTTCATGTATTATCTTTGCTCTACCAGAGGTAAATAATGGATACACTCTAAGGGATGGTTCTATGTTAACAAAAAGAAAATGGAATATGTATTTGCTAAAAGTTTTGTTTTCAAACTAGCAGCAGAGCCAAACAATCCGAAAAGAACTTTCGGCTGAGGGTACCGTCATTGCCATGGCTTTATGGGTGTGTGACTGGTGCCCACACTCAGGAGGATCCCACTCTGCTGTCACCATCTTGGTATTCTTAATAATTTTTAAAAGAATTTTATGTTATCAACTGGCGTTGAGCCCAGCAAATTATGTAGCTGGTTCTGGAAACAAATGACAAGTGAACTTGTTCTTGTCTGAATAAGAGTACTGTGCCCTGATGGGCCCATTCAAGGACGAACATACAAAGGGAATCACCTTGGTGAACAAGCCACAGTTTGCATTCCTCCAAACCACTTAGCCATTCTCAGCTTAGGCAGCTTCTTTGAGATTCTCCCTAACTCAGTTATGAACAAAAACTCTGCATTATACTTTATATCCTACACTCTCCATAGCAACATGAAATCCATGTAATCATCTATTAAAAATATTTGGTGAATGCCCAACATTTGTAAAATGCCTGTATTTGCCAGGTGCTATTTTTTTTTTGCCATTTTGCACAGAAGATAATAACTTTTAATTGATTCCAATTGAATTGATTTGTGTGTCTTGCTAAAATACATAAATGACACATTAAAAAGTCAATACTAGAGGAAGAGGAAAGAGGGATTTAAATGAATTGAAATAGAAAGATGGAAAGGGAAAATGAGGAAAGAAAAATAACAAAAAAGAGGAAGCTTGGATAGATGGATGGATGGATGGATGGATGGATGGATGGATAGATAGATAGATGGATAAAATATAGCCCAGAGTCTTGGCTACTCTGAAACATGAGAGATAGATGGATGCATCTGGCATGACTCAATTCCTGGCAGCACTTCTTTTTTTGTAAAAAAATAATTAGGCAGATAGTGAAAAGTCACAGAAAATGACAAACTCTGTAAATAACCTCAGCAGCCACAAACAAGAGACAGTGCTGAAATAAGTAAATGGAGGACAGCTGGTCATGATTTGGTGTTAATAAGGGCCCACATCAGTGAATATGCCAGATTTTTTCAACTGAAGTCAGGCATACAGAGGACAATCATCCTTAGTATTAAGGAAATAAAATACTGATTTTTTATTTTTTTAGTTTAAAGAAACCTTTTATATCATGTATTCATTTTCAAATTTAAGGAACAGAAAGAGAAAAGTCATCACATATAGGAACCCCTAAATTTCTAATCCCAGTTTTAATCTTTATATACTATAATGTAAATGTTCTAGCCTTAAACAGCCTGTGAATACAAAAATGTATATTGTATTCAAAAATTGTTGTTTTCAAAAATTCTAAGCTTCCATCTTTTTGAAGATAGAGTCCTGTTCCTATCCCCAAGTTACTTGTTTATAATGCCCAAAATCTTTGTAAGCAGGTGCATCAGTTCTATCATCCCTGTCTGCATAAGTTAAGCATGCTAGTTGCTGAAGATTTTTGCTGCTATTACTGGAGGCTCAGTACTAGCTGTTAAGGTGCACATTGCAGCGGCATTGTACACCTCAGAGTTACTGCTTCCTGAAATTAAGCACAACTGAAATTTTAGAATGAGTCTGAAACTTTAATCTGCATTTGTCTCATACAGAGATTCTGCTAAACATAGATTCTGATTCAACTGTTTTGGGGTGGGGCTTGAGATTTTTCCCTCTTAATAACCTCTCAATGTGATGCTGCCAGTCCATGGACCACACAGTGAATGTCAATGTATCAGAGCGCTGTTTCTCAAAATGTGGTCTTTGTACTGCTCGGCATTTAATCACCACAGATGTTTATTTGTTTCTGTTTTTTTTTGTTTGTTTGTTTTTTACTGTAGACTTTCGTGCCTCTGTTCATATTGAATTAGTATTTCTGGGACTAAGAACCAAGAAATCTGCATTTTTGGCAAGCTTCTTTGGACAATTCCTGTGTAACCAGCGGCGTGGTGTGTGGACACTATGGCTTTGACACCCAAGCAGTTACTTATTAAACTATAAAGAAAATTTCCTTCTTTATATCTTTATTAAATGGGCAGTATGGGAGAGTCCCCAGGGCCAGATAACTTGGACTGTTATACTATCAGAATTTGGAACTCCTTACAAATACAGTTTTTTTTTTTTCCTTCTGCCTAGGGACAAATATGTCATCTGTGGGACTGTATTCTCAAGATCACAACAAACCTTATTCAGAAGTGCCAGGCTCCTGAATACCTTGGTCTAACTTAGCCTAGTTTTTTTGGTCGTTTTTCATTTGTTATTTTTTTATTCTGGTCTTTTCACTTTGATTACAGATTATCTGAAAGGCTCTATTTTTCCTTTTTACGTTCTGGCCTCCATCACACCTTCTTGTCCCCATCCTTTAGAACTGAACCTCCAATAGTGGACAGGATTTGTGTCTTTGTCTCCAAGAGGGACCTAAATTCTATTTAATCTGGTCAATACAAATAAATACTTAAATGGCTTGGATGTCACCTGACTCTGCCTTCCAGACATATTTGTGCCACTTTCAGGTCAAGTTCAGCTGTTTCCAAGCATTATTTGCCCAGCAGAAATCTTCAATAACTGCTCTGCCTGGCAGATGACACCATGGGCCAGATTGAGCCATCAATAGTGGTCAGAATTACCCCATATATTTTGATGTTCCAGTAACCAGGATAGACATCCCAGGGTATTTCTTGTGCCTGAGGAGCATTGCCCTTGTTATTGAAAATAAAGCCTCTACTCCTTACAGTGTTACAGAATAAGTAAACACCAGAGCTCAGTCACATCCCAGTTACATTGAGGATGGCACCCTGATTTTAAAAATGAGAAACATCTCAAGTAGGAAGAGGGCATAGTAACTTGAATAATATCAATTTTTAATGATGTGCTAGGACCTAAATCCAAGACTCTTGAAAAACAAGAGCTTTTCAAAAACTTTGTGGAGTTATCAGTGGAAGAAGAAGGTTTTTTTTAAATACCAAATACCAACACATATTTTAATTACCCATATACCAAGTTTCTTTGTCCCATTTGCTCTGTCTTCCATACCACCAATGTCCTCCAGATACCTTTATATTATATACCCAAAGCCTGATGATATCAGAACTCACATGAGTTCACTGAGCCCTTTGATAGCACTGCCAACAGCAATTCTTCTTGCTCTCCCTATCTTTATTGTTTTGCCTAGCATGTCTAAACTTGACAGCACTCATATTAGCATTATTTTAAACATGACCACATACTGATTTAAAATTGAGATTTGACTATTATGCATTCAACAAATATTTATGAGGTGTCTTCTGTTTGTTTCTTTATTAGGCACTGGGAATACTGCAGTGAACAAGCCAGATAAGTCTTTGGTTTTCCTAGACTGAACCTTCTAATTGATTTCATTTTCAATTATACAAAAACACTAACCAGGCTAGGTAAAGTAGGTCCTGTCACCTGAACAAATATCTTCACAAGGGATGGGTCAAATATCTTTGGAACTAAACTGTTCTAGAAAGAAACTAACTCTAGAAAACAGAAAACAGGTAAAGATACAAGTAAGAAATACAGATAAAGGCAATGAAATAAAGACAAAATACTAGGCCACAGAAGTGAGACTCATTTCAGAGCAAAGATATTACTATGAATGTTATTTGTTGTGGTATCACAGAGTATTGAGATTAGAACTCTATTTTCTGTTGATTGTGTCAGATTAAGAACTGGTCTGGAAGCCTGAGTTGGGAGCCGGTTGATGAAAGCTATTTGCATTAGCTGGCACTTAGGAAACAATGTTGACTAACTGCAGAGAAAACAGGCATCTATCTTTCTTTTTTCCCCTTAATTAGGAATATCCTAAAGCAGCTCGCATTTTTAAAGTATGATGCCAACTACTCTGTTGAGATTAATAAGCCTTAGCATGTTTTAAAAAATGTCCTTTGGATAATAGCTTACTAAACACATTTTTTTTAAAATGAGAAATCAATCTCTCTCTCTCTCTCTCACACACACACACACACACACACACACACACACACACACGCACACACAAATTAAATGCGCTTTTAGGGACATCTATCGAGATAATCATACATCCTATTGTATTATACCCCATATCGTAAATAAACCATATTTGGGCATGATGTCATTATACCACAGGGCTGGGTTATGTTAGTCCATGTTTTATTTACATTTTGACAACTGTATTTATAAATAAGTTTGGTTTATAATTTTATTGGTTTTTTTTTTTTTGCAGTCTCAATACAACTCCCCACTAAAATCTCAGTTCATTGCACAGTTTGGGGGACAGTTTGTCAACTTTTTATTAAAATGCTTAACAGGGGTACAATATCTTTTAGGTTTTCCATGTTTTTTTTTTTTTTTAAATGTTTTTTTTTTTATTATACTCTAAGTTTTAGGGTACATGTGCACATTGTGCAGGTTAGTTACATATGTATACATGTGCCATGCTGGTGCGCTGCACCCACTAATGTGTCATCTAGCATTAGGTATATCTCCCAATGCTATCCCTCCCCCCTCCCCCGACCCCACCACAGTCCCCAGAGTGTGATATTCCCCTTCCTGTGTCCATGTGATCTCATTGTTCAATTCCCACCTATGAGTGAGAATATGCGGTGTTTGGTTTTTTGTTCTTGCGATAGTTTACTGAGAATGATGGTTTCCAATTTCATCCATGTCCCTACAAAGGACATGAACTCATCATTTTTTATGGCTGCATAGTATTCCATGGTGTATATGTGCCACATTTTCTTAATCCAGTCTATCATTGTTGGACATTTGGGTTGGTTCCAAGTCTTTGCTATTGTGAATAGTGCCGCAATAAACATACGTGTGCATGTGTCTTTATAGCAGCATGATTTATAGTCCTTTGGGTATATACCCAGTAATGGGATGGCTGGGTCAAATGGTATTTCTAGTTCTAGATCCCTGAGGAATCGCCACACTGACTTCCACAATGGTTGAACTAGTTTACAGTCCCACCAACAGTGTAAAAGTGTTCCTATTTCTCCACATCCTCTCCAGCACCTGTTGTTTCCTGACTTTTTAATGATTGCCATTCTAACTGGTGTGAGATGATATCTCATAGTGGTTTTGATTTGCATTTCTCTGATGGCCAGTGATGATGAGCATTTCTTCATGTGTTTTTTGGCTGCATAAATGTCTTCTTTTGAGAAGTGTCTGTTCATGTCCTTCGCCCACTTTTTGATGGGGTTGTTTGTTTTTTTCTTGTAAATTTGTTTGAGTTCATTGTAGATTCTGGATATTAGCCCTTTGTCAGATGAGTAGTTTGCAAAAATTTTCTCCCATGTTGTAGGTTGCCTGTTCACTCTGATGGTAGTTTCTTTTGCTGTGCAGAAGCTCTTTAGTTTAATTAGATCCCATTTGTCAATTTTGGCTTTTGTTGCCATTGCTTTTGGTGTTTTGGACATGAAGTCCTTGCCCACGCCTATGTCCTGAATGGTAATGCCTAGGTTTTCTTCTAGGGTTTTTATGGTTTTAGGTCTAACGTTTAAATCTTTAATCCATCTTGAATTGATTTTTGTATAAGGTGTAAGGAAGGGATCCAGTTTCAGCTTTCTACATATGGCTAGCCAGTTTTCCCAGCACCATTTGTTAAATAGGGAATCCTTTCCCCATTGCTTGTTTTTCTCAGGTTTGTCAAAGATCAGATAGTTGTAGATATGCGGCATTATTTCTGAGGGCTCTGTTCTGTTCCATTGATCTATATCTCTGTTTTGGTACCAGTACCATGCTGTTTTGGTTACTGTGGCCTTGTAGTATAGTTTGAAGTCAGGTAGTGTGATGCCTCCAGCTTTGTCCTTTTGGCTTAGGATTGACTTGGAGATGCGGGCTCTTTTTTGGTTCCATATGAACTTTAAAGTAGTTTTTTCCAATTCTGTGAAGAAAGTCATTGGTAGCTTGATGGGGATGGCATTGAATCCCTGGGATGCAAGGCTGGTTCAATATACGCAAATCAATAAATGTAATCCAGCATATAAACAGAGCCAAAGACAAAAACCACATGATTATCTCAATAGATGCAGAAAAAGCCTTTGACAAAATTCAACAACCCTTCATGCTAAAAACTCTCAATAAATTAGGTATTGATGGGACGTATTTCAAAATAATAAGAGCTATCTATGACAAACCCACAGCCAATATCATACTGAATGGGCAAAAACTGGAAGCATTCCCTTTGAAAACTGGCACAAGACAGGGATGCCCTCTCTCACCACTCCTATTCAACATAGTGTTGGAAGTTCTGGCCAGGGCAATCAGGCAGGAGAAGGAAATAAAGGGTATTCAATTAGGAAAAGAGGAAGTCAAATTGTCCCTGTTTGCAGACGACATGATTGTTTATCTAGAAAACCCCATCGTCTCAGCCCAAAATCTCCTTAAGCTGATAAGCAACTTCAGCAAAGTCTCAGGATACAAAATCAATGTACAAAAATCACAAGCATTCTTATACACCAACAACAGACAAACAGAGAGCCAAATCATGAGTGAACTCCCATTCACAATTGCTTCAAAGAGAATAAAATACCTAGGAATCCAACTTACAAGGGATGTGAAGGACCTCTTCAAGGAGAACTACAAACCACTGCTCAAGGAAATAAAAGAGGACACAAACAAATGGAAGAACATTCCATGCTCATGGGTAGGAAGAATCAATATCGTGAAAATGGCCATACTGCCCAAGGTAATTTACAGATTCAATGCCATCCCCATCAAGTTTTCCATGTTTTATTAAGTGAATTTTGGTAATTTTATATATTTTTTAAAAATTAGCTCTGAAATGGTAAATTTATTTGTAGAATTGTAAAGAGTGCTTTGGTAAATGCTGTGACAAGCTGCCCTGATCACCCTTCAGGTGGGAGGGACTGAGGGTACGGCCAGCAGCAGTGCTCAGCTCTCAGCCCTCTTGGTCTTGGCTAAGGAGAGCTGTTTCACCCACAGGTGTGCCCTCTCCTTAGGGTGAGTATGTCCAGTGCCCTGTCAATGTGGAAAGGGAGTGAAGGCCCAGTGCTTTCCCCGCAACGACCAAGAAATCTGGGAGCCTGTCCCTGCTTCAGAATACCCTATAGGGCAATCATGGGCTTTCGTGGTGACTACATTAGAGCTCCACATCTTTCTCTGTCAAATCTTGCTTTTTTCCTTTCTCTTCCATGGTTATTGATCCCAACAGCACTCCTTCATGATGTTCCTATGCGCTCATCTCCATCTCAGCATCAAAAGCCCAACCTTCAACAGGACTATATTCTAATTTTAAAAAATTCTCCATACTGGTCCTTATTAATACACTTTTCTATGATATTTTATCTCTTAATTTACTTTTACAGCCTTATTAAAATAGTTAAGTTGACTCAACTGTTAAGTTTACTAGATTACTTACTACTTTTTTTTTTTCGAAGCAGTCTCGCTCTATCACCCAGGCTGGAGTGCATTGGTGCGATCTCGGCTCACTGCGAGCTCCGCCTCCCAGGTTCAAGCGATTCTCCTGCCTCAGCCTCCTGAGTAGCTAGGACTGCAGGCGTGCACCACCACGCCAAGCTAATTTTTTGTAGTTTTAGTGGAGACAGGATTTCACCTTGTTAGCCAGGATGGTCTTGAATTCCTGACCTGAAGCAATCCTCCTGCCTCAGCCTCCCAAAGTGCTGGGATTACAGGCGTGAACCACTGCGACAGCCACTACAGCCACTTTTAAACCATGACTTCTGCATTTTCAAATGCTTTACATTGATTTCTTTCTAGAGATGTATGTTTATCTGTTCTTTTGTTTTTATGAGTATCACTAACCATTGCCTCATGGCAGCCTCTTGAGATATCACAGTATACTTTGTGTTCACTATCTTGTGGATTACCAGAACATCATTTAATTTCCAATCATTTATTAAGGCTCAAGGGCTCTGGAGACTAATAAACTAGATTGGAATGAACAGATTCTTCTAGCCAGGCCAGACCATTTTTACCCCATGCAGGGTGCATACACAGAACAGGTTTGCTTTTGTCAGGATTGGTTCAGGGTGGATTTTTTCTTGTCCTGGATCGTCAAAAGGCTGTTATGAAACCCCAGGGAAATACTTTATAGAGGCCTTCATCCTAAGAAGGGATGGTAAAAATCTATGGGGTAGCAGTGGTGGCAGTGGTGGCTCAGATGACATGGGTGGCTCTGCCAGAGTTAGATGGATCTCTTAGGACTGTGTTGTTTTCTTTAGAGCTCAGTCCTCACTGATCAGGAAGCTTGATGGGGGAGAACAGTGTGCTTACCAGAGAGAGGAGGACAGATCAAGAGAGAGAGCTCTAAGAAAAATGTTCAATGTCTACTCATCATGAAGTAGCAGAAGAGGCACCCACTTGCATCTTAGGGTCCTTATTAGGAACCCTAATAGGAGACCCAGGGTTTCTTTTATTTATTATAATCTTGAAGAGTAGACTGCATCTGATACTTAGCTGCCTCACTAAGGTAACTCATTTTCTCCTTTTGCTGCACGGCTAAGGTGAATCTTGAAGGGCCAGAAGAAGACGTGTATGGATTCAGGAACATTGTTGGTTGATCATGTCCTGGTTTCTGAGAGGCAGTGTTTCAAGCCAAATCTTTCCTGAGGAGTTAGTCCTCTGAACAGAAAAGAGGCTAGCTCGTTGGAGGGCCTCATGTGCTTTAGAGATGAAAGATGAACATTTGTAGTTGATTAATAATGCAATGCAGCACGAGGTAAGTGCCAAATAAGGGAAATGGATGAGTATTAAAGGAGTTCATAGAAATTTAAAACTGTTTGTTGATTTAAATTGCATGTAGACAAGTAGCAAGAGGGCTTACATCTAGCAGTTACTTTCCTATTAACCTTGCCTGTGGAGTAGCCAAGTACCTAATACTGTTCCCATGTTACCTCATCACCTCTGCCTAATCTCATTATTTCTTTCTTCAGCATATCATAATTGGTGGTTTTTGAAGACCAGCTTATTCAAATGTTTTTTTTCTTTAATAATAAAGACAACAATTGTCATTGCTATTTCTATAATCTTGGCCTATCACTAACTTTTCCTCTTGTAGTTATGACAAAGGAATCTCAGTAATCAACACAGTCTTTTCTAAGAGAGAACTAAAAGCTAACATCAGGCAAGTTTCATATTAGTTTTCTGCATTTTAGTTTTCTTTTTTTGATAATGAGATAATAAGCTTATAGAATTTTTGTGAGACTTAAATGAGAGAAAACATATTGAATTATTCTGTACAAGAGTTTAGTAATAGCTGAATCTGATTTTAGTTAAGGTAGTTAGTAAAAACCATCAAATATGCACATTGAATGAAATATTATTTTTCTTCCTGTATGTGAAGCGTTTGGCACATACTAAAGAATGTCTAATCCTTTTCCTCTCTCACACCTCATGTGAGCTGGATCTCATTTATGCTAACCTACTATTGTTGTATGATATGTCATTTAAGGATACTAACTAATGAACTTATATTTTGCTCTACAGTTTTAGGTGCTCTTTTATGCTTTAATCAATATGCTGTGCAACTAAAACCATTCTGAGAATATAATGCCACTACCATTTTACAGATAAGGCAAATAAGACTCAGAAAAGTTAAGTGGCTTTTCCAAGGTCACACAGTAAGAAAGTAGAAAAGTTGAGATGAAACTGCTCTGGTTGTTTAGTAACAGCCCCATTCAATTTTCATAATGACCACTGCTTCACCCCTGCAATGTCTGATGCAACTATAAAGGTGGTATTAGAAAAGAACCCAAACGAACCCTCATTTTGATATCATTCTTACTTAAGGGCTAGTTCAAAATGTCACAGAACTTCTAGCCTCTAGGACTCCAGGATCTTAATATTAGAAGACGCATAGGCTGGGCGTGGTGGCTCACGTCTGTAATCCCAGCACTTTGGGAGGCCGAGGCGGGTGCATCACGACGTCAGGAGATCGAGACCATCTTGACTAACACGGTGAAACCCCGTCTCTACTAAAAAATACAAAAAAGTAGCCAGGCATAGTGGCGGGTGCCTGTAGTCCCAGCTACTCGGGAGGCTGAGGCAGGAGAATGGCGTGAACCCGGGAGGCGGAGCTTGCAGTGAGCCGAGATCGCGCCACTGCACTCCAGCCTGGGCAACAGAGTGAGACTCCATCTCAAAAAAAAAAAAAATACATAGATCTCGGCTTCTGAGTGTACCAAATTTGAGTCATGATGTATAGGTATCATCTGTCCTGAATGGGCAATGAGAGGGGATATATTTGGGAACAGGAACTTTTGGCTTCTGGTAGATGCTCTAAGACCAGGAAGGAAGTCTCTCTTTTAGGGTAAAGAACGGCACAAACCCAAGGTATGGTAAATGAGCAAAGATACCTCAGTGCCCAGAGAAAGGGGGACAAAGGAGGTGGATAAGACATACTTCTTATGGAAAACTATAAAGGGGTCTTGCCAAAAAAAAAATAGAACCTTAATCTGATCCTGCTTCTAGATCTAACTACCAGTTTATACAAAATAAGGGAGACAGACTGTATTAGTCTATTCTCACACTGCTATGAATAAATACCTGAGACTGGGTAATTTATAAAGGAAAGAGGTTTATTTGACTCACAGTTCCACAGGGCTGAGGAGGCCTCAGGAAACTTACAATCATGGTGAAAGGGGAAGCAAACACATCCTTCTTCACATGGCAGCAGGAAGGAGAAGAATGAGAGCTGAGTGAAGGGGGAAGCCCCTTATAAAATCATCAGATCTCGTGAGAACTCACTATCACAAATAGCCTGAATAGCATGGGAGAAACTGCCCCCGTGATGCAATTATCTCCATCTGGCCTTGCTGTTGACACATGGGGTTTATTACAATTCAAGGTGAGATTTGAGTGGGGACACAGAGCCAAAACATATCACAGAGGAAAATATTTTAAAATAACATGAAGTTGTGAGCAACAAAATCCAGCATATGAAAATCTTGATAAGGACATATGAACCTGGCTTTCTCAGCAAATAAATTGCTAGGAAACAAAAGAGAGGGGAAGCTTATAGATTAGCTTGAGAGGCAAAGCAAGCAATGCAATGCAGGAGCTTTATTTAGATTTATATCAAATTGTCCAAATACAAGCAACACACTTACGAAGAAACGAGGAAAACTGAAAATTGACTTTTTAATAAGATGAAGAACTTATTATTAATATCTAAATAAAAAATGGAGGTAGAACATATCTTCTCACTGTGAACGTGTGGCACGGCAGGTGAGATGATTGATCACATAGATTCCAGAGCTACCTCTTTATTCTGCACCTAGTGGCCGTCTGTGACACTCAGGGCTGTAACTCAATAAAATATAATGTGGGGAAGCTGCTCTGGTGAATTCTAGATACTCATACAGAGTTGAGTGGGAGGGGCACTGTACAGAAAGGTGAATTTTTCTGCTGTCTGGCTGCCTCTCAAGTAGTCTCCCTGTTATCTTTCGAATACACTGGACTCAGGCTGCATATATTTGCAACTCATTTCTGTTTTTTGTCCTTGTTCTTTGTTTTTT
The DNA here is from genome assembly GCF_000001405.40 of Homo sapiens. Taxonomy (NCBI): domain Eukaryota; kingdom Metazoa; phylum Chordata; class Mammalia; order Primates; family Hominidae; genus Homo; species Homo sapiens. The sequence continues at coordinate 76,306,546 of NC_000002.12, forward strand.
ATTTTGTCTCCCACTCTTTTTCTTCCTTCTCTGGTTTCCATTGAGCATTTTATATAATTCTATTTACTCTCCTCTCTTAGCATATCAACTATACTTTTGTAATTTTTTAGTAGTTGTCCTAGACTTTGCAATATACATTTACAACTAATCTAAGTCCACTTTCAAATAACGCCACACCACTTCAGAGGAAGTGAAGTTACCTTATATCAGGGTATCCCCAATTCCTCTCTTCCATTGCTTGTAACACTGCTGTCATTCCTTATCCATAAATTATAATCACCAAATACACTGTTGCTATTACTGTTTTGAACAAACTGTTATCTGTTAGAAAAATTAAGAATAAGAAATAAAAGAGATTCTGTTTTACCTTCATTTATGCTTTTTCTAACATTCTTTCTTTATGCACATCCAAGTTTCTTCTCTATTTTTTATTGTGGTAAGAACAGTTAACATGAAATATAAACCCCCTTAACAACTTTTTCAGTGTACAGTACAGTATTATTAACTCTAGGCACAATGTCTTACCGCATATTTCTGGAATGTATTCATCATCCATAACTGAAATTTTCTATCTGTTGAACAGAAATTATCCACTTCCCCATACCCCCAGCCCCTGGCAACCACCATTCTGCTTTCTGTTTCTGTGAGTTTGACTATTTTATTTACCTCATATAAGTGGAGTCATGCAGTATTTATTCTTCTGTAATTTGCTTATTTCACTTAGTGTACTGTCCTCCAGATTTATTCATAGATTCAAATTTCTGACCTACATAAGTTTCCTTTTCTCTAAAATACTTCTTTTACTATTTTAATAATTATAAGTGGAAAAAGTGTCTTCAAAATTTTTAATATTTAAAAATTGGGTGTAGACCATAATAGGATAAGTTAGTATATATCTGTCATTACAGAAAAGATGTTGTATTTTCTATTCTGCTTTGTTTGTGTGTGCATGTATTCAGTTCAAGGAAATTTAGAGCAATAAATAAAAACAGAGAAGAGAAATAAACAAAGAAACCCAAAATATAAAAAGTATAAGACAGCAACAGAAGACCAAAGGTGTTTGGAATGTGTCTATATTTACCAAGCTGCATTCTGATTGCCAGTTGATGTGGTTACAGATGTATCCTGAGGGTCTACAGTCATTCTGTCTTTTCATAACTGTTTTGATTGGGTAGGCATCTGTTTTGTATTTTCACATCCTACTTCAATTCCTTCTGGGGTAATTTATGTACTACTCATAAGGAGATAAGTCTACCCAGAAAAGAGGCTTCCTGTGAATATTTACTGCATGCAAATATATTTGGAATGAAGGGGTTCAGAGAACTCCAAAGGGTGGTTAAAAATATAAATGTTAAGTTTTATTTATTAATCTTACCTTTACTTCCTCTAAAAATATTTTAAAAGTTTAAAAATCTGTCAGGGTCATACCAGTTTCCTCAATAAATTAGTAAGATGACCTCTTTAGAAGAATTGAAAATAATTGTTGCAATTTTTTAACAGAACTAGTATGACCTTAATAAAACAGTAGAATTTATTTATAATAAGCTTTGATATTTTGACATTTTATTTTTTAATAAAGTCAAATACACAAATTGTAATCCTTCCAAGAGTGAAATATCTGGAACCCACACTAAATCTGTATTCTTTCTTTTTCTCTCTGCTTCTTTTAAAGTAATTTTTTTACCTACAAGTTTCTTATTTCCAACAAAGTATTAGATAAGATAGGAACTCATTTTTATTACCATGTATCAGATGAAATTCCTTTTATCCCATTCGGTCGATATCATTAGCCTTTCAACTTCAGTGATAAATCCAACCACAGAAATTTTCTCACTGTAAAACTAACCACAGAGGGAGCAACAACAGACAGCACTGCATAGATCTGCAGCTTTTGGCCATATGCAAATCAGAACAACGGTCCCTGACAAACTGGTCTGAAATGAAAATGGGCCTTTGATAATAACAACTTCAATTTATATGCTGCTTTACCTCCTGAGGATTTCAAAGAACTCTCAACACATTATTATTTGAAAAAGACTGAAAAACACCAAGGTCTATGTTAATGTTCCCAAAAGATATTAATGGCTATTCTGTGTGCAAAACAGAGAACTTCTATATCTTACTAATTTTCTGCATTTTAATATGCTAGGTACACATTTTGAAGTAGATAATCCTAATAGTAAATGTCACAACTGGGACCAATTGTTTATTTGCTACCACACAGATTTCACCTTTGAAGTCTCTGAAATCACCAGTCCGCTTCTGCATAAGCACTAACCACACCTAATGAAATGAGGAAATGATAACCTGATTCCCGTTTGTGTCTAGCGGTTTACTGGGACAGGTGTCCAGAGGAATGTTTGGCAACATGTTCACTGAAAACAATACATTTAGAAGCGATTTCTAGGCCGGGTGCGGTGGGTCACACCTGTAATCCCAGCACTTTGGGAGGCCGAGGCAGGCGGATCATGAGGTCAGGCGATCGAGACCATCCTGGCAAACATGGTGTAACCCCGTCTCTACTAAAATTACAAAAATTAGCTGGGCATGGCAGCATGTGCCTGTAATCCTAGCTACTTAGGATGTTGAGGCAGGAGAATCACTTGAACCTGGGAGGCGGAGGTTGCAGTGAGCCAAGATTGTGCCACTGCACTCCAGCCTGGCAACAGAGCTGGACTCCGTCTCAAAAAAAAAAAAAAAAAAGTGTTTTCTAGACGTATTTGTGTTTTAACAGCTCTATGCCAAATAGTAGCTAATTAATAGAAATGGGGAAATGGGGAGAAGGAATAGAAATGTAGGCTTTGTAAAGAGGAAATAGAAAGTATAGTATACATTAAATGTGAATCCTAAAATTCTAATACCATTTTTTTAATGTGATTACCTCAACATGACAAATCAGAATTTGTTAAACACTTTATGGGGCACAGAAAAAAATGACAAAGAATTTTTTTGTCACACAAAAATTTGACCACAGTGGAAAATCAAGTGGCAGCTGTCTTTGCAACCTCACTATGGTCCCCAGTATCAAAGAGATTTGAAAAGCTCAGGTATTATTTAAATATTCATTCACATCCATCTATTATAATGTAAATATTTTGCAGATCCTTAATATGGCATTTTTTTCCCACCCCTGTTATTCCTATAATTAACATGAATGTACTCAGGGAATATTTTAAATTCAATAATGTTATTAAAAAAACCTCCAAAAACCTCTGACACCCAAGCCTAACCAATTTAATGTTGAAGGACCAACAGCTTTGAGGAGTCCTTTTTCTGGTTTATTTGGCCTTTGGAAAGCAATTTATTCTTACAGAAGTGACAAATTTTAGAAACGTTACAAGTAGAAGACTGATGTCTGAGAAAAGTAGATACCATTGGAATGATTGTTAGAGTATATGTAGCTCTTGATTTATTTGTGTCTAGATAGAGCTAAGAAAAAAATGTATATTTGGCATTCAAATCATAGTGAAATCTTCCAGTAAATAAGATAGCTGAGTACTAGAGTCTTTCCTTCTCCCTACCCCTCTCCCTGCCTCAATTCTCGTGTAGGAAGTATTGGAAATAGGGAAGAGTTTGTATCATTTCTGGAATCTGAGGAGGCTGTTATACAAATAAAAAACACGGATAATTTCTTCCTGATATGCTGCACATGGTCCTGTTAACCAATAGGGACAATAACATTGTGGATACATGATTCAGAGGGTCTGGGGCCCAGTATGCATCTATTCCTAATTAATGGAGTCCAGGGTCAATATTACCTCGATTAACACTGTTGCTATTGTTATTATTATTATTGACTCACCTGCCAAGAAAGGAGTTTGGCATCTGGGAAGTAAGATTCTGCATTGTATACACAAGCTGTAGTTTGCATGGTGCAGTGGTGGACAAGTAGACAAAATGGAGAATGTTATCTCTGACAGTGGCTGATGTTTCTGGAGAGATCTCTGCACTATAACAAGTATTTCTTCTAGCAGAGCAGAAAGTCATACCTGGAAGGGGTGGAGGAGGAATTGAACGGAGTGTGTGCTGAAAAACTCAGGACACGGGCAGCTACATAAATTAGGGGCAGCTGGCCGGGCGCAGTGGCTCACGCCTGTTATCCCAGTACTTTGGGAGGCTGAGGCGGGCGGATCACGAGGTCAGGAGATTGAGACCATCCTGGCTAACACGGTGAAAACCCGTCTCTACTAAAAATACAAAAACAGAATTAGCCGGTCTTGGTGGCGGGCGCCTGTAGTCCCAGCTACTGGGGAGGCTGAGGCGGGAGAATGGCGTGAACCCGGGAGGCGGAGCTTGCAATGAGGCGGGATCGCGCCACTGCACTCCAGCTGGGCGACAGAGCAAAAGACTCCATCTCAAAAAAAAAAAAAAAAAAATTAGGAGCAGCTGTGGCTGAATTGGAAGGGTGTTCAAACAGTAGCAGATATCTCTGTACCAGGCAGTAGCACGTAGGAGGCCAGGTAGAACTAGAGAGCTCTGTGTGTGAGAGGGAGAAGAGAGTTGGTAATCAAGGACATAAAAGGCTACAATAAGGAGAGAGTCTGCCACACAATTGGCCATCAGATAGCAATCTGGGAGGTCTGACACTTCAGTCAGAGGTTTTGCCAGACACAGATAAAGTTCAGTTCTACATAGATTCTTCCAAGTTTATATATGTTGTAGCTGTTCCTTAGTTTTATTCATCCTTCCCTTCTTTTGAATCCTTTTGTTAATTTTGCATCTTTCAGGGAAGGAATAATGTGAATTCCTATGTCCTCTGCCGTCTTTCCAGAAGTTTTAACATCTCTCTTTTGAGATCCAAGCAACAATAAAATGTTTCTTGCATTTTCAAGATGTTCTTTCATTCTGTTGTTTTTCTTTATACTTGAACACACAGATGGTTGGCTTAAATTCAACAGTCCAATTTGCCTCCAGTTGAGGATTTGGATTTAACAATTTGCTGTACCTAATGATTCCCATATTTTTCTCAAGTGCATTAAATTCATATGCTTCTTTTCATTATTATCATCATATTCATTTTTCTATTTTCCTTATTAAAATAGTAAATAAAAGCAAAATGTTATAGAAGAGTATTCTCAAATAATTTTTAAAATAGGACATTATTTTCAAGTGAATATTATCTTAGTGAATCATTAACTTAATTGATCTTGAATGACAATTTAGACATCATAGTAGTTAAGACTGTAGAGCCTGGAGTCAGTTTTCATTTTTCACTTTCTGGCTATGTTATTTTGGGTAATTTATTTAGCCTCTCTGGTTTCTCCATTTTCTTATATATGAAACAGGAATGGTAATAGTGACAACTTACCACGTAGAGTTCTTGGGATTAATGAGTTAATAGACGTCAGGCACTGAGAACAATACTCTGCTTAATGCAAGAGCTATATTATCTTTGGTCATTAGCATTACCCAAATTCCAGTGAGTAACAGAAATAACAGTGAAGTTACTTGGGTTGATGTCACGACTTAAGGATTTATTTCATGTAGGTGAGAGGTAAGGTTTTATTACTTTTTCTTTTTTTATTTTGCTTCCAAATCGTTAACTAGTATTTCAGTACTATTTACTGAATAATTTATTTCTCCTAACTTCTTATATCCATTTTAATTCTATTTTATATTTAATGTTGTTATAAAAGCAATTATTTTTAAACTTTTTATTATTTTATTACATGAATGATATATGCTCATTTTAAAAGAAGCGGAAATTGCATATGGGGTAAAAAGCACACCTTTCATATTCTAACTTTAAGAAATATTTATGTGTATTTCTTTATTAGTTAGAATGAGTTGGGCTATTCTGTGGTTTAAAACAACAACAGCCACAACAAGCCTCGGAGTTTTAAAATCACCAGAGCTGATTTCATGCATCACAATATATCCATGTGAGGTCATCTGGGGTTTCTGCTCTGCTGTGTATCAGTTTTCTCCCAAAAAGGCAGAACTCAAAAGTTCTATCCCTTCACACTATTTAGGACAAAGTTTAGGATCTCTGAGTAAAGTGGATAGTCTGTTTCTCACGTCTGAAAGTGGTTGGTTCCTTTTGATCTAGAAACCCCACTGATATATCCATAGCATTTTTCAGACACCCGTCTTATAAATTTGCAATGCATCTTTGTGTTCTCACTTTCAATTATCTCTCTGTTTTGTGACTTAATTGTAGGTACACTGAGTTTGTTATACTTCAGGAAGTATGCTTCTCATAATCACTCCTCTCTTAACAACTTTGTCAAATCCAGAAGATTTACTGATGTCACATTCTTTGTTAGACCGTTACATTGGGTGAAATTAATAAGTTGGGAGATAAGAATGAGGTGTAGTGGCCACAACCTTGACTTGATCCTGAGTTTTAATAGGATTTCTGCCTCAAAAACATTCTCAGCCTCCCCTTACCCCAGTCAGTTTTGGGTTGAGAAGTACTTGCCTCTTTGAACGTCATAGATCTCTGAATTAGTAAACTCTAAGTTGTCATTAATTCTCTTCTTATAAACTGATAAATTGTTTTCTGAAATGTTATCTTTTTTGCGTATGTTATCTTTCCACATAGAGCCTGCCCTAACTGGCGCACAAACTACCAACCTTTTCTATCCTTTTCTTGTAAAGATACAAGTTTGTCAGGAACATGCTCTGCCTTCCAAGAAGCTACAGGAGACAGTTTATCAAATGTTCCATCCCTGCAGTATCCTGGTCAATCATATTCTCAGCCTCCAGTATTAGTTTTCTTACTATAAATCCCTGAGCTGTAACGCAATGACCCAAATGTAAGAGTTTTTGGTTGGGTTGTACCCCGCTTTCGATAACAGTAAAGATAGATGAGGTTATGCTGTGGTAATAAACAGCCTTAACAGTCTACATTAGAAAAGGTTTGTTTCCCGCTCATGCCACATACCCATCACAGGTCAGCTGGGGACTCGCCTTTGCACTGTCTTTACCACTGCAGCCAGGCTGGTGGGCAACTCACATTGGGAGTATTTACAGCCAGGAGAAAAGAGGTGCGTGACATATTCACATTCACCCTTAAACTTACCCAGACAAATGCAAAGAAAAATAACTACCCATCACTTCACCGGTCAAAGGAAATTGCATGGCTGTACTTAACTTCAAGGGGATGAGGATGTGAGATAAATCCATAGGCCTGAGAATAGAACTTTAATTCTAAAATTCATTCCCCTTGTATTTCTTTTTCTCTTGCCACCTCACTCCACCTTTGGCCTGTATATCATTTATCTACGTATAATATTTTGACTGAATGTTTTCTTGTAGTGTTTTCCCATCCATGTTCTGCTGAACCATTGTGGTATGTCAGAAATCAGGGTAGGTATGGCAAAGGGAGGTACTAAGCATGCAGGACTTTGGCCCCAAGTTCAGTTCCAGGAAACTAGTCATGACATCTCTCCTTTTATTTATTATTATTATTATTATTATTTTGAGATGGAGTCTGGCTCTGTCACCCAGGCTGAAGTGTAGTAGTGTGACCTTGGCTCACTGCAGCCTCTGCCTCCCAGGTTCAAGCAATTTTCCGGCCTCAACCTTCTGAATAGCTGGGACTGCAGGCGCACACCACTACCCGTGGCTAAGTTTTGTATTTTTTTTTAGTAGAGGTGGGGTTTCATCATGTTGGCCAAGCTGGTCTCGAACTCCTGACCTCAAATGATCCGTACACCTCAGCCTCCCAAAGTGCTGGGATTACAGGCCTGAGCCACCATGCCCAGCCACATCTCTCCTTCTAGACACAGCCTCAACAATGTGTCTCATGTGTCTTTATTAATTCTTGTCTTTTCTCCTTGATTAATCTCAGTCTACTGGTTTAAGTCCAAAGAACTATAGATGACAACCCATTAAAATATTACCAATGTTTACTTCTGGACACTAGAATTACGGGTTATTGTTTTCTTTGTGTGCACCTGTCCTAGGAAACTTGGAGCTCTGAATTGAGCAACCATGAATCTGCATGATGGTAAATCCTTGATAGTTTTACAGTGAGAACATGTTAATGAATAAAGGACAAAAAGTTGCTTTAGACTCTTTACTGTACCTGAAAATTAGAAAGTAAAAGCTTTGGGAATAGGCTTAAAAGGGGTGAAGATAAAAGCATTTAGACCATAAGAAATTACTTCCCAAATAAGTTTAAGATACAAGTATTGGAACAGGAATGCACAAATTCCATCTGAGGGAGGGGAAGTCTAATATCTTATGCTTCTATCAGTGGAGTAGCTACAGCCATGTTTTATGTAAATATAAATTGAATTCCTGCAGCAGGCAGGTCACTGTATTTGCTGATGCATAATGAGGGTGCTCAAACTTAGACTGTTTATCCGCTAGAGTCTCATTAAACTAAATATACTTGCCTTAAGCCACCTGCCTTTGGGCAGTTGCAATAGAAATAAGATCAGATTCATTTCCCGTCTTGATAAATTGGCATTAACTACTACTTTATCTGAAATAAGCTTGATAATTAGTGTCTCTGATTACATGGAGAAAACTGTTGAATCTTTTAGAATGCTTTAAAAAATGCAGGCTTTCTAAATTTGCTGCAGTTGAGGGAGGAGATTTGAAAGCCCTGAGCCAGTCATGACTGTGATGAGCATCATTAAAATAGCAATCTTTTTTTGGAAGCTCATCTTGTCCCAAGTAAGTGTGATTTAGGAATATGGGAACACCTGTTCCCCAGTGGCAGTTTTTACCTCAATGTTGTATTATCTATGATGACTGAGCTCTAGAGAAAGATATGGATACTAAGAGTGAAATATCTAATTAAATGATTAATAAGAATTAAAGGTAAGGGCCTTGTATTAGTCTATTCTCATGCTGCTATAAAGGACTGTCCCAGACTGGCTATTTTATAAAGGAAAGAGATTTAATTGACTCAAAGTTCTGCATGGCTGGGGAGACTTCAGGAAACTTACAATCATGGCAGAAAGGGAAGCAAAACACGTCCTTCTTCACATGATGGCCGGAAGGAGAAGTGCTGAGCAAATGGGGGAAAATCCCCTTATAAAACCATCAGATATCATGAGAACTCACTCACTATCACAAAGACAGCAGCACAGGGGTAGCTGCCCCCATGATTAAATTACCTCTCACCGGGTCCCTCCCATGACATGTGGGGATTATGGGAACTACAATTCAAGATGAGATTTGGGTGAGGACACAGCCACACCATATCAGAACTCTAGGAAATTGTGTCAGGATCAGGGTCCAGTTCTATGACTATTTTAAATACCACCAGCTGCAAATAACTCATGTCAGTTATATTACAGTCAATAGCTATTGACCACATACAATAAACACTTATTTCCCTCCATGCTGTGGGCAACTGTTTACCAAGTGTTAGGTGTTGCCTGCTTTTTAGGGTGCAGACAGAAAGCAGAGTGAGCTTCTTGCTGCCCCATAATCCCTGCAAAATCTTTTTCTTCTGGCTTCCCCTCTACTAGCTCACACGGAATTTAGTTTAAGACTACTGGCCGGGCGCGATGTCTCACACATGCAATCCCAGCACTTTGGGAGGCTGAGGCGGGCGGATCATGAGGTCAGGAGATCGAGACCATCCTGGCTAACATGGTGAAAACCCGTCTCTACTAAAAATACAAAAAATTAGCCAGGTGTGGTGGCAGGCTCCTGTAGTCCCAGCTACTTGGGAGGCTGAGGCAGGAGAATGGTGTGAATCCAGGTGGCAGAGCTTGCAGTGAGCTGAGATTGTGCCACTGCACTCCAGCCTGGGTGACAGAGCGAGACTCCGTCTCAAAAAAAAAAGGAAAAGACTATCGGGGACACTCTTCCATGTTTCTTGGAGCTTCATTCACATACATTTTCTTGAAGCCACAGAGCTATGTCAGACAGACTGGCCAGATAGTTCTTTTTTGACCACCTTACCTGCCTAGAGGGAGTAGACATGGAGCTATGACATTAAGGGATGCCTGGTGTGGGCTAGGAAGAAAAAATAGAGTGCAAGTTCCTTGAATAGGGAGAGGAAGCAATGAAAAAATTAATGAAAAGTAAAGAATTACAGCAATAGCACATGAATTATTTTATCCAAGTATTATTAATAATAATAAAAGTAATAATGAATATTTCTAGAAAGTTTACTCTGTATTTGGCTACTGTGGAAAAATGCCATGAATTCAGTATTCAACTAAACCTTCATATCAAGCCTATGAGACAGAGATTGCCTACTCTACCTGGGCCTGGGAGAGAAAAGTATCTTCCCCAAGTGAGTAGCAGAACTGAAAATAGAATGCAGTCTCTGTGACCCCAGATTCCTGCCTGTGCTTCGCAAGTGGTTTTGTTACACCGTGAGGCACATGGACCTTGTTCTGCGAGAAATCTGGAGACATTGGTAGGTTTCCAGTGTGTACGGTAAGTCTCTGGCTGGCAGCTTACCTTGGTGATTGCCTGGAGAGTGGTTTAGAGGTTATTGCGGTTAGACAAAGGATCCTTTATCTCAACAGCCAGGGTAGTAATCAGAGCTAGAACAAGGATAATGGCAGAGGCAGCACCTGAGGAGTAGATGGATTTAAAATATGTTCGTAATAAAAAAGCTAAAGAACCTGGTGATTAATTGGACTTGTGGACTGAGGAAGAGAAAGAAATTGAGCATTTCCAAGACCATGGCCTTTGCAGAAAAACATAGGTAGATGCTACTATTTAATTGAAGGTGGCAGAGTTTTGAAAGTATTCACATTCAGTCTTCTAGATTACAGCACTGAGCCTGAAGTATCTGTAATTTCTCTTTGGGTGACAGAACATGCTGTCGTAACTGTAGGTCATGTGAATCTAATGGGTTAGGAGTCCCAGAAAATCCTTTAGTAGCAAGCCCAGGATACTTTCTCTGATTTACTTTGTTCCAACGCTTGCTTTATGTTGGGGATTGTACAGATTGTTTAACTGACAAAGCAAAGCTTAGACTATTCTTTTCCCAAGAAATGATTTCTTGAGCCACAACAAAGATTGACATAAAAGAAGAGATTGCCTTTTGTCTAAATTTTGTATTCAGTGAGAATTTTTATTTGCTATTTGCTTGCTACTTTATAATATTTCTATTAGAAAATAGTAAAAGGCCAGGTGCGGTGGCTCACACCTATAATCCCAGCACTTTGGGAGGCTGAAGCGGGCAGACCCGGAGGTCAGGAGATCGAGACCATACTGGCTAACACAGTGAAACCCCGTCTCTATTAAAAATACAAAAAATTAGCCAGGAGTTTGTCACATGCCTGTAGTCCCAGCTACTCGGGAAGCTGAGGCAGGAGAATCCTTGAACCTGGGAGGCAGAGGTTGCAGTGAGCTGAGATTGCACCACTGCACTTCAGCCTGGGTGACACAGCGAGATTCCTCCTCAAAAAAAAAAAAAAAAAGAAAAGAAAAAAAGAAAAAGAAAATAGTAAAAGTCCATCTTTTAGACTCCCAGAAAGGACGGGAAAAGCGGTCATTGGATGCCATTTCTATCAATCATCTGGGTATAAAAGAGCAAAAACAGCAGTGAACCTGGCTGAATTTGGAGAGCTTGATTGGAGACAAACTTCTCTGTCAGCCTCATCTAAGGTGAGGGTGGAAGGTGCACTCTTCTTAGATGAATGTCTGGATTCACCGACTGGGTATGATAACATATAATTATCACATAACATTATTTTAAGGAATACTAAGTAGACCTTGCTGGACATATTTTTTTCTTTACTTAGGTTTGTCTTTTATAGTTGAGAACATTTCACTGATTGACTGATAGAAGTAATCTGCTCTTGTGGTTGAATGGTTGTCCCTTCATCATCATTTTGAAACTTAATCGCCACTGTAACAGTATTAAAACGTGGGACATTTAAAAGGTGTTTCGAACATGAGGGCTCCCCACTTATGGTTGGGAATGGTGCTTTTATAAAACAATGAGTTTATCCCCCTCTTGCTCTCTCTGGCTCTCTGACCTTCCACTATGTGATTCTTTGTGCCATGTAACGGTCTAGCAAGAATGGCCCTTGCCAGATGGTGGCCCCTTGAACTGTGAGCCAATGCATTTCTGTTTGCTATAAATTACCCAGTTTGTGATATTCTGTTACAGCAGCACAAAACAGTCTAAGACATTTGATAATCATCTGGAAAAGGGAGACCCCTGTTCCATGCAGCAGCATGGCATGATACTAGCAATGATGGCAAAGGTTTAAAGAAGAAGATTTGGGAAACAAAGACTTGTCTCATGAAATGGCCATTCTGACTGCAGTGGAGAACTCACTTCTACCTAAGAATATTCTTTTCATTCTGAAGACTGAATAAATCCCACTTCTGCCATTTTATTAAGAAGTAACCAGAGTTGTGGGGAGAGACGTATGGAAGTACTGTACATTATGCATTTATGCTTCTTTGGATGCTTTTTCCCATAAACTAAAGTAAGGTCGAAATAGACTTGTATATTCAATGTTTTCATAATATGAGCTCAAACAAGAATTATGAAGGGTGTGGTAATGAAAATGGAATCTGAAGTGTCCTCATGAGAAAAATGTAGGATTGTTATGTATAAACTAGGGCAACGGATAACATATCTCCCCACTTCATGCATCTACATGGTGATGAACTGAAAATGCTTATGAAAACCTTTTCAATTTGAAACTTCAGTCAGCATAGGAGAAACCCACGGGATTAGAATTGGCTCTTTTCCTGTATTGCTTTAACCAGTTTCCTATTCATAAAAGGAATAGGTTTATTTTTAAGTCTAGGAATGTAGACATTTGTGATAGAGAGGAAGTGACATTCACTTACTAATTTCTCATTTTATTCAAATAGTGGGTTTTAGTCTTTTTTAATATTTCACTTTTTTAGGTGCTTATGTTTACTCTGTAGTTTTTAACCATTCTAATAATCTTGCAATATATAGGTTAGGAAGATATTTTGTGCTTTTTTTTTTTAACGGGAAAACTGAGATGTAGAAAAAGATAAAAACGTCTTGCCCAAAGTCCAAGTCAAGAATGTTTGTAAACTATGTATTGTTTATTCCGTGGTATAGCTGTATCAAGACTCATTTAACCAGTTACTATATTTGAACATTTTGTTTTCAATTTCTCAGTAGATACTAGAATATAACCATATTCATGAATATTTATTGGCTATTTTTAATTGCTTTCTTTTGAATGTTTTTCTACAAATCTTTCTAAATTAAAAAAAGCAATTTAATAAATTTTCAAACACAGATTTATTAAAGTACTTATATTATTTATAATGAACATCTCCATTCAAAGCTGTGGCCTAGATTGTGACTTTCTTACTATCACCTTGATATTTCCAGACATTACACTGTTCCCAGAATATGGCAGATCCTCAATAACCATTTGTTGAATAGTAATTAATGTTTATTCTTATTTTAAGGTTTTGGTTACGAATGAGAGTATTTTTATCTATCTCTAAAGAAACCAATTTACTTCCTTTCTAGCTTTCTGGACATGGAATACTGTTTTTTCAATTGTAAATTGTTTTGTTAAATATTATAAATGCTAAATATGAATTCAGGGAATTTTGGCTAATTGAAGTAGTAATCAGATGAGTTATGTTTATCAGAAACATTCCACGTGGTAATTTAATCTCATCATTATAATTAAGATCATATTGTTACTTTGATTCAAATTCTCCATTCTCTCTGCCCTCATGGCCTTTCGATTTTATTGAATAAATGTTCCTCCGGATAGATATTTGAAAAGTAGTGTATTTGTTGCCAAGATTTATACTTTAAGAGGTATAAAACTAATTAAACAATTAAAAATTTAATGTCTTTTTCATTTTAGAGAGCAACAATAAAATAAACAGATTCAATCATCTGAGACATCAATAAGAAAAAATATTGTATTGTATTATCTTGCTGTAGAGCGTACCACTCACCAATATTTCCAATGCTATCTTTGGCCATGTTGGATTTCCCAGGGGAGATAAATTTATTAGCATTTTTATGGTCACATTTTGTAATTACTGGTAGCCTTCTTCCTTCCGTGCTAAGAACTAACTGCAGTTTTCTCATACAGATTTTTCCTCATATTTTTTTGTTGCAGTAAAGCTTATATACAATGAAATCCACACGTTAGATATACAATATGGTAGATTTTGACAAATACATGCACCTATATAACCAATATCCCGGTCAAGATACAGAACATTTCAATGGCTGCCAAAAGCTCCCTCCTATCGTCTGTCTAGTCAATCTCTGCCACTCAAAGGCAATAGTCTATTGTTTGTTCATTGTTGAATATATATCAAATTTGTTTATCCATTCTCTCTTAATGGTCATTTAGGCTGCTTCCAATGTTTTGGCTATAATGAGTAAGAGAACCATAAATCTTCTTATACATGTCTTTCTTGTAGAAGTAAGTTTTAATATCTCTTGCATATATAACTAAGACTGGAATTGCTGAGTCAGAGACTAGATGTATGGTTAACTTTAGAAGAACTTGCCAAAGAGTTTTCCAATGTGGTTGTACCATTTTATGCTCTTTGCAGCAATGTGTAGGAATTCTAGTCACTCCAAAGGCTAGCAAACACTTGGTATTATGAGTCTTAAAAAAAAGTCTTAGGCATTTTAGTGATTGTGAAGTTGTATCTCATTGAAGTTTTACTTTGTATTTCTCTAATGACTAGTGATGTTTATTATCTTTTCATGAACTTGTTGGTCATTCGCATATCTTCTTTTTAAAAAACTGTCTGCTCAATTCTTTCACTTAATTTTTCACCTTTTTTTTGCCTTTTTCAGGGCCATATGTATACATGTAGTGCAAATGTTGTCTCTCATTTTGTAGTTTGTGTATTAATTTACTTAACAATATATTTTGATGAGCAGAGTATTTTAATTTTTTATGAAGTCCAATTTTTTTATGGACAGTATGTTTCATATCCTCTTTAGGTAAGCTATCTACTCCAAGGTCAGAAAGATGTTCTACTATGTTTTCTTCTAACAACTTTATGGTCTGAGTTTCCTGTTTATATGGATATTATATCTCAAATTATTTTCTGTGTATACTGAGAGTAGGAATTGAGACTTGTTTTTTTTCCCTTATATATTTACTCAGTTGTCAAATCACCATTTGTTTAAAAGACTTTCCTTTCCTTATTGAATTTACTTGGTGCCTTTGCTGAAATTCATTTGAACAGGAGGTCTATTTCTAGACTCTTTATTCTATTCTTACAATTGTCTATTCTAATGTCAACACCACACAGTCCTGATTATGATAGCTTTATAGTAAATCTTGAATGTAGACAGTGGGAGTCCTCCAACTTTGTTTCTCTTTTTAAAGATTATTTGACTATCCTATATTCTTAAATTTTTACATAAATTATAGAATCAGTGTGTCTTTTCTTCAAGAAAGCCTCCTGGAGTTTTGAGAGTGATTGCATTGAATCTATATATCAATTTAAGGAGAATAGATATCTTAGCAGTACTGAGTCTTTCAATGCTGTTTTAATTCTTTTTTAATTTTTCTTTCAGTCATGTTTTTTAGCTTTCCATGTAGATATTTTGGACATATTTTATTAATTTCTAAAAATGATATTTTTGATGTAAAGAGATTTTTTCTAAAATGTATTTCTTATTGTTTGTTGCTAGTTCTTAGAAACATAATTGATTTTATACATTGATTTTGTGTCCTCTGATCTTAGTAAATCCACATATTAGTTTTCTGTAGATTCCTTAAGGCTTTCCATGTAAACAAACATGTTATTTTCAAATAATAATGGTTTTACTTCTCTTTTATACTGTATGCCTTTTACCTTTTGTTTTTTGGCCATTTCATTGTACAGGCTAGGAGTTTTAGTAAAATGTTTAACAGAAATGGTTAGAGTGGATATGACCCATGTCTTTCAAATACTAGTAGAAGAGTGTTCAGTCACTATGAAATATAATTCTAGCAGTAGGCTTTTCATTTGTGCACTTATAATGTTAAGAAAATTTTCTTTCATTTTTAGCTTGCTGAGAGCTTTTGTAATTTGTTGAAATGATCATATGGTTTCACTATTTTTTTTAATTCCAACATTCTCCAGAACTACACAGCCTTCATCCTCACCCTCTAGCTCTCAGCTCCTTAGCAGGCATCTTTGCAATGCCTCATGCAGTTCTACCTTTCAAGTGCCCAACTCAGTCCCAGCTAAGTACCTGCAGTGACTATCCCTGTACACTTCTGTTCCCACTCCCACTCTGTATAGCTTCTCTTCTTCAGTGTCCTATCTTGCAAATTACAGCCCCTTCCACATTTAAGAACTTCTTTCTCTACTGCTTTAGCTCTGGGAGACACTCTGGCCCTTTGCTGGGTCAGTGGTAGCAAAATGCCCCAGGCAGAATGGTAGAGCAGTCTTGGGGCTCACTTCGTGTGTTTCTTTTTTCTCCAGGATCACAGCCCAGGACTGTGATCATGAAAAAAATAAAAGTCAAGAATATTTTTCAATGCCTTTCAAGAATACAACCATTAGTGGAAGAGGGTGTCAAAGAGAAAAGAATATATAGAAGAGAAAAGTGGGCCCCACACATTTAAAAGAAGTGATCATATGGAAAAATATGATGCTTAATTACTTCCTATGATATAATGCACATATTATAGGCATGTTGCAGTTTGTAACAGTTCTACTTGATCATCTCTGTGTTGTGTAGTAATTTTAAAATTGCAGAATTTATCATATGTGGTTTATGAAAGTGATGTTATATTGTGGGAAGCACTCAGTATAAGAAAAATTACTACTGGTCTTAGAAGCAAATAAACATGACTCTAAGGAGTTGCCAACATGCTGAATTTTCATGTTCTCATCTATTAAATGAAGATACTATTATTTGACTGTCAATATTGGTGTGAGTAATCCAGGTAATGTTTGTAAAACACTCAGCATCAAGCTTTATCTGGAATTTAGCAGGAGATCGTTAGATGATACTGATGATAATGATGGTGATGAAACACAAATATTTTATCTTACGAGCTAAAAAACAGTGATCTTTCTGGGGGTATCTGCTCTAAGAAAGGATCAGTAACTTATTTACAGTTTTCCTGGCACTGCCTGAGACCGGCTGGTAAAAATGTTATCTGGATGAGATCCATGGAAATCTGTTTAACTCTGCTTCTGGCCTTTTTAATCAATTCATCATGGAAAGTGCTTTATGGAAAGCAGCAAGTACTGTCATTACCCTACTGCACAATCCTTCTTTCATATTTTGATTCCATAAATGTCACGTATTTGATGACTTTAAAAGTAATCTTTATGGGAAGTGCATTGCTTAATATACAGTAGTGAAGAAGTCCCTCCTCCCTCCCCAAAGAATCCTACGTTTATGGTGAGGGTGGAAAAAAATAAATAGAATGCTCTGTAAGGCAACAAAATTCAAAGCTGAGGGATGAATAGTTCTAGATAAGTGAGATAATTAGAACAATTAGAAACAAATGCAGAATAATTGCATATTTCTTTTAGCTATTCATACAGTGAAAGTTCTGGGGCAAGAACTATGCTTTACATGTGCTAGCTTCAGCATTGGGTGCACTATTGGCACTAAAAAACAAAAAGAGGTTGCAAGTAAATTTTGCTATTATTTCCAAGGAAAATTCACTTGGAAAAGGGCATTGCACTTCACATAGCTTAATAACGGATTATAATTTCTGAAACATTCAAAAGCTAATTTATAAATCTTTAATTTATCCCAATAAAACAAAAAAAAACTATTGTTCTGAATCAAGTTGTTTATGTGATCTATGTGATCTAGATTTTCAGCAGACTTTTTACATGTGATGCATCACACAAATAGGAAAATAAATGAAGGTAAAATATTGTATGTGTGTATATGTCTGTCTATGTATCAGTAATTTATATATATAGTTTATATAACACATTCTTCCAAAATGATTTCAAATGGATTACTAAAAAAAGTTATAAGTAGAATTCAATAAAAAAAACTTGACTAAACTCAGGCAAATGGAAAGTGAAAATAATATATTTTGTCTTTATATTTGCTAAGATAATTAAGTGAGATGACTTAAACAATTAGAAAACGCTGTGAATTAACCTTTGAGTATGAAAGTATTTAAGAAACTCACCTAAACATAAGAAAAGTTTCAAGTCAGAACAATATGATGTCCTATATGAGAAATCAAGAGCAATCTGCAGGAGAGATAGTGTGGATGGACCTAGCCAGAAGAGAATAGGAAAGCTGGGTGTGTGATCCTCAGAAAAAAGACCCCCAAGAAGTAGTTCAGGCTCAATTGAAAGGAGAAAAATGAGCAGTGTAAATTTCTGGGGGAAGGGTGTCCAAATTACTTAAAAAATGTGGGGTCTAATTTTTGTTTTAAGATTATTTTTCTGTTTTGAGCAGCAAAGTAGGCCTCTAGTTTATTCCTGAAACCTAAGCAAAAGTTCACTAAATGCTGCAACTGCATTATTGATGCTTTGCTTAAAAAATTAAGGGAGAGGGCCAGTGCCTCTGCAAAGGGTGAAGTGGAGTGGGCACCAAGAGTCAACCTGAGAAGAGGCAACTGAACCTAAAGCACAAATGACCAGGAGAATGTAAGCCTTCACATTACTCACCCGGGAAGCCATCCTCAGATATCTGAAGAAATGTGTCAAACTTCCCAAACACATGTGGAGTGGTCTTGAGCTATTTAGTTGGATTTTAAAGGTACCGATGAACTAGAATCTGCAGTTTTTAGACACAGTTTTTTATGTCACTTATTATACAACAACAACAACTATAATATAAATGAAGTAATAACATTTAAGCAACCTACATTTTTTGTTTCACTGAAGCATAGAGAGATACCGTAAAGGATTGTTTTAAAAAATGTGTATTTGTTTTACATACATTAACCAAAGATAGTTATATCATTTAAGGCAAATTATTAAGGAATATATAAGTTTTATTAAATTATGTAGTTGTTTATCTGTAAATGGATACACAAAAAGTATGTTAGGTGGGTTGCTTCTATTAGGTTGGTTATGGATTCTTCTTACAATATCATTTATGCCAATAAATATTTTGGCAAATAAAGAGGAGAAATAATTATCTGCAGCTAGTTGTTTGCATGGTTTTATATGTATAATTGATGGTATACATATAAATCATTAGATATCAACTGGTTTCATAGAAAAATAATATTAACTGATTAGGTTTGGGAAATCCAAGTCAATGGGAAATTTTACCAGTGAATGACTACAACATAAGCTCCTTTGGACCCTAGCTGAGTAAAATTAGCCTGCAGTGGTTTTTAAGCAACAGTTACTATGCACGTGCTAAAGGCATTTATTGTCTTTTAGAAAAAGAAAAAAAAAAAAACATGCACTTCAATATTTCAAATTTCTTGAAAATGCCAAATGGCAATTAGGCCATGTTTTGAGCTAATCCCTTGCCAAAATTAACATTTTAACTTAGATATGCCCTGTGAGAGAAGCAACCCACGCCAGTAAATATTGGTTTTAATATTTATGAAAATGAATCTGGCTAAAACAATCATTTTGATTTACAAAAAATTCCCTTTTCACACTGATCAGCCAAATCCCATCTCAGCTTGTGTATCAGTCAAATTTTAAACTATAATTCAAATGTTAAAATACACCAACTGTCTCAAATTTAATTTGTAGCTTATTCAATAAAATTAGTCAAATATCAACTTTCTCTTAAAGTAAATAATGCCACAGAAACCGCTATTTTTATAATGATTACTACCTGGCATAGTAATTGTGGAAAATATCTGCATGGTACCATGGTAGGAAGTGTGATGTTTGATATTGAGTGTCAAGTTGATTGGATTGAAGGATACAAAGTATTGATCCTGGGTGTGTCTGTGAGGGTGTTGCCAAAGGAGATTAACATTTGAGTCAGTGGGCTGGGGAAGGCAGACCCAACCTTAATCTAGTGGGCACAATCTAATCAGCTGCCAGCGAATATAAAGCAGGCAGAAAAAATGTGAAAAGTGAGAGATGGGCCTAGCCTCCCAGCCTACATCTTTCTCCCGTGCTGGATGCTTCCTGCCCTCGAACATCGGACTCCAAGTTCTTCAGTTTTGGGACTCAGAATGGCTCTCTTTGCTCCTCAGCTTGCAGACAGCTTATTGTGGGACCTTGTGATCATGTAAGTTAATACTTAATAAATTCCCCATATATATATATCTTACTATATATCTTCTTAGTCCTATTTTATATTCATATATATAAATATATATATCCTATTAGTTCTGTCCCTCTAAGAGTACCCTGACTAATATAATAATGATATACCCTATTATTTCTGTCCCTCTAAGAACCCTGACTAATACAGAAGAGTGTCAAATTTTGACTCACTTTTGGTGACAGAATAAACAATGTGGCTGAGTCAGCAGCACAGGTTTAAACATCAGGCAGATTAAAGATCAAATCACGTCTTCACTTGTGAGCCTTTGGTGGAGTCATTTAACCTTACATGCTTCTGCTTTCTCAAATAAAAAATAAGAATTAAATAGCCTTCATCCAGGGTGAATGTGGGAATGAGATATATATATATATATATCTCAAATACACAAACATACCTACCTATAATATCTGACACATAGTAAGCCCTTAATACGGAGGCTTATGGAGTTAATAACTCGTATACATAAAGTAGTCTGACTTTTTAAATATTTCTTTTCTTCATTCTAATGACACATTTTTAATTTTTAATGAGTGTGACCAATACTTATGATTGATCCATATAAGAAACAATAATTGTCATAAATTTGTTACAGTGTTTTCAGGAAAATTTTGCCTGTTATTTTCACATTTTATGACTAACTAGCCAAATAGAAAGGCTAGCACATTTATATATTATATAGATATTATTTTAAAATGTAGCAATATGCAAAATGTAGTTTAGTAAATTTGCCAAAAACCTAACCTATTAATTTTGGATGGTAAAATATGGGTAGTTATTAGGTTATTCTTTGTTCTTTTTAGAATTAAAAAAATTATTCAAAAATAAAAATCCCCCAAATTTTAAAGTGTTTAATTTTGTCTTGATGTCTTTTAGTGCTACAGGTGGCCAATAGTTGGGTTCTTTTTTGTTGCTTTTGTTTTGTTTTGTCTTAGTATCTTCAAAAGGCTGATTCTTATACTTCGTATGGGTGCTGCTAAATTCACGTGACGCTAAATATTCTTTGAAATCAAGAAACGGACCCACAAATTTGTCTCTGAGAAAATAAGACAAATGGAAAATAATGTTTCTTGAAGAGTTAGAGACATGAATATATTTGAACACTTCTTGGAAGGTGTGGGACAGAGTGTGAGGCCACTGGGACACTGGTATCAGTATAAGCCCCAGCAAGCTGGCCACGAGAAGTTATATGGGACAAGGAAGGATGCAGAGGCTGCAAGAGGAATGCTTTGATTTTCCTGCTTTCACAGAAGATGCCCTGCTTGATATTATCCTTGTCTATTATTTCTAAGGGCTGAAAAAGGGAGAGATGTGTATCCAATTTAAGGTCATCTGAAAAATACAGGAAGGCAAAGATGCTCAGTTGTCTTGGTACTAGTTGTAAGTTAAATTTGACTTCTGATATTACCTCTCTGTAACAAATCTGCTCATAGATATGGAATGATGATAAGTACATGTGGAAAAAACAAAATAAAAACATTAATGAGATCTCACTTCTTTAGTCTTTCATCACAAATTTTAAGAGACATAAAAAGTAACTAATTTTTAATTAACTACAATAAGCCAGACAAAGGGGATTGGCACATGAAAGAGGTAAAAGATCAAGCTAGAATTCCATACACTTCACCCTAAATATTAGATGTACTCTTTTATGGAAGGTTTGTGGCTTTAAGAAAACTTTTAAAATGCAGCATGAACCCAAAAAAGCGTCAGTGTGAATTCACCAAATCACACCCCTTTCTGAGAACTTATATATAGATATAAGCTCTATTCAGGCTTGGTTTTTATTTTTGACATCACAGTCTATCTTTTTTATTGTCAAGAAAATGCCATGAGATTCTGAGAGAACTTTTCAAAGCTAGCAAAGTGAAAATGTTTAGGACCTAAATGTTTCTTAATGAAACAAACAAACAAACCAAAAAAACAAAAAAACAACCAACCAAACAACAGCAAAAACAAAATGAATTAGGCAACAGTTAAATTAGTTTCTTTCATTAGTCTATGGTTTATTATTGAGAATCCAATTTAAAGTACTTTTAATAGGAACAACTTGTACTAAGAAGGATTTGAGAAAACTTCAAGAAAGCTTTGGGCAAATATTTTTTATTTAATTGGGATTGAGTTGCCTCCTTAGTGTTTCAAGTTGATTGTGAATCCACATGCACATTTCATCTTTGCTCTTTTCCTCTGGATGAAATCCTTTATTAATACAAGAGATCATTGACCTTAGAGCTTAAATTTTTTAAAAAACATTTTTAAAATGTGACTTTTGCTGACATTTAACAACAAACAGCAAAGCTGATTTTTTTCTATCCTCCTGTTGGGAACTTGGCAGAGTCATTTAATTTGTAGTGCTTTCAACCTACAGGAAAAAACAAGGTGATTGTACTTTGATTTCCCCATTTGATGATCCTGAATAAAATGCAAATATGTTATATATAGAATTTAACAGACAGCTCGTTATACTCAGACTTATACATATAGTTTTCATGCTACTGGACATCAAAGACACTATATTGTACTGTCTGTGTAAATCAACCGAAACACTCAGCAAGTAGCATCATTTTTTTAATGAAGATGCTCCTATGTATTCAACATATGCCAGTGCCAGTGACTATGTGGAAGCCACATTATTCCGCCTCTTATCTACAGCTCACTTGCATTCACCCTTAATCATTTTGAGCACAACAAATCTGTAAAGCACTCAACATGATGCTGAGTGGGGAAAACTCTCACCTAAGTGGAGCACTTTATTTATGCCAAATATGGCAGTGAGAAAAGTCAGAGAAATATTCCAAAGCCTGACATTAACTGTGCCAAAGTGTGCCATTGACAGTGAAGAGAAAAACAAGAGGTGTAAAGCAACTGATGCTCTATCCTTAAACCTTTACTCTTAACTACAGAAACAACTAAACCCAAAGTAATTCCCATCAGCTCATAGAAAGCAGCTGTGTATGTATATTAACAGGTATCAATTTATACGTGTGGATGTTTGAGTTGTGGCATATACTTGGTTATGACCAATACCTCACAATTGAATTATCACTAAAACATTCCATTAAAGTTGTTAGATTTTGTGGTAGCACTATTATAATCCCATTATTTGTGCAGTGGTATAGTAGATACTGGAAATTAATACATTTAATTTATTAATAAATTTAAGGAATGAAGAAATTGCAAGCTGATTACTCTTGTATTATCAAAAATATTATCTGCATATCAATTTTGTAAGATGGAATTTATTAACGTATTTATGCAGCATATGGCATTAACCACTGCTTTTTTTTTACCCTCAAATCTATTTTCTTTTAGTTGTAATTATTTTTTATTTATTTGATCAATATTTATTGTGTGCCTGTCACGTGTGAGGCACTTTACTAGCTGCTGGGAATCTGTACATGAGGAAAACACAGTCTCTGCTTTCAAGTAACTTGCATTGTTATGGAAATAGATTGAAATGTGAAATGTCAACCTGAGACAACTGGTTACATGTTCTGCTTGCCTTTTGACACAAAGATATTGTTTTTGAATCATGAGTTTAACTGGCACATTCAGTTTATTTTGAAATGGTTTGGGTAGATAGAAGATTTTAATTTAACCAGAAAATATATTTCTTTTTTTCTTTTCTTTTTTTTTTTTTTGGAGACAAAGTCTCACTCTGTCACCCAGGCTGGAGTGCATTGGTGCTATCTCGGCTCACTGAAACCTCCACCTCCTGGGTTCAAGCTATTCTTGTGCTTGAGCCTCCCGAGTAGCTGAGATTACAGGCGCCTGCCACCATGCCTGGCTCATTTTTTTGCATATTTAGTAGAGACAGTGGTTTCATCATGTTGTCCAAGCTGGTCTCAAACTCCTGACTTCAGGCAATCCGCCCACCTTGGCCTCTCAAAGTGCTGGGGTTACAGGCATGAGCCACCGTGCCCGGCCAAAATATATTTCTTTATTGTCAGTTTTTGGAGCAGAAAGAGATCAAGGTACATTTAAACTAATTAATTCTCTCACTATTTGTTTATTTACTTATGTACTTGTTTTTGTGGAGGAGATCTATGAAAATTGCAGTAGAACGTGATTAAAAGCACATGTTTTGGAGTTAAACCACTGGAAGAATAGAGTGTTCATTAAAATGAGTAAACTGTCATAAACAGTAGATTTGGGAAGGATAAATCAGGAGTTTGTTTCTGGAAATGTTAACTTGATAATGGAATGTTAGATTCGAGTGAGTTGTCTAGTGAACAATTGGGTAAATGAATAAAGTCTTTGGAAGAACCCCAAATTAGTGATACACATTAGAAATCGTATTGTATTTAAGATCTTGGGAGTAAGTGTAAAGCAAAAAGAGGAAGAAAAGAATAGAGGTCTGAGAAATGAGTTCATATAAAGGTGTCAAGATTCAGAAGAGAGGAAGAGAAACCAGCAAAAGACACTGAGAGCATATGAGGTTGGAGGAGAACCAAGAGCATATGAGAGCATATGAGGCTGGGGGAGAACCCAGAGAATGGTGAGCCAGAAGACAAGAGAAAAAATGGCTTCGGTGGAGGAAGTGATTCACCATGTCCAATGCTGATGGCTGCCTGAATAACATGGGGACTTGACTAATGGATTTATGAGTAACGTTGACAAGAACAGTCTCAGTGCTGTGAAGCAAAAGCCCGAATGGAAGGGGCTAGAGATGGTGCAGTTTGAGTACATAGGAATGGCAAAATTGATTTTTGTGGTGATGGAATATTTATCTTTATTACAGTGATGACAACATAAAAAAAGTGTGTAATAAAAATGACATATATGCATTATATGCATATATATTTAAACATATAAATATATATTTTAGGCCAGGCACAGTGGCTCATGCCTGTAATCCCAGCACTTTGGGAGGCCAAGGCTGGTGGATCACGAGGTCAGGAGATCGAGACCATCCTGGCTAACACAGCGAAACCCTGCCTCTACTAAAAATACAAAAAATTAGCTGGGCGTAGTGACACTCGCCTGTAATCCCATCTACTCGGGAAGTTGAGGCAGGAGAATCTCTTGAACCTGAGAAGCAGAGGTTGCAGTGAGCCCGGATCTCGCCACTGCACTCTAGCCTGGGCAACAGAGCGAGACTCTGTCTCAAAAAAAAAAAAAGAAAAAAAAAATATATATATATATACACACACACACACACATACATACATACATATTTTAAACATATAAATATATGAGGATCAATTTCCTGGTTTAGATATTTATTATACTTACATAACCTGTGACCATGGGGGAAGCTGGGTGAATAGACCTCTTTGTACAAACGTTGCAATGTCCTGTCAATCTATGATTTTTTAAAAAATGATAAAGGACCCTTGGGGCAGAACACCTGGATTCAAGTCCATGCTCTGCTTTTTACTTACTATAGGACCTCAATCAGTTTATTTAACCCCTTTGTGTTTATAACAAACCTACTCCATATGTTTGTTTTGAGAATTTGGATTAATCTCCATTAATTGCTGAGGACAATGCATGTTTCATAACAGGTACTATTTATATTTTGACTATTATTATTTATCAGATAAAGGAATTGACATTTCAATAGGTTAACCTGTTAAAATCATATAGCTCTGGAATAACTAAGTATAACTCAAATCCTAGTATGTCCAGTCTCTTTATTAAATGCTATTCCTTGTTAAACAAAACAAAATAAAAGCCTTACTGGAATGAGTGAGATCAAGAGAGAATGAGAGGCCAGGCATGGTGGCTCACACCTGTAATCCCAGCACTTCGGGAGGCTGAGGCAGGAGGCTCATTTGAGGCTAGGAATTTGAGAACAGCCTGGGCAGCATGATGAAACCCCATCTCTGCTAAAAATATGAAAATTACCGTGTGGGTGGTGCATGCCTGTTAATCCCAGCTACTCAGGAGGCTAAGGCATGAGAATCTATCACTTGAACCGAGGAGACTGAGGTTACAGTGAGCCTGAGCCAAGATCCTGCCACTACATTCCAGCCTGGGTGACTGTCTCTCAAAGGAGGGTGGTGAGGGGAGAGAGTCTCAAAGGAGGGTGGTGAGGGGAGAGAGAGAGAGAGAGAGAGAGAGAGGGAGGGAGGGAGGGAGAGAGAGAATGAAACAGAGAATATATAGACAACGCTTTTGAGTTCCATGTGTTCTTTCATTAAAACTGCAATGAGAGAGAGAAAGAGAGAGAGGATGAAAGGCAAGGAATTGAAACAGAGAATACAGACAATGCTTTCGAGTTCCATGTGTTCTTTCATTAAAATGTCAATGAGAGAGAGGAAGAGAGAGAGAAGGAAAGAGAATGAAAGGCAAGGAATTGAAACAGAGAATATAGACAACGCTTTTGAGTTGCATGTGTTATTTCATTAAAACTTCAATGACTAAAGTGCGAATGATTTTAGTGGGCTTATGCTAATGTGCAACAAAAGCACATACATTTTAGAAATGGTAACAGACCAGATGGATACTGTCTACTCATTTGGAGACCCATTTTAGTTCCATTGAGCTCCATTATGACTCCCTAGTAATGTGTCTCAAAATATGCATTTCATGAACATTTTCTCAAAGTGAAAAATATGTTTTATATATATTTTATATGATGGAAAAATCATGCAACATTTCTTCACTGTCTAGTTACAGCATTTTAATATTTATTTCATTACTCTTTATAATACAATCATAACTTACAGATTAGTTTCATAGTGGCTAAGAGCGCAGAGCAATTTCTGTGAGCTCTGGGACTTTGAATAGGTTTGTTCAAAGTTATCTCATTGAATAAATGAAGATAATTAAAGTGCCTACCTGATAGTGTGGTTTCCCAATAGTATCATAAATTTATAGGTTAATACTTTTTAAAAAAGATTTTTCCATAGGTTATTGGGGTAAACGTGATATTCAGTTACATGAGTAAGTTCTTCAGTGGCGATTTCTGAGATTTTGGTGCACCCATCACCCAAGCAGTATACACAGCACCCTGTTTGTAGTCTTTTATTCTCTGCCCCACTCCCACCCTTCCTGTCAAGTCTCCAAAGACCATTGTATCATTCTTATGCCTTCGCATCCTCATAGCTTAGCTTCCACATATCAGTGAGAACATACAATGTTTGGTTTTTCATTCCTGAGTTACTTTACTTGGAATAATAGCCTCCGATCTAATCTCATCCAGGTCACTGCAACTGCCGTTCATTCATTCTTTTCTATGGCTGAGTAGTATTTCATCGTATATGTACACCACGGTTTCTTTATCCACTCATTGATTGATGGGCATTTGGGTTGGTTCCACAATTTGCAATTGTCTCTATTGAGATGATCATGTGATTTTTGTTTTTAATTCTGTTTATGTGGTGTATCACATTTATTGACTTGCGTATGTTAAACCATCCCTGCATCCCTGATATGAAACCCACTTGATCATGGTGGATTATCTTTTTGACATGTTGTTGGACTTGGTTAGCTAGTATTTTGTTAAGGACTTTTGCATCTATGGTCTTCAGGGATATTGATCTGTAGTTTTCTTTTTTGGTTATGTCCTTTCCTGGTTTTGGTATTAGAGTAATGCTGGCTTCATAGAATGAATTAGGGAGGGTTCTATCTTTCTCCATGTTGTGGAATAGTGTCAATAGTATTGGTACCAATTCTTTAAAGGTCTGATAGAATTCTGTCGTGAATCTGTCTGGTCCTGGACTTTTTCTGTTGGTAATTTTTTAACTACCATTTTAATCTCGCTGCTTGTTATCTGTCTGTTCAGGGTATCTAATTCTTCATGATTTAAACTAGGAGGGTTGTATCTTTCCAGGAATTTATCTATCTCTTCTAGGTTTTCTAGTTTATGTGAGTAAAGATGTTCATAGTAGCCATGAATGATCATTTGTATTTCAGTGGTGTCAGTTGTAATATCTCCCATTTCATTTTTTATTGAGGTTATTTGGATTTTCTCTCGTCTTTTCTTGGTTAATCTTGCTAATGGTCTATCAATTTCATTTATCTTTTCAAAGAACCAGCTTTTTGTTTCATTTATCTTTCTTTTTTTTTTTTTGTTTTAATTTCATTTAGTTCCACTCTGATCTTGGTTATTTCCTTTCCTCTGCTGGGTTTGGGTTTGGTTTGTTCTTGTTTCTCTAGTTCCTTGAGATGTGACCTTAGATTGTCAGTTTGTGCTCTTTCAGTCTTTTTGATGTAGGCATTTAGGGCTATGAACTTTCCTCTTGGCACCAGCTTTGCTGTATCCCAGAGGTTTTGAAAGGTTGTGTCACTCTTGTCATTCAGTTAGAAGAATTTTTTAATTCCCATCTTGATTTCGTTTTTGACCCAATGGTCATTCAGAAGCAGGTTATTTAATTTCCATGTATTTGCATGGTGTTGAAGGTTCCTTTTGGAGTTGATTTCCAGTTTTATTCCACTGTGGTCTGAGAGTTAATATAATTTCAATTTTCTTAAATTTATTGAGGTTTGTTTTATGGCCTGTCATATGGTCTATTCTGGAGAAAGTTCCATGCACTGTTAAAGAGAATGTGTAGTCTGTGGTTGTTGAATGGAATGTTCTGTATCTATCTGTTAAGTCCATTTGTTCCAAGGTATAGTTTAAATCCATTGTTTCCTTGTCGACTTTTTGTTTTGATGACCTGTCTGTGCTGTCAGTGGAGTGTTGAAGTCCCCTACTATGATTGTGTTGATGTCTATCTCATTTCTTAGGTCTACTAGGAAACGTTCTATTAGTTTGACAGCTCCAGTGTTAGGTGCATATATGTTTAGGATTGTGGTATTTTTCTGTTGAACAAGGCCTTTTACCATTATATAATGTCCCTCTTTATCCTTTTTAACTGTTGTTGCTTTAAAGTTTGTTTTGTCTGATATAAGACTAGCTAGTCCTGCTGGGTTTTGGTGTCCATTTGCATGAAATGCCTTTTTCCACCCTTCACTTTAAGTTTATGTGAGTCCTTATGTATTAGGCGAGTCTCTCAAAGGCAGTAGATAGTTGGTTGGTGAATTCTCATCCATTCTAAGGTTCTGTATCTTTTAAGTGGAGCATTTAGGCCATTTGCATTCAACGTTATTATTGAGATGTGACATACCATTCCATTCATCATGCTATTTGTTGTCTGTGTACCTTGGTTTTTTGTTTTTTAAATTGTATTTTTAAGTCCTGTGAGATTTATGCTTTAAAGAGATTCTGTTTTCATCTATTTCCAGGATTCGTTTCAAGACTTAGAGCTCCTTTTAACAGTTCTTTTAGTGGTGGCCCGGTAGTGGTGAATTCTCTCAGCATTTGTTTGTCTGAAAAAGACTATATCTTTCCTTCATATTGATGCTTAATGTCGCTAGATACAAAATTCTTGGCTGGTAATTGTTTTGTTTGAGGAGGCTGAAAATAGGACCCCAAACCCTTCTAGCTTGCAGGTTTTCTGCTGAGAAATCTGCTGTTAATCTGATAGGTTTTCTTTATGGGTTATCTGGTGCTTTTGACTCACAGCTCTTAAGATTCGTTCCTACATCTTAACTTTAGATTACCTGATGACAATGTGCCTAGGCAATAATCTTTTTGTGGTGAATCTCCCAGGTGTTCTTTGTGCTTCTTGTATTTGGATGTCTAGGTCTCTAGCAAGGCTGGGGAAGTTTTTCTCAGTTATTCCCCCAAATATGTTTTCCAAACTTTTAGATTTCTCTTCTTCCCCAGGAATGCCGATTATTCTTAGGTTTGATCATTAACATAATCCCAGACTTCTTAGAGGCTTCGTTCATATTTTCTTTTTCTTTTT
Organism: Homo sapiens; assembly: GCF_000001405.40. Taxonomy (NCBI): domain Eukaryota; kingdom Metazoa; phylum Chordata; class Mammalia; order Primates; family Hominidae; genus Homo; species Homo sapiens. The sequence continues at coordinate 76,336,372 of NC_000002.12, forward strand.
CTTTGTCTTTGTTGGATTGAATTAATTCAAAGAACTTGTCTTCAAGCTCTGAATTTCTTTCTTTTACTTGTTCAATTCTATTGCTGCAGCTTTCCAGAGAATTTTGTGTCTGTAAGTGTGTCCAGTGTTTCCTAAAGTTGTGATTGTTTTTTATTTATGCTATCTATTTAATTGAATATTTCTCCCTTCACTTCTTGTATCATTTTTTGGTTTTCTTTGCATTGGGCTTCACCTTTCTCTGGTGCCTCCCTGGTTAGCTTAATAACTAACTTCCCAAATTCTTTTTCAGGTAAATTGGAGATTTCTTCTTGGCTTGGATCTATTGCTGATGAGCTACTATGGTTTTGGGGGAGTGTTAAAGAGCTTTGTTTTGTCATATTACCAGAGCTGGTTTACTCGTTCCTTCTCATTCGGGTAGGCTCTGTCAGAGGGAAGGTCTAGGGCTGAAGGCTGTGGTTCAGAATTTTTTTTTCCCAGGGGGTGTTCCCTTTTCCTATGGATGCGGCTTCCTGAGAGTTGAACTGTAATGATTGTTCTCTCTCTCCTGGGTCTAGAGACCTAGCAAGTCTACCAGGCTCTGGGTTGCTACTGGTGGTTGTCTGCACAGAGTCCTGTGATGTGAACCATCTGTGGATCTCTCAGCCGTGGGTACCCACACCAGTTCTAGTAGAGATGGCAGGGGGACTGAAATGGACTCTGTGAGGATTCTTAGCTTTGATGGTTTACTGCACTATTTTTGTGCTGGTTGGCCTCCTGACAAGAGATGGCACTTTCTGGAGAGCATCAGCTGTGGTAGTCTGGAAAGGAACCGGCAGTGGGCAGGCCTCTAGAACTCCCAAGAGTATATGCCCTTTGTGTTCAGCTACCAGGGTGGGTAGGGAAGGACATCAGGTGGGGGCAGGGCTAGGCTTGTCTGAGCTCAGACTCTCCTTGGGTGGGTCTTGCTGTGGCTGCCATGGGGGATGGTGGTGAGGTTCCCAGGTCAGTGGAGTTATGTACCTAGCAGGATTATGGCTGCCTCTGCTGAGTCATGCAGGTTGTCAGGGAAGTGGGGGAAAGCTGGCAGTCATAGGCCTCACACCTAGCTCCCAGGCAATCTGAAGAGCAGGTCTCACTCCTACCATGTCCCTCCCCACTAACACACCAAGTCTGTTTCCAGGAGTGGGCAAGCAGAGCTGAGAACTTGCCCCAGGTTACCTGCCTCCCAGCAGCATAAGAAAGTAGGGCTTTAGTTCTTCCCTCACCTGTGGAGCCTGGACATAGGATTCACACCCTCCCCGAGTTCTGGCCAGGAGGCTTCTCGACCTGTTGGAATTGTGACAGAGTTCAGCTGGAGACTTCCTACTCCCTGTGGCATTTCCCCCACGCTGTTGGCCACCCTCCCAAACGATCCCTGTGATGCCAGGCAGGAATGGACTGCTTGGGGACCCGTCAAGCTCTCAGGGCCTTTCCCGCTGCTTCCTCTACCCCTGTATTTCGTTTGGCTCTCTAAATTGACTCAGCTCCGGGTAAGGTCGGAATCATCTCCCGTAAACTAGACCTTCAGTTTCCCCAGTGGGGGTGTGTGTTCAGGGGCAGATGATCTCCCTTTCCCACTTCTGCAATTTGGGCACTCAGAGTATTTGAGGTGTCTCCTGGGTCCTGCAGGAACAATCCACTTTCTTCAGAGAGTCTGTGGTTCATCTTGGCTTTCCTGGATTTATTACTGCAGTTGTTCTGGAGCTAAAATTCATGATGTGGGCTTCCACATGCTGCTCTGTCCGTCTGACTCAGAGCTGCAGTCTAGTCCAGCCTTCTGTCTGCCATGATGGATGTGAATACATTTTAAAAAAATAGAAAAGATTCTGGCATGTAATAAATAGTCAATATTTTTTAGCTATTATTAATATTAATCATAAGTTTTTTAAGTGATTATATCTATACATAATAAATTAGCAAAGGAATAACAGATAAACTAGACTGCAAAAGATTTAAAGTAGAACTGAAATAATTTTAAGTATTGCACTTTTTTTGGTTGTTGTTTATGTTTTTGAGACAGAGTCTCACTCTGTCACCCAGGCTGGTGTGCAGTGGAGCAATCTCCACTCACTGCAATCTCAGCCTCCCAGATTCAAGTAATTCTCATGCCTCAGCTACACGAGTAGCTGGGACCACAGGCATGTGCCACCATGCCTGGCTACTTTTTGCATTTTAAGTAGAGATGGGTTTTAACCATGTTGAACAGGCTGGTCTTTTGCATTTTAAGTAGAGATGGATTTTCACACCATGTTGAACAAGCTGGTCTCAAACTCCTGGCCTCAAGTGATCTGCCCACCTAGGCCTCCCAAAGTTCTGGGATTACAGGAATAAGCCACTGTGCCAAGCCAATATTGTGCTTAAGAAGTTGAGTAATTTTTATGTACATTTTGGGATTGTTAGGCAAATCTAAAAATCAAATAACTAATAAAGTTACAGTAATAAATTAATGTTTCCTCTTGAAAATTGGAGAGATGGAGGACACTGTATGATGTCCTCATAGAATACTCATGAAAAATAAGGAATATATCATATGTACAGTGTTTGGCACAGAGCTTGAATAAAATAAGCACTGAAATCTTGGCTATTATTATTACTGCTATTGTTATTCTCATGTTGTTCTATAGATACTTTTCTTTTTGGTCTTAGCAATTCTATACTGTGCTTATCTATGGCATTATAGCAAATCCTGCCAAAGTACTCCTAGTATTGATATTTTCTTTTTTTTTTTTTCCTATTTTGGTAATAGAACCCTTTGAGTTTTATTTGGACATATATTTGCCCAGCTAGAGACAACATTTACCATTTTCTTAGCAATTAAGTTCAATTGCCATTTTTTTCCTGCCTTGTGACTAAGTTCTCAAATAAGAAATATGAGAAAAAAACATATATTTTTTTCTAAGCCATTCCACTAAAATAACTGGGCAGATTTCTCTTTCTTTTTACCCCTTTTCATAAACTGAATCTGAAGGATCATGCTGGTAATTAGCTTGGACCAGGAAGAGCAAGCTAACATTTTAGGACAGTGGTTTATAAAATGTAGTCCCGAGTAGCATCAGCCGATTCCCACTGACACATGGAAGTTTGTTAAGAATGCAAGTTTTCAGGCCCCATTCCAGACCAACTGAGTCAGAAACGCCAGGGGTAGATTCAGCAATCTGTTTTGACATGATCTTCAGAAGATTCTGATGCATGTAAAGTTTGAGAATTACTTCTTTAGGGATTAATAGAGCAGCAAGGTAGAAGGCCCCTGAGTCTCCAGACAACTTTATGAAGCAGAGATAACACATATTTTGTATATTATACAGCAGAGCCACCTCTCCTCCATAGACTGCCCACTCTTACATGAGAGACAAATTCTATTTTGCTTGAGCCGCCAGATTTTTGTGTTCCTTTGTTGTAGCAACTTAGCAGGCACTCTAATTAAAGCTGTAGAGGACCTTTTGACTTCTCAGTTTATAACCAGCCCACTTTAATGGGGAAATAACAAGCAAAATTTTCCTTGAAGAGCTATGAATAATCAAACAGTATTTACAGAGGAGTACGAAAAATTGACTGGCTTTCAATTAACTGGATCTATTCATCAAAAACACATATAATACACACTCATAAACTCGCAGACACACATTACACATAAATTTTTCATTCACAGAAATATGCTTCTCGGAAGTGAAGTAATTCAGAAGTAAATCACGTACAATCAGAATGATACACAAGGTATACTTAAATAACTTTACAATTATTCATATCTTAGAACTAGAATTCACATTCTTATTTATTTGATTCAGAGCAACTCAATAAAATACAATAAATATTTCATAAGGGAATATTGTTTCAGAAATTGTAGAAGGAAGCAGAAAAACAAAGATGATTAAGACATGAAAACTGCCCTAAAGGAGCTTACAGTCTCATGAGAGAATGTCAATTGCTTTCCCAGAAGCACGTTAGAAATTACATGCTTCACAACTCCTTTCTAACCCATTCATTTTTTAAAAAATTTATTGTGCATATTTAAGGTATACAACATGATGTTATGGGATATATAGAGACAGTGAAATGGTTGCTATAGTGAAGCATATTAGCATATCCATCATCTCACATAGTTATTCATTTTTGTTTTTGTGGCAAGAGCAGCTAAAATCTACTCATTTAACAGGAATCCCAAATATAGTACAATTTTATGACCTGTAGTCTTTATGTTGTACATTAGATCTCTAGACTTGTTCATCTTAGGTACCTGCTACTTTGTATACTCTGATCTACAGCTCCTCATTTTCTCCCCTCCCCCACAACCCCTGATGACTACTGATTTATTCTCTACATCTGTATATTTCACTTTTTGATTTTTCTTCTAATATTTCACATGTAAGTGAGATTATGCAGTATTCCTCCTTATCTGTCCAGCTTATTTAACTGAATATAATATCCTCCAGGTTCATTCATGTTGTGGCAGGATCTCCTTCTTTGTCAAGGCTGAATGATATTCCTATAAGTATGTGTGTGTGAGTGTGTGTGTATGTGTGTGTGTGTATATATGTATATATACATATATACATATATTTGTGTATATATATTTATATATACATATATACATATAGATATATACGTATATACATACAGTTGACCCTTGAGCAAAGGAGGGATTAGGGGCACTGATTCCTCTTGCAGTCAAAAATCCACTTCTAGCTTTTGACTCCCTAAAAACTGAACTAATAATAAAGTACTGCTGACTGCCTTACCAGTAAAATAAATAGTTGATAACATGTATTTTGTATATCTATTATATACTGTATTCTCACAATAAACTAGAGAAAAGGAAATGTTATTAGAAGATCATAAGCAGGAGAAAACATATTTACCCTTCATTAAAAGGAAGTGGATCATCATCAAGGTTTTCATTATAATCATTTTCACATTGAGGACCTGAGAAGGAGGGATGGCAGAGTCAAAAAGGTGGAGGAGGTGGAAGGGGAGGCAGGAGAGGAAGGCACACTCAATGTATCTTTTATTGAAACAAAAGTCTGTGTATAAGCGGACCCTCACAGTTCAAACCCATGTTGTTCAAGGGTCAACTACATATATATGCACACACATACACATATATGTATGTATGTATATCCACTAATATCTATCTCACAGTTTCTTTATTCGTTATTCCATCAACAGACATTTTGGTTATTTCTACATCAGAACACGAGAAGGCAGATATTTTTCTAAAATGGTAATTTCATTTCCTTTGGGATTGACCAGAAGAGGAATTGCTGAGTCATAAGGTAGTACTATTTTTAATTTCTTTGGAAACCTCCATACTGTTCTTCATAATGTCTAAACCAATTTACATCTTTTTACATCTATGTCAAAGTAATATGTAAAAAAAAATACATTCTTCTTAATGTTTTTGGTTAGCTTTTCTTTGATACTAGTGAGGCTAATTTTTTTGCATGTTTATTTCTATATATTATTAATGTTTAATTTTCATTGAGAGATCATTTACATATGATAAAATGGCTTCATCTTCAGTATATGTTTTTTTCAATATACATTTTTAATCTGATGTGATATGTGATGATGTGGTATAATTGAATTTAAGTAAATCTAGCGTAGATTTTGGATCTTTGAAGGCAGCAGATCTTTGAATTCTTGCTCTGGTATTTACTATGTGGCTTTTGACAATAAAACCTCTATAAAACTCAGTTTGCCCAACCCTAAGATGGTAGGAATAATACCTACTTCCTTTGATTTTTGTGCAAACTAAAGCCCTTCAGCCAAATTTCTTTAACCAGTTTCTGCCCCTTGATGTCTACATTTCTTCATTTCTCACTCACTCCAATATGTCTCACTCGATCACTACGCTGAAATTCTCCCCACCAAGGTCATCCAGCTCTCCAGGTTGAAAGTCAATGGATATATTTCAGTCTTTATTATATTTAAACTTTCTAAAACACTCTTCACCAGAGTCACCCTGCCCTCCAGATTGTTAGAATAAATGGACATATTTCCATCTTTACTGTATTTGAACACTCTACAGCATTCAGAATCTCCTTCTAAAGACTCTCTCCTCTTGAATTTTGTGAGCTTATTATCTTGCTTTTTTTATACATATCTGGATATGCCTTCTTAGTCTTCTTTAATGTCTCCTCTCCCTGCCCTTATATATTTATGATTTTAGGGTTTTTTCCCCTTACTTTCTGTCTCTATTTCTCTCTCTCTCTCCATAGCTCAGTCTAATCCTAGAAGATGTTACCCAGTCCCATAGTTTTAGATAAGTTTATGAAGGTGATTCTTATTCCACATTATTATCTCTAACCCAATGTCTTTTTTGAATTTCAAACATGTAAATCTCACTCAGTATGTATAGATTCATTTATTTCCCCTCACAAAATATTCAAACATGCTCCAAATTAAATATATCTTCTCCCTAAAACCTTTTCGTTCATCAGTATTTCCAATTTTAAGAAATTGCACCTTAATTTTCTATTTCTTCAAATACTTACCATTTTCACTCATTCGTCCCCTTATCTTTCAATAGCCAGGCCTTAATGATTTTGCCTCTTGGTGGGACAATGGCAACATAGTTGCTAATTTTTCTCCCTATATCTACTCTTACCCCCATTCTAATTCAATCTCTGCCCTGTAACCAGAAATTCAGATTGGATCCTATGAATTTGTCCTCAAAATTCATTAAGAACGTGTGAGTTCAAATTTTTAACATATAAAAACTAGACAACACTTGAAGTCTCCTGCCCCAATGAATCTGGAGATCATATCACAATTCTATACCCCCTGAGAATCCAAAAATTTTATGATTATTGAAAAGTCCCAATTTGGAGGATGTGTGTATGCTGTCAGAGTCAAGTGAGCTCTAGGTTCTAGCTCTGGCAGGGACTGTCATCTTATTTACTTCAGGTTGCCAACATGTAAAGTTTAAGCCTTTAATTAATTTCCACCAAGCATCCTATTTCCCCATTATAGGACATGAGATTGAGTGTAAGATGTATGTACACATGCATGTGTGTTTGAAAGAGAGGGAGCAAGAGCGAGATGAAGATTTTCATGAATAAATCTGAGATGTGTGATGTGGATCAAGGTTTATATTGCAGCAATCAAACTGATGAAAATTGTATATTAGGCTTCTGAATTACCAAAAGTTGTCTCTCGACTTTACACTTGAGGGTTCTCATGACCTTGCTCCCCTATAGTACCCAGCATTTTATCATTTGGTTGATTCTTTGTATCCGATGCCACATTTTATCATGGCACTTGATTTCATGTGGTTACCTTTTCTGCCTTAGGACTGTCTCCAGCACCTTAGGAGACTGCCAAGCCTGTGTGCAGAAGCAGGCAAAAGCTTGGCTGAGGGAAGCTGTAAAAGTGACAGTCTGAGGCAGAGTCTTCCAGGTTTCTCAGAGGTCCCCAGCAGGATGGAACATAATTACCCATCACAGCTACTAGGTCAACAACACTCCCTTTATTGGCTTTTCTTCCTTTTCTGTTCGTCCCTCCTGAGTCCCCCACTCTGCTTCCTGAGATCATCTCCCAGAAAAACTCCTGTGTCTAAGAGTATGTCAAAACCTCTGAGAGAAAAAAAAAAAGAGACCTATGCTTTTGGGAAATGCAAATTAAGACACTCTTTGTCCCTTACTACTTCTCCACACCTTTCCTTCTCATCTCTTACCCTTGAGGCCAGACAGGAAAGAGAAAGAAGAAAAATTACCCAACTTTCTCCCTGTCTCAGGCAGAACAGAACTGCAAACACCTCGGCCTTCAGTGACTCTATTTTCATACTAAGTGGTTAATCAAGGGTCTTCTCTGAACAAATATAGTGTTTCCTTTTTCTCCAGAAGACACTTTGGTACTGGTGAGGTAGTGTATCAGTCCATTCTGACTCTGCTCTAAATAACACCTTTTATGAAGAAAGGGGGTTTAGTTGACTCACATTTCTGCAGGTTTTACAGGAGGCATGGCTGTGAGGCTCAGTATACTTAAAATCATGGTGGAAGGCAAAGGGGAAGCAAACATGTCTTCCCATGGCAGTAGGAGAGAAGGAGCTAAGGGGGAAGTGCTACATACTTTTAAACAATCAGATCTCGTGAGAACTCACTCAAAAGACAGTATTAGGGAGATGGTGCTACATCATTAGAAACCACCCCCAAGATCCCGTCACCTCCCACCAGCCCACCGCATCCAACCCAACACTTGGGATCACAATTCAACGTGAAATTTGGGTGGGGAAACAGAGCCAAACCATATCAGGTAGTATATTATTCACCTCTTTACACGTTGTTGAAAAGAGAATAATATTCCCTTGCCTCCCTTTTTAGATTTGTAAAAAATGCCTCCTTCTTGTATTTTTATACTCTAGCCAGATGTGCTGCTTTAGTTCAGTTCCATTTCAGATTATGTGGCAGATATGCCTGAGTCTCCTGGCTTGGCTAATTCTTACATATTCTTCAAATCTCAGCTTAAATTTTACTTCCCAAGAAGATTATTCCTTGATCTCCTTACTGTACACATTCATATTATATGACCTTTCATTACCCTCTCCATATTTTTTAATTATTTCTTTCATGCTGGAACATAAACTCCATGAGGAAAAGCTCATGTGTATTCCAGATCCCAGTGCCTGTTACTCAGCAGCCATCCAGTTCAATGGTAATAGATTAATCAGTTTGAATTGAATTGAAAGAGAGACGGCTATTAATAGAATTAAGAACATGTTGGATAGTTAGAAAAGTCATCTTTACTTCATAGTTTCTGGTGAAATGGTTTTTTTCTTTTATTATACTTTAAGTTTTAGGATACATGTGCACAATGTGCAGGTTAGTTACATATGTATACATGTGCCATGCTGGTGTGCTACACCAATTAACTCATCATTTAGCATTAGGTATATCTCCTAATGCTATCCCTCCTCCCTCCCCCCCACCCCAGGACAGTCCCCAGAGTGTGGTGTTCCCCTTCCTGTGTCCATGTGTTCTCATTCTTCAATTCCCATCTATGAGTGAGAACATGCAGTGTTTGGATTTTTGTCCTTGCGATAGTTTACTGAGAATGATGACTTCCAATTTCATCCATGTCCCTACAAAGGACATGAACTCATCATTTTTTATGGCTGCATAGTATTCCATGGTGTATATGTGCCACATTTTCTTAATCCAGTCTAACATGGTTGGACATTTGGGTTGATTCCAAGTCTTTGCTATTGTGAATAGTGCCAAAATAAACATACGTGTGCATGTGTCTTTATAGCAGCATGATTTATAGTCCTTTGGGTATATACCCAGTAATGGGATGGCTGGGTCAAATGGTATTTGTAGTTCTAGATTCCTGAGGAATCGCCACACTGACTTCCACAATGGTTGAAGTAGTTTACAGTCCCCCCAACAGTGTAAAAGTGTTCCTATTTCTCCACATCCTCTCCAGCACCTGTTTTTTCCTGACTTTTTAATGATTGCCATTCTAAATGGTGTGAGATGGTATCTCATTGTGGTTTTGATTGTGGTTTTGATTTGCATTTCTCTGATGGCCAGTGACGGTGACCATTTTTTCATGTGTCTTTCAGCTGCATAAATGTCTTCTTTTGAGAAGTGTCTGTTCATATCCTTTGCCCACTTTTTGATGGGGTTGTTTGTTTTTTTCTTGTAAATTTGTTTGAGTTCATTGTAGATTCTGGATATTAGCCCTTTGTCAGATGAGTAGGTTGCGAAAGTTTTCTCCCATTTTGTAGGTTGCCTGTTCACTCTGATGGTAGTTTCTTTTGCTGTGCAGAAGCTCTTTAGTTTAATTAGATCCCATTTGTCAATTTTGTCTTTTGTTGCCATTGCTTTTGGTGTTTTAGACATGAAGTCCTTGACCATGCCTATGTCCTGAATGGTATTGCCTAGGTTTTCTTCTAGGATTTTTATGGTTTTAGGTCTAACGTTTAAGTCTTTAATCCATCTTGAATTGATTTTTGTATAAGGTGTAAGGAAGGGATCCAATTTCAGCTTTCTACATATGGCTAGCCAGTTTTCCCAGCACCATTTGTTAAATAGGGAATCCCTTCCCCATTGCTTGTTTTTCTCAGGTTTGTCAAAGATCAGATAGTTGTAGATATGCAGCATTATTTCTGAGGGCTCTGTTCTGTTCCATTGATCTATATCTCTGTTTTGGTACCAGTACCATGCTGTTTTGGTTACTGTAGCCTTGTAGTGTAATTTGAAGTCAGGTAGTGTGATGCCTCCAGCCTTGTTCATTTGGCTTAGGATTGACTTGGTGATGCGGGCTCTTTTTTGGTTCCGTATGAACTTTAAAGTAGTTTTTTCCAATTCTGTGCAGAAAGGCATTGGTAGCTTGATGGGGATGGCATTGAATCTATAAATTACCTTGGGCAGTATGGCCATTTTGACAATATTGATTCTTCCTACCCATGAGCATGGAATGTTCTTCCATTTGTTTGTATCCTCTTTTATTTCATTAGAGCAGTGGTTTGTAGTTCTCCTTGAAGAGGTCCTTCACATCCCTTGTAAGTTGGATTCCTAGGTATTTTATTCTCTTTGAAGCAATTGTGAATGGGAGTTCACTCATGATTTGGCTCTCTGTTTGTCTGTTATTGGTGTATAAGAATGCTTGTCATTTTTGTACATTGATTTTGTATCCTGAGACTTTGCTGAAGTTGCTTATCAGCTTAAGGAGATTTTGGGCTGAGACAATGGCATTTTCTAGATATACAATCATGTCTTCTGCAAACAGGGACAATTTGACTTCCTCTTTTCCTAATTGAATACCCTTTATTTCCTTCTCCTGCCTAATTGCCCTGGCCAGAACTTCCAACACTATGTTGAATAGGAGTGGTGAGAGAGGGCATCCCTGTCTTGTGCCAGTTTTCAAAGGGAATGCTTCCAGTTTTTGCCCATTCAGTATGATATTGGCTGTGGGTTCATCATAGATAGCTCTTATTATTTTAGGATATGTCCCATCAATACCTAATTTATTGAGTGTTTTTAGCATGAAGGGTTGTTGAATTTTGTCAAAGGCCTTTTCTGCATCTGTTGAGATAATCATGTGTTTTTTGTCTTTGGTTCTGTTTACATGCTGGATTACATTTATTGATTTGCATATATTGAACCAGCCTTGCATCCCAGGGATAAAGCCCACTTGATCATGGTGGATAAGCTTTTTGATGTGCTGCTGGATTCGTTTTGCCAGTATTTTATTGAGGATTTTTGCATCAATGTTCATCAAGAATATTGGTCTAAAATTCTCTTTTTTGGTTGTGGCTGTGCCTGGCTTTGCTATCAGGATGATGTTGGCCTCATAAAATGAGTTAGGGAGGATTCCTTCTTTTTCTATTGATTGGAATAGTTTCAGAAGGAATGGTACCAGTTCCTCCTTGTACCTCTGGTAGAATTCGGCTGTGAATCCATCTTGTCCTGGACTCTTTTTGGTTGGTAAGCTATTGGTTATTGCCACAATTTCAGATCCTGTTATTGGTCTATTCAGAGATTCAACTTCTTCCTGGGTTAGTCTTGGGAGGGTGTATGTGTCCAGGAATTTATCCATTTCTTCTAGATTTTCTAGTTTATTTGTGTAGAGGTGTTTGCAGTATTCTCTGATGGTAGTTTGTATTTCTGTGGGATCGGTGGTGATTTCCCCTTTATCATTTTTTATTGCCGCTATTTGATTCTTCTCTCTTTTCTTCTTCATTAGTCTTGCTAGCGGTCTATCAATTTTGTTGATCCTTTCAAAAAACCAGCTCCTGGATTCATTAATTTTTTGAAGGGTTTTTTGTGTCTCTATTTCCTTCAGTTCTGCTCTAATCTTAGTTATTTCTTGCCTTCTGCTAGCTTTTGAATGTGTTTGCTCTTGCTTTTCTAGTTGTTTTAATTGTGATGTTAGGGTGCCAATTTTGGATCTTTCCTGCTTTCTCTTATGGGCATTTAGTGCTATAAATTTCCCTCTACACACTGCTTTGAATGTGTCCCAGAGATTCTGGTATGTTGTGCCTTTGTTCTAGTTGGTTTCAAAGAACATCTTTATTTCTGCCTTCTTTTCGTTATGTACCCAGTAGTCATTCAGGAGCAGGTTGTTCAGTTTCCATGTAGTTGAGTGGTTTTGAGTGAGTTTCTTAATCCTGAGTTCTAGTTTGATTGCCCTGTGGTCTGAGAGACAGTTTGTTATAATTTCTGATATTTTACATTTGCTGAGGAGAGCTTTACTTCCAAGTATGTGCTCAATTTTGGAATAGGTGTGGTGTGGTGCTAAAAAAATGTATATTCTGTTGATTTGGGGTGGAGAGTTCTGTAGATGTCTATTAGGTCCGCTTGGTGCAGAGCTGAGTTCAATTCTTGGGTATCCTTGTTAACTTTCTGTCTCATTGATCTGTCTAATGTTGACAATGGGGTGTTAAAGTCTCCCATTATTATTGTGTGGGAGTCTAAGTCTCTTTGTAGGTCACTCAGGACTTGCTTTATGAATCTGGGTGCTCCTGTATTGGGTGCATATATATTTAGGATAGTTAGCTCTTCTTGTTGAATTGATCCCTTTACCATTATGTAATGGCCTTCTTTGTCTCTTTTGATCTTTGTTGGTTTAAAGTCTGTTTTATCAGAGACTAGGACTGCAAACCCTGCCTTTTTTTTTGCTTTCCATTTGCTTGGTAGATCTTCCTCCATCCTTTTATTTTGAGCCTATGTGTGTCTCTGCACATGAGATGGATTTCCTGAATACAGCACACTGATGGGTCTTGACTCTTTATCCAATTTGCCAGTCTGTGTCTTTTAATTGGAGCATTTAGTCCATTTACATTTAAAGTTAATATTGTTATGTGTGAATTTGATCCTGTCATTATGATGTTAGCTGGTTATTTTGCTCGTTAGTTGATGCAGTTTCTTCCTAGTCTCGATGGTCTTTACATTTTGGCATGATTTTGCAGCGGCTGGTACCGGTTGTTCCTTTCCATGTTTAGTGCTTCCTTCAGGAGCTCTTTTAGGGAAGGCCTGGTGGTGACAAAATCTCTGAGCATTTGCTTGTCCATAAAGTATTTTATTTCTCCTTCACTTATGAAGCTTAGTTTAGCTGGATATGAAATTCTGGGTTGAAAATTCTTTTCTTTAAGAATGTTGAATATTGGCCCCCACTCTCCTCTGGCTTGTAGAGTTTCTGCCAAGAGATCCACTGTTTGTCTGATGGGCTTCCCTTTGTGGGTAACCCGACCTTTCTCTCTGACTGCCCTAAACATTTTTTCCTTCATTTCAACTTTGGTGAATCTGACAATTATGTGTCTTGGAGTTGCTCTTCTCGAGGAGTATCTTTGTGGCATTCTCTGTATTTCCTGAATCTGAACGTTGGCCTGCCTTGCTAGATTGGGGAAGGTCTCCTGGATAATATCCTGCAGAGTATTTTCCAACTTGGTTCCATTCTCCCTGTCACTTTCAGGTACACCAATCAGACGTAGATTTGGTCTTTTCACATAGTCTCATATTTCTTGGCGGCTTTGTTCGTTTCTTTTTATTCTTTTTTCTCTAAACTTCCCTTCTCACTTCATTTCATTCATTTCATCTTCCATCACTGAAAACCTTTCTTCCAGTTGATTGCATCGGCTCCTGAGGCTTCTGCATTCTTCATGTAGTTCTCGAGCCTTGGCTTTCAGCTCCACTAGCTCCTTTAAGCACTTCTCTGTATTGGTTATGCTAGTTATACATTCTTCTAAATTTTTTTCAAAGTTTTTAACTTCTTTGCCTTTGGTTTGAATTTCCTCCTGTAGCTTGGAGTAGTTTGATCATCTGAAGCCTTCTTCTCTCAACTCGTCAAAGTCATTCTCCGTCCAGCTTTGTTCCATTGCTGGTGAGGAACTGCATTCCTTTGTAGGAGGAGAGGCGCTCTGCTTTTTAGAGTTTCCAGTTTTTCTGCTCTGTTTTTTTCCCCATCTTTGTGGTTTTATCTACTTTTGGTCTTTGATGATGGTGATGTACAGATGGGTTTTTGGTGTGGATGTCCTTTCTGTTTGTTAGTTTTCCTTCTAACAGACAGGACCCTCAGCCGCAGGTCTGTTGGAGTTTGCTAGAGGTCCACTCCAGACCCTGTTTGCCTGGCTATCAGCAGCAGTGTCTGCAGAACAGTGGATTTTCATGAACCGCGAATGCTGCTGTCTGATCGTTCCTCTGGAAGTTTTGTCTCAGAGGAGTACCCGGCCGTGTGAGGTGTCAGTCTGCCCCTACTGGGGGGTGCCTCCCAGTTAGGCTGCTCAGGGGTCAGGGGTCAGGGACCCACTTGAGGAGGCAGTCTGCCCATTCTCAGATCTCCAGCTGCGTGCTGGGAGAACCACTGCTCTCTTCAAAGCTGTCAGACAGGGACATTTAAGTCTGCAGAGGTTACTGCTGTCTTTTTGTTTGTCTGTGCCCTGCCCCCAGAGGTGGAGCCTACAGAGGCAGGCAGGCCTCCTTGAGCTGTGGTGGGCTCCACCCAGTTCGAGCTTCCTGGCTGCATTGTTTACCTAAGCAAGCCTGGGCAATGGTGGGCGCCCCTCCCCCAGCCTCGCTGCCGCCTTGCAGTTTGATCTCAGACTGCTGTGCTTGCAATCAGTGGGACTCCGTGGGCGTAGGACCCTCTGAGCCACGTGCGGGATATAATCTCCTGGTGTGCCGTTTCCTAAGCCTGTCGGAAAAGCGCAGTATTCAGGTGGGAGTGACTCAATTTTCCAGGTGCTGTCTGTCACCCCTTTCCTTGATCAGGAAAGCGAACTCCCTGACCCCTTGCACTTCCCGAGTGAGGCAATGCCTCTCCCTGCTTCGGCTCGTGCATGGTGCGCTGCACCACTGTCCTGCGCCCACTGTCTGGCACTCCCTAGTGAGATGAACCCGGTACCTCAGATGGAAATGCAGAAATCACCCGACTTCTGCGTCACTCACGCTGGGAGCTGTAGACTGGAGCTGTTTGTATTTGGCCATGTTGGCTCCTCCCCCTTCTTCTGGTGAAATATTTTTTAAAGATTATATTCCAAAGAAAATTGTAAAACAAAAATGAATGGAGAAATGGTGATGTTTGTCAAAGAGAGAAAGTAAACTGAATACTGTTAGCAGAAGTAGGGTAAAGGATTTTGTTAGTAGATTGCCAAATATCAACAATTCTCTCCTCCAAGTGAAGGTCTTATTTTTGAATGCACAAAAGCCTGTTTCTCTTTCAGTTAGTAGCCTTTTCTCATCTCTCTTTTTGACCAACAGTTTCTTATAATTTGGACACTATGGGGCCTCAGAAACTATCATTCCAAGTTATAAGACCCTTGTGATAGAGGTTTCCTAGGTGGTCAGACAGAAAAGAGAGAAAAGAAAGAGAATTTGTAGTATTTAAAGTCTGCAAATCTAATTTAACTTCATAAGTAATTTTTCTATACTACCTATAGCCTTCCTAGTTAGAGCAGTGCTTCATGAAAACTATGCCTTGGGCAAATTATTCTAGAGATTTGAACACTAGCAAATAGCTGAGATGAAAGAAAACTGAATAGAACATTTGTTTCCCTCTGGCTTATAATGAGTGGGTAGTCATCATAAATAATATTCATTTCCTTTAACCAAATATCTCTTTCATCGCACACATTAATTGCTACTGATATTTTGACTTTGCCACTAAATTCTAAGCATTAACATCACACAGTAGAAAACATTTCCATTTCAATTTTTCAAGGTTATTAGCTTCCTTTTTTCATTTATACACCTTGCATTCTTCAAAATAACATTTGACTTCTTGTTAATGATAAATTAAGTGTTGAAAAATGACCCAAATAAATCTAGAAATAGCAGGAAACTTTCTTCCTGGAAAGCAACTATAGAAGTATATCACTGGTGTGCCAGAATTGTAGGAAAGGAAGATATATGCAAGATATATTGCAAGAGAGGCAAGAATAAACTAAAGGGCTCCTCACTAGTGAATGGATACAAAAATGTCCATAACAATTTTTAAGAATTCTACCAGAAAGGGGATTAGACAAATGGAGCGGTAGCAGGAGGTAAAATGGGATCAAGAGAAGACTCATGCGGCCGGGCGCGGTGGCTCACGCTTGTAATTCCAGCACCTTGGGAGGCCGAGGCGGGCAAAGCAGGAGGTCAGGAGATCGAGACCATCCTGGCTAACACGGTGAAACCCCGTCTCTACTAAAAATACAAAAAATTAGCCGGGCGTGGTGGCGGGCACCTGTAGTCCCAGCTGTTCGGGAAGCTGAGGCAGGAGAATGGCTTGAACCCAGGAAGCAGGGCTTGCAGTGAGCCGAGATGGCACCACTGCACTGCAAGCTGGGCGACGCAGCAAGACTAAAAAAAAAAAAAAGAGAGAAGGCTCATGCTAACGATGACCCACTGGTAAAGGATAAAATGTGATGCAAGAGAGAAAGGGAAATAGTGGGAAAAAAATGTTTTTGACGAAGGGAAAAAAGGATATAATCTACTGTATATGTGGAGAATCTGGACTTTGATAGGCTTGTGGGAAGTTCATTCATTGTACATGGGGGAAATCTGAGCATAGGGCTTGCTAAAAATCAACTTTAGCCTAAAGCTCCCTCCTTATGTATTTTAAGTTGGGCCTAAGGGTTTCTCTGCACAGAGTGAACTATAATCTAAGTGGTAATGTATACCAACTGTAATCTACTCTTGTGCCAATCACCAAGTTTTGGCCGATCAAAGGGAGTCAACTGTTCAAACCATGTTCCCTTAAGGCAAGTGCCAAAGCTGTAACAAATCCGGCTGTTTCTTCTGTACCTCACTTCCATTTTGTGTAAGTCATTTTCCTTTTTCTGTCCATAAATCTTTTTCTACCACATGGCTGTGCTGGTCTCTCTGAGCCTAGTCTGTCTTGGGAGGCTGCCTGATTTACAAATCCTTTGCTGAATTAGACTGTGTTAAATTTAATTTGGTTAAGGTTTTTCTTTTAACAGGTTTCAGGGACCAATAGAGTGGTAATTGTGGTGAGAACTTATAGGGAGTCTTTTCTCATTTCAATTTTCGGTAAATAAAAAGAGAAAAAGCATTGGGTGTTTAAAAAAACGTGGTATGAGGTAATTGAGTATGACAGTGGGAAAGTGAAAAAAGGTGGAAAATATTAGAGAAAGTTAAAATAATGAGACGTGTGTGTGTGTATAAAGAAAAATAAAACTCAAACATTATAAAATTAAGTGAATAAAGTAAGGTGCAGAATGATTGCAGAGTATCACAGCACTTATGTAAATTTAAAATATTAATCCAAGTTTATATAAATACGTCTGCAAGGCACACACAAAAAGATGGACCACAAGAATACCAACCAAAATGTTAGTAGTGATTGACTGACTTAGAGAGCAGCAGAAGAGACCTTGCAGGTGGAGAGAAGGTGAAGATGCAGGTAGGTGCCTAAGGGGATTTACCTCATGTAAAAAAATAACCATTTAACTGAAATGTTTTGTTTCTTTATAAAAGGCTTGCAGCAAAAGTGACAAAGATGAACATCTATTAATTAATAATGATGGCAGAGATTGAAGTATTGAGATATAATCTATAATACATATTTGCTATTTTTTTCAAAACCAAACGCATATAAATGGAAAGAAAAGTTAATGGAGATACAAGAAAATCCCCAAATTTTACACTGAATCCTCAATGTTAAAAATATGCAAGGAAAAAAATACGGATTTAGTTTTTAAAAATAATAGAAAACTCTTAATTTATAAAAGTCTTTTCATATATTTATGGTTTCTTCATAATAAAAACCTTTAGTACGTTCTAAGAGTCAAAATAGTACAGATTACTTCTTCTTGGAAAAATGCCAATAAAATGTAAAAAGAACGACCCTGCTAGAAACAGCAATTTAAAAATCTAATCATTCAGAGAATTATAAATATTTCCCCCATAAAAACAAGGTGAAACATAACAAAATTTTGAGGGAAGGGGGAAAACAAATTGTGAATTATAAACTGTCTAAAATATCAACTTAATGGGTACAACTCCAGGTTAAAATATTTGTAATAGAGCTATATTTGCATGTAAAAGCATTCTAATGGCCTTCTTATTTTCTTTTTAGATTTTTCTTATTTAAAAAGAATCTTTCAAATTTTTCCTATTTAAATCTTTAAGAATTTTTTTATTTGAAATGATAATAAGAAGGCCATTAGTATGCTTTTACCTACAAATATAGCAAGAAGAAAGCAAGGAATGCAGCCAGAGAGAGAGGAAAAATAGAAAAAGAGAAAGGTGTAAGGAAACACTGGCCTTTTGTCTCAGCTCAGAAAACAAGAAACAATGAAACAAGCTCAGGTATAAAGACAAATGTGTTATTATCTTTCCCAGCTAGGCTTAGTAATTCTTAGTCACCCTAGGAAATCCAGCTAGTCCTGTCTCTCAATTATCAATAACAATTACACCTTGATGAATTAGAAACATAGATAGACAGGCTCTATAAGTTATATACATTACAAGTTTCAGCATGTCAGTATGTTAATAAAAATTGATACATCTTGACTGAAGTTAATTAAAAATAAAATACCTAAATCATGAATATCAGAAATAGACTTAAATTATATTGAAATGTGTGCTCCATGACTGTGAGAATTTTTATTTCACTTGCTATTATATATCCAGACCTCAGATCAGTCTTGGGAGATAATAGGCCTCAATATATCTTTGTTGGATTATTGTAGATTAGATTTTTAAATATGACAGAAAACTAATATCAATTATTTACTAAAAAAAATCTAGAGGTAAAGTGTAACATATTAGGGATATATAAGTTCTCAAAGGATATAAAAGCATAAAAAACTATAAAGGGAAAATTATTTTAAAATCATTGACTCAATAAAAAGAATTGGACTGAGAAGCTTTTAGGGTCTCTTTTTTCATAAACTTTCAGGAAACACAAACTTTCCTTCCTTTATATATGGCTACAGAGTTTTGAAAACAATGGAAGGATTTCCAAGTTATGTTGCAAAAGTAACATAATCTTGATACCAAACTCTGAAAAATAATGCATAAACCTGTGAGAGTAGATATCAGTCTTAATGTTGTAAATAAATGCAGTTCTTCCAAATTAATCCTAGGTTTTTATTTGTAAAAGAGGAATTGAAATAAAAACAATACTTGAAAAATGGACAACTCCTTAATACCTCTCTTGAGAAAATGTGTTGAACATCTTAAAGCTATTATAATCTTTTATGTAAAATTGATTGGCAAGTAAAGGAAAGGTAGCCATTGTGTCTTTCTGCCTTTTTGTGTCTGTCTCTCCTTTCTCATCTCTGTCTGCCTCTCTTTCTGTGTGTGTCTGTTTGTGTGAGATAAGTGGTGGTAGTCTGCACCAAGGACTTAAGCCTGCATCTGTGTTTCTTTTAGTCTCTATTTGAAAGAGCAGCCTATATAACGAAGGATATGAAGCCTTGTTAGTCCTCTGCTCATTGACATTGAATAAAGACGTCCCATCAACAACAGCCACCATATTACCTACTGACTGTCCGCAGCATTGACATATTGCTGGAGTCTTGTGGACAAGCAATATCTCACTGCCTTAGATCTTAAAGAGCCTCCTAAGCCAACTTAGAGGGTTGATGGTTGATATGGTTTTGCTCTGTCCTCACCCAAATCTCATCTCAAATTGTAATCCCCACTTGTTGAGAGAGAGACCTGGTGGGAGGTGATTGGATCATGGGCAGTTTTCCCTGTGCTGTTCTTACGATAGTGAGAGAGTTCTCACAAGATCTGATGGTTTAAAAGTGGCAGTTTTCCCTGTGTGTGCGCGCTCTCTCTCTCCCTTTCTCTCTCTCTCTGTCTCTCTCCTGCCGCCATGTAAGATGTGACTTGCTTCCCCTTCCATCATGATTGTAAGTTTCCCGAGGCCTCCCCAGCCATGTGGAACTGTGAGTCAATTAAACCTCTTTTGTTTATAAATTACCTAGTCTCATGTAGTATCTTTATAGCAGTATGAAAATGGACTAATGCAGGAAATTGGTTCCAGGAGTGGTGTACTGCTATAAAGATAACCTGAAAACGTGGATATGACTTTGGAACTGGGTAACCAGCAGGGGTTGGAACAAGTTGGAGAACTCAGAACACGGGAAGATGAGAGAAAGTGTGGAATTCCCAGAGACTTTTTGAATGGTTTTGACCAAAATGCTGATACTGTTATTGATAATGAAGTCCAGGCTGAGGTGGTTTCAGATGGAGATGAGGAACTTATTGGGAACGGGAGTAAAGGTCACTCATGCTATGCTTTAGCAAAGAGACTGACAGCATTTTGCCCCTGCCCTAGAGATCTGTGGAACTTTGAACTTGAGAAAGATGATTTAGGGTATCTGGCAGAAGAAACTTTAAGCAGCAAAGCATTCAAGAGATAAACTGGATGATTCTGAGAGTGTTCAGTCATATGCATTCACAAAAGAGATGGTTTGAAATTGGAACCTATGTTTAAAAGGGAAGCAGAACATAAAAGTGTGGAAAATTTGCAACCTAACCATGTGGTAGAAAAGAAAAAACCATTTTCTGTTTGAGGAATTCAAGCTGGCTGCAGAAATTTGCATAAGTAACAACAAGAAGAATGTTAATAGCCAAGACAATAGGGAAAACATCTCCAGGTCCTGTCAGAGACCTTCCTGGCAACCCCTCCCATCACAGGCCTGGAGGCCTAGGGGGAAAAATGGGCCAGGCCCAGGGCCCTGCTGCTCTGTGCAGCCCTGGGACATGGCACCCTGCATCCCAGCTGCTCCAGCTCCAGTTGTGGCTAAAAAGGGCCAAGGTACACCTCAGGCCATTGCTTCAGAGGGTGTAAGCCCCAAGCCTTGGTGGTTTCCACATGGTGTTGGGCCTGTGGGTGTGCAGAAGACAACAGTTGAGGTTTGGGAACCTCCACCTAGATTTCAGAGGATGTATAGAAACACATGGATGTCCAGGCAGAAGTCTGCTGCAGGGACAGAGCCCTCATGGAGAACCTCTCCTAGGGCAGTGCAAAGGAGAAATGTAAGGTTGAAGTCCCCACACAGAGTCTCCACTGGGGCACCACCTAGTGGAGCTGTGAGTAGAGGGCCATCCTTCTCCAGACCTCAGAATGGTAGATCCACCGACAGCTTGCACGGTGTGCCTGGAAAGGCCACAGGCACTCAATGCCAACCCATGAAAGCAGCCACATGGGCCATACCATGGATAGCAGCAGAGATGCCCAATGCCTTGGGAGCTCACTCTTTGCATCGGCGTGTCCTGGAAGTGAGACATGGAGTCAAAGGAGATTATTTTGGAGCTTTAAGATTTAAGAAGTTCCCTCACAATAAGTTTTCTGACTTGCATGAGGTCTGTGGCCCCTTGGTTTTGGGCAGTTTCTCCCATTTGGTATGGTAACATTTACCAAATGCTGTACCTCCATTGAATTTTAGAGGTAACTAACTTGTTTTTAATTTTACAGGCTCATAGGCTGAAGGGACTTGCCTTGTCTCAGATGAGACATTAGACTTGGACTTTTGAGTTAATGCGGGAATGATAAGACTTTGGGGGACTATTGGGAAGGCATGATTGGTTTTAAAATGTGAAAAGGGCATGAGACATGGGAGGGGCCAGGGGCAGAATGATATGGTTTGGCTCTGTGTTCTTACCCAAATTTCATCTTGAATTGTAATCCCCCCATGTTGAGGGAGGAACCCAGTAGGAGATGATTGGATACACTGGTGGTGCAGAAAGAAAAGCTGTTTCCACCCCTACTCCACATGTGTTCTTCCAGGTTACTAAACAGATCCAGCTTGAGATCACACCCAAGACAGGACAATGTTGAAGGACACACATGGTAGAGAAAAGAATAGTATTTAAGATGCTGCTTCAGAAAATGTCATTTCAAATTCTGGTGCTGCTACTTACTAGATGTATATGATCTTAAAAACACTGTGTTTATTTCATTTTATTAGCACCATGCTCTAACCAACTGAGCTATTTCTCTCCCATTCTAAATTAAATATTGGCATTCACTTCTACTTTTGATTTTTAATCTAAAATAGGAAAAACACAGTGTTGTTTTTAGAACTGAGTTAATATATTTAAGTGCTTAGAATAGGAAGTTCTCCTAAAATGTTAACTAATACCTTATCATATTTTTGTTATTAACATTATAATACACAGAGTACTCTCCATGGCTTTACTTACCCTCCCAATTCCTGGATATATTTATTTCTGAATGATCATAATGTAGAGGTAAAAGAGGTAATTTATGTATAGTTTTCCCGTTTCCTTCTATGTCTATCTCTTATCTTCAACCAGCATCTCTTAATGGTATTATTGGGTTTCTGCTGGAATTCTCCACTTCCTAAGAAAACACTTTTTTTCACCACAAAGATATTTTTTGGTTTCTTCCTTCACCTTCCTTGGTCTTTGGTTTCTTCCTTCACCTTGGTTTTATTTGCAGAAATCCTGAAAAGATTTTTGAAAAATCATGTCATTTATTTAACAAATATTTAGTGTATCTACTATATAGCTAGTATGAGAGAACAACGACAGCCGCAATGACAAAATATGGTTTTGTCCTCATGGGACTTATGCTAGAGTATTAGAAGCAAACAATAAACTGGTTAACAAGTATACAAACAAGATTTACTAATTGTATGAGTAATATTGCTATGATACAGGATAGATTGCTACTAGGGTAAAGGATTGGGTTTTTTAATTGAGATAATGTGGTCAGAGAAAGCCTCTTAAAGAGGTAAGTTTTCATTTGAGAACTGTATGTCAGAAGAGTAGTCCAGATTGCAAAAGTAGATTATCAACACTTGTAGATTGTCAGAGGTGAGAAACAGCTGGGCATGCTGTAGAATCCAAGGCTGGTATAAATTCAGTCCAGTGAACAAACAGAAAATGGATCCACCTGAGGTAAGGGGATGGATGAATCAAGTCCATAGGGCCCTGTAGTCAACTTTAAGAAGTTAGATGCTATTATCAGTGTGATGAGAAGTCACTGCAGGATTTAAAATATTGATGTGATGTCATTCAATTTATATTTCAAAGAGATAACACTGGACGACTTATGGTAAATAGGTTATAGTACGACATGTTTAGGTATCTACAGTTGTAGTCCTGGGAGAGAAGAGATGGTGATTTAGACTGATATGATAGTACTGGTGTGGGAAAGAATTGGATTTTTGACACATCTGTTGAAGTACTAAGATTTAACAATGGATTGGATAATGGGCTGAGAAAAAAAATTACTCTTTCCTATAAGATCTCTTGCTGTGCCAAGTCAATGGATGGAGATATAATTTGGAGCAATAAGAAGGATTAGAAACGAGGATAACTTCTGAAGAAAAAGAAATATTTAAAATTTGGACATGTTAACTTTGAGATTGTTAGCAAACATTTGTGCCAAATTATATTATTATTCTCAATTATTTGCTGGCACTCTCTGTGGAAGATTATGTTCTCCTGTCACACTGATATCAGGCTTGACCACATGATTTTCTTGGCCTGATGAAATGTGAGTAGAATTGACACATGCCACCCCTGGTAAAAGTTTCAAGAGTCATTGTGTAGTCTTCCCATTCTTCTTTTCCCTCTACCATGAAACCTTCAATCTGGATTCAAGGGTGAAAAAGACACATGGTTCAGGAATCTTCAGCTCACAAACAGCCAATATTTCATGAGGGCATAAATAAACCTTTGGTGTAATGTGCTAAGATTTGGGAGTTGTTAGTTACTGTATCATAACTTAGCCTAAGTCAAAAAATACAATGTCTAAGTGGATATGTTATGTAGGTGGTTGAAAAGACAAGCTTTGGGCTTAAGGAAGGTGTCAGGTTTAGATTTGTGGATTTGGAATTCATCAGTAAATAGATTTTATGTAAAGCCAAGGGATTGGATAAAATCATATCAGAAATGTGTGTCCATGAAGAAGTGAATAAGGAGGAACTAAGTCCAGTGATACTTTGACATTGAAGATTTAAAGAAGAGAAGTAGCTGCAAAGAAGAGCGAAAAGAACATGGCGAGTAAGCAAGCAAGAAGAGGAGGAGTCCTGTGTATCTTAAACTGCAGAATAGATGAACTAGAAAAGAAAGATTCCAGACCTTGAGTCTAGAATAATGGAAGAGCTTTGTGACATTGACAGGCTCAATTTCATTTAAGATGTAGGAACAGATTTAGACTGGAGTTGACTGAATGTGTGATACAGATTTCTTCTATTTTTATATATATTTTGGTCATTTCACTTAGGATTTAGGAGATAGATAGATAGATAGATAGATAGATAGATAGATAGATAGATGGTAGATAATGTTCAGGCCTTCACTTAAATTTACCACAAATGAAGAAATTTTAGATGTTTTATCCAGGTAGCATAATAACCTTTGGGAAGCTCTATTTGCCAAAATTCTATATATGTATATTTCTAAATAATAATGGCCATTACTTTGGGATTAATTTTTTTCTTCTTTTTTCCTCCAAAATGCTGTTACTTCTTGGGACGTTAAAGGTTAAATGAGTCTCCATTAATTCCCTTAGATTCACTCCTTTCATCTAGAAATATTGTTTTAGATATTTCCAGACTTGTACTTGAAGTAAAACTACAATTTCAGAAAAATCTCATTATGTGGGATATGTCCATCAAACTATTTTCTTGTCATTGAGTACTCCATAAACATACTTAATGGGCAACATTGTAATAGCAGTGGAAAACCTAGCACGAAACTGGCTAGATTTATGCAGTTATCTTGCAAAAATGTTTTCTGTTAGATTTCTGTCTTTTTGAAGAAAAAGCTAAAAAAAAAATCCGTATTACTATTTGCAGTGTAGTCTTCGCTGAGAATATTGTCCCTACCTTGAATATCTCTCTCAATTGGTAAATAAGTCCAAATGGAATTTTCACATCTTCTATAGTAACACATTCCTTTATGACATTTCTGACAAAAGCTTTGCAGGATTTTGTGTTATAGATTCCTAGTTGAGGAGACAATAGAGGCACAGAAAGCAATAATAAACACACCTCCAGCAGAAGATAATGACTTAAAAAGTGTGCTATATTCTTTTGAATAGAGATTATGTGTGCAAATACTGCAGTTCAGATGGCAGAATCAGAAATAACTGCAATTGGGGACAACAGAAGTAAGATGATTTTGCAAACAAACAGAAAACTTAACAAGAAATGATTATTTTTATGGAAGATGGGAATCACAGTGGATAAAACCTATCATGTAAACACTGAAGGTGCTGATTGAAATAATTCCCTGATATTATTTCTTCCAAATGTTTCCAGGGAATTGCAAAGTTTATGGGTCATGAAAATTGTTGAAACCAACACCTCAATTATAAAGCAATCTCAGCGGTATAGGAAAGTCAAGAGCCTAAACTCATATCAGAAAACCACCAAAATGCCTTACAAATGTTACAAGTATTATCGATTCAGCCTGCAAGTGCTGATTACAACCCTACTGTGTGACTATCAGTGTGCTAGGTGCTGAAACAGCTGACAAGTCAAAGATGATTTCTCTCAAGAACTTCACAACCTGGTGGGAGATGAGGAACAGATATGTTAATATAATTACAAATATTGAATCAGGAATAGGTAGTAAATTTAAGTAGATAAATTAAGTAGTAAATTTAAATAGGTAGTAAATTTAAATATCCATGCAAGAACTTTAAACATTATTAGAAAGCTGTTTTTCCTCTGTGATGATGTCTATGATAGACGTGAATGCAGACTTATGCAATTGCAGAAAAGAGAGTGAAAAAACAAGTATCTGGAACATTTAGGGTTGGGGCTTCATAGAGGTAATAGTTTTCACACATACAAATAAGGCAAGAAAGAGCATTCTTTGACTTTTTTCCACAGAAAGAGATATAATTGAAAAACAATTAGTTGCATACATTTTGATCTTCAATCTGATACGTTCTGATATATTTATGTCACCACATTCAAGATAATAAACATTTCCATTACCACCAAAGTGTCCTTGTGCCCCTTGGCAATCCATCTTTTCCTCCTCACCCCACTCCTAGACAATCACTGATTGGCTCACTCTCAACATGGGTTAGTTGCATTCTTCAAAAATTTTATATAAATGACATCATACAGTGTGCACTCTTTCGCTCAGCATGATTTTGAGACTTATATATGCCATTGTATGTATCAATAGTGTGTTCCTTTTTGTAGCTAAGTAGTAAGTAAATAGTAAGTCCATTATGGATATGCCATAATTTGTTAATTTTTCATCCATCGAAAGACATTTGAGTTGTTTCCCAAAATGTAGCCAAATTGCTATGGCCATTCTTGTACAAATCTTTTTGTGGAAATATATACATGTATTTATTTATAAACATATATATATATTTTTATCTTGAGTAAGCAACTACAAGTGTAATGGATTGGTGGATAGAATATGCATGTTTAGCTTGTTATGAAACCAACATAGCAAAAGTGGCTGTACAATTTTCTCTTTCTACCAGCAATGTAAGTGCATTCCAGTTACTCCACAACCTTCCCAACACTATGTCAACTTTTTCATTCCAATGGGTGTATATCATGCAGTTTTAATTTGCATTTTCCTAATGATTACTAATGTTCAGTATCTTCTCAAGTGCTTATTGATCATTTTTGTACTTTTATAAAATGTCTTCTCAAATCATTTGCTTGTTTTTGATGAGTTCTTCATTTTCTTAACATTGATTTGTAATGTTCCTTTATGGACTCTGAACACAAGTCTTTTGGTTGACATATGTGTCATTTATTCTTTGATGTTTATTAAAGCCATGTGATGAAAGTCAGAAAAGAAGAGAGTTGAGGGAAAATAGTAAATCTAGAAGTATCTGGTTTAAAGTTGATTCTATGGAATAGCTTCATGAAAGAATATTCTCTAAGGAGAGAAAATATAAAGGAAATAGGAAATCTGGATACAGGTACCAAGTAGAAACCATCTAGGTTATTGGAATCAATGATTCTCTTGGAATGTGGAAAGGAAATTATGTGCATTCAATATGCAAAATAATTATTTTCTTCACATTAAAGTGTATATTCTATTGAGTTCAATATTATACAAAATCCTTTGTTTCTGACTACATTGACTCTTTATAGCAACCATGTAAAGATGAAAAATGTATCCTCTCTCCATCATTTTATTTCAAATGCTCAATGTGTACACTATAAAGAAATTATATTTTGACAAATTTAAATTTAATAATGTGAAAGCTAGAAGGATAAACAGAAGCTGCTTTAAGTGGTTGAAATAAAAAGGACAAAAAAGTTTCTTTTCTCCTTTCCTCTAATTCTTTTATGAAATCTTTTTCCATGTTTTAGATGACCCAGATTGTTCCACTTGTATTTTTTTCAAGCCTCCCTTGTGTTTCCCAGAGAACAATAAGTATGTGTTGGTGAATGTAGGTGTGATGGTTAATATTGAGTGTCAACTTCATTGGACTAAAGGATGCAAAATATTACTCCTTGGTGTGTCTGTGAGGGTGTCGCCAAAGGAAATTAACATTTGAGTCAGTGGACTGGGAGAGGCAGACCCACCCTCAATCTAATTAGCTACCAGTGCAGCTAGAATAAAGCAGGAAAGAGAAGATGGAAGAGCAGACTTACTGAGACTTCCGGCCTCTGTCTTTCTCTCGTGCTGGATACTTCCTGCCCTCAAACATCATATTCCAAGTTCTTCACCTGACTCTTGGAGTTACATCAGTGCTTTGCCAGGGACTCCCGGGCCTTTGGCCACAGACTAAAGGCTGCACTGTCGGCTTCCCTACTTTTGAGGTTTTGGGATTCAGACTGATCTACCACTGGCCTCCTTGCTCTTCAGCTTGCACACAGCCTATTGTGGGACTTTATTTTGTGATCGTGTGAGTCAATCCTCCTTAATAAACTCCCTTTCATATATACATATATCCTGTTAGTTCTGTCCCTCTAGAGAGCCCTAATACAGTAAGAGATTACATGGGATGAATCAGAAAATCATAAAACATGGAAAGGGTCCTTAGGCAAAAATATTTGTTTCTTTCTCTCCTGTTCAAGGCCTAGCTCTGCGTGTGTGTGTAACATACACACACATACACGTTAAACACCAGTTAAACATGCATCATTCCCTACAGTCCTCTTTTTTCCTCTTCATCAGTTTCAATTCCATTATTATTTAAAGCAATTGGTATTATATATTTCTGTCTTACTCCTTGGCCAAATCTCAATATAGTTTATCCAAACTATCTGTCTTTTCTGAACCTACAGGAGAGAAGCTGGAGTTTGAAGGAGAAAAACCACACAGCTAGTTATGTTTTAAATACGTGACTGCAAATTGAAAATTCGCTATTGTTGGAAATCTATCACTTTCCCCTGGTGATTTTTGATACCACACTTTGTAAAAAATATACATATGAAGGCATCTTCTGTCATCTCATAGCTTCTAGACACCTCTCAACACCTTGGTGAACTAAATACTTCATTACAATAATGCATTTCTGCTTAATGGTTTCCTATATAGGAAAATAGTCCTGTATTTATTTTTAAAAATAAATGTTAGTGCAAGCTTAGAAAGAATATGCATTCTACAGAAATTTAAAGCAGGATTCTATATATAACTCTGAGTTTAATTTTCCACTAGAGATGTTCAAATGTTTTATCTCCTCACTGATTATTTTTGTCTGTATGTGCTATCAACTAATAAGAGAGGTGTGTTATGTCTCACTGTGGTCGTGAATTTGACAATTCCTCTGTAGGTCTGTCAGTTATTGCTTTATATTTTGAGACCACATAATTAGGCACTTACAGATTCAGGATTGCTATATCTTCTTGGTGAATTTATCCTTTTATCATTATCATGTGATTTATACTAAGATTTTTACTTTAATATCTATCAGGTATACTATTAATATAGCTACAGAATATCCACATGCAAGTGTTTCTCAGAACATTTTCACTGCCTATCATTATTAAAGGACAATTTGCTTCATGTAAATATTAGTTTTACCGTTCTCTTTCAGCACATTGGCCACCTTTTTCTCTGTATTCCTGACTTTATTGCTCTGGATAAGTCATGGGTCAATTTAACTGCAGTTTGGTTTTTTTTTTTTTTGAAGGAACTGTGCTGTAATTTTCTCACCACTTTTAAGATTGTTCTCCTTGTCTTTGGTTTGCTAGTTTCTGGATGATGAGTCTAGATGTAGATTTCTTTTAAACTTTTATGCAGCAAATATATATGTACTGGAGTGATATGCATCTATCTATTCCTCCAGAGCTATGCTATTAAAGTCTGGGACTGCTTGAACTCCTTTTGAGGGTCCAAGTTTTCTGAGACACTCAGATTTGGTGCTCTAACTTAACAAGCACATGACTAAATCTTTGGTTCCCATTTTTCCATCCTAGTATCCACATTTGTCCCCAAGGCAACCTCAAATTTCAAGTGTGCTTGCCACTTATCATTCCCATTTGATCTGTCCATTTGGTGAGCTAAAGCTTTCTTCACATCTTTACACGCCTTAAATGGATTAAAATATGTTTGGTGTATCATGTATCATATATAGGATAAAATGTTGGTTTAGGTCAGTCTCTACACATTTAGACTTCTATATAACAAACAGGAGTGCCACATTCACTTTTCAAATTAGTCCAGCTATGCTTCCATAACTGCCACTCCACTCCAAAGACATTTTTTTTGTTTTTGTCTCCTTTCCTTCCTTCCTTCCTTCCTCTCTCTCTCCTTTCTTTCTTTCTCTTTCTTTCTTTCCTTCCTTCCTTTCTTCTTTCCTTCTTTCTTTCTTTCCTTCTTTCCTTCCTTCCTTCTTTCCTTCCTTCCTTCCTTCCTTCTTTTCTTTCTTTCTTTCTTTCTTTCTTTCTCTTTCTTTCTTCCTTCCTTCCTTCCTTCCTTCCTTCCTTCCTTCCTTCCTTCCTTCCTTCCTTCCTTCCTTTCTCTCTCTCTCTCTCTCTTTCTTTCTTTCTTTCTTTCTTTCTTTCTTTCTTTCTTCCTTCTTTCTTTTTCTTTCCTTTTTTTTTCAGGGTCTCACTCTTTTGCCCAGGTTGGAATGCGCTGGCATGATTATGGTTCACTGCAGCCTCTACCTCCTGGGCTCAAGTGATCCTCCCAGTTCAGCCACCTCCCAACTACTTGGGACCACAGACACATGACACCATGTCTATCTATCTATCTATCTATCTATCTATCTATCTATCTATCTATCTATCTATCAAGACAGGGCTGCACTATGTTGCCCAGACTGATCTCAGATTCATGGGCTGAAGTGAAAGTGCTGGGATTATGGGCATGAGCTGCCACACCCAGCCTATACTCCACCTATTTTTATCAGTGTCTCCAATTACCCTCATGTTGCCAAACCAAGGAAAATTTATTTGACTTTATTTTCTTTAAAGAGCTTGCAGCATTTAACAGAGTTGAACATCACGTGGGGGATGTGTGTGTGTGAAAGAGAGTTAATTCTATTAAATGTCCTCTTTTGGGAATGCTGTTGATTTTCCTCTTACTTTCTGGATTTTTTTTTTTATGTCTTTTCTGCTACTTCATCACCTTTACATGTTGAGGGTGTCCCTGGTTCAAGTATTATTCTCCTCTTCTTCCCCTCTTCTCACCTCTCCTCTTCTCTGCTATTTCCTTTAATATTCTTTGTTCCAGAAATGTAATTAGTTATACTTTGAACATGTTACTTCTCTGTGTCACAGAATGCTCATCAATAAAACTGAAATGATATGAGTAGCCTACTCCACAGGGTTGTTGGAAGATTTGAGTTAACACAAGTAAAGTGCTTTAAAAAATGCCTGGCTTATAATAAGTATTTGGCAAATATTTTACTACTTTTCTCTTTTCTTTGTACATTCCCTGAATGATAGGATATAATTATACCATGATTATATCATGTAATCCTACCAGGTAATTACCATTTTTAAGTCATACTTAAGATGATTTTCAGCCTTATGTCTATCAGTTGTGATCACTCTACTAAGCAGTAAACCCACATATACAGCTGCCTACTTCACATTTCACTTTGCTGTCCAATGAACACAACAAATTTAACATATATACAGAAAAACTTTAATGTTCCAAATTCCAGTGCTAAACAAACAGCATTATTCATTTTTCCTGACTTGGTAAATGATGTCTCTACCCATCCTTTTATAAGTCGGAAACATAAAGACATTTTTCTTGCCATCCTTTTTTATCACATACACAACACTTAACTCATTAGAAAATCTTGTCAATTCTAACTGTAAAAGGTATCTTAAATGTATCCATTTCTTTTAATGTCCATTGCTCTCACCATCATGCAAACATCACCAATTCTTAACCAGAATATAACCACTATTAGTCTATTCATTCACTCTTCTGTCCTACTCCTCAAATTTCATACAATTGCCAAAGTGTTATTTTATTATTACACATTCCTCATATCCTTCCTTTAAAACAAACCCTTGATTGGATTATAATCAGATATAGATTAAAATTAGAAGCTTTTGCTGTGCCCTGGGTGACATTTCCTACCTCTCAAAAATCATTTTAAGTCATTTTACTTATTCCTGGCATTCATTGCACTTTGGATATTATGGCTTTTAGTTCTTCAAGCATGTCATGCACTTTCTCAGTGTAGGGGGAGAGTTTACACATGCCATTCTTGCTGAATGAAATGATTCTCTCCTAATTCTTCATCTGATGAACTCTGACTCAGCCTTTGTGTCACAGCTTAAATGTCACTTCTGATAACTCTTTCTTGACTACCTGATATAAATTGGGGGCCCCTGTAATTCCATCAAGACACTGAATTTTTTCCTTTACAGCACTTATCAAATTTGCCATTTGATAAGTAAAAGTTGTAATTTCATATTTATTTGTGTGTTGTTTAATGACTCTCTCCCATATAACCTATGGGAAAAGCTTGACAAATCATAGATGACAAGTAGCTGGAAACAAAGTGACAGAAATTTAATGTGAAGAGAGGTGAATGGAGCAGATGTAACCGTAGTGTGTTTTCTTGAAGTAGAGAAGAAGCCAACTAATGGGAGAGAAAAAAAATAAATTCGAAGTTGTCATGAAGAAAAGTTCTTTTGAAATAAAGCAAAAAATATTAATCTGAAGAAGAAAAG
Source organism: Homo sapiens (assembly GCF_000001405.40). Lineage (NCBI taxonomy): Eukaryota > Metazoa > Chordata > Mammalia > Primates > Hominidae > Homo > Homo sapiens. The sequence continues at coordinate 76,368,401 of NC_000002.12, forward strand.
AGTACTGAGTGCTTGAAAAAAAATAATCTGGAATGATCAACATTAATACATGGCCTGGCAAATTATTAAATTTCTAGAGCAAGAGAAATGTTCATATGTTCAGGTACAAAGACACATAATCTGTAAGGGTGAACGGTTTTGACTGATACAGACTTCTCTACTGCGAGATAAAGTCCCAAAGAGAAAAAAATGATGCATGTACAATTGTGCAGAAAATAAATGTGACTCAATAATAATACATCCAGTTGATATGAGTTTCAAGTATGAGGGCAATGGAGAGACAGCCTCAAACGTCAGAACTCGGGGAAATAACATTCGGTCACTCATCTTGGAAAATCTTCCCAGTGACCAAATGCAGCTGATTCAGTGTTGAATCAGAATGCTGAGACCTGAAAATGGGAATGGCAGCAAGGAGAATGATGGTGAGCACTTAACTAATTTACACACAGAATTAAGACTAAGCACATGTGGGAATTAAGATTATGGAACAAAATATAGTTGTATTACATCTTGACAATGTAAAAATAGTAATGTAATAATAATTTTTGGCAGGAGGGGAGGAGAGGTGAGAGGAAGTATGTGAGTACCAATTATCTCATCTTTCATGGTATTTAGTCAACACATACTTGCGTCTAAAAATGGTATAAAGTTGCTGTCTTCAGGAGTATTACACTCCAGTGAATAAAGACAGAAAGCACTATGAAGAGGTAAATAAATAATCCCTTTAGTGATAAATGCCTTAAAGGAATTAAATCAGGATAATGAGATAGCAACAAACATGGGAAGTAAGAGATAAATTGGAGTGTTTGAGAAGGCTTCTATGAGAAACGGATTTTCTTTGTAAACGTCTAATGTACTGTTACAAAAAAGCAACTTCACTCTCCTAATGTTTTAAAAAGTATCTTCCCAATTTTTAAAGAAATATTGTGTTTTGAGAAAAAGGCATTTGAAAAATGAATTAGTAAATCATTCAATTTTACTTGAGATTCCCTGCAAGTTTTTCTCTGTTAAATACAACTAAATACTCTATTACAAATAACATGTATAGAGAAATACCAATAAAATATCTCTACCTACTTATCTATCTCTGAGCATCTTTCTATGTATCCTTTCATTTGTGACAGACTTATCAGCTATCTATCAATAGAATATCAGATATATTGTTCACCAATTTTAACAGTTGTGGCTTATGAACTGTGCTAGAATTTTAAAAAACTAAGCAGTTTTACAAAAAAAAAATATTACACCCCTCCTTAAAAAAAAAAAAAACTTTTACTACTCTTTCCTATTTGCTAAACTTCCTGTACTGCTGCTGCTAACTCTTTAAGTACAAATAGCTGATTTCATCTGGTATTTTCTGTCTTTATTCAGCAGGGTTAACCTTGCATAGTTTGTGAGAGGAAATTGATATTTCTTTTAGATATAAATTGGTTTCTTTTTGTCAGGAAAATAAGTTTGAGGACTGCAATTGACAGAATTTTTTGAGCTCAATTGTCCTACACTTGAACAAGTTACATATTCATAAAAGATTTGATTCTAATTTAAAATAAAGAGTGGCAAACAGAAACGGAATGACAGAGAAAAATGCTTGTCTTAGGATGTGTTCTAAATAGCAAAACAATCATTTTAGAGTAAAAACTTACTTTAGCCATTATGAAATGTTTTATATTTTTCCATGCTGAACAACCTCATAGATAGTGTCACTCAGTAAAATTGGTGTCGAATAAAAATGCTAAGCATTTCCACATGCTTTATTTTCTATATTTGTATCATGGACAAAACCAGGTAACTGTGTTCTAACTGAAGAAAAAACTGGATCGTAGACTGAAATAAACTTGGGTTTATTAAGGAGTTATATGTTAATATTATCCCATTGAAATTTTTAAAATGCAAACAAAATATATGTCTAAAGCTAAGACTCATTTTGTTGTTCCTGGATACCTTTGCAGAAAAATAAAGAAAAAATTATACAGTATGCTTTGAGTTAATGGTGTGGGGAAGGCGCTAATTGAAAATAGTCAATAAGAATATTATTCAATAGAATATCAGATATTTTGTGTCCTATCTGGATGGATCTTTGTAGTTCTAAAGTTTCACAGAGCTGTCCCTATATAAAACTAGAGATCATTAGCTCCAGTTGGTCAGGGAATGAGTAATCAACAAATAGTTTATTAGTAGTCAACAAATAGTTAATTATAAACTGTTATTTATAGTTAATTATTTACTTATTTATTAAACAACAAATAGTTTATTAACACTGCTGAGGTGATAAGACACCGATAGATATTGTGTCTAATTTTTTGCCCAAGTTTGGAGCCAAATGACAGAGAAATGAAAGCAGACAGGCAGACTTTTAAGTGTTTGCTTATTCACTATTTTCTGTGAGGAGGTGTAAGAAGTGTGTAAGAGACACAGATCATCTTAGATCTATTTGGGAACATGGGGAAGTAGGAAATAAGTGTTGTCCCTCATAATAAATAATTTTCCCATATATTTTATAGTCCAACACTTAATTTTAAAACATTATTGAAAAACACAGCTTGTATGTATATTAAAACCTGAGATGCTAAAATACACACATACACACACACGTCTCTATCTACTTTCTTATTAAAATAAATAATATATGAGAAATACATCTTAATTGCCAAAAGTCAAATAGGTACAGGGTAAATTAATGAAAACAAAAAGTAACAAGAATAATTACTTGTATGGCTGTGTCAGATTTTTCACAAGTATCTTTGTCAAACTTTATTCTCCCTTCACTTCAGAAAAATACTTTTTTTATAATGTGATATATTTTTTGACTGTAATACATAACAATTAAATGGATTGTCAATAGAAAAGTCATAAATAAGGAATGACAGTTCATTCTGACATTAATATGAGCTTGATCCTGAGATTTTTGTCAGCCTAAGTGACATAATTGATTGGATCTACTCAATTGTTGGAATGTGTTAGCTTGATTTTAAGAAAAACTAGATTTATTATGTTTTTCAACTGCAGTTTGTTTTTAGGGAGACATCTGTTAAACTCAACAGCATAGAACTTAACAGAACTAGTTAAGAACGTAGCTTAGGAGGATGGTGTTTCCTTACTTGAGGAACCAAGGATGGAGGATGTAAAGCCGTAACCTGGAGCCAGAGACAGTTGCGGGAATATCATATCATAAGGCAGTGGGAGGTACAAGGGAGCAATCAGACTGGCTGTTTGAACAAAAGGTGTCTTTCTTGCCTGAGGCTGAATTTAATGGATCCAGCTGAATATACATTTGCACTGCCTTGTATCAGAGAAACATAATATGAATCCCATGTGTGAATTGAATCTTTTAGAGAACGGAGCCATTAGTACAATGATCAGGAATGAAATTTGATACATTAATATTGAGTAATGCTTTTAGTTTCTAGAAGTAATTTATAATATATATATATTTTTTAATTTTTTGTAGTTGCTGGTCCAGTGTTAGGTATTTAGATAATCCTCACTACATATTAAATGAACCAATATATCAATACATGAATAAAAATAATACCCTTCCATGATCTACCCTGCAGGGAAAGTACAATTTCTTTGTTTCTAGTGGATCCATGAATGAACAGTTCCAACCTAAAGAGACCCAATCTGTTCTTGAAAATTCTGGACCAATATGCATTATCTTTCTGCTGGTTTATTAACTACAGTATCTCCTCTCATAGATTGACAAACCATTTGGACATGACCAGCTACTGTTATAGCTCTTTTACTCTTGTAGTTTGGCGAGTAGGAATGTTAAGTTCTTTTGTAGTTCAGTGAGTTCCGAGTTCTTGTCCCACAACTGAGAGGAATGAGATATGCAGACATCAGAGAGTGGGTAAGGCAGAGTAGAACTGATTGAGTGACAGAAAAGCTCCTGGCAGTAAGAGGGGACCCGAAAGTGGGTTGCCGGCAATGAGGTTGAGTCCAGGGGCTTTTATGGGCTTGGCATGAGGAAGTGCATGCTGATTGGTTTGGGTAGGCTTGGAAAAAGCACCATTCAGAAAGACAATGTAATCCCCATTCTGGATGATAGTGTAAAAAATCAACTGGGGGAAGGTAGGTATATGTAAAATGTGAGGGATAAGGACGAATCAGGAGAGAGTGTACCAAACAGGAATATAAGTTCTCAATCTGGTCCATGAATTTATCCTGAATTTGTAGCTTGGTTTTTAGGCTTTAGGCTGTCCTTGGCTGGAAGGTTGAGTTTCACGGAGGTCCCGTTCCTATCTGCCTAAGAATTTGTCTGCCTCCTATCACTATAATTACGTATGTCTTTTGTCAGACAGTGGTTCATTCGCTTCTCATTGCCAAAAGAACTAAAGCATATTTTATTTACCAGTGTGCTTATTTTAATTCTAGATTCTTAGAAGCAGGACTACTTTTGTTGGTTCAGGTGTTTCCTCTGCAAAAAAAGTCCTTTATATCTTTCATTTCCCTCTATTCAGTGGCGATCATGGCACAATTCTTAGCAATAACCAAACCAGCCATCTTGGAGATGGAGGAAGCTTGCTAACAGTGTGTGATTTTAAAACTTAGAAATAAGTTCTGAGGCGTCTGCCCATTACCTTGATAATCGATTAATTCAAAGGCAAAGAAGTATTAAACCTCAGTTTCAATTTGATACTTTTGATGGGAGGGGATGGATACCTTTCAATTTTTTGTAATTTTTTTTTTTTTTTGAGACAGGGTCTTGCTCTGTCACCCAGGCGGGAGTGCAGTAGCGTAAACACAGCTCACTTCAGCCTCAGCCTCCCGGGTTCAGCTGATTCTTTCACCCACAGCCTCCTGAGTAGCTGGAACTACAGGAACCTGCCACCATGCCTGGCTAATTTTTGCATTTATTGCAGAGATAGGGTTTCACCATGTTGTCCAAGCTAATATTAATTTTTCTTTCTGTTACACTACCAAAATATTTATTGAAGAAAAATTTTAAAAATACAGTTAAGCTCAAAATTTTGAACTTGGTTACAAATTACTGAGATATTAATAATGAAACATTAGCATATTCACTCATTAAAGGTAATTTTGGATAGATATAAATAAGCGACTATATATATTTAAATTATTCTCTTGGCAGTGGTCTAGAGTGAATAATAATCCATTTTATCCCTGATGCTAGATTTCACCATTCTTTATTAGCTAATGATAGAAGATAAGAATATCATCTTATTTTTTAAAATGTATATTTTTATGATTGCTACTTTTAGTAAACATTTGAAACATTTTTAATTGTCCTTTCTGTTTTCTTTATTTGTGAATTGTCTTTTATGTGCTTAGATTATTTCTTTTATTAAAGTCATTTTGTCCTTCAACTTGCTTTTAAACAATTTTTTACATAATTATATTAGATGTTTGTAATAAATGCTGCCATCTTTCCCAGTTTGTTTTAAGGTAATTTTGATATACAAATGTTTTAAAATTTTAAGTAGTAAAATCCAGTAATACTTTTGTTTGTTTCTACCTTTACATTTATTATTACAAAGACATTATCTACCCAGAAAAAGAGCACAAATATTAATTTTTTTAGTGTTTTGCCTTTTTGTTATTTTATTTACATCTTTATTCATATAGAACTTATTTTTGGGTAATAAGTGATATGAAAATCTAAATTTGTATTTTTTACATTATTTGTTAAATTATAGCCTTGACAAAGAATTAAATTTTCATCTTACTAATAAATATGTTATAATATATGGATCTGCTTATGGACTTTCTATTCTATTATGTTTATTTCATAAAAATTGTATATTTCTTACACTCTAATTTTCTGAAACATTTTAACATCTAATAAAACAAATCCTATTATATTACTACCTTTATAATTTACTCTGATAAATTATTGTATCAAGTTCCAGCACAATCTCTTTTATGTAGTCACTAAATTCATCTTAGTTAGAATAATCTGGAGTCTACTGTACAAAAATATGTTCCTTTCACTTATGCAACTCTTAAAATGCCATCCATTTTTTCATATACTTCTTATTAAAGAATAGAAGTTATTTATTTTTGTGAATAGAAACTTCATTATATTGTCAAGTAATTTTTGTTAACATGTGGGAAACGCTATGTATTAGTCCATTTTCACACTGCTGATAAAGACATACCCAAGACTGGGAAGAAAAAGAGGTTTAATTGGACTTACAGTTTCACATGGCTGGGGAGGTCTCAGAATCATGGTGGGAGGCAAAGACACTTCTTACTTGGCGGCAGCAAGACAAAATGAGGAAGAAGCAAAAGCAGAAACCCCTGATAAACCCATCAGATCTCATGAGACTTATTCACTATCACGAGAATAGCATGAGGCTCCCATGATTCAGTTACCTCCCGCTGGGTCCCTCCAACAACATGTGGGAATTCTGGGAGATACAATTCAAGCTGAGATTTGAATGAGGGCACAACCAAACCATATTATACTGGTTTTGTAAACTTTGTTTATAATTGGCCACTTTACTAAAAATTTTTATTTAAATTGTTCTTTAGATTATTCTCTGGAGAAACTATCATATCTTTAGCAACAGTGAAATTTTTTAATATTTGTCTTACCAAAATGTGTTCTACAAATTTATATGTTTTTTTTCTGTTATTGAAGTATTACTGTATTGCTACACTTTTAGAATAATACTTAAAACTGGACGTGGTGAGAAGCCTTCTTCTGGGAGAGTGATTGTATTAGAGAACCCTTAAAATCCAGCAGTAAATAAAAATAGAACAAGTAGACCTAGTTTGAGGATACAAAAGTGTTCTTGTATGAGAAAAAATATGTTTTTTAAAAACACTATATTAATAGATCTAATGAGAAAATTATTTGAGTAATTTGTAAAATGTCCTGTGAGGAAATTCAATATCCTGTACAAAACTCCTGATAAACTCACAGTAAAATATTAGCTGAAACCAATAGCCAGTAGGAGGCTTAAAGAAAAAACACTAGAATTAGTGTGAACTACTATAGAAGGTTTCAACTTGCTATCTCTGCCCTTAAAGTCCATGAATGATTATCAGGGGGGTGTGTGTATAGTTAAAGTAAATGTAAAACGAAGTGTGCATATTTACACATTTTTATAGAGTTTTTTTTCTTTTCTGGGGAGCAGCTTTATAGCTCTAATCATATTCTGCAACCACTTTGATCCAAGACCAAGTGTTTAAAAATGAGAGAAAAAAAAAGAAGAAGACATAATAGAATACCTTACATTACTACTTTTTAAATATTATCCTTGCTATGAAAGGCCATTGTAACTAGACAAGAAAATCAAATCATAAGATACTTGAATGTTTCCCTCAAGGAGCTCAGCTTCATTTAAAGATAAAATGAATAGACTGAAAATCTGTCAAGTTTCCATAAATATTTCCTCTTTCCTGTGAGTTTTGGACAGAAGCTTGATAGCCGATCATCTGAGATTACTTTTTCTGAAGAGAATGTGGAATATGACATTGAGTTCCTAAATAATCCGAGGTCCCTCATGCTTTAGCAACTATAAAAGCCAGTGGTAAATTGATAGGTTTCCATACAATATTAGTTAATAAAATAAATCATCACTCTTGACTAGATTTCTTACAATGAATGTCTGAAAACAACATTTCTTTTTTTGAGATTAACCAGAAGTATGATTGTGCTTACATTACCTATGAAATATTGATTCAGAAATCAATGTATACACATACAAATGTGTATTTAAATATACCTAATTATAATATTTATTACTGCATGTAAAACTGATGTATACCGAAGACAAAGAGACCTTTTCATACTACTACTAATAAAAATGATAATGTTTCCAGTAGTTTCACTCACCATGCAATTAATATATTTGCTGAGTGTGTTGTTGCTAAGTAACATTTTGTTTTTCTTTAAATTTATAAAGTACTTTCACATAAATTGTCATTCTCAGGTTTAGAATAAATGGTTTATTATTGTTATAATTGTATATCTCTATAATTTACAGCCCTGCAAATGTTCTTCATTAATATTCATTGAACAATCATAAATATAATTTTCATGTTTTTAATAAAATTGTTTCCTGGTGAAAGTTTGAAATTCTGTCCTACTTCCTGTAACTTTTTTTTTTCTTTTTTTTTTTTTTTCTGAAACGGAGTTTCGCTCTTGTTGCCCAGGCTGGAGTGCAATGGCGGGATCTCGGCTCACTGCAACCTCTGCCTCCCAGGTTCAAGCGATTCTCCTGCCTCAGCCTCCCTAGTAGCTGGGATTACAGGCATATGCCACCACGCCCAGCTAATTTTGTATTTTTAGTAGAGACGCGGTTTCTCCATGTTGGTCAGGCTGGTCTTGAACTCCCGACCTCAGGTGATCCACCCGCCTCGGCCTCCCAAAATGCTGGGATTACAGGCATGAGCCACTGCGCCCGGCCTCCTTCCTGTAACTTTTTAGTCCCCTCTGTATTCTGCAATCATTGCCCTTGTGGGCCAATCAAGCCTCAGAGGATGTATTTGGAATGGCCAGTTTATTTCTTGTCACACATCTCTTCATTCTCCAACTTTGGTAGTGAATTTCACTTTAATCTTCTCATTAGAAGGGAATTTGAAACAGTCGTACCTAGAAAACTTTTTCCTCCCATTTTAATTCTAAAGGAATCCCTGGCCTAGTTTAATTCAAGAAGTCCGTTAGGTGTTGGTTTCAAACTTCAGATGATGCTAACATAAACAAGAGACCCCTTCCCCAGGTCTTTACAAGATTAGTGTGTTGACTCTTCAACAGTGATGAAATAAGTAGCTGTTTCCTACTGCTTGATAGTCTTAAATCATTTTTATTTCACCTCCTTAAATCATCACCTGTACAGAGAAGCTCTCAATGACCACATATACCTTCTCACTATTCTATGGTACTTAGGCACCTTTTGTTTTATGCCAATATTTGCAACATTATTTTTATTATAGCAAATGAATAAAATAATTCTAGTTTTGACTTCCTTCTTTTGTTAAGAATTATGAATTATTGCTCTGCCACTATACAACATTGCCACACCTTTTGTCTTTGTTGTCCTCTTTTAAGTTCTACAAATCTTAAGGGAATGTTAGAATTGTCACTATTCTTTAACGTGCATAAGATATATGTAGTTCTAGCTGCATGGAGTGTACTATGTAAGATCTCTATGTAGTGCAGCTAGCATCTAGCACTGGACTGCTTGTTTGGAAAGGTCTATTTATTACCTTGCTGGACACCAGCAAGTCGCTTGTAGATTCTGAAAGCAGACTCAGATGGAGTTTAGTTGTAGGAAGGAAAGGAAAAGGAGAGGAAAGATTACATGGGAGTAGTAGAGCTGTGATACAGGACACAGTGCATCTTGGCTTTCTCCATAGTCAGCTGGGAACTGCTGGAGCAAAAACAACTCATCAGTGTTATGCCACACTAGGCCAAAGTGATCAGGCCTTTATAACCTGGCATCAATCGACCATTAGATGTGGATCACCCTTGGGCAAGGTGATCATATTTTCCACTGCTATGGCAATCCCTAGAGGGGCTGACGAAGCTTCCAGTAGTTTAGGTAACAAGCAATTCTTTCAAGCCAGAATCTGTGCAGTACATTTCTGTGTCCATCCATCACAGCAACACTATTCTAAGTATAGGCATACATATTATGGCATCATTAATCTATTGGTGGGGAGGAGATGTAGAGGGAGGAGAGGTGGGTGGAATAAAACATATGCAAATGAAAACATAGCTAAGGTTTTTAGACTAAGATAAAGTATGTGTCTTTGTATCCTCATGATTTGTATTTCAAATTCTTAAACAGATGATGATAAATGAATGATTTTGCTTGAGAATTATCCTTATTTCAATCTAGTATACTTTTTATAATCTGATGAAAAATCAGTTGAAATTAATCCAAGAAACATGGTGTTTACAAGGATGACCAGTAGTTCAATAATCTTATTTCTCAATCAATAAAGAATTGTTGACCTAGATAATTATGAGAACACCATGACCCTAAAGCTAGAGCTATAAAATGTGTCAATAATACAGAAGTTAAAGGCGGTGGAAGTCAAGAATTAAAAGGCCAGTGAAAGATAAATTATATTAATAAAACTATAAGCATAGATTGTGGATATTCAGTCAATATAAAATATTTAAATGTATGTATCAATGTACCTTTTTGAAGAGAGTTAAGTCAGATGGGTAAATAATGTGTACCAATCATCATTTCTAATATCTTAGGCAGTAGAATTCAGACTTGCCTCTGAGGAAATACTTTAGACACTCATCTTGTATATTTCACTAAAGCAAATTATAGCCTTAGATTTTCACTCTGAGTTCTTTTTGAAAACAGTGTGTTTCATGGAAGAAAAAAGAAATCTAGATGTGTTCAGAGACAAAGCCAGAAGATGAAAACAAAATCTGACAGAAAGGCAAGCCACATCCTTCCTTCACAGGCACTGCATGACCCCTGATGCCACCAGCATCAGTGAAGTCCACTCTGCAGTCCTTTCTCAGGCAAGCCTCCTAAGACCTTCTCCAATGGAAGCTTGAGGAGTGTGCCCACTGCTATCAGGAAGCCTGAAGCATTCTTTGTGCAATCTGAAGAAAACTAAGTCTAATTAGGTAGTCAAATGTTTTGGTTAAATGCCCTACTCTTCGTTCTAATTATCACCTATCCCAAAGGCTAGAGCTTCACTTTACAAAAAACAGAAAGAACAAGGTTAACTTTCCCTCCCAAACCTCTTCACAGATGAGAAAACACACAGCTGGAATCCTCCACACACTTAACTGCAGTATTTATCAACATAATTTGCTGTTTATCTAAATAGAAATTCACACAAAACTAACAAACACCCTTGAGAAAAAAAAAATGTAGTCACTAAAATTGAGATGCTTTGTATGCTAGAAGTTTGAGTTAATGGACTTGAGCTACCAAAAAAGAAATTGTTAGCGAATCTCAAATTGGTTGGAGATTAAATTAGGAAAAAAATTTTTTTAACTTGAAAAGCTATTTAATACCTAATTCAATTATTTCTTATGCATTTTGATACAGATTAAGGTAGTAACACCTAATGGCTGACTCTCACATACTAATAAACATTACCATTTCTGTAAATACATCCAAGGGCAGGGCGTACTTTTACTTCCAACCTTAAGCTCAGTAGCAGCTAAAATGCTTTCCTGGATTGTTGTGATCTCCAGTTCTTAAAAGCAGTTACTTGACCCCCAACATGATTTTCATGAAGCTTACCTTATATTCTAACAAGTCCAGAAGCAAGTAGTTTTCTTATTTGAGTAGATTCCTCACTCATCTTCACTTTTATTTTTATTTGTTACAATAAATTTGCAATTTTCAGTTGGTTAAAATGCATGTTTTTGTGAGATATTCCCTGATGCTCCTCTTTATGGGTCCTTATGGTATCTCTTGTCCCAATGTGCTGTAAGCTTTGTTAAATTTTTACCTTTTCTGAAATTAGATAATTATATGCCTGTGCTATATTTTGTATGTAATTATACACTATTAATATCCATTATCTTACCCAAGATCCTATCTTTTCTCGAGAATTGTACAAATCTGGTTTTCTCATCAGCTTTCAGTTATATGCTTTCATGTGCTTGCTAAATAGAGTAATTTTAATGTCCTTCTATCTCCACCAACTCATTTGGAATTACTGTCAGATTTTTTCATGTCATAAGTGTTAGTGGTAATAATTCATACATATTCTTTCTATCTTTCAACTTTCATACCTCAATCTATTTTGCTATAATTAACTTTGATTGGCAAGATCATAATTTAAAGCAGAGAAAAATAGCATATGTAAAGTGGAGAGGTCCAGCAGAATGGGAAAGCCATGCAGACACAGGTACTTAGCAGTGAGCCAGAAGTCCTGTGAGATGGTAGTGCATGGTATCCAGTGTATGGTGACAGAAAATAAACACAAACCTATGCAGGCATTAGCAAAAAACCAGCTAGGGTTTTGGAAGTGACAAAGTATAAAAATAGTATGAGGCTACAGAGAAGCTGATAAAAATGCAAAGGATGGTGCATAGTGATTTCCTTCTAAAGAGTACAGCATGAAATGGGGGAGCATAATTTTACAGTGAAGAAACTGGCAAACACTAGCTCATCCAAGTAATGAAGGTCAACATCAAGAGGGATAAGTCATGTTGATTGCACATACAATTGATGTGATTTGATGAGAACGGCATGTGGTTGTATTCATCCGTTTGTGCTGCTATGGCAAAATATCATAGATTGAGTAATTTACAAAGAACAGAAATTACTTTTTTTTCTGGAGCCGGGGAAGTCTAAGATCAAGGCATTGGCAGGTTCAGTTGTCTGCTGAGGGCTTCTGCTTCCAAATTGGTACCTTGATGATCCTCCAGAGGGGAAGAACAGTTTCTTCACATGACAGAAGGTACAGAAAGGTTGAAGAAGGGCTAAATCTAGATGAAGCCTCTTTTATAAGGGCTTTAATTCCATTTATGAAGGGAGGAGCCATCATGGCCTAATCAACTCTTAAAGGCCTCACCTTTTAATACTATCGGCCATTAAATTTTAACACGTGAATTTTGGTGGGGACACATTTAAAACAGAGCAGTGGCCTTCCTCTTAACCCTTGTCTAACCATGAGAAAAAATGAGACAACCTAAATTTAAAAATATTCTACAACATACATGACCAATATATTCCTCCAAACTTCCAAGGTCATCACAAAGTAAGAATTATTAAAACCACATAAATTCTTAGAAACAATTACAATCTAAAGGAACCTAAAAAGACATGAAGACCAAATGCTACATAGCATCCTCAATGAAATTCTGGAACAGAAAAAGGATGTTAGCCAAAAACTAAGACAATATGAATAAAGTATGAGCATTACTTAATAATAATGTATCAATATTTCTTTAATAGTTGTAATAAAGGTATGAAAAGAAACTGAGTACAGGTATATAAGAATGCTATACTATTCTTGTAACTTTTCTGTAGATCTAAAATTATTCTAATCTAATAAGTTTATTAAAAATTATATGAAGTAGAAATAATGCAAAGAAATTAGGGAAGATATTCAGGCAGCCATCAAAGAGATGAAGCCATAGAATAAAGATAAAAACTTTGGGATGGATGCCAGGGGAACTGGCAAAAACTCACGGTTTTGGTCAGGGATTAGGAAGCGTTTTCTGTAAAGGGCCAGTGAGTATTTTTAGCTTTGCAGGTCACGTAGTCACTATAAATACTCAATTCTGCCATTGTAAGATAATAGTAGCCACAGACACTCCATAAACAAATGAACATGACTGTTTAATAAAATTTTCTTTACAAAAACAAGTGATGGTCTAGATTTTGTCTCTGGATTGGGGTTTATCACCCCTAGTCTACTAAATCTACTGTAATGAAAATCCAGGGAATTAAGACAGAAACAGGGAAACTAGGACAGGCATTCAGTCATTAGAAATGGAATTTAAAACAGGGATTCATTAAAAGGGCACATGGTCCTAATTGCCTGAGGAGTGGTACAAATCAGAGAGATTTATTGTGAGTTGTCAGAGTTATTGGATATGACTCTTTAAATTCCCTTGACTGAGACTATGATCTCCTCTAGAGGATGTACTAAGAAGACAGGCACAGAGTCTGGAGCCATTTTCTCTGACCACTACCTAGAAAGCAGATTGTTCTGTATTGTTGATCAAGCTCAATCAGTGTTCAACCACATTAATAAAATGCCTTTTTTCCCCCTACCAAATCCTTGTAGGAAATGTGCTCTGCTTATTGCTCAGGAATCACAAATAAATTCTTTGCTGAATCATAGGAGGCAGACAACTGTTTGCCTTTTTTGCTGCCAGAAATTAAGAATCTAAGAAAAGGCTAGTGCTTCCTCAAAGATTCAATTAATCTGTTGCCTATTTTGTCTACAGATGAAGACACGGGGGTATTGATAATGTGGTATACACATGGACTGAACTAAACTTCATTCAATATAGGCTTCACCCTATATGTCAGGCTCTGATTGGGCTACCCCTCATTCATTCTCATAAATCACACAAAGCTTCTCAGAAGCACAATATGTGACCAGAGGAAAGTCAAGAACTGTGGGCCCACTTTTGAGCCTTCTGAGGGCCAAAATCTTCCATCATCTCAAACACTATTTGACTTGAAGCACTACGCTAGGAACTACCTGTAAAAATGGGCATTCCGTTAGAAGTGGGTGATGCAGAAATTTACCTTTGCCAGTTAACACATTGGCAAGAAGTTCTCTGCCAGCTTAGTTTCAATCCAACTCTTAGTATTGACAAGATGAAATACCAATAATCAGAGGTATATGAAGAAAATTGCTTAAAATTGCGATATAGTAGAACAGAAACCCTGAATAGTCAGGTATTCAGAAGTGACCTCTAGGGCACAGAGAGGTGAAAGGTGGGTGCTTAAAACATAAGAGAAATGCCAGCTGAAGACAAATTGGTACCTACTCATGCCTGGATGTGACACAGACCCTTTGTAATCTAGATGGCAGTTTCTGATCACATGAGCATCAATCCCCTTGTCTCACTCATATCTGTTAGATGAAGTTAAATACTACTTGAAATCCTTAAAATGTTTTATAGATCAACTGTTTTCTCCACAACTCTTACAGCTTTATTAGTATATTTTATTGTATTTCCCTTTTATTTCCATTTTCCAAGTAATGGAAATACTGTTGACCTACAAAATATGATTGACCTATGAAATATACATCATATTGGTACTTTTGAGACAGCTTAACTTACTTTTTTTTGTTGTTGTTGTTGTTTTGAGACGGAGTTTCACTCTTGTTGCCCAGGCTGGAGTGTAATGGCGTGATCTCGGTTCACTGCAACCTCTGCCTCTTGGGTTCAAGCAATTCTCCTGCCTCAGCCTCCCGAGTAGCTGGGATTACAGGCATGCGTCACCATGCCCGGCTAATTTTTCTTTGTATTTTTTTTTTTAATAGAGACGGGGTTTCTCCATGTTGGTCAGGCTGGTCTCGAACTCCCGACATCAGGTGATCCACCCACACTGGCCTCCCAAAGTGCTGGGATTACAGGCGTGAGCCACTGTGCCCAGCCAATTTATGTCTTTAAATGTGTGTCCTTGGTGGGAAATGGGATCATAAGAGCATCAACGTTTCTTCAGATTCTTTAATCTAAAAGAACAACAGACATCAACATTCTTACTACATTTCTTAAAAGTTTGACATATTTTTAGGCCAAGGTGAAAAGAATTGAATGAGACCTGACAAAGATCAGATACTGTTATTTCAAGGAAATAAAACAAATTGACTGAAGGTCAACATGCCATCAAAATCCAAACTATTAATAATTCAGGACTGAACCTACATTTTAAGACCTATTAGTCTGCTTATTTTACTAAACAATTTAAAAAATGTATGCCAATGCTATACTCTTCATTTCCCTTTTTTGTTGTGTTATGCTTACCTTTAAGGGTATTTTCAGGCTTCTTTCATCACTATATCTGCAAAAACAGACAGTTGTTCTTATAACACATTGCAAGACTATACCATAAAGGAGGCATACCTATGTGGTTTACAATCACTAACTTTTTTTTTTTTATTCCTCAGATGTCCTAAGGTTAAAATGGGAAAAGCTTTTGTTGGCAGAAGGGTGGAGGTCTCAAAATAAAATGTGTCTAGTAGAAGAAGAGAAGGCTACTAAATCCCAGAAAATGTCAGGAAGTGGGTCATAGCACTTGCAGTAAGGTCAGCAATCTCCCAGGGTGCCTACAAAACACTGGTAGAAACTTTCTTTTAAAAAAGTCCTAAATTAGAGCTGTGGCTGTGTTGTGAGAATTTTTATATCTATCCCTAAATATCATTGGGCAGAATTAGGGGGTGTGGGTTCTAATTACGGTTTAACTTCTAAGAAACTGAATGTCCTTGCATAAAGCAACTTACAACTTCTGGAATTCATTTTCTTCATTGTTAATTTTAAAAGTTTGAACTATATCAGTGATTTCCAACCTGACAGCATACCTGTATTGTTTAATAGTATATAAGGTTGTGAGTAACAGAAATCAGATAACTTCAGCAAAAAAATAGGTTTTACTAGGTGATTCGATTTGATCACAGCATTAATGGAAGCTACACAACCAAACTGCAGGAGACGCATGGATAAGAGAAGCTCTGAAATTCTTACTAGCTGGAGTTTGTAGATATTTTTTTCCCTGTCACTGCAAAGAGGATGACAGCCTCAGGGATCTTTGGTCTTTGGTTCACTCTATTCAGACACAAAATTCTAGAGAAAGCATCTACGTGGGTTCCAGTGAGTCAAAAGTCTACCATTATGTGATACAGCTGTGACCAAGGGTACAGAATCATGCAGCACAGATATAGCCTTTGGAGATCCACCTCTGTGCAAATGCAAAGAAACTATTATTCCCTACACCCAAAGATGCCTGAACTAATATGATTCTGGTATGATCCTTCTATTTTCATAATACTGTCATAAAGTCACTCACATTCTGTCCAATAGGAGACAACACATTTTTTATTCCCAGTTCCCGCATTCAAATTTTATGTTACATGGTCTGTGTTGTCATGTACATTGTTGATGGTCTACTTAGTATTTGCCTCCCTTTCACCCTTTTAAACATCACCCCAATTTTCATTCTTATATTTTAACTCTTTCTTCACAAACACATATACTTCACAAATGACCATCACAGCTTCAAATGTTTATGTGCAATAAATCTCCCTTGTCAGATATTGTTTAGAATAAATCCTATACCTTAATTCTGACTAGTGAGTTTTGAGAGAAACAACTTTAGATATTTCTTGGGAAAAAATTCTGGCTTTTCAGAGAGATAGGAAGTAAGTAATTGTCTCTTTTACTGTGGGTGTTTTGTGCCCAGCTTCATTGTCTATTCTGCCCAGGGCATTGGCTTCCACCCGAGTAGCAAGCCGATGTAGAGAGAAGAAATGAGAAAAAATCCGAGGAAAATGAAGGAAAGCCTGCTCTACTTCTGAACTTTCAGGTGTGTGACTGACTAAAAATAGTTTGAGTTTAGTTTGATTTTACTTGCAGCCTAAGGGACTCTTAATTTCTTCTCTAATTTCTAACTCAAAATATCTTGGTGATGCTTAATCTTCCTCTCTATATGTGTTGATCATATCTCAGTTTTCTATGTTCATTAGAGAAAAATAGTAGTTTTCCCATTATAAATACATCCTATGTATGTTAGAGGGGTGAAAGAAACATGTATATTAAAACACATAATACATTTATTATGGAAGTTATGAAATTATAGAGAGACCAGTGAGTGCCCTTGGATTTGCAACTGGAATATAGTCATAAATTACTACTTCCCCTACCCCTTCTATATTCTACCTGAATTCACTATGCTCCTTTACTCATATGGAGGAGCAAGGACAATACTTAATCTTAATAAAAGAAAGCCTTGACCATTGTGATGGCAGAATAGAAGGCAGCCAACAAGAACCATTTCTTTTTCCTGAATATTCCTAAATACCCATCATATTTGCCCTGGAAGGTCAAATCCAATAATTTAAAAAAATTCCTTTTTCAGAATTTTCCCATTAACATTAAGAGTTTCATAAAGACGGATTATGTTTTTAGCTTACGGTTTAATGAAACCATGATTAGGGGCCTATTCCCTTGCAATAAGCCCTCTATACAACCCAGAGAAGTCAAAATTTTCAAAGTGGCCTATTAGCTATAATCCTGACAGACATGTTTAACTCCTCTACCATTACTCCTTTGTTCATGGCACTGGGTTTATTTGTATGGGATAGTGAAAGATTATCTCTGTGGGAGAAACAGCATCTTACCATTGAGCTGTGCTGTCCCCCAGCTTTCAATGGACTTTGCTATTGTTTAGGGAAACAGTCACTTATAGCTGATTGATAGAAAATAAGGCCAGTGAATTTCACAAACAGCCCCCTGTTTACTTCTTTTACTTTCAATTGGTTTCTTGGTTGGATGCAGAGTACAAAGCATTGAGTAATTTCATGGATGAATGATATTGACAGCAGCAGGGAAAGTAACTTCAAATCTAGATTAAGTGTCTATTTGGTGCGGACAAATCTTTTCCCCCTTCATGATAGAAGGGGTCACATGTAATCAACCTACTACCAGAGAGCTGGCTGGTTCACTAATGCATGGTGTCATATAATGGATTTGGAGTTGGTCTCAGCAAGAGGTATAGCCAGGCCAAACCTTGTAAGGGAAATTTTCATATGGTTAAATGCATGAATCTGTCCCATGTCTTCCCTTTAACTACTTTGTTTCTTGAGCTCATTGTATGAACCCTGGCTTGGAGGGGAAAGGAGGCTAACGGACATCCACAGAGGCTCACTGTGTCCTTCTGATTATGGAGAGGCTGTTTTGCAATGGTGGCCTTCTGGTGCATATTCACATAGGACACACATATTTTCAGACTCTGAGCCAGCACTTTTGAAGACATCTGTTGTGAAAGATTTGCGGGGTTTTTTGTTTGTTTAAATATCTAATCTGTCACAAACCAACAATTTTCTAGAACTGCTCTAAGTCCATTCCTAGCTCTTTAGCCACATATTTTTTCACCAAAACTTTTTGCCACAAAGCCCTCTCATATTACTATTCCTTTATTAGACATATGACCAGACCATTGGTCACTGAGAATCAGTATATATCTTGACCCGAGACCATCTACTCGTTTGAGGCAAAGTGAAAAAAAAGGTATAGTTTTTGAACATCTGCCAGTGAGAAGATTTCTTTTCTTTGTTGCCTGATAATCCCTGAGAAAAGTTTTAACACTGCTGCAAAATGGATCTGGCTGGCTCTACTGTGTTGTATGATGGCATCTTTAAATCAGGCTCCAGTTTTTCATCTTCATCAACTGGTCATTATACTATAAAGTCATTATATAATGAGTGAAGATGCACCATAGCTGTATATGTGTAACTTTTTATGACTTCAGGTTCTGTTTGGAACTAGTTTCTGATGAAATGCTGTTGGATGTG
Source organism: Homo sapiens (assembly GCF_000001405.40). Lineage (NCBI taxonomy): Eukaryota > Metazoa > Chordata > Mammalia > Primates > Hominidae > Homo > Homo sapiens. Next base: position 76,387,340 of record NC_000002.12, read on the forward strand.
TTTAGCTAGAAATATTGGAAAACTTCTGGTCTGTGTTGCCATTAAAGTCCAGTGGTTATATGCTTTGCTATGATCAGGAACTCTTTCTCAAAAAAACAATGGTTTCACTCTAAATGGATCCTGACCTAACAGTCCTCTGTTCCACTACTCTTACACATGGTTGCATCAGGTACCACATATCACTTCAGTCTGCTGCAGATATATTGAACAATAACTTCTTAATAAGGGCGTTGGGGTGGAAGCACCAGATTGTTAGCCCATCTCAAGTGTTGTATTAGTTACCTGTTTCTGTATTAAAGAAAAATTACCCTGAAAACTTAGTGATTTGAAACAAATATTTATTATTTTACAGGTTTTGTGGATCAGGAATCTGGGCACAGCTTAACTGAGTCCTCTGGTTCAATTTCCTGCATAGGGCTGAATTTAAATGTTGGCCAAGGCTGATGTCTTATTTGAAGGCTTGAATGGGGAGGAGAGGTGGAATCTGCTTCCAAGCTCATTCATGTGGCTGTTGGCAACATTCAGTTCCTTGAAGGCTACTGGACTGAGGGTCTCAGTTCTTTTTCTCAATGTTGGCCGGGGACCTCCCTTACTTCTTTGACGTGTGAACATTTTCATGCCACAGTTCATAACATTATGAACTGTTGGCTTCATCAGAGTGAGCAGTTGAGAAAGGATAAAGGAAGCCAAAATGTTGTATTTTAACTTGATTGTAGAAGTGAAATCTCTTTAATTTCACCATATTCTATTTGCTGAATACTAGTAGGTCCAGTTCATACTCAAGGGAATGGAATTAAAATGGACTTAAATACAAGGAGGTAGGAAATCACTGGGAGCCATCTTAGAAGCTATCATGGAGGGCCTCCACTCTAAGCATAAAACACTTTGTCCATCTAATTAACGGAAGAAGGGTGTTTAAACATGGTATATGTCACCTGTAAAATTGAACTAAGCACAACAGTTATTAAATATCTTTAGTTAAGTAAGTTGTAGGCTGTGTCTTCACTTTGGAGTGCATGTCTCAGATCAGCCCAGGCCAATATATTCTCAACAACTTCACTGAGGTACTAGTATTCTGTATTTGTTGTGAGATTTATCTCATGTACACCATCATCCACATATTTTTGCAAGTTTGTAGGGAACTTATTACTTGTGCTTACTAGATCCTGTCAGAATTTCATCATTCATGTAATAAACCAGTCTGTTGACTTGTTAGGCTCCAAGGGATCAAAGTCTCTAGAGCAGGGGTGTCCAATCTTTTGGCTTCCCTGGGCCACATTGGAAGAAGAAGAATTGTCTTTGCCCACACATAAAATACAGTAACACTAATGATAGCTGATAAGCTAAAAAAATTGGAAAATATCTCATGAGAGATATTTTAAGAGAGTTTATGAATTTGTGTTGGGTTGCATTCAAAGCCATCCTGGGCTACATGCAGCCTGCAGGCTGTGGTTTGGGCAAGCTTGATCTACAGTTTAAATTGTGGCAGGAATAAAGTATCAGAGCCTTATTGGTATAGAGCTCCCATACCAGATGAGAGAGGTTGGCTTTGGATGTCCCCCTGTTCTAGAAGGGAGAGCAATATGTTTGCTAGGTCAAATACTGTGCTTCAAGTACCAAGGCACATAAGTGGAGCAATAGTCACAATTAAGGCCACTCTCCAATTATATTTATGATAATATAAATTGTTCTCTTAGCTCCATCAGTCTTCCTTTCAGGCTAAATTGGAAAATTCAAAATTTGCTGTTGAAGAAATAAAAAGGGTACAGCACTTTTGAAAGATTCCAACATATTCCCTTGATGTGGAAAAAGAAAGAGTCTAGTGGATTTTAACAGCATACAAGAATGAAGCAGTAGATAGGCAAAATATATGTATAGCACAGAATTCATAAAATTCATGTCTGTTAGTGTTTTTAAATCCCTTCCTCTGCATAATGACTAGGGAATTCTTAGACCTTTAATTGTAAGCTAGCCTTGGACATTACTGGTTCAGGTTTGTGTAGTTAATTCTGCATAGACCTGTAGCTGGTTGTTGAACTACCATACTACCATACAAATTACAATATTTCAGGTGAGCTGTTGCAATAAATTCTATCTGCTCCAAATTTCTTTTTCTTCTTTCTTTCTTTTTTTTTTTTTTTTTTTTTTTGAGACGGAATCTCCCTCTGTTGCCCAGGCTGGAGTGCAGTGGCCCGATCTTGGCTCACTGCAAACTCTGCCTCCTGGGTTCATGCCATTCTCCCGCCTCAGCCTCCCAAGTAGCTGGTACTACAGGCACCAACACGCCTGACTAATTTTTTTGTACTTTTAGTAGAGACGGGGTTTCACTGTGTTAACCAGGATAGTCTCGATCTCCTGACCTCGTGATCCGCCCGCCTCGGCCTCCCAAAGTGCTGGGATTACAGGCATGAGCCACCACGCCCAGCCTATCTGCTCCAAATTTCTAATTTGCTGTTATTGATTAAACACTTTCAGATTGTCTTGAGAGTTTTCATAACCTATGAAAAAATATATACATTTTCTTATGGATTGTTATTTTCTTATGGCCAGAAAGTTCATTGTAAGATTGCAGGGGGATACCACATAAAAATGTTTGTAGGTATGTGCCAGTTAACATACTACTAAAAAGTTTTAGCTGAATAACATACCACTAAAAAGTTTTGTGTTATAAAAAAACCACTTGATTATACTCACAGATGCTGTGGGTTAGAAAATTGGAAGGGTCATAGTGAGGATGCATCATCTCTGCTTTACGGTCTCTGAGGTCTTAGCAGGGTAAAGTGAAGGCTGGAAATAATTCAACATTTGGGAACTGGAATCACATGGAGGCATCTTCACTTACTTGTCTGGAAGTTGATAGCTTAGGGTCAGAACACCTACACAAGGCCATTCCATGTGATCTCTTACTTGGGCTAGTTTGGGGTTCCTTGTGGTGTGGTAGTTGGGTTCCTCAGTATCCCAAGGAAAGTTTGGGGAGGGAGGGAGACAGAAGCTGCAATTTTCTTGAGGCTGAAACCTTGAAATTGGCATAGTGTAACTTCTGCCACATTCAAGTCAGGTATTTTCAGGGTCCTGATTGGTGGAAAGGAATATGTTTCCTATATCTCAGTGGTGGAAATGTCAAAGGAGCCTGGGCACAGTGGCTCATGCCTATAATCCCAGCACTTTGGGAGGCCGAGGCAGGCAGATCACCTGAGGTCAGGAGTTTGAGACCAGCCTGACCAACATGTTGAAACCCTGTCCCTGCTAAAAATACAAAATTAGCCGGGAGTGGGGGTGGGCGCCTGTAATCCCAGCTACTTGGGTGGCTGAGGCAGGAGAATCATTTGAACCTGGGAGGCAGAGATTGTAGTGAGCTGAGTTCAGGCCATTGCACTCCAGCCTGGGCAAAAAAAGCAAAATTCTGTCTCAAAAAAAAAAAAGAGAAAATAAAAAGATGTACGCGCCATATTTTAAAACTGCTATTAGGGAGATGTGATTCTTGAAATTTTCTGGCTTATCTATGTTATTGCTGTTTTATTTTTTTTAAGGATCCAAATCTTTCCTTATAGTGCCTTAATGTTCCTATAAGAGTCCTAGAGAATTTAATTTTTCCAGTCTTAACCCAACAGTTATACTGAGCAAAATGGCTTATTCAGCTGTGTCATGTAAATTCTGAGACTTTTCTTCATATACAGCTGATAATTTTTAGGTGTGACTTTATCACATCTTATTTTATCTATTATTGCTGCAAAGAATATGAACAATTCTATTTTCTATTTCCCATTGTCCCTTAATCACTAACACCAAGATTCAAATTTTAAGTAATCTGGAATCTGAAATGCAGAATCAGAGTAAGAAAGAGCCAATTTTACCTGTTCAGATGCAATGGCAGAGAACTGCAAATCAATACTATGAAAAATCAAAGAAAAATATTTTAATGGTTCTACAATTAGATGTTTCTGCAAAGCCTTCCTCTTTGTCTCAACAGTCACAAATCGACACAGTCGATAATGTAATTCACTAGCACCTAACCCAAGCACCTGCACTTATACACCTGTTACCAACATCTTTTACTGAGGACATTCAAGATTGGTTTGATTGGAAACCACAGGAGGTGATGCTGACTAATTTATATAAAGAAGGATTTATGCAATGCCATTGGATGAGCTCCTGAAATCAAAGGTATAATATTTCAGGATCCTTGGGTATCTCTGGCTTCATCAGTAGTGAAAGTGCATATATGTTTCTTCTTCAGAGAATACTGGCATTCAACTGACTCAACTTCAGACACCTCTAGCGTCAAAATTTTTAAAAATCACTGGTGGTGCATACTGTATAGCAGTTACCCAGAGCATCATTCTATTTTTTTCATGGAAACTTTATTTCCCTCCCTTATTCTGAGCATTAAAAGTTAGCACAGGGGCACATAGAAAAGACACTCCCATGAGAATAAAATGGTTTTGGTTTTGTCAATAGGCAAACTTATCTCTGGAGTTCAAAGACCAGGAGCAGATGCCAAGCAAGGGACCGCTTCAAAGAAACTGGAAGACTGCCAGCTTCTAAGATTAGCACTGCCACTACAATAATTTTGCCACGTTCAGAGTTGGGCTGAATCCAGAGGCTGCTTCTCTAATTGAAGGGTCCTAGTGTGGCTCCCTAAGTTCTTTACTTTCCGTCAGCTGTTCCCCAGCATGCAGGCTTTTCCAGCCACTGCTGGATTGCTTGTACTGCTTCCTATATGCAAGAGTCAACATTCTTAGTTAATAATAGAAAGGAATGAATGGTAATAAGTTCAGGGAAATTAATTGCTAGATTATGATGAGACTTCTTGTTTATTTTGTTCTCTGTGTTTGTCGTACCCACCTAAATTAGGTGCCCCCTTCTGTACCTGGCTCTCTTGCCTGTATTATCTATCTTCCTCAGCAAAGTATCCTCTGTGTTGAATGGACAATCAAATAAATGTTAGAAGACAAGACACTTAATTGTCTGTTTATAGGCAAATTCAACTGATTAGAATTATGCTTCAGTCTCTTATTTTGGGGTTTGTAGTGAATTCTTAATTCCTTTTCTAAAAATAAAAATTACTAGGTAAAAAGTTAAATGACTTTAGTCCTCCTTTTTTTCTAGTTTATGTTATTCCCGTGAGCTTCACCTTTAGGCCATTCTTCATCTCAGGTATATTGGCTTCATAATATTTTTGTCATTTGTTTCATCTCCCTGGAAATTTCTTTAGTAAGATCCATTGTCCATATTTTAGATCTCTGCTCAATGTTCACAACGTTTCTGATCATAGTTTAATTAAACTTTTGTCAGTTATTTTGCTGCTTCTAGTGTAATATTTTTGAATATTGCATTATTAATTGATTTACATTTTCTGTCTTACACAATTGTCTATTGTATTTGTAGTCTTATCTATTCATCTGAATCTTATTTCTTAAAGTCAATTATTTTCAACGTTAAGATTACAAAGTAGATAGTCTATATACTTCACTTTTATTTCTTCAATCATACTGCTTTTTTTTTTTTCCTCAAGAAAGCAAAGTTTCCTTCTCTTTTGATATTTATTATTAGGATTTTCTTCTAATATGTCTTCACATATACCATATCCAATAACAACTCTTTGACATATTTGATGGCACCATTTCCTAGTCTCTGTGTTTGTTACACATGTTCCCTCTTTGTTTATGTTCCTTTGTTGATTTCAGTCAGCATCTATGATAGTGATGGGAGGCTCAAGTTTTTGTCTTTTTCAAAGCTTCCTTGTCTTTTTATTTTTATTGTCTCCCTGAATAATTGCTACTTCTCACAGGAATATAAAAGAAAAAAGATACAAAGCTTGTAAGGTTTGCTTATTTTCATCACACTGAAGCAAGGAGCCAGATCTAATCTTAATCTCATGTAGCCAACGTTCTCCTTGAGCTTTAGTTACTCATTGAAAGAAGTCAATATATAATATATTCAAAGATTTATTATAAAATTCCCAATCTTATGTCCCATTTCTCCTAGCCATGTCTTTTAGGACTAGTCAACCACACCAAAGTGTTACTAGAAGCATTTAGTTTTATAGACATCAGTTAAATTTTAAATGACAAATGCAGTAGATCTCAAACTATTTAAAAAGTGCTAGTGAAATGTCAGTATGTTTAGATTGTGGGGAAAAAAAAGAAAAAATCAATATATTGTGACAAGCACTTGAATTTTCAGCACAAATGGTTTAAATGCCAGAGAAAAAAATGATGGCTCTATACCAAATTGAAATGTTGAGAATCTGTCTCTGCAGTTCCTTTATCTCTTTAGCTTGTGTCTCTTTTCTTTTTCTAGTAGGATCTGTTCTCTTCAAATGTTTTCCTCTTATGTAGTTCTCTGTAAAAATGAGCTCTAAACTCAGATCTAGATATCTTAGTTTCTATAAGCTAGAAAACTAGCTCAAACTAGAGATCCAAAAATTACATTGGCAAATGTAATTTGCCATATTTTAAAACTGCTATTTCCGGAGCTACAAATTGAGTTAACTATTTGATGATCTCAATTTATTTAAACGAGTCAAATCTTCATGGATAAACACATGTTTACTCAGTACCTTTAATATTTAAGGTACATTTAGGTGCTTTGAGAATGAAGTTTCTACCACTGTATTACTTTGCTAGGGTTTTCACGGTAAAGTACCACAGACTGGTTGGCTTAGACAACAAAATTTTATTTTCTCACATTTCTGGAAGCTAGATTTTAGAGATTAAGATACCAGCAGGGTTGGTTTCTTCCAAGGGCTCTGAGGAAAGAATACATTCCAGGTTTCTGTCTTTGCACTTGGCCATCTTCCCTCTGCATCTTCACATTGTCTTCCTTTGGCCATGTCTGATGTCCAAATTTCTTCTTTTTATGAGGACATCATTCACATTGGATCAGGGCTTACCCTAATGACTTCATTGCAAATTTAATTAACTCTATAAAGACCCTATCTCCAAATGCAATTAAATTCTGAGGTATTGGGGGATAAGGCTTCAATACACAAATTTTAGGGAGACAAAATTCAGTTCATAGCACCTATTACTTACTGTATATATGAAAGGCAGCATAGCATATTGGTTGAGAAAAGGCTGTGAAATCCACCTGCCAATATCTGAATCCTCGTTCTGATTCTACTTTCCAGCTGAGTTACTCTCAGCAAGTTTTTTTTTTTTAATCTTTAACCATTCTATGCTTCAGAGTCCACATCTACAAATTTGGGGTGTTAAAGTAAATTAAAATGGGGACCAGACCTGGAGAATTTCTAAGCAGACAAAGACAGGTAGGCCTCATAAGTGACCTTAAACTTGTTTGATTTGCACACATAAACAAAATTTAGCTTATTTCTTAACAACGCACATACTAAAGAAAATCGGGCTTAAGGCTAATTTATCAGAAGCTGCCAACCAATTTATATAACTAAACACTCTACAGCAGGATAGACAAATAAGGCAATTGTATAAGTGTCACCAATCAAATATTTTATTTGCTTTAATTCTGTGTTAATCCTACAAAAACCTTGCCCTCCAGTTCCTCAGGCGAAGCCTCAAAACCATACCTGGTTTGGACATGCCTGACTTGTGAATTGCTGTTTTCTCAAATAATCTGTTTAAAATTTTATTGTGCCTCTGTTAATTTTGAACAAGAGCAATAATTATTTCACAGGCTTGTTTTGTAGACTAATGAGTTAATACATGTAAAGTGCTTTAAAATTATATATCTCAGAGTACAAATTCAATATATATGCAATTCAATTTTAGATATTTTTATAACTAAATAAAGGGCAGGAGATTTGCTATAAAATATATAAAGCCATCAAGATGAGAAAATCAAGCGTACTCCTAATAAAGTAGTGATGATATTAGATTCTAATAAAATTTATTTTGACAAAAATAACCATTTGAAAAATATTTAAGCAGAACCATTTAAGCAATTGCTATTCAAAAGCATTTAAACTTCCTAAACAGACTCTGGTTCTGGGTAAGATAAAGTGTACTTTATCTTTCTTACTGAGTACACCTATACAACCTGAGTAGAATGCATGGAAAAGCTCTATGTGGACACAGACAAGTAGTTTGTGGTAGGCAGATTTGGAAAGGCCAGAATTTAAAGTTCTACCACACTGTGGTAATTATACATTTTTCCCCTTTTTCACCTTCCTGGCCTTGAGGTTGCCTAAAATCTGGATGTGTGTATTTTGGTAGACAGAAAACACTCCAGGAGGGGCCCACCAGTTCTGACTAGAGGAATGGAAATGTGGTTTCCTAACATTCAGAGTTGGTAGGAGAAATCCCGGTTTTCTTTTCCTTCTTGTACTTCTTTTTGTCTTCCTACTTAAAATTATCTCTCATTCCATTCAGTTCCTAGGCAGATCCACTTGCAGAGATTGGAGTGATGGCCACAGTGGAAGCAAGGCAGCTTGCAGGCACCTAAAACTCAGAGTGAGCAAACTTTCCTTTCCAGTTGAGCAGCTGTGGTCCTAAGAAGGTGGAATAAAATGTCACTATTTTGGTCCCTATTTGTCCTCACCCTGCTTCCTGTGAGTGTGACCAATCCCAGAAGTGGTCACACTCACAGGAAGTGTGTGGCACAGCAGGACAAATAAAGCTTCAGCTTTCTAGTTAAAGGATCAAAAAGGAAAGCCCCAGAAAACTGAAAAGTATAGCGATAATCCCAGATAGGGAAGAACTCAGAACTGTGAATTTATAAAGCTGTGTATGATCTCATGGGCTCACCCTTGACCTGATCATGTATGGATCCTAACCTAAACAACATACCATATTTTTTGAAAACTAAACTAAAAGACAGACTACTGCCTAGGTCCCAGACTGGCCACTGGCTGGTGTACACATGGGACAGATCTGAATTATAAAGGCAGTGGCAATAGAAATGAATTAAAACCACAATAAACTAAAACTGGTTGAAATTTGTTTTGTGCACCCAACTATGCTGATTATCTGCTGAAACAAAAATATCAATATTAAGTATCATTTAGACAAGACAGAGTCTCATTGCATAATATTCAAAATGTCTAGGATACAAGCCCAAATTACTCAGCATATAAAGAATTAAGAAAATTTCCACGTGCAGGATAAAAGGCATTGAACGGATGAGAAGGCCAAGATCTTACAGATGTTGGAATTCTATGACAAAGAATTTAAATCAGCTATTATAAAATGCTTCAGCAAGCAATCACAGACATAATTTTTTTTTTTTTTTTTTTTTTTTGAGACGGAGTCTCACTTTGTCGCCCAGGCTGGAGTGCAGTGGCGCGATTTCAGCTCACTGCAAGCTCCGCCTCCCAGGTTCACGCCATTCTCCTGCCTCAGCCTCGGAGTAGCTGGGACTACAGGAGCCTGCCGCCATGCCCGCCTAATTTTTTTTGTATTTTTTTTTTTTTTTAGTAGAGACGGGGTTTCACTGTGTTAGCTGGGATGGTCTCGATCTCCTGACCTCGTGATCTGCCTGCCTTGGCCTCCCAAAGAGACATAATTGAAATAAATAGAATGATAGGAAATATCAGAAACAAAGTAGAATATGATCCAAAGTGAAGACAATCCAAATATATATTTTAGAACTGAGCAATAAAGTAACAGCAAAAGCAAAACCTCATGGAATAAATCAGGTATTTTAAATTTAGGGTCGATATATGGCTTCTTGAGGATGTAGAAGGAGCTGCGGGTCGTTGAAAATGAATTGTATGGATATCAAATGGGCAGTTTCCAAGGAGGTGGGTGCAATGTTGAAAAGGCTGATGTCTTGGCCGCAAGCTTGGAGGTTATAATTTAATGATCTGTGGGTAGGACTAGGGGAATCAATGTTTTAAAAAATCTACTCAGACCATTTGAGACAGAGCAGAGACCCTCTCTTAGGGGCCTGTACCCGTCGTCCCCTGCCAAACATCGAAATAAAGGAAAATCTTGAGTTATTTTAAGGGAAATTCTAGGTTCCTAGCTATCCCTAACAAGTAAATAAGCAACCTGTAAAGCAACAAGATAATAGTAGCCTAATACAATAGCCAAGGAAGCTACAATCACAGGTTGTTTGGTTTTCCTATAGAAACTAAAGATAACATCTTAACATATGTTTCTGACTTGTTTTTCAGAAACAGATCCCCACCAAGTGGATCTGCCAGCACAGCAGGTAGGCTTCAGACAAGGAGGAACTGCAGACTGACCTCTGACCACCACTCCTTGTTATAAATTTCTTCCTCCCAGGCCTGGAGAAACTCACCCCCACAAGCCAGAGCTAACATTCTTCTTTGCAGACCCCAAATTTTTAAATCAAGCTTTTCTTCCTTAACCTTTTGTATATCAGAAAATCTTTTAATCTACCTGTGACCTATAAGACCCCTCTTCAAGACATCCCACACTTTTAGGCCAGCACCACTGTGTAACCTCCATGTATTGATTTTAAGTTTTTCCTGTAACTTCTGCTTTCCTGAAATCTACCCATGACTTTACCCCTTATCTGCAAGCCACTGGGGAGGTTGGGACATAAGTGTAAGCTGCCTGATTCTCCTTGCTTGGTGCCCTGCAAATATATGCTTTCCTTTTTCCTGCTGCAAAGGTCAGCGTGGATATCTGGTCTTACTGCACCAAGTAAGTGGACCCCTGTTCACTTCCATAACACATTCTCACCACCAGCCAGGGGCAAGGAGAGTTAATCAAGTGCAGCCCACTTAGTTTTCAGAAGAGAAGACTGAAGCCCAACAGGTTTTTACCCCATCAGCTTTCTCTGCCACCTAGATTGTGAATACTATTTACTATCACTTGTTTTCTGGGCTTAGAAGCGTGACAACCCAACTTTAAATCTAATTCCTATGTCCCACATCAACTTTCTATCTTCTTCTATTTCTCAGAAACTTCTCTTATATTTGTGTGTAAACCAGAAATAAAATTCTAAGACCCCTCAACTGACTGAACAGATCCCCCTTTTGGCCAAGGGCATTCCAAAGTAAACCTGAAAAACAAGTGCAGTTCATGATGGGAAGGGGGAATCGGACATGTCTCATTATGCCTTCCTCCCTTTGGAATTCAGGCACAACTGACCAGCATTAAGATTAAGACAGATATCTTAAGACTGACAAAACACTTTGTAACAATAAGATATCAAGTTCCAACCTGACTATAGTATAGCATCACATGACAGATAGCAGGCCTTGAAAGAAATGAAAATATTTTACCCTAAGATATATTTCTTTGACATATTTTGAAATACCCTGCTAAGATACCTCTTGTGGGGAAAATGTGCATTCTAAAGAGAATCATTTTCCCTTTACAAGTTTTTCCTTGATCCAGGAGAGATTAAATAAGAGACTGACACATTTTTGGATCTGATTAGAGACATTTACTATCTGTCCTTTCTGAAGGCTACTACCTGGAGGGTTCCTCTGCAAGCCATTGGGGATGCATAATAAGAACTTTGATCTCCACAACTCCTTAACTCAACCCAGATACTCCTTTCTATTGATTACAGTTCTTCAATAATAATTTAACTCTTTCAACCAATTGCCCGTCAGAAAATCTTTGAATCCACTTGTGATCTGGAAACCCCCATTTTGAGTTGTCCTGCTTTGCCAGACTGAACAAATGTATACCTTATGTGTATTGATTGATGGCTGCTTATAGCCTCTGACCCCCTAAAATGTATAAAATCTAGCTGTAACCCAACCATCTTTGGAACATGTTCTCAGGACTTCCTGGGGCTGTGTCACAGGCATTGGTCACTCATATTTGGCTTCTGAAAATACGTAAACCTCTTTAAATATTTTACAGAGTTTAGCTCTTTTTATGACATGTATATTTATTTCTCAGAAAGATCCCCAACCTTATTTTTCACCTTGATTAGAGGGCTGAGGTGGAATAGGTGGAAAGCTTGTCTGGGGTGTGGAATTTGGGAGCATATTGCAATGTTCAGTGATTAATACTATTTAGAAGAACAATTTTTGAAATAAAAATTAATTGCAAAACATGACGGTAAAATAGAAAACAGTTAAACAAAAGTAAAAACCAATTAACAGTGCTTTGTGAAGCAATATTAAAAACTGAGGCAAAATAATAATAATCAATTATATTTGCCTTATTTTTATTTGGAATTTGGATGGTTTGTTCCTCATGGATTTTTCTCTTTTTTGGCATCAATTTAGTGTATTAAACGTTGCAAATAAATGGTGCATGGAAATGTTCTTTTGATCGATGAATTTTTTGGTGACCCCTTGGATTTTAGAGCTCAGAAAAAGTGCATCTCTTGTCTTAACCTGATCCTGACCCTGAGTACTGCACCTCCTAAGTGGAGACTTATGGAAACAGCAAGAGGCTCCTGACCATGATGAGAAACAGGTTAAATCATTTGGAAATGAGAGCATGGACAGAATGAACAATGTTTTGAGTGAGAGAAGGGGAAAGATTTAATTCTTTCTTACAAAAATGTATGAAATTTTTCCTTTATTGGCTAGCACTAGACATTTTCTGAAAGGAGGGATTAAATTTTATTGAAGACCACTTTTTTTAAATAAACTACTTAATGTGAAGATAAAACTCTGAATATCTACATTATTAGTAACCATGATGATTTTCTTAAAAAGACAATTAAACAGGTTTTTCAATCAGAAATACAAAATAATAGAGGAGGAAAAATCTGATAAGAGAACAGGAGAGGCATCATTTTGGGAACAGGAATTGCCAATGCCTACGTTGTTTGCATATGAAATGTAGATTCTTCCATCTTCCTAAACTTTCCAGTGAAGTCCACATAAATGCCTATGTGAGTAGGTTTTGTCTTATTTTTGTGTTGTGCAAATTAGAAAAGGGTACATATTTTCTGCCAGTGACAATAACAGCAAGAAAATGAGAGAATTCCTCAATTGAACTAATTCAGCAAAAGCAAGAGCTCCAAGTCAGAGAAGGATATGATAATACTGGTTCGTTTAGAGTTCTCAGGAATCTCATAAAAGGCCTTGGGCTTTCCAATATTTTAAAAAGTTGAATCCATTCTTCCCTGACTCAAGGTCTCTGTGGCTACAGCTGATGTGTAGTCAAGCCATTACCATGGCTTCTCAGCATAAATAGAAAATACTAACACTTTATGGTCTCAAAATTTTGTAGACTCTGAACTTTCTTGTATGTGATTATGCAGAATTTCTTAAATGTTTCTTAATCAGCCAGTAAAATAGTCACCTTTCTTCCAAAGTTAAGAAAAGTTACCAAAACTTGGCAATAAGAAATAAGGCAATTAAGTAAGTGGCATGTCTTTTCAATGTCATATGGGGAAAAAAGCCCACTTAAGGACTGTCTAAGATAATGCACTTTCTTCTACTCATTGTTTACTCTTCTTCAGAATTCCTGAACTTAAAGAAGTTACATGTAAGTAGTTGGATTTTTGTTCATTTTGTAAAAACACAAAAACAGTCTGTCTGGCAGAAAGAAAGATAACAACAAAGTTTACAATTTAGTGAACTGGAAGATATTAGTTACTCTCTTCAATCTTGTTGAATTGGTCTAAACATCTTTTTGTTTTTTTCATTAATTAATGAATTAAATAAAACTTTTGACATATGTTCATTACAAAAACAATTAAAAATTATTTGTTGAACTCAATATCTGAATTAGCTTAAAATCAGAATGGAGATGACAGGGAGGAATTAGCAATCTTAAAGATGGATCAGTAGAAATTATCCAAGCTGAACAACAGACAGAGGAAAGATAAACAAAACAAAATAATGCTCAAGGACCTGTGGGAGGCTACTAAAAGGTAAAACATTTGTGTCATTGGAATTATACAAGGAAAAAAGAAAAAGAAGTATAGTGCAGAAGTATATGTGTATATATTTATATATATGTGTGTATATATACAGATATACGTGTATATATGTGTGTGTGTATATATATATATATACATACTAATATATTTTGTGTATGTATACACAAACATTGCAAATTTGACTAAAGCCATAAACTCTCATATTGAGTAATCTCAGTGAACTGCAAAGAAAATAACATGAAGAAAGAAATTCACGCCTAGTCACATGATAATCAAAGTACTAAATTTTAAAAACAAAGAAAAACATCTTGAAAGCAGCTATAGAGAAATAATGTATTATTTATAAGGAAACTATTTGAATGACAACAAGTTTCTCATCAGAAACAACTGACGCTAGGAAGAAGTGGCTTAATATTTGTAAGGTGCTAGAAGACAACTACTGTCAACCCAAACATCTATATCCAGTTAAAATGTCCTTCAAAAGTGATGAAAGTATAAAGACTTCTCAAATAAAGAATCTATGGCCAGCACAGCTACTTTAAAAATATTCCAAAGAACATTATTTTGACAGAAATAAAATGATACCAAAAGGAAACTTGAAACATTAAGATGAAAGAAGAGCAAGATAAAAAGTAAATATTGATGTAACAAAATAGACTATTAATCTCTTTTTGAGTTCTTTAAACATGTTTGAGAATTGAAACAAAATTGTTTTAAATTACCTAATAGATTTTCAGTGCATATAGATATATTACATAAAACAAATAAGTATAACAGGAAAAGAGAGCTATCTGGTGGTAAAGTTTCTACGTTCCACTTGAAGTAGTCAAATAGAATAAAAGAAAATAAGTAGATGGCTAAAAGTTAAGTATTATATTGTAATGTTGAAAGCAACCACTTAAACAAGGGGTGTCCAACCCCTGATACCAGTCCGTGGCTTGTTAGGAACTGGGCTGCACAGCAGGAGGTGAGTGGAGGGTGAGCCAGCATTACCACATGAGCTCCACCTCCTATCAGATCATCAGCAGCACTGGATTCCCATAGGAATGCAAGCCCTGTTGTGAACTGCACATGCAAGGCATCTAGGTCGCACACTTCTTTTGACAGTCTAATGCCTGATGATCTGAGGTGGAACAGTTTCATCCAAAAACCATACCCTGCCACCACCTGTGGAAAAATTTTCTTCCACAAAACTGGTCCCTTGTAGCAAAAAGTTGGGGACCACTGACTTAAAACACTATAAAAAGAATAAGATTCAATAACAACACAATTGGTAAAATAGAATAGTAAAAAAAGTGCAAAATACCTAAAAGAAGGCAGGAAAAGAAAGCATAGAAATTAAAACATAAAGCAAATAAACAGAAAAGACATAATAAAATGATAAACCTATATCCCAACAGTAAGTATATTAAATAATACTGGTCAAAACACATGTATTAATAAATGGGGATTGCTGGAGATTAAACTAACTAATATGACCTAACTAAATGCTTAAGAAACTCACTTTAAATTAACAATAGATAGGTGAAAAGTCAAAGAATAACAAATGAAATGGACCCAATAGTCCCAGGGATATTCTTTCTTTCTTTTTTTTTTTTTTTTTTTTTTTTGATAAACATAGAAATTCACCCTTCCGGGCTTAAAACTTGAAACTTACATTTGTTTTATCTGAGTTCCTTCCTCAGGAACTGGAGCCCCAGGCCTCTCAAAAAGTATCATGTAACTGAAACTCACCAGATCATCACACCCAACAAGGAGATGCTGGGTCTCACATTCATCATGATTGCTTTCTTACCCCTCCCAAGTTCTTATTTTCCTACACATAGTTACACTTCTTCCCTGCTATATAAACTCCTAGTTTTAGTTGGTCAGGGAGATGGATGTGAGAGTGATCTCCCATCTCCTTGGCTGCTGCACCCCATTAAAACCTTCTTCCTTGGCAGTACTTGTCTTCTCAGTCATTGGCTTTCTGTGCAGCAAACAGCAGAACTTAGACTAAACCACAGATATTTAGGTAACAGAGTTTAGTTCCATGACCAGGAACACTTTGCTCGTGGCTTGACTGCTGTGGGCCTGGAGTTTCAGAAGTCCTGCTAAGGAGCTGCCTTCCAAATATTGACTGCAGGTGAGTTTCTGTCTGTTTCTGGCCCCACTGCTGCCAGCCCCAATCATGCTCCTGATCACCTCAGAAGAACTGCCTTTGAAATTGGACATCTGCTTCCGTATAGGTGAGTGACCTTTGTGGACCCTGATAGCAACATCTGCTCCTCTCAACTGGGGAAATTTTTAAGGAATTTTTCCATATGCAGGTTGAACAAGCCCAACAGACTGAGAGAGGGAAGCAGTCTGACTGTTTCAGAATGGACACTCTTGCGGGCTTGTGTGAATAATTTTGAATGAGAAAGGATTCGTATGGTGAATTTTTGTCCTCAAGTAAAATGACTGACTAGTTATTAAAAAGAAAAAAAGAGCCAGGCGTGGTGGCTCATGCCTGTAATCCCAGCACTTTGGGAGGCCAAGGTGGTTGGATCACGAGGTCAGGAGATTGAGACCATGGTGAAACCCCATCTGTACTAAAAATACAAAAAATTAGCTGGGTGTGGTGGCTGGCGCCTGTAGTCCCAGCTACTCGGGAGGCTGAGGCAGGAGAATGGCATGAACCCGGGAGGCAGAGCTTGCAGTGAGCCTAGATGGCGCCACTGCACTCCAGCCTGGGCAACAGAGCGAGACTCTGTCTCAAAAAACAAAACAAAACATAACAAAACCTAGAAAAAAAATCACAAAGTCCAAGCGTGTCATAGGTGTCTGTGTATGTCATACATAGTTTTTCTTCTTTCTCTGTGTCTATTTTTATACACATACAGAGAAAATAGGAAGTTTAAAAGTTTATGTAATAAAATATTCTTTAAAACCTAATAGAAAATTAGATAAATTTGACCAGTTAACATTGCTCATAGTTAAAGCTGTTAGTTTTGATGATGTTAAAATAAAATATTATAAAGAAATATGTTGGAAGTTTGGAAATTTTTAAAATCTATTTAAGTGTGAAACCAGGTTTAGCATGGAGCCAAATTTTCACATACATGCTTGCATTGATTCACACTAGATTTGCTATTCTGAATAGATAGTACTAGCACTAAAGAACTTATTGGTCACATACCTAAAGTGGAATTTTTTAATTGGGGTGACTGTATAGTGACATTGGTGGACTTGAAGACACTACATGGTGTTTCAGGAACAAAATATTCATTATATGATTTTACTTTAGGCTCTGAGTAACACTGTAGCCTCCAAGGTAAAATGAGTAGGAGAAAAATTGGGGGCTGGTTTCCATTTGCTCTATTTATTTAAATTTCCTAAGCTAACTTTATCAAGCTTCCAAAATTGATAGAGGACACTGGCTATTTAAAATTTGATTAGTTTTGCTTACCTCTGATGATCTGGAGAGCTACGATAGCTTTAAGGTTCTTGGCAAAAATAAATTACTAAAAGGCTTATTTTTATAAGTTCTGAACAGAAACAGTACATTGTATATTAACACTTTGTTATTTGGGAAAGTAGATGACAGTAGAAATGTTTAAATGGTGTTTTATTTCCAAGGTGATTCAATTAAATCAATAATTTGAGTTAATTTCAGATCTTTTCCTTTAATGAGGAAAAACTATGATATGGGTATAGAGTTTTAATGTTCAGGAAAGATTGGCCTCATCTTTAAGGGAATTATATTGATTATTGATTGGAATTTATCTCAAACTACTTTAGTTGTGTTTACTATTATTAACATTAACTGACATTCACTTGGAATAAGTAGGAAAAGTTATTTTTTAAAAAAATTATGTGAGACTTTCTAGTGATTTTTTATCCCAAGCCATTTATTACTGATTAGCCTTTATGTATGTACTTGAAAACAAAATATGTGCAAGTATTGCACTGGTTTGAAGATTTTATTAGTAAAAGTTATCTAATCAGCTAGCAGTACTGTATCTACAAACTAATCTTGGAAATGTGTAATGATGCTCTTTTAAGAAGCTGGAAGAAATTATTGTATACTCGTTCTTACTTTGCTTTTGTTTTGTTGCATAGTATTTAAGTTGTTCTCATACTGAATTTCTGAAACTGATATTGCATTTGCCCTTTTTTTTAATAATGGAGAGAAACATTAGTTTTTATTTTGATAAGTTGGGCATAGTATCTATCACATTTTTGATGCTTTTGGTCACAATTTTGTCCCTAGAATGGTAGTAATTAGACATTTGTAATGAGTCACCTTACTACTTTAATACAGTGGTTTGAAGTGATGGGGGAAGTAACTCCACTAAATCACAATGTTTTAATTTGTGACATGTTAGAGAGAATGATAGAACTTTCTGCAGTATAAGTATTTCATTAACTAATCTTTGCACTGTTAAGTTACAGTGCTTTGACTCCTGGGTCTGCAGAAGGCACCAACTCCTGCTAAATCTTGAGCATTAACACCAGTCAAAGCCTCATCTTCAGACTCTGGAGATGGTGATAATCAAAATGAACTGTTTTGTGAGACACAGGGCCAGAAATTAAAACTACAGAATCCCTCTAGGCCCAGGTGATAGTGGCAGGAGGTAGACAAATTCCTAGACAGATAGAGGCAGGTCCCCAGTGAAACCTGACCTTCAAACCAGGGACAGCCCGAAGTCTGAAAACCAAGCTGCCAGTTCCAGGTAGAATCCACGACCCAGAGTGCAAACCTCCTTGATGCCTTTCAGCCAATCAAATGGTGCTTTTTCCAGGTCTGCCCATGGACCAATTAGCATGCACTTTCTCCATTTTGAGCCCATAAAAACCTTGGGCTCAGCCACATGTCAGGACTACCTGCCTGCAGGTAGGAGCTACCCACTTCAGGTCTCCTCTCCAATGAGAGCTGATTAAAACTCAATAAAACTTTCTCCACCTTGCTCACCCTCCTGTTTTCCGTGTAACCTCATTCTTCCTGGAGACTGGATAAGAACTCAGGACCTGTCGAATGGCAGGCATAAAAAGTGCTATAACACATTCCTGGCCAGCTCTCTGAGCTATGAGTGGGAGCAAAAGGAGCTGTAACACATTCCTGGCCAGCTCACCAAGCTGTGACATGCTCCCATTCACCAGACTGCGGGAGTGAAGAGCAGCAACCCTCTGGGAACCCAGACCTTGGGATTCCCCCAGCCAGAGCTGTGACATTATAGCTATCCCACCCTCTGCCAGCATTGGGCAGCATTGGGAATGTCAGCATTCCCATGTGATAGGAAGCAGCTGCAGTGCTAGCCCAGCCTGGGAGCCATGGGACAAAGGCAGGTGGCGCGACTAAAAGAGATTAAACACGCTCCTCCCTATTCACTGAGCTGCAGGTGGTGGGAATGAGAGAGCCATAGCATGCCCCCTGCCTTGGGGCTCTGTGGTTGCTGGTGTCTCCAAATTTTCAGGCACCATCGTGTTCCCCTCATCCAGACACCAGCACCCTCAGTGGAAGCCGCTTGGGATACGCCTGGTCCAGCTGCAGCCTTGCATGGAGCCGGCGCCTGTACCAGCACCATGAGCTGCCTCCCCTGCCACAGCCAGTATGCCTGTCTGTGCATAGTGGCCGAACCTCACACTTGCTTACCTATACACCCCTCGCTGCTCTGCACCTGGCCTACCCTTCATGGTTGTGGGACCCAGACCAGTAGCACGAGCCAAGCACAGACTGCCAGCCTGAGTGGGTGGAATGAGCACAGTGGGCATGAGCAAAACTCAAGCAGAGGTGCTGCTGGCCACAGAAGTTTCCAGCTGGTGAAGCAACAATTGAAGGATCTTGTCAAATAGGGACTATTGCAGAAGAGGTGGGAGCATGAGATTGTAAGAACCAATTTTGAGGGATAAGATTAGTTCAGAGTTTTCTATAAATTAAACATTAATACCAAAAGCACACTAATGGAAGGCTCACATCTGGGCCCATGTGTCAGAATAACAGAGTTTTCTTGGAAAATTATCTGTTCTTTAATAGAAAATTATAAAGGTTATAAAATGTTTATGAAAATTTTATGATCAAATTGATTACAACTAAATAAATTAGTTTATAAGGTTTTGTTAAAATTGTCTTTAACATTAATGCTATACCATATAAAGGTAAGATGGTAAGATTTGCTTTACTGTTTTGAACAAATTTTTTAGGTAAGAGATAACAAGAGATTTCTGTTTAAAACTACAGAAGAAAAAAATGTCAGGCGTGAGAGAGACAGATTTCGTTGGCTTCATATTATCTTTATTAGGACTTACTGTTTGAGAAACTGAGGGTCCTCACTATCAAAGGGTAAACATTTTTGTATATTTATTTTGGCTAAATGAATAACTATTTTATAGTAACTCGTGGTGCTATTTTATGATATCAAGTGTCTTAAACCTTTGATATTTGACGGACTTTCCAAAAGCAAAATTCCAAGTTCTATATTCAGTCTTTTTGACCTCAAACTAACTTTTATGGATGTTAGTTTCCCTGAAGTCTGAGAAACATATTAGGCTTACTAGGCTTATTTGTTATGCAATAATTTTGCAGACAGTATTTTCAAATCTGAGGTGGTGTTTAAGTTCTGATATGGTTTGGCTCTGTCCCCATCCAAATCTCATCTAAATTATAAATTCCACATGTTGTCAGAGGAAATTGGTGGGAGGTGATTGAATTATGGGGGTGTGTTTTTCCTGTGCTGTTCTCATGACAGCGAATGAGTCTCACGAGATCTGACGGTTTTAATAAGGGGAGTTTCCCTGTACAAACTCTCTTCTCTTATCTGCTGCCGTGTGAGACATGCCTTTCACCTTCCACCATGATTGTGAGGCCTTGCCAGCCACGGGAACCGTAAGTCCAATAATCTTTTTTTTTTTTTTTTTTTTTTTTTTTGTAAGTTGCCCAGTCTCAGGTGTGTCTTTATCAGCAGCATGAAAATGGACTAAAACACTAAATTGGTACCAGTACAGTGAGGCATTCCTGAAAAGATATCTGAAAATATGGAAGCAACTTTGGAACTAGGTGACAGGCAGAGGTTGGAACAGTCTGGAGGGCTCACAGGAAGACAGGAAAATGTCAAAAAGTTTGGAACTCCCTAGAAACTTATTGAATGGCTTTGACAAAAATGCTGATACTGAAATGAGCAATAAGGTCCAGGCTGAGGATCTCCTCAGATAGAGATGAGGAACTTGTTGGGAGCTGGGGCAAAGATGATTTTCGTTATGTTTTAGTAAAGAGACTGGCAGCATTTTGCCCCTGCGCTAGAAATTTGTGGAATTTTGAACTTGAGAGAGATTATTTAGGGTATCTGGCAGAAGAAATTTCGAAGCAGCAAAGCATTCAAGAGGTGATTTGGGTGCTGCTGAAGGCATTCAGTTTTAAAAGGGAAACAGAGCATAAAAGTTTGGAAAATTTGCAGCCTGATGATGTAGTGGAAAAGAAAATCCCATTTTCTGAGGTGAAATTCAAGCCAGCTGCAGAAAATAGCATTATTAATGAGGAGCCAAATGTTAATCCCCAAGACAATGGGAAAAATATCTACAAGGCATGTCAGAGGTCTTCATCACAGCCCCTCCCATCACAGGCCTGGAGATCTAGGAAGAAAAAGTGGTTTTGTGGGCCAGGCCCAGGGTCCCCGTGCTGTGTGCAGCCTAGGGACTTGGTACCCTGTGTCTCAGCCACTTCAGTCATGGCTGAAAAAGGCCAACATAGAGCTCAGGCCATGGCTTCAGAGGGTGCAAACCCCAAACCTTGGCAGCTTCCACATAGTATTGAGCCTGCAAGTGCACAGAAGTCAAGAATTGAGGTTTGGGAACCTCATCCTAGATTTCACAGAATGTATGGAAATGCCTGGATGTCCAGGATTGAGTTTGCTGCAGGGGTGGGGCTCTCATGGAGAACCTCTGCTAGGGCAGTAAAGAAGGGAAATGTAGGGTCAGAGCCCCAGCACAGAGTCCCTACTGGGAAATGCCTAGTGGAGCTGTGGGAAGAAGTTTACCATCCTCCAGACCTCAGAATTGTAGATCCACTGACAACTTGCACTTTGTGCCTGGAAAAGCTGCAGACCCTCAACAAAAGCCCAAGAAAGCAGCTTGGTGGGAGGCTGTACCCCGCAGAGCCACAGGAGTGGAGCTGCCCAAGACCACGGGAACCCACCTCTTGCATCAGCACGACCTGGATGCAAGACATGGAGTCAAAGGAGATCATTTTTGAGCTTTAAGATTTGACTGCCTTGCTGGATTTTGGACTTGCATGGGGCCTATAGCCCCCTGGTTTTGGCCAATTTCTCCCATTTGGAATGGCTGTATTTACCCAATGCCTGTATCCCCATTGTATCTAGGAAGTAACTAACTTGCTTTGGATTTTACAGGCTCAAAGGTGGAAGTGTGTCCAGAGTTGGTTCCTGCCAGTGGGTTGGTTCGTGGTCTTGCTGACTTCAAGAATGACACCGCTGACCTTTGCGGTGAGTATTACAGCTCTTAAAGGTGGCATGGACTCAAAAGAATGAGCAGCATCAAGATATATTGTGAAGAGAGAAAGAACAAAGCTTCCACAGGGTGAAAGGGGACCCCAGTGGGTTGATGCTTCTGGCTGGGGTGACCAGCTTTTATTCCCTTATTGGCCCCTCCCATTTTCCATTTCTGTCCTATCAGAGTGCCCTTTTTCCAATCCTCCCTGCGATTGGCTACCTTTAGGATCCTGCTGATTGGTGTGTTTCACAGAGTACTGATTGGTACATTTCAGAGCGCTGATTGGTGAGTTTTACAGAGTGCTGATCAGCGCATTTTACAGTCCTCTTGCTAGCTACAGAGTGCCGATTGGTGCATTTTTGCAGAGTGCTGATTGGTGCATTTTACAATCCCCTTGCTAGCTACAGAGCACTGATTGATGCATTTTACAATCCTAGCTACAGAGTGTTGATTGGTGCGTTTTACAATCCTAGCTACAGAGTGCTGACTGGTGCGTTTTACAATCCTCTTGTAAGACAGAAAAGTTCTCCAAGTCCCCACTCGACCCAGAAAGTCCAGCTAGCTTCACTTCTCAGAAGGGACTTGCCTTGTATCAGATAAGATGTTGGACTGTGGACTTTTGAGTTAATGCTGAAATGAGTTAAGACTTTGGGGGGCTGTTGGGAAGGCAGGATTGATTTAGAAATGTGAGGACATGAGATTTGGGAGAGGCTAGGGGCAGAATGATATGGTTTGGCTGTGTCCCCACGCATATATCATCTTGAATTGTAGCTCCCACAATTCCCACATGTTGTGGGAGGAACCTGGTGTAAGGCGATTGAATTATGGGGATGGGTCTTTCCTGTGATGTTCTCATGGTAGTGAATGAGTCTCACAAGATCTGATGGTTTTAAAAATGGGAGTTTCCCTGCACAAGCTCTCTTCTTTTCTCTGCCTCCATGTAAGACATGCCTTTCACCTTGCACCATGATTGTGAGGCCTCCCTAGCCATGTGAAACTGTAATCCCAATAAACTTCTTCTTTTGTAAATTGTCCAGTGTGGGGTATGTCTTTATCATCAGCATGAAAATACACTAATACAGCTTCTTTTCAGTTATATTTATATTTATATAGTTGTGTTGTTAACAAGTGTTCCAGGATTGTATGAGATTCCTAAAATTCTGATATGTCTTAATATATGTTATCAGTAACAATTATGATTATT
The DNA here is from genome assembly GCF_000001405.40 of Homo sapiens. Taxonomy (NCBI): domain Eukaryota; kingdom Metazoa; phylum Chordata; class Mammalia; order Primates; family Hominidae; genus Homo; species Homo sapiens. Next base: position 76,410,759 of record NC_000002.12, read on the forward strand.
ATGGTAGCTTGTTGTATGCCACAGAAATAACCAAATTTCCTTGTCAACTATGTCGTTAGCTATGGCTGTGTTAAGAATTTTGTCATCCACAATTGTTTTGCTTTCATCTCAAAAAGTGACTTATAGTCAGTTACAATCCAGGACTTGTTTCTTTGAGGGACTTCATGAAAAAGACTCTTGAATGCAGGTTTCTGATAATTTTGGAGATTGTGCTATTGGATTAGAAAGAAAGCTTGCAGGTCACTAATTGAAAGGCTGATATTTTCATAAAGATTGCTAACCTCATATGAAGCAGAACAGTAGTTGATTGCATAGACTGACTAACCAAGGACTGAAATAATTTTTATGGCTTTTTTTGTTGGTTTGAAATATTGATGATTCTTTTTGTTTTATAGTCTGGAGTTTTTTTTTCTTTTGAGCTATTTATAGCTTTTAAGTATGCTTTAAGTATAACGAATAGAATATACTTTCGTTAACAGAATTTGAGGCATATTTCTTTCTCTCTGCCTAATTTCTCAAGACTTTGTAAACTATTTATGAATGTTGTTAATTCACGGCAATGTGTTTGTTTGCATAAGTTCAATAAGAATTTGTTTTCGTTTATAATGGGACACAGTTGGAGGAACTGATAATTGTCCCAGGGCTTTGATTGAAACGGCCTTGGGACAGGTTCCAGTAAGGGCAGTTTAAGAGAGCCTATGTGGACAATGATTCTTGCTGCACTTTGTGTGGGTTATTAGGTGAAGTGTGTGGGACTGAAGCTTATTTTGCTGGTAGATTGTTCCTGCTGTGATTTGTCTTTGGTGGAAGTGAGAGACTGGAGGGAAAATGATTGTGTTTCAGAAGAAAACTATGGTGTTAGATTAACTTTTGATTCCTGAATGGCCACAGAGTCACCCATGGTATAGAGCTGCCCACTATGTCCCTCCTCAGCTTGAAGCAGCCAGAAAGATTGACAACTACATTCCCCATGATTGAGGCATTGATATATAGAAAAGGGGGGACTGAAACTGACTCAATAGTCCATAGACAGCTTTTTGGGGGGATAAACATAGAAATTTACCCTTCTGGTCTTAAAGTTTGAAACTTATATTTGTTTTATCTGAGTTTCTTCCTAAGAAAAGAGCCCCCAGCCCTCTCAAAAAGTATCAAGGAACTGAAACACACCAGATCACAACATCCAGACAATGAGACATCAGGTCCCTTATTCATCATCATTGCCTTCTTACCCCTCCTGAGTTCCTGTTTTCCTAAATATGGTTACATTTCTTCCCTGCTATATAAACCCCTAATTTTAGTCAGCCGGGGAGATGGATTTGAGACTGAATTTTTTGTTTCTTTGGCTGCAGCCCTTGATTAAAGACTTCTTCCCTGGCAATCTTTGCCTCAGTGACTGGCTTTCCCTGTGGTGAGCAGCAAGACCTAGACCGAACCCTTTCTGTTTCAGTAACAAAAAGACATACATGGAGAGACCTTCTCTGTACAAAAAAATTAGCTAGCTGTAGTGGCACACACCTGTAGTCCCAGCTACTCAGGAGGCTGAGGTAGGAGGATTGCTTAAGCCTGGGAGGTGGAGGTTATAGTGAGCCATGATCACCCCACTGCACTCCAGCCTGGGTGACAGCAAAACCCTGTCTCAAAGAAAAAGATATAATGAGAAAACATACATCAAATGAAAGTTGGAATGGTTAAATTAATAAATATCAAAAGACTTAAACATTTTTAGAAATAAAGAGGGTTATTACGTAATAAAGAAAGGGTAAATTCAGCAAGGGGAGTTGACAATACTAAAGGTGTATGTACCTACTGCGAGAGCCTCAAAATATATGAAGCAAAAACAGAGAATTTACAGGAGAAATAGATAGATTCATGATTATAATTAGAGATTTCAAGACTCTGATTTCAGCAATGGATAGGCATAAAATTAGCAAGGATATAGCAGAAGTTAGCTAGAACATTAACAAACTTGGTCTAATTGGCGTTTATAGCACCATTCAACAACAGCAGAATGCATATTCATTACAAGTGTACATGGAAAAGACACCAAGACAGACTCATTTAAAGATTTGAATTCATGCATGATCCTAAAGGAATTAAAGTAGAAATCAATAAGAGAAAGATAAAAGGAAAATCTGCAAACACTTGGAATTCAAGTAACACACTTCTACAAAATACTAGGATTAAGGAGATAGTCTCAAGGGAAATTGGAAAATATTTTGAACTGAGTGAAAATACAACAGTCATTTGTGGAAAGCAGCTGAAACAGTGCTAGAGGAAGCTTTATATCATTAAATGCTAATATTAAAAAAGAATTAAGGTATCAAACCAATAACTTAAAGTTCCAACTTAAGAAACTATAAAAAAAAGAAAAACCAAATGCAAGCAGAAGGGAAGAAATAATAAACACAGAGCTCAAGAAAATTAAAATAGGAAAACCATAGAGAAAATTAATGAAACTAAAAGCTTATTTTTTTAGGTGATGAATAAAACTAGAGAAGATACAAATTATCAGTATTAGGATTGAAATAGGAGATAATGCTATGGACCCAAAAGATAAGAGAATACTATAAAATCTCTTCACATATAAATTTGAAAATTTATTCAAAATGGATCAATTTCTCAAAACTCTCAAGCAAAACTCACACGAGATGAAATAGATATTCTCAAGAGTGCTAAAACTAGTGAAAATATTGACAAAGACTCTCTCCTTTCACCAGAACTTTAGTAAGCCTCCTCTGAGTCCTCTGTTTAACTTTGTGTGAACTTGGACTTCCATCTCTGTGTAGAATACAGTTTGAGTTAGAATTCTGTTAAATCAGCTTAGAGTGGATATCCCAGGCTTGACATTTGACCACCCTTATCTTATCACCTGGCCTGCCTTCAGCAATAATCCTATTAAGTTCTAGCCAGGAAGCTCTGATGCTTGATGTTTTCTCTTAGTAATTTTCTTTCTACTGCCCCCCTCTCTAGTCCTTGGTTATAAATCCCCACTTGTCTTTCTTGGAGTCAAAGTGGGTTCCAATGTCTCTCACCCACAGTGAGACTGCATTGCAGTGGCCCCTATATCTTTCATCATGGCCCCCCTTAATAAAGTCTGACTTGCCATATTAAACAAGTGTTTGGATAATTATTTTTCTTTAATAACATTCAATCATTGTTAAAAACTTTTCCAGAAACAATATCTCCAGGCCCAGATATTTTCACTCAGAAATCCAACCAAATATTTCAAGAATAAGACCAATTTTTCACAATCTCTTTTGGTAAATGGAGAAGGATCGAATAGTTTTGTTTGTTTGTTTGTCCGTTTGTTTGTTTTGAGACACTTTCACTTTGTCACTCAGGCTGGAGTGTAGTGGCATGATCTCGGCTCACTGCAACCTCCACCTTCTGGGTTCAAGTGATTCTCGTGCCTCAGCTTTCCGAGTAGCTGGGATTACAGGCATGTGCCACCATGCCTGGCTAATTTTTGTATTTTTAGTAGAGATGGCGTTTCACCATGTTGGCCAGGCTGGTCTCGAACTCCTGGCCTCAAGTGATCTCCTTGCCTCGGCCTCCAAAGTGCTAGGATTACAGGCGTGAGCCACTGCACCCAGCCTAGCATCGAATAGTCCTAAAAACATTTCACAAGGCTAGTATTACCTTTATATAAAAACCAGATGAAAATTTGTAAAACTTGTGGACTGTAGAGAATTTTTTTTTTTTTTTTTTTTTTTTTTTTTTTTTTTGGTGTGTTTCTACAGAGTTAGGGCCTAATGAACAAATTTTTCTGTAAATTGGGATCCTGGGCTAAAAGCAACCCTTAGGTAGTTAATTTACACCTGGATATATATAGTGAGACAATTGTATAGATAGATTAACTTAACTCTGGGGATGTGTGATTACATTTTAAGAAAAAAATGAAGCTTAGGACCTTGAAACACCTTCTAGGTCATAAAAACCAATAACACAGCAAGTTGGGGATGAGGTGGGGCTTATTATGGCCCCTGGAAAGACGTATTTACATTTCAAAAGGTTAGAGTGAGAACCTAGGATCTATTGCATCTTCAGGAAGCAAAAGTTCTTTTTTTTTTGTAAGGGAAAGAGAGGCAGCTGTCCCCTTCTCCAGAATATATATGTATGTATTAAAAAAAAAAAAAGAAAATCAATTTTCTTCTGTTTTTCATTTAATATACAGACTTGGTATGCATAGGAGATGTGACCTGGATTTCAACCAGCTGGTCCTGAGATAAGAATTTGTTGCTGGTAGTTAGACAGGCATGAGGGGGGCCTGAGAGGGCTCTCCCCCACCCACTAGGAATGTTGGCTGATGGTTGGTCAATTATCACATTGACTCTCTAAAAGTGATAAATTGGTAGCCGGCACCAGGTAGAGGCCATTTCCTGATGGTCCACACCTGTTGCATTGAAGTTTTAATTGAATGCAGGTGCCAGGGAGAAGCAAAAATGGGCTTCCAATCTCAAGTATTGGGCGGGTGAGCCCGGGCATGTGCATTAAAAGGCAAAATGGTGGCGTATGCTCTTTTGGGGGCACTCCACGGGAAAAGGGAAGAAAGCCTCCGATGAGTATGCCTACGACTTCCTAAAATTACTGCCGTGCTCACTTCCTAAGGGTAAGGAGGGCACGGCGCATTGCACCCGAGAGGCGGAGGTTGCAGTGAGCCGAGAACGCGCACTCCAGCCTGGCGACAGAGCAAGACTCCTTCTCAAAAAGAAAGTAAGTCCACACTATGGCAGCCCACACTAAGGGAAGAATCGTGGGAAAGAGGCAAGCCTATAAAGTCCTAGGATAAAGGTTAAACATCGCACTTGTTCTATAAGTTTCCTGCTTGGGTCTCTTCCAAGCATACTTTATTTTCTTTCCTGTTCTAAAGGCTTTTAAAATAAACTTCCACTCCTTCTGTGAAACTTGCCCTCTTTTTCTGCCATATGCCCCTCAGTTGAATTCTTTCTTCTGAGGAGGCAAGAATTGAGGTTGCTGCAGACCCACAGAAATTCACTGCCAGTACCTTGGGCATCTTCTACCAGCCATGTAGTTATTACTTTTTTTTTTTTTTTGGCGGGGGAGGGGCGGGCGCGGAGAACCCCATCCTGCTTATACAGCCATTATAATTTAGATGTGGTTTTGTCCCCCCCGCCCAGCAGTCTAGAGGGCTTTTCTTAACAAATTACGGGTAAAACATGCACAGTTTAACTTCAGTTATATAACCATAAACTGCCAGTCAAATGACATCATTCTGTCACTCAAACAGCCCAAGCCTCAACTCCTCCCACAAACCCCATAAAAACACCCTGAGCTCTAAAGCAGAAGTGACATGAAGTGAAATCAGCCCACTCTCTTTCTGAGAGTCTATTACTGTGCTTCAGTAAAATTGGCTTTAAGCTTACATGTGGGTGTTAGTTTGCAATTCTTCGCTCACTATTACAAAAACCAAGATTGCTGGTACAGAGCTCGAGCTCTGTTATCTCCTCGATTAAAGGATCCATCCCAATGCAGAATCCCTGGTAACAAATTTTTTTAGAGAAAAGCAGGAGAAAATCTTCACCAATTAGCAGAAGCAAAAATTAACTACGTAGGATGCAAAAAACATGAACCATAAAAAATTAATAAGTTATCAAAATCAAAACCTTAGCTCTTTGAAAGAAACTATTAAGAAAATGAAAAGATAAGTGATAGACTAGAAAAAAATTTACAACACATAAACTTGATAAGGAAAGCATATACATTTTTTAGTTTAAAAGTTCAATAATTAGAAGACAATTTTTTAAATGGTGAACATTTTTGAACAGATACTTCTAAAAAAGAAATTTATAAATGGCCAATAAGCACATAGAAATGCTCAATATCATTAATCATCAAGGAAATACATTTAAAATACTTTGAGATATCGCTACACAATCACTAGAATAATTAAATACTGACAACATCAAGTGTTGGTGAGGATTTGTAGCAACTGGAATTCTCATACATTTCTGATAGGATTGTTAAATTGTACAACCATTTGTTGTACAATTTATAGAAAGCAGTTTGACAGTTTTTTATATAGTTAAAACACACCTATCATAAAACAATTCCATGAATTTGCCCAAGAGAAATGAAAATATATGTCCATACAAAGACTTTCACTAAAATGCTCATGTAAGCTCTATTAATGATATCCCCAAACTGAAAAAAACCCAGACAGTCATCAAGAGTTGAACTGATGACTAAATTATGGTGTATCTTCCAAGGGAATACTACTGTTTGTATTACACATTTTAAAACTTTGTATTTTCTTGCTGCCTCGACATCTCCACAAACAAGCTGTGAGCAGCGCCCCTCCCAGGTAACCAGGTGTACAAGTGTGATGAGGTCAGAGCCTCATCAAGTTCTCTGACTTGCCTTCCCCTGACTGACATCTGGTAATATTTAAAGTCACCAGTCAAATCCCCTCACACATTTTGCTGGTGTGCTCCACCCTGACCTCCAATAGAGGCATTTGCCCATGGATGCGTATTCTCTCTCCACTCCCTATCTGCTGACTTGAGCCTGCTCCTTTGCTGCTCCCTCTCATGTGGCCCCTACTTGACATGCAGTGACTCTCCCTCTAGGACCTGTGAGTATAAGAATTTTTTTCCCTGTGCCCCTCTTCTGGACACTCGACTATCACCTAAAGAAAGCCCCAAAACGTTCATCAACGAAAAGGATCAAACTACTGAAATATACGTAACATCATGAATGTGTCTCAAAAATAATCCTTAAGAAAAAAGCTGGACTCAAAGATTTCGCATACTGTTTGATCTCATCATATGACATTTTAGAAGTGGCATGATTAAAAAGACTGGTGGTTGCTTGGAGCTAGGGGTGAGGGATATTGCCTGCAGAGAGGCATAAGAGAATCTTGTGGGGTGGTGGAAATATTCTATATAGTGTTTATATTTGGGATTGCATATTGTATACATTTGACAAAAATCAAACTCTACATTTATATGCATTTGTTTTATTTCTATATAAATTATACCTCAATCAATTTGATCTTTAAAAATATTAATATGTACCTGGCTTGAATTCCCAAAGTCCTTTCTTCACTGGTCCTAGTCTTCAGTCACCCTTTTTCTGTTTCTTAGTCATGTCATAATAGTCTCCCACAAAATTAAAAACTTTTCCATTTTTAAAATTTTGGTTTATTTGCTTCTTCAGTTATTGACCACTCTTCAGTCTTTCAGTTCACAGATATTATTCTGGCTTGCCTTTAAAAGCCTCATTTTGGAAAGTCAACTATAGTGGCCAAACGGCTTCAGTTTAAATTCTGAGATATTAGATTTTGATGAAAATAGAGACTCAAGTATCAAAGATGTGGTTTGGAAGAATTCATTTTAAAAGTTCATGCAGCATTTGTATTATGTGATTTATGGAAAGCAGTTTGGTTTTCGCATTGCTTCAAATTTTTAGTGCACATCAGAATCACTTGGAGAACATGTTACAATGATGTATGTCTGAAGAAGGGTCTGGGATCTTAGTTTTAAGAAGCTTCCCAGGTGATTTGGATGCAGGTAGTTTTCTGACCATACTTTAAGAGCCCAGCTTTGCTGTAAAGAAGTTATCTTGGCCTGCTATGGGGTAGAGAGTGCATGTGTGTGTGATGGCCATGAAGGGTAGAGAGTATTGTACTCATGGAATTCATATCCCAGATCAGCCATTTTCAATTGGTGATACATTGGGAAATCACTTAAGCTCTTTGAACTTCACTTTCCTTATTTATGAGAATTATACCTATTCCTGAGGTTTGTTGTTCTAAAGGTATGATGTTAGACACATTGACAAATTAGGACGCTTGGCTTAAAAAAAAATGCTCAAAATATTTTTAAAAAGAGTAAATATCTCCAGTGAGCTTGTGTCTCATGGCCCTCTGACTTTGTGTAATTTGGACACTGTCATTAAGTTACCAGAATTGCAGAGCTCCTGTGCTGGGAGTGCATACAGATCAGCATCCACATCTCTATTTCTCTCCAGTACACCAGGGCATCTTTCGTTAACTACCAATCCTATCACACTAGTAATGAACAACCTAACCTTGAATACTCCTCTCAATACTGAACCCCCACCTACATCCCTCCCTCTCGTACCCAGATCATGCATATAGTTCACATTAGATATTACTTATATCTAATTTCTGTGACATGCGTATAGTTCACATTAGATATTACTTATCTCCATTCCTCGAGTTAAAGAAGGCATACACATTGTTCAGCTTTATTCAGATATTTCATGTGGTGATGATATCTAGGTTAAAAGTGTCTTATTTTTCTCTACTTAGTTAAAAGTTTCAAATTGTGAGAAAATGATCATATGAATAGTACATGTGGCCTGTTTTGCACTGAGAAACATGTCACATTTCTGTGATATAAATGGTTAGGATTTAGGGGTATGGCATTACTATGAAAGATTTTTCCTTTTTCTTTTTCTCCCCTCCTTTTCCCCTCCCTTTCTTTCCTGTCCCTTCCTTTTCCTCATTTTTCTTTCCTCCCTTCTGACTTCCCTCTCTCTTTCCCTCTCTCCTTCCTTCCTCTGTTTCTTCCTACCTATTAACAGGTCTAGATAAAGATTTAAACTGATTTAAACAAGGAAGATTTCAGCAAGGAAACCTCCTCGTTTCCAAGTTCTTTAGCATAAGAATGATGATGATTGAAAGATAGTGCCACTTTTGTATTTTTGCTGGCATAACACCACCAGCTAAGGATCATCCCCTAGGTATGGGTCAAGCCCCCAAAACAAATCATATAAATTGTTTTATCTTTACTTCATAGTTAGGTATATTGAAACCCACTAAAGTGATTCTTCACTGCCATAAAATGAGTTTATAGTAGAGTTACAAATTCATTTTAAATCCCCCAATTTGGACTTTCCTTTAGCCTCCAAACACTTTTTTTAAAGTATAGGGCAGAATATTGTTGCCATTACTGAACTCAGATTTCATTTCAGTCACCTTCAGGTGCTTGTTTATTTTCTATTTATTATTATTTGCTTTTGATTCAGGTTCATTTCTCACTATCCAGCAATCCACACAATGCTATGGCAGTCAGGTTTATCTCTCATCAGTCACTCTGCACATATCTTTTCTTGCCCCCTTCTTGCTTTGAGTCATGCAGTTTCTCCAACATGGGACAATCTTTTTGCCAGTTTAAATTCTTCCCATTACTCAAGACCCTATTCAATCTCCACATTTCCTCTAGGAAACTTTCTTCAATTACTCTAACCCTCTCTGAACTCCTGCTGTATTTATAGACAGGTCACAGTGCAGTGATCTAATTACACACAGAATGTCAGAGCTGGAAGGGACCTCAGAAATCATCCAGCCCAATGCCCCTGTTCATAGGCGAGGAAACAGAGTGCAGGAGGCAAATTTTGAGAGAGTGGAAGCACACACTCCTAGAGAGTGGGTAAGAACAAGATCTGGATGTGACACTGATAGCGTATGTGACTAGTAATGTGACTAGTAATGATCTGGGTACAAGAGGGAGGGATGTAGGTGGGGTTCAGTATTGAGAGGAGTATTCAAGGTTAGGCTGTTGGGCTGTTGATTACTAATGTAATGGGATTGGTAGTTAACGAAAGATGCACTGGTGTATTGGAAAGAAATACAGAGATGTGGATGCTGATCTGTATGCGCTCCCAGCACAGGAGCTCTGCAATGCTGGTACCTTAATGACAGTGTCCAAATTACACAAAGTCATAGGGCCATGAGATCCAAGCTCATTGGAGATATTTACTCTTTTTAAAAACATTTTGAGCAGTTTTTTTTAAAAGGCAAGGGTCCTAATTTGTCAATGAGTTATTTATTAAAGGGTGAAGAGACGTAACCAAGTTTAAAAAGTTGTAGAAGTGAAATTTCAAGTAGAAGAACAAAAATAAGAAAAAGCTAGCCTGGGCAATACAGTGAGACTCCATCTCTACAAAAAAACAAACAAACAAACAAACAAAAAACTAATAAAAAAAAAAGCTATGGTTGGTGGTGCATGTTTGTAGTCCATTTTTTTTTTTCAGGAGGCTGAGGCAGGAGAATCGCTTGAGCACAGGAGTTTGGGGTTGCAGTGAGCTATGACTGGACCACTGCACTCCAGCATGGGTGACAGAATGATACCCTGTCTCCAAAAGAAAGAAAGAAAAAGCTGTGAAATTATGGAGTGTAAAGGAAGATGGTGAGGCTAGCTCAAACTAGCAGAGAATTCCAATAGCATGGTGTTAAGGAGAATGACAGTGGACATAAAATGTATTTCTAGGTCAAATAAAAATCTTTTGAATGAGATTTAGAAGAGTGACTAAGACAAAAATTCATGTTACTCTGTGTGAACTATGTGTTATATAAGGACATTGTTGGTCGAGTAAAAATGAAGCAATACATGACTCTCTGGACCCGAACTGAACCCCTTTCCTTTTGGTTTTCATGACATCACTTTCCTCCCACCTCTTTGGTGTCACCTTCTCAGTCTCTTTCCTGAGTCTTCTTCCTGTATTAATTTTCTCTGTATAATTGTTTTTTCTAGCTCTACTATTTCTTGAAGTGACAGCATTCATTTCTATAACTTTTAAAATTGTTTGAATGCTAAAGATCAACTATTTTGTATTTTTACGCCTGGATTCACCTCAATAACATGTAAGTATATATACAGCTATCCCATTAATATATCCAGTTGCATACGTTTATTGATTAGTAAGCCTTGATGTCCCTTTCCCTGAAACCTTGCCATGCCCTTATCATTTTAGTAATGGCATTACTATTTGACATATTCAGAAACCTAAAATTTATCTTTGATACCTCCCAGTTCTTCATTCCTCATATTCAATGAATCAGCAATCTTGTCCCTATCTAAAGTATATCTTTAAGTTGCAGCCTCTCTGTTGTGTCTGGTGCCCACCTAATCAAATTCCCTCTCCTCTTTCTTCTTGGATAGCTTCATACTGGTGTTGCTGCATCCACTGTGGCCCCTCTGTAATGCCTTCTGCATGACACTGCCAGAGTGATCTTATATAACCTTAACTATATGACCTCACAGCCCTGCTTAAAGACCTTTGAGAGCTCTCCTTAGCACAAAAGATAAAATCCATATTCACTGCTATAGCCGACACGGCCATTGTGATCTGGCCTGTTGTGGCTGTCCCCCATTGTCACTAAGCTCCTTCCACACAAGGCTTTATTTCTGATTCTTGAACAATGCAGCTCTTTACTGTCTTAGGACATTGGAGCATGCTGTTTTCTCTATCTAGAGGGTTTGTCCTCTAGTGCTGCTCATGGCTGGCTTCTCACACTTCGAGTCTTGGTAAAGCATCATCTTTTGGAGAGGGTTTCCCTCAAAGCCCTTTTTAAAAGGTTGGTATTCTCCCTTCTTGTATACACACACACACACACACACACACACACACTTTTCTCTGTCACATTACTCTGCTTCTCTCCTACTTACGCTAGTCTGCAATTATTTAAATTATGATATATGCTCTATGAGGGCAGAGGCTCATCTGCTTTGTTTACAAGACGTAAAACAGATCCCAACACAAAGGAACTGCCCAATAAATACTTAAGGAGTTAGGAAGACACAGAATTCCATTTCAGAAGGAATTATGCCAACAAAATGTCTTCAGATATAGAAATCAGAAGCTTTGGGCTCAAAATATAAAGCTAAAGATGAAAACATCAGAAGTGACTTTGTGCTTGTTTTATTTACTTTTATATGAATTAAATAATTTTATGTTTAAAACATCAGGCAGAACATCTTTCAATTAATGCTAAAGCTGCAGCTAAGTGGAAGAACACTGAGGGAGGGAATGCTATTGCATGTATGCTAAGGCTTAAAAGAAGTGTTTCAAGATTTGTCTTGCAGAAGTCATTTACCAAATGCTATACTGTGAAGTACTTTATAGGGAGGTTCCATAGGTTATCTAAAGAAACCCAAGTGACTGTGATTTTTTATTTACCCCTAGAACTCAAATCAAGCAGTCATAGCTCAAAAATTTTTGTGTATTTCTCTCCTATTACATCACCTTATTCTTATACTTTTGGATACTCCTTGTGATCATGTACCTGTGGCTTAGCTGGATACTGTAGAGACATATCCTGTGAAGATTAAGCCATGCTATGAGGACCAGCAATCGTTCTGGGAACAATAGTCTGTTTAGAGACCTATGTCCACTAGCAGGTCAGTACCTTCTGACACTTGGTGGGTGAGGAAATCTCTTTTCTCCCTATGAGTTGACTTTGGTGTGAGAAGGACCAAATAGTAGACCAGCCTTTGTACAGGCTTGATTTAGGGATGGTAGCAGTAAAGACACACTTTCCTTCAAATACTGTATGTCTAAACTGTTGATTATCTCTAGATGAAATACAATTCGATATCTAGGCTATTTGTGTCTCCTTCCTCCCAGCAAGAACTCTTTAGTGGCTGCAAAACACCATACATGAAGTATTTGTTGAGCTGAATTAAATTTGTGTCTATTTTGGCAAGCTGAATGTAACTGATATGGTGTGAGAGAAGCTTTCTTACAGAAGAAAAGTTTTAACTTTTTCCTTTATTTCTTTTTAAAACTTTTTTATTATAGATAATACAAACTGTATACAAAATTGGGTATTATGATTTCAAGTGGTATTATGAATCTTACATGCCATCTCCCAAGATTAAATGATCAACTCATTCCCACTCCTGTTTGATCTATACTCTTTGAAACTTCTCTCCTCTTCACAAATCATTTTGAAGCAAATTTCAAACATTATTGTATTTCATCAGTAAAGATTTTAGTAGTATATCTTAGTGATAAAGCATTTATAAAAACTCACAGTACTGTTGACCCACCTAAGTAAAGGAACATTAATTCTTTAAATGTCATAAAATATTAGTTAATATGGTTGGAAACAAAAGGAGATCCTATTCTTCAGTAGAGCCCATGGACATTTAGAAACAAGGATTAGTCTGGGCACAGTGGCTCATGTCTGTAATACCAGCAGTTTTGGAGGCCAAGACGTGAGGATCTCTTGATCCCAGGAGTTTCAGACCAGCCTGAGCAACACAGTAAGCCCTCATCTCTACAGGAAATCAAAAAATTAGGCAGGCGTGGTGGTTTGCTCCTGTAGTCCCAGCTGCTGGGGAGGTTGAGCTGGATCAATTGAGCTTGGAAGGTTGAGGCTTCAGTGAGCCATGACCATGATCATGCCATTGCACTCCAGACTGTGTGACAGAATGAGACCCTGTCTCAAAAAAAAAAAAAAAAAAAAAAGTAAAAGAAAGAAAGAAGAAAAGATTTCCTCTTCCATGACCTTTTAAAATTTATCTCTGTTTCAATAATAAATACTCATAATAACAAAAACTTGACCTTTTATTATATAGTTGTGACTTTTCCATTTCATGGGTTAATGTTTATTCACTTTCCAACAGTGTGGAAAAATTTTAAACCCAGTTAGTTCCTGAAACCAGTGGTTGCCAATAACTACTGAGATGAATTTAGATAAAGTTAGAGGGAGTCATAAATTACTTGGGAAAGATGGAATGCATGGAAGAAAGGCACATACAAATTTATTTGTTGCCAGTATGTCAGTCAACTGGTTAAATGTCTTGAAGAAAAATTGTCAAAGAGAGAGAAAAACAGCTAAGAGTTTTGAATTGCTGCCAGAGGCCAAAGTGATAAAGATGATCTTCCAAATTACCAACAGGAAAAAACATGCCCAAAGATATCATTACTTTGTTCATATCACCAAGAATCTAGAAAAGTGCTTGTCACAAAATGAATATTTAATAATGTTATGAATAAATTGATACATTGAAAATATATTTAAAGGGGCAGAAATATGAGGGAAATCACAAGGCATTGACATTAAAGGCATGAGTCAGTAATGTCTTGAAAACTGTCTTAAGAGGAGTAAGAATATTTTAAATGAACTTTTTTTTGACTATGCTAAATGCATAAAAATGTACATGAATAGATTTGTGTAAGCAACACTACAATCAGGAAACAGAACAGTTACATCACCCTAGAAAAACCATCTCTCAAGGTATCCTTCTGTATTCACATCCTTCTACCATCCCTAACTTTAAGAACTAATAATCTGTATTCAATAACTATGGTTTTGTGCTTTTTAGAACCTTATTTAAGTGGAATCATACAGTGTATGGCTTTTCAAGACTGGCTTCTTATGCTCAGATCAACTCATTTGAGATCCAAGTTGTGTGTCAATAGTTTGTTCCTTTTAGATACTGAGTAGTATGTCATTGTATGGATGTATCACAGTTTGTTTACACATATATCTACTGACGGACATTTGGATTACATCTTGTTTTAAGCAATTATGTATAGAGTTCTTAATATGTCCTGGATACAAATTCTCTGACAGATGTGCAATTTGCAAATGTTTTCTATCAATTATTGTCTTATCTTTTCAGTTTCTTAACAGTGTCTTTTGCAGAGCTAAAGCTTATATTTCGGCAATGTCCAATTAACTTGTTTTTATTCTATGGATTATGCTCTTAGTGCTATATCTAATAATTTTTGCCTAAACTCAGGTGATGCGTATTTTCTCGTGTGTATTATTCTAAAAGTTTAATAGTTGACATTTTACATTTAGATCTGGGATTCATTTTTAATTAAATTGTGTACGAGGTATTAGATTTAGTTCAAAATACTTTTTTTGGCATATGAATGTTCAATTATCTTATCAATCTTTATTGAGAAGATTAGGGGCTTTCTCCATTGAATTGCCTTTGATCTTGTCCAAAATAAACTGAAATTTTTATGTGCTTTTACTTCAGACTTTGTGTATTAGTTCATTTTCATACTGCTGTAAAGAACTGCCCAAGACTGGGTAATTTATGAAGGAAAGTGGTTTAATTGATTCACAGTTGAGTGTGGCTGGGAAGGCCTGAGGAAACTTACAATCATGGCAGAAGGTGAAGAAGAAACAAGGCATCTTTTTCACAAGGTGACAGGAAGGAGAAGTGCAGAGTGAATGAGGAATAGCCCTTTATTAAAACCATCAGATCTTGGCTGGGTGTGGTGGCTCACGCCTGTAATCCCAGCACTTTGGGAGTCCGAGGCGGGCGGATTGCCTGAGGTCAGCAGTTCAAGACCAGTCTGGCCAACATGGTGAAACCCCGTCTCTACTAAAAATATAAAAAAGTAGCCGGGCATGTCGATGCGCCTGTAATCCCAGCTACTTGGGAGGCTGAGGCAGGAAAATTGCTTGAACTAGGGAGGTGGAAGTTGCAGTGAGCTATCGCACCACTCTAGTCCACCCTGGGCAACAGAGCGAGACTTCGTCTAAAAAAAAATAAAAATCAGATCTCATGAGAACTCACTCACTGTCACAAGAACAGAATGGGGGAAACTGTCCCCATAACTCAATTACCTCCACCTGGTCTCTCCCAAGACACGTGGTGATTATGGGGATTATGGGATTACAATTCAAGATGAACTTTTGGTGGGGACCCAAAGCCTAAGCATATCAGTCTGTATACTGTATCATGGATCTTTGCATCTATATTTTTTGACACTTCCATACGTCTTTGATTATTGCAACTTTTTTGTAAATCTTAAAATCAGATAGTGTGTGCTTACTCCAACTTTTATTTTTCTTTTTCAAAATGATTTTGTCTCTTCCAAGTCCTTTGCCTTTCTATGTAAATTATCAGATCAGCTTGTCAGTATCTACAAAACTTCTGCTGGAATTTTTATTGGGATTGCATCAAGTGTATAGACAAATTTAAGGAGAATTTACATCTCTACTTATTGACTCTTATTTTAAGTAGGGTATGTCTCTTATTTTTTGAGGTATACCTAGATTAATAAACATTCTGTAGTCTTGAGCAGATAGAAACTACAGGTTTTGTTTGGTTTATATCTACATATTTATTTTTGGGGAGGGGCTACTGTACTTGTTTTAAATTTCACTTTGTAACTGTTCATTGTTAGTATATACATTTTTAAGAATTGACCTTATAGTCTATGCTCTTACAAAATTTATTTATTAAGTATAATTGTTCTTATATATTTCTTTGGATTGGCTATGTCCAAAATCATGTCATCTGTGAATAGGGATTATTTTATCTCTTCTTTTCTAATCTGTGTACTTTTTAATGGCTTTGTTTTCGTTGCCTTATTGCACTGGCTAAGACTTCCAATATTGTGTTCAGTACTTGTGGTGAGACACCCTTCCCTTATTCTCAATTTTAGGAGTGAAGCATTAACTCTTTCACTATTAAATGTGATAGCAGCTGTCGATTTGTTAGAGATACTCCTTATCATGTTGAGGAAGATACTTTCTATTCCTGATCTGCTCAGAGTTTTAATCATGAATGGATGTTGAGTTTTGTCAACTGCTTTTTCTGAAATAATTGAGATAATCATGTAGTTTTTCTTCTTTAATGTAGTAATATAGTGGATTACATTGATTGGTTTTTGTATATTCAACCAGCCTTGCATTCCTCAGATAAACTTTTCTTGGTCATTGTCTGTTATCCTTTTTATATATTGCTAGATTTTATTTTGAAATATTTTCGCAAAGAGTTTTGCGTCTATGTTCATGTGGGATAATGGGCTACAGTTTTGTGGAGTCTAGAGAACATATATTTTTATTTATGTAAATATTGTACTTACTGAGTAAATTTTTCTAAAAACATGGAATCCTTGGCTAGAAGAAAGGCTTGGGAAATTAATATTTAGCTATACAGATAGTGTGAGAGCACCAGAGGAATTTACCTAACTCTGGAGCTATGTGCTGACATTTCAAAGAAAAAGGAGGCCTGGAGACTTATAGACATCTCTATGCTGTAAGATATGGAGATACTCAGGCTTATATGGCCACTGGAGAGATGCATTCACATGTTGTATGCACAATTGTTCTTTCCTTTTTATTGCTGAGTAATGCTTCCTTGTTTAGATAAACCACAGTTTGTTTATCCTTTCAGCAGTGATGGACATGTAATTTATTTCCTGGCTGGGATTACATTGAATAAATCTTTCTTCTTCAAAGTGAATTACTCTGCCTTTTGTTGAAATGTGACTCATCCTGTTTTATCTTTAGGCATGGTCATCCTGCAGCAATTTTTAGAGAAATTATCATTTTCATTCTAGAGTAGTTTCTCCCGCCCTGATGTGTTCATTAAATGAACGCCCTGATGGTGTACATTAAAATGTGACCATCTCTTCATTCTATTTCAAGGTCAAATTCGATGTCAAATTCTATTTCCTGGTGTTCTCTTTTTCTACTCTTGAAATGACAAAGGTCTCTTGACATTCTGTCATTCGTTTAAAATGCATGCCTCTTTGGGGGATCCTGGGGTAGAGGGGATGCTCTCAGATCACTTTGCCTGGATACCTTATGCAGCCGTGCTTAGACCGTGAGTGTCCATGCTGGATGCTCCTTGAGTTGCAGTCCATAGGTGCAGGATCTCCAAGCTCTCTTGGGTTACTCTTCTCTCCCCAGATATTTAAGTGGGAGTGGGATAGAGTGGAAGAGTTTATACTCTCTGAAATTAATGTCTGCACTCAATTACCCTTCACACAAGTTTCTAGCCTATATCAGAAGAAAAGCTCCACAGGTCTATTTACCTAGAATGTGATTAAGTTATAGGAAACAA
Source organism: Homo sapiens (assembly GCF_000001405.40). Classification (NCBI taxonomy): domain Eukaryota; kingdom Metazoa; phylum Chordata; class Mammalia; order Primates; family Hominidae; genus Homo; species Homo sapiens. The sequence continues at coordinate 76,428,350 of NC_000002.12, forward strand.
ACAAAGTTTTTCTGTATTGCATTTGGGCTGAAATTCTAAAATTTGAAAGCTAAGCATTTGCTTGATAACTGCCCAATATAGGGCCAATTCACAGCTCATGTCAAATGAGGGCAGATCCCAGAGTTAAATATGTGAAAATATGTAATACTCCACACATCCTTCTGCCACAATGATAAACAACTGGTGATAATATGACCAGGATATATTGAGTAAAAATTCAAAATGTTTGTATACATATACATTTATTTAATCCATATGTTAACCCTATGCAATAGGTAATGTTTTCATTGCAGTTTTACAGATCAGGGAACATAATTTGTTAATGGTGGGGACTGGGTTCAAACATTGGCATCTGGTCCTAGAACCTGGGCTTTTAGCCATTTCCCATTAATCTGTACTTTCTCTATAGAGGCAGTCACATCTATGTACCAACACCTCCTTGTTGTTTTGACTCCATACTATCAACATCAAGACATCCAGTGAATACATCAATTATGGGGGATGATTAGTTTCTCTTCTGTTCTTTCCAACCTCAGAAAGGATATTTTTTCTGTTACAAAAATACGATTCTTCTGTTTAATAATGTATGATGAATATCAGCAAGAGTTTAGGAAACAAAAAAGATGGGTTTTGGCATATTTGGGCATGTAAAGAAGATAAGAAAAGAGATATCATCTTGAGACTAATAAAGTAAATGTCAGACTTGATCGGGTTAGATTTTCTGTGTCCAGGATTATTTACTAACAAAATATCAAACAAGCTCATAAAGAGACTATGCATGTGTTTTTGCTTGTGAAAATGCAGAAATACCCTGATACCTTATGAAGGGAGAGAGAGAGAGAGAGTGTGTGTGTGTGTGTGTGTGTGTGTGTGTGTGTGTGTGTCTGAGAGAGACAGAGAGAGAGAGAGAGATTAGAGTCTGGAAGAGAAAAATTGTTTTTGAGGAGATAAACATTTAAATATTTGACTCGAAATTTTTGTTGTTCATTATGTTTGCCTTTTTATTGTGAATTCTTTTGTCCTGACCTAAAAATGCCCACTTATTTAGAATTTAGAATTTGTACATTGCTGAGGGGCTCATACTAGGAAAGCAATTGAGAATCTATGATGTATGATTTTATTTATATCCAGGGCTTATTTTAAGACATAAAGGAGAGGAGGAAATGGCAAATGGCAATCAGATGTACAAAGGTCTACAGCAGTGTGTAAATAGTATGAGTGTGAGAGTTTGCAAAACAGGCAGAAAAACAATTCCTAAACTTGCATAGATCGAATTTCATTGACGTGTAAAAGTATACCTGCACAACAGTTAACTAATGAATCATAGTGCCAGCTTTATGTCAGTCATCTTGCCAATGTGAAAACATCACTTATGTTTAATTTGTGTCATATTTGAAAAGCATGTTTTGTAAATGTAAAACTCAACAAATCTCAATACTTTTAACTAAAAATATTCCACCAGTCATTCTCTAATAATTGTTTGGTATCTCCATCATTTTACCATTCTTCCTTCATATAGTTCAGTAGAATTACTATCTCCTCAGCCAGGGGGAGTAAGGTGCATGAGCGGAGGTGGCCTTTAGAGTCCTTGTGGTCCAGGCTTAAACTCATCAGAATATTGTATCATCTCTGGTTGCACACTGGGCAAGTGGTCAGAGTCAAGAAGATTCAATGGGGCTAATGTTGGTAATTCTTGCTAAGACAATCTGAAATAACTCTTGAATTAGAGGAAATCTATTATATTAAGATAATTTAGAAACAATGATAATTTACTATTATACATCAATACTTACGGGCTGTTGTCAAAGCTGCAGTCTGAATTAAGAGCACTGCAGAAGATAAACTGAGTAATTGAGATAGAGATGGTTGGGGTTCGGGCTGCTTTTATTAAGATAGTGAGAAAAGGTGTCTCCGAAGAAGGGATATTCGACTTGCAATCAAGTGGGGAGTAGGTAGTAATGTAAAGGTATGATGGAGTAACGTCCCACACACGAGAGGTAACAAGGACAGAAGCCATGAGAGAAAAAAACACTTTCCATGGTGAGTGGCCAGCAAGTGTGTCAGTATTACTGGAATACTGAGATTGAGGGAGTGAGGAAAGATGAGATCATCAGTGGGAGCTCCCCTGAAGGTGGGAGCTGGCCTGGAACTTACCACTAGGTTGTAGTGTCCTTCTGTTGAGCATAAACAATTTCACAGAGAACCAACATCAAACAAGGTCACTCTGTAACCATAAGCGAAGCTAGACAGAAACAAGACCATCCATAATTCTGTGTGATCAAATATCATAAAAAGAATACTGTCCAGTTTACAAAAAAATGGCCCACATCCCTATTTCCTGGACAATATGCTGCTTCTCTGCTCATCACAGCTTTGCCCTGCCTCGTTGCTCCTGCCTCGTTGATAAGATTCATTCAGCTACTCTATTGTAGAACCAACCCTGACTTGCTAATAGCATCTGACCTAGAACAATGCCATGCTTCCTTAAAAAACTCTTCAAAATCCTGATGTAAGACAATATCCTATAATAAGTCCTTTCTAATACCTTATTGAGACGCTTCATAGCTTCTCATGGTATATTTTCCTATTTCAAAGAATCCATAAAACTAACTTTGTTCAAATACAGGCGGTTTTTGGCTAGACAGCATCAACAGGATCCTGATTGAAATAGGAGAGAGATTGAAAAGAAGTGAAAGGCAACCGCAATCTTCTTATGAAAGTGATGAGTATGCTTTGCTATTGTTTAGATAGCAAAAAGAAATTGATGATAGATAAATATAGGTAGATAAATAAATTGGTAGATAATCTTTAAGAACATTACAGGTTCCCTTTCCTATATAGAAATATTTTTTACATCTATCTTGCATCATTATTACCTGCTGAGCTAAACAAACAAAAAACTTGGATGCCTCCCTCTTCTATCTCCCAGAGATTCTGATACAATTGTCTGAGAAGGGTCCTAGACATTCTAGTTTTCAAAAGCTGCCCAGGTGAATTCTAACGTGCAGCTAAAACTCAGAGCCACTGCTCCAGAGGCAGATGATGATGTATTTAAAGCTTAATTAGTCCCGTGCAAATTGTAATTTCCAAGCTTCTACAGTTTGGATAGCTAAGGGAGCAGTTATCAAGAGAAACAACAGTTTCCTATTTTGTCTATCAGGGGAGTAGAAACTAGAGCTCTGTGTGTAGTAAGTAGTGTAGTACTCTCTCTCCTGTGGGCAGAATGGCCTTGCAAACCACTGCTTAATTAGGAAAATGTTTTCTTTCATCTGTGGGATGTCTGTACTTCTTTTGAGAATTATTATTTGTCCTTAGGAACTGTGTTAATGATCTAATAGTTAAAAGCCGGATGCTTAGTAGAAGAAACCCAATTCATATCTCCGATTCATACCTGTAGGAAGAACTCAAAAGTTTTCTTATCTATCCTCATGTGTGAATTATATGTTTCATGTTTGTTCTTTCGTTTCCCCTCACTCTCATGCAAGACGTGCACTTCTCTAGCTTTGTGTGAGGTTGTTGTGAAGGCAAATTACTCATCTACATATCACAAGTACTGCCACCTCTGGGCTACATATTTAAAATAAGTTGATCAGCAACTTTGGTCTTCCTGCCTTTTTCTTCCAAAATAGGGAATGACTGTGTTCATTTTATTTCTCCACACCCACAGTAATTTTGAAACACTTTTAGACTTTGGCGATGAGAAACATTGTTGGGAGTGAACTTATCGCACCTCTATTTTACTTGCACCCCACCCATTAACTTATTAGTAAACCTTCTAATTCATTGGCCATTAAATCTTTTGCTAAGTCCTTCTTTCATCCTATGCTCTTTTTGTTAAGTGGTTGGTTATTTTTTTTTTTTTTTTGAGACAGAGTCTCGCTCTATCACCCGGGCTGGAGTGCACCATCTCGGCTCACCGCAAACTGTGCCTCCCGGGTTCACACCATTCTCTCATCTCAGCCTCCCAAGTAGCTGGGACTACAGGCACACGCTACCACGCCTGGCCAATTTTTTTGTATTTTTAGTAGAGACGGGGTTTCACCGTGTTAGCCAGGATGGTCTCGATCTCCTGACCTCGTGATCCGCCCGCCTTGGCCTCCCAAAGTGCTGGGATTACAAGCATGAGCCACCGCGCCTGGCCTGGTTATTCTTTAAAAAAAAAAAAAATCAAGAAATACATGTATATGAAATCTGCGAACATTATCTTCTTTACATGTATTCAAAATATATTATTCTGTTTGCCGTTGCTTTTGAAATGTTTTCTCATGTTTGTGGTGGAGTTTTTTTGCCCATTGTTTTTATATAGTCACAACAAGTAATATGTTCTTTCATTGTGTCTGTCTTTGGGTCAGCCCTTTACTAAACTAAAGTTATACAAACGCTAACAAACGTGTTTTTGTGTATGTGATTATATTGTTACTTTTAATCTTAGAAAATTTTATGCTAACTTAGAATTAAGTTAAGTGAACAATATAAAACTCAATTAGTCTGTGAATAATATTTATAACACATATAAAAAGGGGATAGATTGGAAATACATAACAATATATTTTATTTCAAAAATAAAAAGCAATGATAAATATCTCAAAAGAGCAAAGTGGGCTTAGAATATAAATAAGCAATTAGAAGAAAAACATTTATCCATTTAATTATTTATTCGTAAATATGTATTAAATGTTCACTACCTGCCTTGCACTATTTTAGATTGTGAAATGCATAGTGGTATACACTCAGGTTCCCTGACTTAATAAAGCTTATTAAAAGTCACTAACCTAGGTGTAAATCTTTAGGCATACCTAAATTCCATTATATCAAAATTATATCATCAATTGTGTGCCTATTTTTTTCAAATGGAATTTGGGAATTAAAAGGAACAGCCCATAAAATGGTTGCCACTCAGTGGGAGCATATTTTGGTAAAGACTTCTTGGCCTGCAATTTGGTAATGTTATTCAACATAGTTTAAAGTCATTTGATTTTGAAAATGAATCACAGGAAATAAAATAAATTATATAACAACTATATAATACATTCATTAAATAACTTTCAGAAATATACCATGATATGTATTCATATAGATAGAAAAAGCAATTTAGTATACAGTATGACCTTAACACACATACATACACAGTTTCAGAACTAGAAAATAGCTCTGGAAAACCACATTGCTGTAGGATTGTGACAAAAACCTATCTGGCATATGGCCTACCACTGGTGGAATTAGGGATTTGTTTCTTCATTAACTGTATAGTCTGTTGCTTTTTTTCTCAATAAATGTGTAATAAATAGCCAAAGTTGGAAAATGTATTTTCTTCATTTTTAAATTTACTGTTTGTGTTTTGAAAAACTAATTATATCTATTAAGGTAGGCAGGGTCACTGCTCATTAACAATCTAGAACTATCTAGGCAGCAAATTTATTCCATATAAATCCTTGATTTTTTCTGATACTTCGTTTTTATGGGAGAGTGATGATGACAAGGCTGAAATTAGTGAGTCATTCAGTAGTGTAACTTTGAATTATTAAACTAATGCATTAGTACTCACAGTGATTCTAAGCAGAGGTCTTTCAATGTCAAGAAAATCATATTGGATTCCTGTGGCATAATATTCAGAAATCTCTCAAATTATTTAATAATTTGTCTAACCTTGAATTCCAGAGTGATGGACATAACTATTTAAGACTACACTTTTGAAATCTGAATATTATCAAAATTAAAGAGTAGTATGTGTGCAGCAATAGACATACATAAAAATGAACTGCTTCATTATTTAAAAAACTAGAGATTAATTTGATTCTGTCATAATATTACATTTTGAAGTTGTGAACTATGAGATTATTTAAAATTATAGTTGTTATCTAATATCTGATAGCTCAGTTTGCCTGTGCTGATTTAAAAAAAGAATGATATCTACATCAGAGAGAAAAAGAATTATCAAAGTGGATGAATGCCAGGCAGAAATCATGGGATATGTTTGATATACTCTGCTTTATTTCTTTTTTTTTTTAACTTTTATTTTCACAGAGAATTGTTATCCCTTCTTCACGGCTCACCATTTCAGACATAGTCATGTAATGACATGAAATGGGTTGGAATGTGTCCAATGGTGTGCTTGCCTTTAAGGAATGTTAGTAGGTTTGATGATGTTTTGAATGTATGTTTATTGAAGTGCTGAAAATCCATCAACTCATTGATATGTACTCACTGAACTCTACTATTCATCCACATTGATATATGGAAATCTACATTTTTGGACTTTGTAGAAGACCAGGATTGTGGGTTTACTCAAAAGGTATTCCCACTTTTAATTTCCTTTGTCCATCTCCCACAATATACAATATGGAAGAGTGAGATACTGACTTTCTCATTTCTTTTTCTTCTGTACCCAGGGGTGATAATATGACCCAGTTCTGGACAATGATATTTTCTGGGAGTTTCTAGAAAAATAATTTTTTCTGGTTATATACAGTCATCATCCATGCTTGGAAATAGCATGATGTGTGAGTTTGTGGAAAATATCTTGAAAAATTACGTGAAGGGAGACACATGAGGAATAAAGTCTATAAGGCTAAGGATGGCAGAGAGGCAAAATGGTGGAAACCTACACCCTTGAGAGCCCTACTGCACCATCAAACCGTGTACAGCATTGCCTAACCCCAGACATTTTTATGCGATAAGAGTAAACTGTTTAAGCCACAATTCATTTTTATTACTTATATGTAAACACTGTCCTAATTGATGACCTTCCTTAACATTCATGTATTCAATAAATATTTGAGCATCTACTAGGAGCAAGGCAATTTGCTTGCTTCTATATGTGTTATGATTATTAATAGAACTTATTTCTAATTTTATGAATATTTAGACAAGTACATAGGAGTATTACAGAGGAGCAGGCAGCAAAAATTGATACCTGCAAGCTGATGAGCACCCAGCTAGGTAGAGAGGGAGAAGGGAACATTCCAGGCAGAGGAGAGTACATGTTTAGGGTGAAGGTCCTGAACAGAAAGGAACTCTGCAAATGTTCAGAAGTAGGAAAATAAAAAGCAGTGTTGCTATTATAATCTAGTTTAAATGGCAAGACCACATTCGATAAGCACTAGGAAGCAACTCAAATCGATGTATTCTTTTTTTTTTTTTTTTGAGACAGAGTCTCGCTGTGTTGCCCAGGCTGGAGTGCAGTGGCGCCATCTCCGCTCACCGCCTCCTGGGTTCATGCCATTCTCCGGCCTCAGCCTCCGAAGTAGCTGGGACTACCAGCGCCCGCCACCACGCCAGGCTAATTTTTTTGTATTTTTTAGTGGAGACAGGGTTTCACCGTGTTAGCCAGGATGGTCTCGATCTGCCGACCTCGTGATCCGCCTGCCCCGGCCTCCCAAAGTGCTGGGATTACAGGCAAATCGATGTATTCTTAACATGAATAACATAGAGAACTAGAAGAGAACTTGTGTTCTAAGTCATATTTTAGATGGAAATAAACTCATATTTACCTTCCAGTTTTAATAAGAATCTCTCGAGTAAAGAAAGGAAAAAAAAAATTTATAAAAGCAGTGCTAATAGAAGAGGTAATATAAGTAGACAACAGAATAATATAATAAAGATTATATAGGTCTATGCATCTAATGCTGATTTATATTAAACTTGTCTTTAACATAAATTTAAAATTTGTTTAAAATTTTTTTAAATTTTTACTATCCTTATGAGTTTTATAATTTTCTCGTGAAACTTCATTCCAATAGATTGGAGACTTGAAGAGATGAGTTTAACCTGCCAGTGAATACTATCTTGAATGTAACACAAACACAGAAGAGTACACTGATCGTAAGTATATAACTCAAAATTATCACAAAGTGAATATATTCATGTAATCACCACCCAGGTAAAATAATAGTAATAATAATTACAATACCCTAGAAATAGCTCTTGCGCTGTCCTTCAGTAACAAACCCTAACTCCATTCCAGACTTCCCCTGATTTCAAACTTGAAGAAAATCACACAATATGATTTTTTTATTAGGTTGTAATTTTTTCCTCATCATGTTTTATGTAGTAAAAGTTTATTCATTTTTCTTGCTGTGTAGTAGCCTAGAGATTGATATATAACAATTTATTTATCTATCCTACTGTTGACAGGCATTTCAATTGTTTCCAGTAATGGATTTTTACAGTTTTCAGTAATCAGCTATCATAAACAATGCTACTATTCATATTACTGTAAATATGTTTTTGTGCATGGATGCATGCATATCTTTTGGGTCATTGTACTAGGATTGTTGGGTTTAGGGACTGAATATCTTCAACTTAGTATAAACTACCAAACAAGTTTCCAAAATGCTTTTAAAATTTATCCTCCTACCAGGAGGATTTGAGATTTCTAGTTAGCCCATATCTTTGTTAACATTAGTATTGCTAAATCTTTTTCATTTTATCTACCCCGAGCTGCACTTAGTGATATCTTAGTATAATTTTAATTTGCATTTCTTTAAAGACTAATGAAGTTGAGCATCTTTTCATTTGACTTCTCTATTTGGATATATTCTTGTGTGAGGCTCCTGTTAAAATATTTTACCCATCTTTCTATGGTGGTGTCATTTTCTTAAAAATTGGTGGCTTTTTGTTTTTTTGTCTTTCGAATAAGCCAATTTTTGATTATACATATTACAAATGTTTTCTTTCATCCCGTGGCATGTGTTTTCATTGTCTTCAATGGTGCTTTTGGAGAGCACCATTTCCAGTTTCAGGGGAATGTACCTTATAATCTTTTCTTTAAGGTTAGTGTGATTATGTACAAGCTTAAAAGTTGTTATTTAAAAAGATTTTGCTTATGTTAAATATAGAAAGGTATCCTCCCATTTTATCTTCTATAAACTTTATTTTTACTCTTCATATTTAAATGTATGTCCTATTTGGAATTCATTTTGGGGTATAGTTGAGGTAGGGTTCAAAATTATTTTCCCATATGACGATCCAAGCCACCCAGAACCATTTATTGAATTTTACCACCCAATGTAAGTTGAAAAACAACCCAATATATGTTGTTACTATGACACCTTCATCATAAATTCTGTGAAATATTTCTGAGGGTTCCATTAATGTGAATTTTTGTTGTCAATATTACTTCTTGGGGATGTCTTCATTCCTTTCATCATGACCACTTTCCTCACTCTATTCATAAGTTGGCATTCACTAAGGTGCTGTGGCTGAATATCTAGACTCAAACAGAAGCAGTGCCCACATTCCCACAGTTGGTCATTTCTTCTATAACTCCATTTACTGTCTGTTCAAATTTTACTTCCAGTCTTATCACTTCTTATTTCTTTGCTGTACCTTCATCTTTGTGGGCCAATTCTTTCCTTCAGTTATCTATTTTTATAAAATGTCACATAGGTTTATCACTGGAGGACAAGGAGATGATGCAACTGCACACTGCTTTGTGTGCATAAACTGAAAATTAGATACGCAGCAACCAATTGTCAACAGGCCTTCAAAGAAGCGATGTGTTTTGCACGGATTATGATGTGCAGCTATTTAAGCAGTGATTTGTGGACTAAACAGCTATAGTAGCAAAGTCTGTACTTTATGTAATTACTCATAGTTAATACATTATGGTAAATGAAATTTGAACTGTCATGTTGGGAGAATGGCGTTATTTAACTAAACTGTAGTAACTGAAGTTTGTGCATATTAAAGCAATGCAAAATAAGGATTGCATCAATGTTTTATGGCCATGTTGTTAGATAAATTCACATTTACTAAAAGAAAAACTTCCTGGAAGATTGACCTTTTCATCATCAAAAAAGGTAATCTTCATTAATGCTTTATTTTGTAATGTCTACTTTAGATAAAATAAACTTTTTATGTTATTGTTTGTATTGTACATCTTTTTTACTTTTTTAAATTCTTTTTTTTTTTTTTTGACGGAGTTTCACTCTTGTCACCCATACTGGAGTGCAATGGCACGATCTCAGCTCACTGCAACCTCCGCCTCCCGGGTTCAAGCAATTCTCCTGCCTCAGCCTCCTGAGTAGCTGGGATTACAGGCGCCCGCCACCATGCCCAGCTAATTCTTGTATTTTTAGTAAGACAGGGTTTCACCATGTTGGCCAGGCTGGTCTTGAAATCCTGACCTCAGGTGATCTGCCTGCCTCCGCCTCCCAAAGTGCCGGGATTACAGGTGTGAACCACCGTGCCCGGCCCTCTAAATTCTTATACATCAGGTATGTCTCTTGTAAACAGAGTGTAGTAGAAATTATTCCTTTAATCTGATATGACAACCTTTGTTTCTTATTTGAGATATTGACTTTGTTTTTATGTACTATGATTACTGAACTATTCTAGTTTATACATTCTCACCCATTCTATGTTTATTTTGCTTTATTTTACTTTTATTGTTTAAGAATTTTTAACATTAAACATTCTGTTTTCCTTTTACTGATTAGTTATGTTCTTTTAGTAGTTTTATCGGAGATTATATAATGAATCTGTGTCTTTTCAAAGTCCAATATAAATTAGGATGTCATTTCACAAACAATTAAAGGGCCCTTAATTCCATTAACACCAATTACTCAAATCTTGACTTTTGTGCTATTTTTTTGCTGAGTGTTTTTATACCCTGTATGTTTAAACCCACAAGGCATTAGTATAACTGTTTTTGTATAGTGTGTATCCACTTATAATTACTCTATATATTCAAACTTTTTATTACCCTTTCTTTTCTTTCATCTTTTAAAAATCACAACAGATTCATATGAGGTCATTTTCCTTTAGCCTGAAGGACTTTCTCATTATGACCTTTAATACTGTCTTCTGATTTCTTTCAGCTTTGGTTTTGGTACAATGCCTTAATTTCATTTTTGTTTTAAATCTATTCATGATAGGATAGATTGTGATAGTTATCAGCCATTTAAAAACTCAATATAATTGCTAAAATAACAATTTTCAGTAGATGGCTGGAATAATTGTTGAAGAGCTTTTTCAGAATGTATGGCAATAAACTGATAGAGATCCAGCAATTCTGCTTCTAGGTTTTTACCCAAAAGAATTGAAATCAGGGAATTAATCTGCATTTGCATAACCATGTTCATAGTAGTGTTACTCATAATAGCCAAAAATGGAAGCAAATCAAGTGTCTGTGGATAGATGAATAGATAAACAAAATGTAGTGTCTATATACAATGCAATAGTGTTCAGCCTTAAAAAGGAAGGACATTCTGACACACACTTAATGTGCATGACCTGTGAAAGCATTATGGTAAGTGAAATAAGCTATCACAAAAGTACAACTATTTTATGATTTCACTTATATGAGATACTTGAGTAGTCAAAATCATAAAAACAGAAAGTAGAATGGTAGTTGTCAGGGCCTGGCAGGATAGGGGGAATAGGGCATTACTGTTTAGTGGATATAAAGTTTCATTTTGGAAAGATTAAACAGTTCTGGAGATGGGTGATGGTAATTACAGTACAAAATGTAAATGTACTTAATGTAAAGTGGTAAATTTTGTTATGTATATTTTGCCACACTTGAAAAAAAATTGTGAGCTGGCCACAGTGGCTCATGCCTGTAATCCCAGCACTTTGAGAGGCCAAGGCAGATGGATTGCTTGAGCTCAGGACTTCAAGACCAGCCTGGGCAACATGGCAAGGCTCTGTCTCTATAAAAAATATAAAACTTAGCTGGGCATCGTGATGCATGCCTGTAGCCCTAACGACAGGGGAGACTGAGGTGGGAGGATCGCTTGGGCCGTAGTGAGCTGTGATGGCACCACTACACTCTAGCCTGGGTGACAGAGCAAGACTTGTCTAAAAAAAAAAAAAAAGGGAAAAGAAAATGGTGATACATACTAGTAGGAAAACCGTTAAGACAGAAATACTCAAATAAATTTATTTTTGAAAATAAATTTTAGAAGAAAATTACATGAATGGAAGAAAATAATTGAAGAAATAAGAAATAAAATTTTCCAGAACTGAGGAAAGACTACTTGCTAATAATAATGAATTTAAAGAAACACGTCCAAATGTGTCATGAAAAATTTACAAAGAAACAGGATCAGGTTGACATTGGACAGGGATTCTGAAACCTAGAATTCAATGAAGCAAAGACTTCCTATTTTTGAAAGTGTTGCACCTAGAAATTTGTTTTTGTTTTTAGTACTTTTGTTTTTAAATGTGCAATAAATTCACTCATTCTCTTTGTAAACATTTGAATGGTATTTACAAAATCTCGACATGCTTCTGTTAACATGCTAAAATATATTGTGCATACCAGAAAGGTATGATATGGTTTCTGCCTTCAAGAACTTACAGCCAAATTTGAAAGACTAGATTTTATTGATTTATTTATTATTATTTTTTATTATACTTTAAGTTTTAGGGTACATGTGCACAACGTGCAGGTTTGTTACATATGTATACATGTGCCATGTTGGTGTGCTGCAACCATTAACTTGTCATTTAACATTAGGTATATCTCCTAATGCTATCCCTCCCCCCTCCCCCCACCCCACAACAGGCCACGGTGTATGATGTTCCCCTTCCTGTGTCCACGTGTTCTCATTGTTCAATTCCCACCTATGAGTGAGAACATGTGGTGTTTGATTTTTTGTCCTTGTGATAGTTTGCTGAGAATGATGGTTTCCAGCTTCATCCATGTCCCTACAAAGGACATGAACTCATCATTTTTTATGGCCGCATAGTATTCCATGGTGTATATGTGCCACATTTTCTCAATCCAGTCTAACATGGTTGGACATTTGGGTTGGTTCCAAGTCTTTGCTATTGTGAATAGTGCCACAATAAACATACATGTGCATGTGTCTTTATAGTAGCATGATTTATATTCCTTTGGGTATATACCCAGTAATGGGATGGCTGGGTCAAATGGTATTTCTAGTTCTAGATCCCTGAGGAATCGCCACACTGACTTCCACAATGGTTGAACTAGATTCCAGTCCCACCAACAGTGTAAAAGTGTTCCTATTTCTCCACATCCTCTCCAGCATCTGTTGTTTCCTGACTTTTTAATGATCGCTATTCTAACTGGTGTGAGATGGTATCTCATTGTGGTTTTGATTTGCATTCCTCTGATGGCCAGTGATGATGAGCATGTTTTCATGTGTCTTTTGGCTGCATAAATGTCTTCTTTTGAGAAGTGTCTGTTCATATCCTTTGCCCACTTTTTGATGGGTTTGTTTGTGTTTTTCTTGTAAATTTGTTTGAGTTCATTGTAGATTCTGGATATTAGACCTTTGTCAGATGAGTAGATTGCAAAAATTTTCTCCCATTTTGTAGGTTGCCTGTTTACTCTGATGGTAGTGTCTTTTGCTGTGCAGAAGCTCTTTAGTTTAATGAGATCCCATTTGTCAATTTTGGCTTTTGTTGCCATTGCTTTTGGTGTTTTAGACATGAAGTCCTTGCCCATGCCTATGTCCTGAATGGTATTGCCTAGGTTTTCTTCTAGGGTTTTTGTGGTTTTAGGTCTAACATGTAAGTCTTTAACCATCTTGAATTAATTTTTGTATAAGGTGTAAGGAAGGGATCCAGTTTCAGCTTTCTACATATGGCTAGCCAGTTTTCCCAGCACCATTTATTAAATAGGGAATCCTTTCCCCATTGCTTGTTTTTCTCAGGTTTGTCAAAGATCAGATAGTTGTAGATATGTGGCATTATTTCTGAGGGCTCTGTTCTGTTCCATTGATCTATATCTCTGTTTTGGTACCAGTACCATGCTGTTTTGGTTACTGTAGCCTTGTAGTATAATTTGAAGTCAGGTAGTGTGATGCCTCCAGCTTTGTTCTTTTGGCTTAGGATTGACTTGGGGATGCGGGCTCTTTTTTGGTTCCATATGAACTTTAAAGTAGTTTTTTCCAATTCTCTGCAGAAAGTCATTGGTAGCTTGATGGGGATGGCATTGAATCTATAAATTACCTTGGGCAGTATGGCCATTTTCACGATATTGATTCTTCCTACCCATGAGCATGGAATGTTCTTCCATTTGTTTGTATTCTCTTTTATTTCATTGAGCAGTGGTTTGTAGTTCTCCTTGAAGAGGTCCTTCACATCCCTTGTAAGTTGGATTCCTAGGTATTTTATTCTCTTTGAGGCAATTGTGAATGGGAGTTCACTCATGATTTGGCTCTCTGTTTGTCTGTTATTGGTGTATAAGAATGCTTGTGATTTCTGCACATTGATTTTGTATCCTGAGACTTTGCTGAAGTTGCTTATCAGCTTAAGGAGATTTTGGGCTGAGATGATGGGGTTTTCTAGATATGCACTCATGTCATCTGCAAACAGGGACAATTTGACTTCCTCTTTTCCTAATTGAATACCCTTTATTTCCTTCTCCTGCCTGATTGTCCTGGCCAGAACTTCCAACACTATGTTGAATAGGAGTGGTGAGAGAGGGCATCCCTATCTTGTGCCAGTTTTCAAAGACAATGCTTCTAGATTTTGCCCATTAAGTATGATATTGGCTGTGGGTTTGTCATAGATAGCTCTTATTATTTTGAGATACTTCCCATCAATACCTAATTTATTGAGAGTTTTTAGCATGAAGGGTTGTTGAATTTTGTCAAAGGCCTTTTCTGCATCTATTGAGATAATCATGTGGTTTTTGTCATTGGTTCTGTTTATATGCTGGATTACGTTTATTGATTTCATATGTTGAACCAGCCTTATTTTTTTGAGCTGTTGTTTCACTCTTGTCGCCCAGGCTGGAGTGCAGTGGCACGATCTCAGCTCACTGAAACCTCTGCCTCCCAGGTTCAAGTGATTCTCCTGCCTCAGCCTCCCGAGTACCTGGGATTATAGGTGCCTGCCATCATGCTTGGCTAATTTTTGTATTTTTAGTAGAAACGGGATTTCACCATGTTGGCCAGCCTGGTCTTAAACTCCTGACCTCAGGTGATCGGCCTGCCTCATCCTCCCAAAGTGCTGGGATTACAGGCATGAGCCACCACGCCTGGCCTTTTTTTTTTTTTTTTTTTGTAGACAGTCTCCCTTTTTCACTCAGGCTGGAGTGCAGTGGCCTAATCTTGGTTCACTGCAACCTCAGCCTCCAGGGTTCAAGCAATTCTTGCACCTCAGCCTCCTGAGTAGCTGGGATTACAGGCGTGAGCCACCACGCCTGGCTAATTTTTGTACTTTTATTAGAGACAAGGTTTCACCATGTTGGCCAGGCTGGTCTTGAACTCCTGATTTCAAGTGAGCCACTTGCCTCGGCCTCCTAAAGTGCTGGGATTATAGGTGCGAGCCATTGCACCCCACCTGTAATCTTTTACCTACTGAAATTGTAAGGGCAAGATTCAAATTTTTAGATACAGAATTATAGAAATTTTACCTCCTAGCAGTCTTACTGGGGAAAACAAAAACAAAAACAAAAAAACAACTATATGATCTTGGATCACAAAAAAACTAAAATGCAATCTACCAAGGAAGAGGTCAGAAAAATAATGGTGTTTACTCCAAGATAGCAAAGACATCTGGGCCAGGCTGATGGCTGTAATTCCAGCACTTTGGGAGGTGAGCGGATCACTTGAGTCCATGAGTTTGAGACCAGCCTGGCCAACATGGTGAAACCCAGTCTTCACTAAAAATACAAAATTAGCTGGTTGTGTTGGCATGTGCCGGTAGTCCCATCTGCTTGGGAGGCTGAGGCAGGAGAATTGCTTGAACCCAGGAGGTGGAGGTTGCAGTGAGCCGAGATTGTGCCACTGCACTCCAGCCTGGGCAACAAGGTGAGACTCTGTCTCAAATAAATAAATAAACAAATAAATAAATAAATAATAAATAAAAGATAACAAATAAATCCAAGAGGTACTTGGATTTCTTCACAAGCACCAAGACTTATGAAGAGGTCTCCACACACTAAATTGTTCAACAGATAGCACAAACATGTGAATGAGAAAGGACAAGTGTATTTCTCTGATGAATAAACGAGAGAAAGGTCGTAGTCTAAATAGAAGGCAAGCAAAATGTAGTTTGACTCAGATAATTTTATGGATTGTGTTTGATCTTAATCCTTGGAAGATTATCTTTTTATTGTTAGAAGGCTGGTGACTTTAGATGATAGCATCTTATGTATGGATTCAACCATAATTCGCTTTGTGGAAATATTTTTATTGTTGTAAGACTGCAAATGTCACTTACTGGTTTTCAGTTTTAGAACCAAGAAGAGCATGGAAAAATCATAGTTACATAGAAAAGCAAATACAACTTTCGCAATAATAAAAGCAAACCTATTTGAGAGATTTTGAGAGAGAAAGATCAAGAGAAGAAAGGAATGGGGGAAATTATAGGGTTGCTACCTTATTGAGCAGGTGGAGATAATATCTAAAATTGTTGGATCAAGACATAAATGTTTTGGTAATTTATTAAAACTATTTATCTATCTATATCTAAATCTATATCTATAATATTGAAGTAAGAGGCAGGACTGGGACACCAGACCAAATTGAGGACTAGCTAAAATAGTTCTGGGGTGGAAATAGCTTTCCATAAGACATGTCTACTAGTGTGCCATGTCAGTTTACCATTTCCTTGGCAACGTCTGGAAGTTACTTCCTCTTTCCATGGCAATGACCCAATGACCTGGAAGTTATCATCCTCATCCTAGACATTTCTGCATAAACCACTCCTTACTTTGCATATAATTAAAAGTGAGTATAAGTATGAGTGCAGAACTGCCTCTAAGCTGCCATTCTGGGCACATCGCCTATGAGGGATCCCTGCTCACAAGGAGCAGCACCTCTGCTCCTACTGTGTGCATTGCCGCTTCAATAAAAGTTGCTGTTTAACACCACCAGCTCGCCCTCGAATTCTTTCCTTGAGAGCTTGTTCGGAGGTTCTAGCAGGGGAGCGCAGCTACTCGTGTACCCTTGACCGAAGTCCGGTCCTCCTCTATCGGGGATGGTCGTCCTCTTCGACCGAGCGCGCAGCTTCGGGAGGGACGCACATGGAGCGGTGAGGGAGGAAGGGGACACCCGCCTAGCCAGCCAGATCAGCCGAATCAACCCTGGCGATCAATGGGGTAACAGATGTCGCAGCCAGATCGCCCTCACATCCGAATTGTTTCCTAGATGAATCCAAGAACTCTCCGAAGCTAAGCCTCAATTATGGGGCTTGCCTGTCCTGCATCAATATTATCATCATCATCTATCTAAAATTTTAGAAAGGTAGAAGGTCGTGTATAGGACAGATTTTCCGTTATTCACAGCATGGTGTCAATAGAGATTGTTTACTTATAAGAAATCAAGCTATATGTGAAAAATCATATTGTAAAAGGAAAAGTAAGCCTCAAGACAACCATAACAAGAATAATCCAAAGTGTTACCTTGAGGGTACACAAGGGTAGAACATTTGGCTGCAAAGTGGTACCACTAAAGCATGTGAAGGGAGTGGATTTCGAACAGAGGTTATAATTTTATAACTTGATGTTTTAATATGATATAAAATTGTTATCAGTTTAATACAATTTATTTTAGGGTTTAAAAGGTAAATTTTTAATAACAGTTATGACAAGGGAAAAAATAGAAGCAGAAATATGCATGAAAAAATTAGGTTCAAAAGACTCATCATTTGCAATAATTGTTTTTGACCAAAAAAAAAAACAACACTTACGCTCAAGGTGATGTTTTCAGTGAAAGAACTATTTGCAATACATTCATTTTCTTCTCATTAGTTCTGCCTCCCAATTAACTTGTAATTTTGTGTTCTAGGAAAGGTACTGAAGTTAAGTGTTTTTTTTTTTTTTAAGTATCAGGAGATGCAAAACCGCAAAAGAGAGACGTTATGTGTTAGTTCTTTTTATTTCACTTCCTTCTTTTCACATAGCAAGCAAATGATCCAGAAAAAAAAAAATAACTAAATAAACTTCATATGGAATAAAAAGCAGAATTTTGTTTACTAGTTAAAGGAGAAATAACACTCTTTGTTGAGACCCATAAAGGTAAATTTTGTTTCTGTCAGAATCCTCTGCTTTCTGAATTTTTCCATTTGTCCAAAGTAAAATAGCTTAAATGTTTGGAGAAGCACCCTCCGTAAGAACTACACTATGATTTTTAATATTAAAAATATTCAGCTTATCGAGAATTATTTGCCTAGTAATCGGCTAGGAAAAACTATTTTTTAATAAAATTATTTTAAATGTCATTATGCATTGTTTTTCTGGTACATAAAACATAATATAAAATTGTGCATTTAAGGAAGTAGAATACTAAGCTCTTCAGAAAAATTTTATAGAAATCATACAAAAATACCATGTGCTTCCCAAGAAATGTAAAGTGAAATGGCATTGTCTCTAGTTTTCTGTTCTTCATGCTCCTTTTTTTTTATTCTTGTCTAGATTCCTTTAACCTAAACTTGTTTTATCCTTCTCAAAAATTCTTAACGTTTTAGTCACATAATTTTACTTTTGAATTTGAGAATAATTTGTTTTTTGGTAACGCCTGCTACATTTGCAGTAAAAAAGTTACTAAGTTTGTTTTAATTTAAACTACCCCCTAAAACTGCCAATTAATCATTAATATATCCATCTGATACCTATTTTACTGCAGTGAAAAAGTATTGATGATCTTGTACAAGAGTGTAGTCTACCTTCCCCTCCCTCCATCACTTTTAATTCAGATCCTATTTTCTCCCTCTCTCCAATCTATTATTGTCATTACTGAAGCCTCCTTGCTGAGTCTTGAAAAGGCTAAACAAAGCACATTAACATTTCTTGTGCTTGGGAACTTTGCTCCAGATTCTCATGTGCCTCACTCCCCATTTCTTTCCTTCATCAGAGAGACTTTCCCCATCACCCTTCTCACATTGCTCCTACCCCACCAGGACCAATTCACTGAGCCCTGCTTCCCTCTGTCTTCCTTAAATTGCTTTAATTTTCTTTGCAACACATATCCTCTGGCCTTGTACATTTTATTTGTTTTATATGCTGTTACTTTCCTCCTA
Source organism: Homo sapiens (assembly GCF_000001405.40). NCBI lineage: Eukaryota > Metazoa > Chordata > Mammalia > Primates > Hominidae > Homo > Homo sapiens. The sequence goes on from NC_000002.12 coordinate 76,447,295, forward strand.
CCAGCATGTTAACACCTGGAAAGTAGATGGCTACGTTCGGTTCACTGCTTTTTGAGATGGCTAAAAGCAACATGATAAAGGATCCTCAGTTTCCCTGTTGCCTCTTCTACCCTACTGTTTTCCCTCCCCTCCCTCCTTTCTTTTTTACACCAATAATCACAAGCAAGTGTCGAGAAAAGAGGAATCAGGGCAAGTCTGGGTCACAGACAACAATAACTTCTTGAGCTAAAACCACAAAAACACATAATTGACCATCCTCTAGTCCATAAAAACAATGACCTTGCATTAATCTGGATGTTACCTGGATTCCCCTTGATATGCCACAGTTCCTCAATGCTGTTAACCTCTATTCAAGTCACTGAAATAATTTTCTTTTGATATCTTGCTCCTTGAAGAGTGTCACATATATAATAGGGGCTCAATAAATATCTGTTAAAAAATATTTGTTTGTATCCTTCCTGATGGAATCATAATGTCCATACCATTTGAAGCAAACTTTTTACTGCCTATCTAATTTCATTTCATTAAATTTTTCTCTCCTATGGCATACTTTTAATAGTTATATATTCTACTTATGAACATAAAATTTCTTCATCCAGTTTCTCTTAGATGTTATTGCTGTTATGAATAATGCTGCTGTGAATTGCATGTAGCTGAAATTTTGACCTCACCCTTGGCATCCCTTCATGAGGCCTAAACTCCTCTAGATCACACCACTGTGTGTATGTGTGTGTCCATACTGTCTCGTAAAGCAGTTGAGATTAGTAGGTATTAGCTATAAAGCTGTACAGCTTATAAATAGCAACTTGAAATTTTGCTACTACATTTAGTTTAGTATTTAAGAGTATGATAGGCATATTACTACCTATTTCAAACATGATTACTGGGAAAGATACATTTCCTGGCTGAACTAGAGACTGTTGAACAATTCTGCAAACTGTTCTGTGCCATTAAATTGATCCAAGATCTGCCCAGTGTGGTGAGAAAATAATCCACAAATCCCCTTGCCTCTTTTTCTTGTGACCTTCCTACTTTTTTCATATACTTCTATCCATAATGTGTTATCTGTTTCTTTGTTAATAAAAAATATGCACTTTTAGCTTATTTCTGGAGTTAAAATGCTAGTTCTTAAGAAAACAGTATTTCTCTTTGGGAATAAATTTCTAGGAGTGTAATACTGGGTCAAGGAGCGTGATTTGGATAAATGTCAACAAACTGACTTTCAACTGAGTGTCTGAATTTATTCTCCCACATTTATGTTATATGGTGCCATCCTCCCTCACTTTGATAAACAGTGTTTATCATTCTTTTTCACATTTTCTAATGAAATTTCCTTCTTATCGTAATTTTTATTTGATTACTTTTGAGATGGAACACTTTTATACATGCTTGCTGGGCATTTTTCAGTCTTTCAGAAATTGTCTATTCAATCTGTAGGTAATTTGCTTTTGGTTTTTAGTTTGTTCTACTTAAGGAATGTGTTGCAAATATTTTGTGGCATGTTGCCTGCCTTTGATGTTTTTGGTATTTTTTTTTTTTTACCTAGACAATATTTAAATTTTATTTATGTCAAATCTGGCTGTTTACTTTGGGATTTCCCTTTCCCACCTGACCCCCAGCTTGGGTATAGGTTTAGGCTAGCTTCCTCCATCTTTCGCTTGCACATTGTACTAGTCCGCTTGGGCTGCCATAACAAAATGCCACCAACTGGATGGATTAAGCAGCAGAAGTTTATATGCCCACAGTTGTGGAGGATGATAGTTCCAAACTGAGGTACCCTTAGGGCTGGTTTCTGGTGAGACTGCTCTTCCTTGTTTGCAGAGACTGCCTCCTTGCTGTGATATCATATGGTCTTTCCTCTGTGTGCACAGAGATAAGGATCTCTGGTGTTTCTTCCTTTTCTTATGAAGACACCAGATTAAGGTCCACCCATATGGCCTCATTTAACCTTAAGTAAAGCTAAGGCTTTAAAGGCCCTACCTCCAAATACATCACATTAGGGTTAGGGCTTCTATATGATTCAATCCAAAGCACACATACATCCATCTGTATATTCTAATGGCAGTTTTGGCTTCAATATCTTAAATTTCAATATTTAATCTACCTGGGGATTGATTCTTTTTTGCAGTGCCTTAGTTAAGAAGTTACTTTTGTTTTGTCCCAGTATCTGTAGCTGAACAACCCAGAATTTCTTTACTGTTATAAAAGTCATCTAAATCATTAACTTTTCTAGCATAACTAAATTTTCTCTTTCTCATACATTCATCTATTTCTTACCTTTCTTTTACTTAATTGATCTGTTGATTCCTGTAGAAGTACTACCTCATTTTAGTTATTATTGTAGTGTAGCTCATAAAAGTATTTCTCATTATTGTTTTCAAACATTTCTTGATTTTTACTATTCTCATTCCTTTGTTGGTCCAGATGAACACTTGAATTTAATTAGGTTCCCTTACTTGCATTACGATTAAACATTACTTTCATTTTTGAAAAGCAATCCATTCTTATTATCGAAATATAAGCAAAAAAGAAAATGAAGAAAGCAGAAGAAATATATCTTCCTTAACCTATCAATCTCTATGTATCTATCCACACATTTACCTACTTATCTTCCTAAATAGAATTTTTGTTGAAAACCATCATATATAACTTTTTGTAATCCTAAATATCTCAAAATGAGAGTCACTTATGACAACTGACTCAGTCCACAGTGAAACTGCATACATCTCAAAGTGATAAACATATGTATAAGGGACTGAGGTGATAACACCTACTATGGCCAGGTACTCCCATGACCCCACCACAGAAGGTGAAGCCAAAAGGTGGCTGAGGTACACCATGGACACTCCTGTGAAGGGACATAAAAACAGCAAAGAAACTGACCATGGTGAGACACCTGCAGGAGCTCTGCCCCTGGAAACTCTGAGGCCTCCTCTTAATATAGGCTGTGTTTTCCAGAGAAATCTAAAACTGCTTGGTCTCCCAAGTTACTCACCATGTTTCTTTCTTCTTTTCTCTTATCCTGTGTGTGTGTATTGAATGTATTTGCATGGTTATCAGTGTGTGAAAGCCTGGCAATAAACCGTGAATTTGAAAGCATTTAATTGGCCACTGAGTCATTTTGAAACTTCTTAGCTTTTGGTCAAAGTTAGCACAATTAGGTTGATTCAAACCTGACTGGATGCCCCTCCCCGACCCACTGCCTCCAAGAAAGAACACTCTAGGGCTGGATGGCTTTACTGTTTAATTTTTCGAATATTTAAGGAGGAATTAATATCAATTCAATAGATATTTCTTCAAAAAATAGAAGAAATGGAAGGCTTCTTAGTTTATATTGTGAGGCCAGATTTACTGTAATACCTAACTCAGACAAAAACATTTAAGCAATTAAATCCACAGGATGAGCTCGCTTAAACCTAAATGAAAAAATTTCAACAAAATATCAGCTAATACAATCTAGCAAGATATAAAAAGGATAATATATCACTAAAATGTGAAATTTATCCCAGGAATGCAAAGCTAGTATAACATTGAAAAATCACTCAGTGTATTTCATCATCTCAACAGACCAAAAAAAAGGAAGCTGTATGATCATCTGAAGAGATACGGAAAGAGCCTTCAACAAAATTCAATATCTACTTATGATAAAAATCCTCAGTAAACTAAGTATAGAAGGCTACTTCCTCAATCTGATAAGGGCATGTATGAAAACCCTACAGCTACCATCATACTGAATGCTGAAAAACTAAATTATTTTACAATAAGAATGGAAAAGAGAAATGAGTTCCTCTCTTATCCTCCTACTGGACACCTTTACTAAGCTCTTGGCCAGTGTAAGAAGGCAAAATGAGTAAATAAATAAGTGGATACTGACTGTAAAAGAAGGAGTAAAACACCCATTTATGGACATGATCGTGTACATAGAAAACCCCAAAGAATCTCACAAAAGCTCCTGGAACCAAAAAGTGAGTCTAGCTATGTCACAATACATAAGGCCAACAATAAAAAATCAAGTGTATTGCTCTGTACAAACAATGCCTCATTGGATATTGAAATACAAAAACAGTATCAATAGAATAAGGCCAATACTTTTAAGTCTGTCATAATATGAGCAGCATGTGCATGCTGAAAATTATAAAACACTGATGAAAAAATGAAATAAAGATTTTGTAAATAGAAAAATATACTGTGTTTATTAATTGGAACACTTAATATTGCTAAAATGTTAGTTCTTTCCATATTAACCTATAAAGTTAACAGAATCCAATCAAAATCACAGAAAACTATTTTATAGATAATGACAAGCTGATTTTAAAATCTATATAAAAAGACAAAAGAACTGAAATACTTTTGAACAAGAAGACCAAGATCAGAAGGCTAACAATATGTAATTTCAAAACTTACTATAAAACTACAGCAATCAAAACTGGTATGTTTGAAGAAATAGTCACATAGATTAATAAAAGAGAACAGTAAGCACGGAGTAAGACCCATATGCATTGTATGAGATAATATTTGGCAAAATTGCAAAGATAAAGGATACTCAAACAAATGGTGCTAGAACATTAAAAGAAAAGTTGAACTTTGCCCTTTAACTTCAAACATTAAACAATAATCAACTCAAATTGAATCATAAATCTAAAGTAAGATTTAAAATTATAAAACTATTGGATAAAAACATAGAAGAAAATCTGTGAGTCATTGTATTAGGCAAAGTTTTCATAGATATGACACCCAAAACACATTCCATATAATCAAAAAATTAAGCATGCCCCCTAAAACAAAATATTGAAAAATATAAGGTCTTCAAAACTAAGAAAACTTCTTTTTGAAAGATGCTGCTCAGAGAAGAAAAACCAAGCTACAAAGAGAATATATATGCAAATTCTATCAAGCTAAATAATTAAAAAACAAACAGCTGATTGGCAAATGGACCAATGGTTTGAACAGACACTTCACCAAAGAAGATATACAGATGGCAAACTAGCACATGAAAAGATGCTCAAATAGTCAGTAGGAAAATGCAAATTAAAAATTACAATGAGACATCACGCATACACATTGGAACAGCTGAACAAAACAGAATAAAACAACAAACTGACAATACCAAGTGCTGCTGAGGATGTAGAGCATTTGCAATCCTCATGTGTTATTGGTGGGAATGCAAAATGGTATAGCCACTTTGGAAAACCATTGGCTGTGTCTTATAAAGTTAAATATACACTTGCTCTATGACTTAGCCAGCCATTCCGGACCTAAGTAATTACTGAAAAGAAATGAGAAGTTACAGTCACACAAACATCTTTATGCAAATATTAGTAGTGGCTTTGTTTGTAATGTCAAAAAGTAAAAACAAATTCCAAATATATTTCAACTTAGGAAAAGATAAGAAAACTGTGATACATCCATATAATAGAATACCATTCAGCAATGAAATAGAGTATACTGATGAAAGCTACAGCACTGATGAATACTAAATGCATTATTATACTAAGCGAAAGAAGTCAGACTCAAAACACTACATATTTCTAATTTTATTTACATGACATTCCACCGAGACACAAACAAATGAGTAGTTAACAGATATTGAAATGATGGGAGGGGTTAACTACATAGAGTCAAAACTAGGGAATTGGGGAAAATGATGGGACTTTTCTTTATATTAATTGTGGTAATAGTTACCTGATTACACACATTTGTCTAAATTCAGAACACTACAATAAAAAGAGTGCATTTCTCCTTATGGAAATTTTAAAAGTACATAAAATACAATAAAGAAAAAATAAAAAAGACTTGGGACAAACCAATAAGACTTAGTTGTGAGCAATCTAAGTATGATTATATCAGTGCACTAGCCTTTAAAAGTTTTTGGAAAATATATCAACAAAAATATACCTTCTTGTTTTCAAATGAATTTGGCAGGCCATATACAAACTACTGTGGTATATTTCAAATCCCAAATAATGCTATTATAGGATCAAAAATTACTTTGGCATATATTTTTGCAGCAGTAACAAATATTTATAATAAAATAGGTTTCTATTATGGCTAATTTTAATGGGAGTGTTATTTTGATGTTAATGGTGATGTTTACTGGCTAACATAAAATAGTTCTTTTTGGTCATATTAAATAAATACCATTCTATCACTGTTTTCCTAAAAAGATATTTTTGGAAATTATTTTGTATTCTGTTGTCTTCCTCTTAAAATTTATCCAATTGAACTGAAAGGTTTTCTACTCTGAGGTGATGTTATAATAAATTATATTTGTTCACATCATAATGTTACATATTCTTTGCTATTATGTATTTTGATATTATTTACCAACACTTTACTTAGGGGAAAAAAAGCAGACCAGTTATTCAATCTAATTTTCTTGTCAGCTGGACCTCCAAGTAACTAAATTAATTATATTTGCTGAGAGAAACACACCTTATCCACAGAGGGCCCTTAACAGGAATTCTTTGGCAAAAAAGATTACCTATAATAAATAAGTAGAGGATCTATGAAGCATGTTTCCCTTCTGAATGTCACATTAACTATATAATATCTGGGGTATAAAATGGAGATACTTTATCACTTAAATGCTCTTTGTGTTACAGGTAGTTAGATAGGCATGTGCAGGGCAGGAGAGGGCTCTTCTCCCCACCCACTAGGAATGTCAGGTGAAGGTTTGACAATTATCACACTACCTCTCTAAAGCCATGGAAAGACAATCTCCTTATGATCCACAGCTATTAATATTAAAATGTTAATTAAATGCAGATGCCAGGGAGAAGAGACTTCCTGGGCACGCAGGGTTAAGAGACAAGATGGCGAGATATGACCTTCCGGGAGCACTCTACCAGAACAGAAGAAAGCCTCAGATGGGCATACCTCTAACTTCCTAAACACAGTGCAGCATGCTCATTTCCCAAGGGTAAGGAGGATTGTGTGCATGTGGGAAGCCCACCCTAAAGGAAGAATCACGGGAAGGAGGGAGCCTATAAAGCCTTTGGATCAGGGTTAAACAGGGCACTTGACCTTCAGGAATTTGACTTTCAGGTGCCCACTTGCGTCTCTTCCAAATGAATTTTCCTTTCTTTTATTTACTAAAGCCTTTTAAAATAAACTTCCACTCCTGCTCTGAGACTTGTTTCAATCTCTTCTTCTGCCTTATGCCCCTGTATGATTCTACAGCAACTTCAATTCTTTCTTCTGAGGAGGCAAGAATTAAAGTTGCTGCAGGCACGTACAGATAAGCTGCCGGTAACTCAGGGTAACTCGGATAACTTCCACTAGTGACACTTGGATATGACAAACGCAATGAAACCTAATGTTTTATTCTGAGACAGAGAGCATATGTCTGATGTGACAACAAAGAATTTGGAAGCCCTTGTGAAACTCTCTGGCTGCTTTGTCTGCCTCTGGATATCCAACATCCTAAATTATTGGTAAAGATTGATACTGGGTAAACTCTGATTCCTGTGAATCTGATGTGACAATTTTATCCTTTGTGTTAGCTCATCCTGTGAATTTATTAAAATAATATAAAAGGAATAAAACATAGTATGATATTGTGAAATATATATTTGTTCTTAGTCCCTGGTTCCTGAGACAGACCTCCTAATATCCTTGTAGATAGGGATGCTAGGAGAATCTTTTTTTTTTTTTTTAAATATTTGGTCTTGTCCCCATTTCCTGGAACCCAGCTTCTAAAACTTTTGAAATCTGTTAAGTGATTTAGTACTTTTTTATGATAGTGAGATACTCGGTAGCTGGAGACTCCTAGATGGCCTCAGGATAGAGGTTGCTCATCAGAGGAACCAACCATGTGAGTAGATGGTTAGAACTTTCAGTCCCATCTCCAACCTCCAACAAGAGTAGAGGGCCTGAAGGTTGAATTAATCACTGATGGCGAATAATATGAATCAATCATGCCTATGTAATAAAGCCTCCATAAAAACCTAAAAGGACAGAGTTCAGGGAGCTTCCTGATAGCTGAACATGTGGCGGTTCCTAGAGGGTGGTGCACCTGGAGGAGGTATGAGGCACTGGCACCCCTTCTCTGACCAGGCCTTATGCATCTCTTCCATCTGGCTGTTAATCTGTATCCTTTGTAATATTCTTTATAATAAATCAGTAAACATAAGTGTTGTCTGGATTTCTGTGAGCTGTCCTAGTCAAATTAATTGAACCCAAGGAGGGGATCTCAAGAACCCCAGTTCACAGGGGATTGATCAGAAGCACAGGTCATAAGCTGGGGCTTGTGATTGCCAGCTGATGTGGGGGCTGTCTGGTGGGACTGAGTGCCTAACCTGTGGGATCTGATGCGATCTCCAGGTACATACTGTCAGAATTGAATTGGATCACAGGGCACCCAGTTGGTATCCACAGGCGAATTCCTTGGTGTTTGGGTAAAAACCTTCATAAATCTGGTGTCAGAAATGTGCTGTATGATAAGTGAGTGTGAGTAGAAAAAACACTTTGGTCGGCTTTTCCGATTTCTAAGATATAGATAAACTGATAATAACAAAGTGAACAAGATGAGCTATCTTCAGATGAGGAATAGAAGAACATTTCTGAAAGAAAACTTACAGTGGAGTGGAGAAATAACTGGAGATTCTGACACACATGATACCTGTGGGATGAGTTATAGCAAAGGAGGTTAGTTTTACATTCAAGATGTCAGGGTGACTTGGGCTGTGAAAACATTGGTGTTTATATGGATGTTATTTGAGAATTTATATATGGAACAGTTGATCCCTTTTTTCACTCTTCTCCATACCATCCATAGAATCCTGAGAAGCCAGTAGGAATAGCAACATCAGTGACAGCAGCAAACTCATGTATTGCTGACGTGACATTAGAACATGACAGGTTACATTTCAATGCTTTAGATATGTTAAATTTTATCTTCACGTATACTTCTAAGGTAGATATTATTATGAGGTATTCCTACAGTTTAGGAAACAGAAGCACAGAGAAGTTACATATTGTAACCAATGCTCTGAAGAACTAGAATTTAAACCCAGGTAGTCTGACTCTAGAGTGCATGTTCTTAACCACTGCAATATTTGTGTCTCTATCCACTCTGTCCTCTTGCAGCAAAAAAGGTGACATCTTGGTTGATCACCTGAGATAGTCAGTTTTATATGTCAATTTGGTTAGACTATAGTCCCCAGCTATTCAGCCAACCATAAATCTAGGGATTGCTCTGAAGATATTTTGTAGAGGTGATTAACATACACAGTCAGTTGATTTTGGGGAAAGGGAATTATCTTTGATAACCTAGGTGGGCCTGGTTCAATCAGTTTAAAAAAATTAAAAGCAGAACTGAGGTTCCCCTGAAGAAGGGAAAATTCTGTCAATGGAATGAAGCTTCTTCTGCATGAGAATTTCTAGCTTATACTTCTGGATGATCTCTCTTACAAATTTCAGACTTGCATAGCCAGCCTCAACAACTGTGTAAGCCAATTCTTTGCAATCTTTCTGCAATCTCTCTCTCTCTCTGTTTCTGTCTCCCTCTGCCCCTCTCTCTCTATTTCTCTATCTCAGGTTTGGTTTCTGTGGTGGAACCCTGACCAATATACCACCCTATAGTTTTCCAGATGACAGGTCTCAGCTATATAATCAAAGTTTTCAAATATTTAAAATGTGTGCCAAATATTAAATATTAGTAAATATCCAAGAATCACCGAATATTTTAAGAAAACTTGTAACTTAAAATTATAAAAGGACAAAACATAAACCTCAGAGAATGCAGAAAAAAATCAGGAAATTGAAAAAAAATTAAAAATCATCATTAATATTCTTTAATTAGTTTCCTCAGAGGACCAAAAGGATGTTGAACAATGAAAGAACAAAGAAGAGCTCCTGGAAATTAAAATATAATTGTAAAATAAAAATTCAACAGAATGTTCAGAAGATAAAACTAAAGAAATTATGTATGTAGTATTGCAAAAAGAAAGGGAGATAATAGAGAAAGAGAGATAAAGTAAAAATCAATCCAGTTCTAACTTGACGTGAATGAGTTACAAAAAGAATTGAAGAGTTAACCATAAGGAGGGAAGTTATAAAAGCCAAAATACAAGAAATGTCCTGGGGTGGAAGACATAGTCTGAATTTTCAGAGGTGCCACTGAGTGTTTAGCATAATGAATGAAAAAGATAAACAGCTGGACACATCACTGTGAACGTTAGAGATAAAAAAATTCTAAAAGAGAAAAAATTTTTTAAAGAAGTATGGGGAAAATAAAGCAGTGTGCCACAAGAGACTAGAGTCAGACAGGGATTATTATTTTCTTACCAGCAGCACGATGTGCACTAGAAGAATTAGAATAAAGCTTTCAACCCGTAAGAGAAAGTTATTTCTACATAAAATTTCATACTGGGCCAATAAATTGTAATGGCATTCAGGCAAGTAAGAAAAGAGGAAAAATGCCTCGTAACTACCCCACAGGAAGTTTCTTAAGCCTATGCAATAGTAAAACAAAGCAGAAAAATACGAAAAATAGTTGTAATTCCAGAAGCATGGCAGCCACCACAGAGGAGAGTAATGAAGGATGATAGCTGTACAGTAGACCTGGAGAGCACTCAGCCCAGGTAAGGGAAGCTCTTTGTGTTCAGACTGTCAGGTAGAATTCAAGCAGAGAGATGTGTCTGGTCCTGCACAACCATATTCCAGTAACACCACACACACCTAAGAAGGGCAATGATTACTTTTCTTTGGTTGCTTTTGTTGCTCCAATGTGTGCACACAATTGAGATCCAGGTTTCCTATGCCCAACCACCTTACTGCCTTAACCTGACCTTTCCCATAGCTTAAGGGGGTCTTGCTGGATCCCCACCTACTAATCTTCCCTGACACTCTTTTACTTTCTTTACTTTTATAGTGATTATCGCCGTCAATATGGCTTCATAAAGCTTCTTACAGAAAATCCTCAACTTGGTGATTCCAGCTTTCTCTGATTTCTGATGTTGTTACAACTATCCCTGTAACTAAATTCCTTAATAAATTTAATTGAAAAATTGAGAGGAAGTATATTTAAACAAATGAACTCAAATTATTAACTTAAATAGGGAATGTAGTGTTGGACAGCCATTCAAAGTGACCAAGGCTAATTTATATATGTGTACTTCAATTACTTGTTAATTATCTTGAGGTCTTCACTCATGGGGTAGTTGTCTTCTCATAACAATATAAAAATTATAGAAAAAGTGTTCACTGTCTTTATGGTGACCTTAGTAGTTTGGACAGAATATGTTAACTGATAGCTTTGCACAGTGCTGCTGAAAAATACCCTCAGCACACTCTCATTTAGTGAAGCCACTGGTATATTGTGTCTGTCATTTTTGTTTTAAAATTGGCTCTCTTTATTGAGGCAAAGTTCTTCATTCTTTTATTTCTACTGGTTATTCATTTATTTATTTGTGCTGCATATCAGACATGTAAAACACAGTTCTTTTTTCTTAATGGAAGGCACACAAACCAGATGGAAAGAACAAAAATATAAAGGAAAAAAAACTAGTTGTGAAATTAAGCACACATTCCAGTATAATGAACCATATAATTAATCTAAGAACAAAATGATAAAGTCCCTAATTGTACATATATTCTACTGGTTCTTTGTTGATTTGGTTACTAACTCAACTGTTTCATTTAATACTCTGAGTTAATGAGGGATTTCATATTCTAACAAGATGAACATTATAGGATTTCTGCCTTTAGCCCAAGGTTCTCATAAGTCTGGATAGTAAACACAAGTAATGATTAGAGGTGTGTGTGTGTGTGTGTTTGTGTGTGTGCATGTGTATGGAGATGTGTATGTATGTGCATGTATACATATGTTTTGTTTGTGTATGTGTTTGTGTGTGTGTATGTGTATGGAGATGTATGTGTTTGTGCATGTATACATATGTATATATATGTACATTTTATACATTGCCCTCAGAATGACAAAACACAACGTATATAATTAGTGGAATACAAAAAAGCTAAGCTAAATGCTGGACTGCAATAAAACTGTTAAAGAAATTCTAAAAGATTGCTTGAGGAAAGGGTCTTATATGGAGGCTTTTCATAGGTAAGGCTTTAGGAAGGATATTCTTAAAAGAAGATATGGCAAGAACAAAGGTACAATAATATCTTCAGAGACTAGTGATTGTAACAGCTTGACTATGCTTATGGAATGATGAGAAGGTGGTGGTAGAGAAGTGATTGGCAATATTACAATAGTCTACGTATCCACATATGAATTTACATTTGAAATATGCTGGCAAATAGGAGTAGGGAGGAAGGATGTTTGTGGAAGATTGAAAAAGCACTGACAAAAAAGGGTGCTGTTTTTCATGGGACATGAAGCAAAAAGAGGGTTGATGATATCACTAAGCTTCAAAGTTAGGGGAAGGGGAGAGTGGTAGATTGTTAAGAGAATATAGGAAAGAGGAATAGAAGCTGGTTTTGTTCAGCATGGAAGAGGGCACAGAAAGAGAGAAATGATGAATTGGAAAACTAAATTATCATATGTTTTAACTCCAGAGAGATTTTGCTCAAAATTATCATTTGCTTTTCTACACTTATTTCCTGAATTCAGATGTTGTGCAAAATTACTCTGCCATTGTTTCCAATCACCTACATATCAATAAGAATGCTAACAAGTAAGAAACGAATCAGAGTGGAATGATATTGACAGCTATCTCTGTAGCCTGTTATTATTTGACAATGTTCTACAACTTCATTAGTTCAATTGAATAGATACTTTGAAATAAAGTGACTAAATGGTTCAGCTGAATTTATAGCAATTCGCATACATTGTACAAAATTCATTTATGTAACAGTGTACTGGAAATAGAATAGTATAGTCCTTAATGTATATTTATTAGTGCCAACAAAATATATTTCTATATCACAAATGCATGAAGGAATCAGTTTGCTTGAAATAGTGAATTTTATTCTTATTTTCTCTCTGGGATACATTTCATTCCTAAATGTCCTCTCCCACATCCAGAAGATTACTAGACAAATTCTGAATTGGCTTCAAAGGGAGAATCTGTTGCACAGCATCACTTGAGGGGATGGTTTTTCTGCTTTGCAAAAGGGACAGCTATGTTACATGTACAAGTGTATCAATGTCCATCCCTGTTTCCTCAAATATATTCATGGAAAGTAACAGGAAGTCAATAAACATAAGAGCAAAATTATGGGAAATGCTGTCTCTCTTAGATAAAAATATTGGAATGATGTCCTATAATTTGGCTAATGTATTTACATTATACATTTATATATGCACATACACCTATATAGCATATGTACAAATTACCTATCTATTTATCTATCTGATAAATCATTGTCACTCTGACTTTGGTTAGTATATTTCTACATCAAGTGGAATGCATTAGTTTTTATTATGTATTTGTTTTATATATTTTGTTTTCTAAAACATGAATCTAAATCAATATATTTGATATGTTTTTTTAACTGTGACCAATTTATAAAATAATTAGTGTTCATAACATTTGGAATTTCAGTATGTTTAAATTCATATTATGAGAAGATCAACAGGCTTATTATGTTTGCATAAATATTAGTATAGGCCGCTTTTATTATAGAATAAAGAAGAATAAACATTCTTTTGTCTTTTCAAAATACAGCTATGCACATACACATGAACACAAAACTATCATTTACAAATTATTCGGGAAAAATAATAATTTAAAAGAGCTATTTTTTTAGAGTCATCTTTACATTATCACTCTGGTGGGAAATGTCCCTATGCAATTCTTTTAAACTGTTCTTTATGTCTCTTAATAGAGCTTAGAAGATATTTTCAATTTCTTTAACTCAATTATATTTAATCTGTATTGTTTCAGAAACTCACAACAAAGTATTGAAGGGAAGGGTGAATTAAACTTTCTTGGGCACATGTAATGAAATGTGTTGAATATTTTAAATGTGTAAATGCATTCAATCCTCATAAAACCTATGAGGTAATTTTAAAATTATTATTACCTAACAGATTAGAAAAAAAGTAAATATTTGTGAGTACCAGAGCTGATATTCAACTGAAGGTAAACCTCGTTCTATTCAGAAAAGTGTTTTCTTTTTTTTTTCTTTTCTTTTTTTAGAGATAGAGTCTTGATGTGTTGCTCAGGCTGGAGTACAATGGTTCCATCATAGCTCACTGCAGCCTTGAACTCCTGGGCTCAAGTGATCCTCCCACCTCAGCCTCTGGAGTAGCTAGGACTACAGCTATGTGCCACTACACCCAGCTAATTTTCTATTTTTTTGTATAGCTGTATAGTAGCACTGTGTTGCCTAGGCTTGTCTTGAACTTTTGGGCTCAATGAATCCTCCCACCTCGCCCTTTCAAAATGCCAAGATTACAGACGTGAGCCAACACACCTGTCTAGAAAAGCATTTTCTTAACATATTCCGCCCTTGTATTTAAACTTACCTTTATCTTCTCCCACTCTGATTATATGTTGAACATTTGTAACCCGGATTAAGGTTTTATTTCTTTGTGCTTTCATTAACCAGATTGTTAGTTTTCAGATACTGCTTTCTCCAAATAATATTTGTGAGGACACTGGATTTAATTTTCATAATTCATCTGTTCAATTTACTGTAGTAACGGGGCCCTGCGTCCACAAATTTGACCAAGTAAATGATACACAGGACTCTAATTCACTTAACAAATATAATTCCTTGGGATCTTGGGATAAGGAACATGCACAAATCTTTTCTGTTGCTTGCTTTTACAATGAAGAGTTCTCATTGCCTATAGAAACTGGATAAAACAATATCATCGAAGAAAATACCCCACTGATTTTACTACACAGAACATCACATGCATGCTATTTCAACAACATCTCCAACAGGGTTTTTATTTATAAAGATAAATATGAGCAAAGGACCAGTCCCACATTTCTAGGCAGATCAGGAGGGAATAAAGAAGACATCCTGTCTCTTTTATTGTGTCCCAAATGCCTTCTGGATCGAGAGAGGTGAAAAAATACAGTGGCTTTCCGGGTGACTGCTATTGTCATTGACATGTAACATTTCTCATCAGAAGAAAGTTGGGAGCTAAGAATAATAAACACAGTATTTTTAATATTTAATCTGTCTTTAGCTATTAAATCAATCTGAAAATTTCTAACAATCATGGCATTCAAAAGAGAGGCCCTGGTTCAATGTAAAAACCTATAGCCATCCTCATGTAGTTGATCATGAAAGGTTCAGAGAATATAATGTAAAAAGAAAAAATGTGGAGTACAATTTCTCATCTGATCATTTGTACTCCCAATTGTGTAAGATAAAGGAATCCTCCCACCAATCCATTTTGAATGATACATAGTCTCTCATGTCTGATTATCTTCATCCTCATCTCCTGTTGCTCTCCTGCTCCTTATATAACTAGGAATCCAGTCAGAAAATTGCTACTTAGTTCTCTACAGAGTCATAACTTTGAATAAGATATTTCCTTTACCTTGAGTAGATACTTATTTAAACTTCAAATCATTTATTCCTCTTTCAAGATACAGATCAAGCACCACCTTCCCTAGAAATTCTTCCTTAACCTATCAATTTGAACTTTTTTTCTTTTGTCTTAATTTAAAAATACTTCCGTAAACACGTACCATGTTTTAAACACTTATACATACATACATTATCTCACATGATTAAAACACCAACCTCCCTGGAGTACATACTGTATCTTACTTACCTTCATTGTTCAAGGGTTTTATGCGTCAAATGTAATATAGTAACTGATAGATCATGAATCAGTCCTGTAGAAGAGAATACTGCCCTTAGCTTTTGCTACCTTTGAACCATGACATGGCTTTCCATATTTGAGCAATAGTTCATCTCTTTGAATTACAATTAATCCAATTTTGAAAGAAAGTGATTGGTATAAATGTTACTTAGTGTCCTTTAACATTTAAAATTCTATAATCATACCAATGTTTTTATCTCATGGAATAATTAATCCTCAGTC
This sequence comes from Homo sapiens, assembly GCF_000001405.40. Taxonomy (NCBI): domain Eukaryota; kingdom Metazoa; phylum Chordata; class Mammalia; order Primates; family Hominidae; genus Homo; species Homo sapiens. The sequence continues at coordinate 76,463,271 of NC_000002.12, forward strand.
AGGCAGAAGTTATTTCATAACCACAAACTGGAGAAAAGGCAAATAACTATATCTTTCTTCTGCACAACAGAATCTTGAAAAATGTGACCCATATTGTTGAAAGTGAAAGTTTGTAATAAATGCATCAAAATGCGATAAACAGATCTAGCACATCTACAGAAGTCCAGCTTGGCAGAAATTGTCATCATGTCAGGTAGCATAGGGTTAGCATCTATAAAAGAGAAATTAGTGAAATAATAGTCTCATCATTTTCCCTTAAACAAAAGAAATATTTAGTAAAAATGCATAGAATCACTTTTCCTTGAATCTCATAATTCTATAGAAATGTCATAAAATCATTTTTAGCTACTTTCTCCATTTTACTCCTGGCTAATTTTAATTTTATATTCTTCTAGGTATAAACAGAGGCTTTGAAAAAGGCAAAGAGAGGATCAGAGTAGAGGGAAAATTCTAAGTAGACTAGGAATAACCTTTGAGGAATCTTGAAAAGGTAAAGTTTTCAGTCTCATTATCTAGCTAAAGAAGCTTATACATAAGACAAAACAAATCATTGAAAGCTTAATATGAATAGGAACCAACTGTTTTTATAATTACTGTATTAGAGGAGACTGAAAATGCTCTGAATATTTATAAAAGTACTATGTTAAAGATAAACTTGTTTCCCTTCAGCTTGGAAAAAAGCATAAAACTATAAAATAGTGTCTCAGTGTGTAAACAGTTTTCTAGAGGATCATAATTTTGTTTTCAACACATTTTTCTGGGGTTTCTGTAATTATATTTATTATTTGAAGTTTTAAACATGCAAACACCACATATAGAACCATAATTGTGAAAGTAAATAAATTTTGAGATTTTCCAAATGTTTGATCTTTTATCTTCATAAATATTATTAATATTTTTAATATTAGTTTTAAAATGTTTTCTGAATATTTTAAAAATCAAGATATCACAAATTTTAGTCATAGTTCTATCAAACAATACTCTTCTGTCTTGAATAAAAAGGCATATTGGGTTGGCTTTGATTCAGGTGAATTGAATGCTCTTCATTGGGTATGAAAAGTATTCTTGACACAGACACTCATTCAAACTCTCATCACCTTTACTGTAAGGGCCACTTATAGGAGTGAGTCCTTTCTAATCAGGAAGAAAATGGCAGAAATTTTACAGTATAATTTTTGTCTTCCGTATAGGCTTAGTTTGGCTTATCACCACATTTGAATTACAAGACTGACCTCTGGAGTTTACTGCGGCTGTGCTGCTAATGTTGAAGTCTCCAGGCCAAATTAATCATCACTACAGGCCAGCATGTGTGCCTTCTGGTTGTGACACATACATTTAGGTAATTATGGCAAAACCAGTTTACTGATTGTACAAAGAAAAGTTTAACATAATTTCCCTGCCAGGCAACCAAATCTATAATCCCCTTGATGGTCAGTGACCCATGTCCATCCAACTTTTAAATCCTTGATGAGTTCATTCTGAATATTGGTACACATCAGCAACGAACAACCTCAAAAGACAAGAAACATATGGGTTATAAATTTTGTTAGTAATAAATTTAAGAATAGCAGAAATAAGTTAATGTATATAAAATACATTTTGGGAAATACAAAGATTTATATAAATATGAGATATTGCAATAAACATAAACAACTGAATGGCATTTTAGGACATGCAGGAAAACCCCACCTTCTTCCATCAACCACTCAATTTTGATTACGAAAATAGATCTCTTTTCTAGTTTTGATTCCTACAATTCCCATGAAACAGACTCCAAACCCAGCCTCTGAGAAGGCATGTGACTCTGGAACAGTGTCACGTTGCCTTAGCAGTAATGATTGTTCCAAGGATGGGCATGTGAACCATCATGAGTAATGAGAATGAGTTTATAAATAATTGTTGGTTCTGTGGGGAGCAGATTTTCTTCTTTGCTCTCTTTAATGTTCAGCATAACCATTTTACAATAATAAGTGGCTCATCTCTCTGAGAATGAAGTCAATATAGTAAGAAGGAGAGTAGGAACTGATTAAGAGTTGGACAAAACCATGTCCTAGTGATACTGTTTCATTTCTTACTACATTAAGCAAAACCTACAAGCAGCCCTAAGTTTGTCTTTTTCCAAATTTACATAAACCAAAAACTTCCAAAAGCCTAGTTCCTGAAACAAAAATTTAGTTGGAGTGTTTGTCAGTAGCAACCCAAAGGCCCTAATTGATCTGAACAGAGTTTACTTGAGCCTTTAAGTACCAAAGCCTAAGGTCAGGGTCAGATAGTTCAGGAAAACGTAATGACAACCATATTTTTTTTTCTATTGCATTTCTTGTGAATTAGAGTACTGGGAAACACTCTACAGAGGGTGTCTGATGATAACATTGAGGCTTCCAGAGCAGCATGGCAGGACAGAGAGGGCACTGGCACTTCAGAAGGAGAAAGTGAAGCATGGGTGTCTTGGTCCAAGGTTTCTGAGACCAGAGAGAATTGGTGTTAATCTGAGTTTTGGCATTTAGCAGCTGTGTGGCCTCAAACGTGTTACTCTCCACTGTTAAACTTTAGTTATCTTACAAATAAAGAGGGGGCAAATTAATAGTAGCTGTTTAAGTCAGCAGGGGCTAAAAAATTATGCAAACCTCTTAGCACATTGCCTAGCAATAGTATGCTCTTGGTAAATTATTATTGTTATTATACAACCCAAATGGGAGTCTTATCTTTGTCACTTACTGTTAACTAACTGTAACGCTATTTCATTTTTCTAAATTCAACTGTTTTGGTTCATCAAGCAAAAGTGACAATTTTTGCCATATCTACTCCACAGAATTGTCATCAAATGAGAAAATGTGAGTCATTCAGAAGCCGTTATGAAACTGAGGTAGAAGTAAGGTGATGTGAGTAGCTCTAAACTTTTAGATATTCCAAAACAGTTAGTGACACTAAAATATATTCCTGAAACTCCTAATGTAATCTCTCCCATTCTATTGAATCAGAGAGTCTTCCAAGGTTAAAGGCCAGGTATTTAAAATTTGAAAAATCTCCACAGGTATTTCTGAAGCTCATGAAAGCTTGATGACTAATGCTTTTATACAGATTTTCAACCTTGGTCGCTTATTAGAATCACCTGGGGAGCTTTACGAACTACAGACGCCTAGGATCTAGCTCAGAGGAATTTAATCAGAAGTTTGGGCAGGAGGGCTAAGAGAATCCATATTTACAAAAGTTCACTAGGTGATTCTAATGTGTCTCCATGATTGATAAGCGTTGTGCTGGGGAAAAGGGAACGAAAATACATTTGTTGAGATCATCATATGTGCCAAGCATTGCACTAAGTGCTTTGCATATATTATCGTATTTGAATATCATTTTTAATTAACCATATAAAATAGGTATTACATCTATTCTTTGCAGTTAGGATCCAAGAGTCACAGAAGTTTGGTGACATGCTCAAGGATATGCAGCCAGCACACGGTGAAACAGTCATTTCAATTTAAAAATTCATTTTAATTTAAAAAGATAAAAGTATGTTTCTTATTGAAACATATTCTTCATTTATCGTTTTTTCCCCCAAAATATCAGATTTTCTTTAAAAGCTAAATGGAGATAGCTTGGAGGTTTAAAACTAATCACTAATAAAATCTCAAGCACATTCCATTGACAATTGCTATCTCTGTATCCAAAAAAGAAACACAAATTTTGAAACAGTCACTAAAAAAAAAAAAAAATTCCTTCAAAACTGAAACCCTTAGGAATACTGAGAACTATTCTAACAGCTTTAAAATAAGTAGGTTTTCATGAGATATTTGACAATGCACATATAAAATGGTTGCCCCTTGGGAACAAAATTAAGGAATTTAGAGTGAATGATAAACCACTGTATTATTACCCTAGGGAAAATAAAGTAAAATTTTTTAAACTTTATGGTCCCCCAAAGGGAACTCTGTATCTGATGATATTTCAAAAGGCAGCACAGCTTGAAAGTATTTTTTTAAAGTCAGAGAAATTTTTATAAAAGTTTAACAATAAAATTCTTGCAATTTTAGAAAACATGAATTAAAAAATCCAGTGGGAATAGGGGTGGGGTAGAGGAGGAAGTCAGTTTTGAAAACCTGAGTAAGAGTTCACACTGTGAGGAGCTACAGAGAGTTTCACATACATTTTGCCATTTGTTTGCAAACCAGTGGGTTAAAACTGTGCATTAAGACAGCTGCGACACTAACTGTATGCCTACCAATACTGTCTGCTGACCTCAAAGACTGCAGTTGCCAGCTTGAGCTGACACCTATAATGTGAGAAAATGGAAACCACACAATTAACACATTAAATTTATGGGAAAGCAGTTTCCTAAGCTAAGCGTTATAGGTCAGAGTAATCTCAACTCTCTCTGTATGTGGATAACTACTTGTGGGTGTAGTCCAGCAGATATTTTCTGACTTGTGGTCAAAAAAAAGTATTGATAAATGTATCTCTTTTGAAAGAAAAAAGATTGAATGGAGAGTGACATGGAAAAATTCCAAATTGTTGGCCTATATCTGAAGTACAGTTAGAAAAAAAATCAAGTAGGCCAGGCCTTATTTATTTATGTAAAGCAGTTATGCGTTGCTGGCGCCATGATTCCAGTGCTGATGATTAGCATTTTAATGTTTAGAATAATGCTTGTCAATCATTAGCTTTTCCTGGTAAGTGTTACTAACATATCCATTTAAGCCATAAGAAAATTAAGAATGTCACGTGTGGCTGCCATGATAATATTTCGTTGTATTTTATTTTTGTCTGCTAAAATGATTTATTGAAAATTGCCTACTAGCAATGGTATGATGTAAATCAGTGGATCTCTAACTTGAGCATGTATCACAAACACTTAGAAGGTTTATTAAATCATGGATTGCTTGGTTCCACTGCTATAGTTTCTGATTTTGTAGTTCAAGCTGAGGCTGGCAAATTTCCATTTGTAACAAATTCCAAGTTGATGTTGTTGCTGCTGGTTCAGAAAACACACTTTGAGTAGCCTTGCTATAAATAAAGGTACATTTGAAGGCAAGATAATAGTGATAATAAAAACAACAGCTCCCACTTTTTGGGTACTCAGTATTTGGGCCGGATCTCATTAAAACCTCACAGGTGGCTGGGTGCAGTGGCTCACGCCTGTAATCCCAGCACTTTGGGAGGCCGAGGCGGACAGATCACGAGGTCAGGAGATCGAGACCATCCTGGCTAACACGGTGAAACCCCTTTTCTACTAAAAATACAAAAAATTAGCTGAGCGTGGTGGCAGGCACCTGTAGTCCCAGCTACTCGGGAGGCTGAGGCAGGAGAATGGCATGAACCCGGGAGGCAGAGTTTGCAGTGAGCCAAGGTCACACCACTGCACTCCAGCCTGGGCGACAGAGCGAGACTCCCTCTCAAAAAAAGAAAACAACAACAACAACAAACAAACAAACAAAACCTCACAGGTAAGGAAGCTACAACCAACAAGGATTAAGAGACTTTCTCAAAATGAGATCAAGAGTAAGGGATCAAGATAGGATTTGGATCCAGACTTGTCCAACTCCTAAACCTTCGACTTGAACAAAGGAGCTATAATAGTGGTTTTTTTTTCTGGTGTACTCTACATAAACTTATTAATGCAGAGTTCTTTTTCCTTTCTAAAGACAGATTTGTTAAACATTGAAAGTACATAGAATCAAATATATGTAACATATCAATCACTATTTCATTGTATAGTTAATGTTAACCAATTCTCAGCAACTGAATCAAGAAGGGATAGCATACTGGTTCAAAAATCACAAAAAGGTTAACGGACTTTGATGCGATTTCATTCGAATTCCCATTAAAACATCAAAAGAAGTTACAGGAGTAGATCATAAAAAGTGAAGGAAACTGAAACTAAAGCAAAGTCTAATAAACTAAGTGTGATTATTTGATAATGGTGTCTGGGAGGAAGTAACATGAATAAGGAGACTTGGGCTAGGAAGTAATAAATAATACAATCTGTGTTCCAAATCATATCAAAGTCCAAACAGATTTCAGGAAATAGGGGATTGAGAAAAGAATGTAGCAATTTCCTTTTTCATTCCCTTCTTCTTTTCCCTGACTCACGGACCCAGAGGAAATTAACTTGAAAACTAACAGTGACCACTCGACAGCCTCCTGGCAGCACCCTGTGAAGGAAACTTAGAGTTCTTTTTTCTTAAGAATCCAAGGATAACTGTGAGAACAACATATCCTAGACATTTCGGTTTTCAAAAAATCCATGTTTTCAAAATATGAGAAAATCAGGAAGTTAGGATTAAAGATGCCTAAATGAAGCCTTTAGATCCTAAAATTGGGCAGGTGGTATGAATGTTCTCCTTTTCTATATCTGAGAAGAGTATCCAGTCACCACATGAGGGTAGTGTGGCCTACACCAAGGGTCCTCACTTCTGATATGTTAAAAACAACAACAACAACTGAGCATGTCCAGATGTTGCCTCATTCTAGAATGAAGAAACAAATACACACACACACACACACACACCCTTAAGGTACAATTGAAATGGAACAGAAAAGCATAACTGCCAACTCCCCCCAACTCTAAAGTTATGTATATAATATAGTGGACAGTCCAAGTCAGTATGTAAAAATTATTTCATAAGTAGTTTGTAGGCCATTTGGCTAAATATTTGGCAAAATTTTAAGTTAAATAATTGCTCACATATGTTATGAAAATATCTTCAAAATGAGATATTTGAATATTAACAAATAAAAATACTATAAGAAAATAAATATATAATTTGAGACATACCTACACTTTTATACATGATCCTAATTAAGGTAAAAAGAACAATTTGATAAATTTTTTCTCTACAACATTACTTTTAGATCAATAAATCAAAACCAACAAAAATATTAAAAGCAAATAAAAATTTGGGAACATATGAAGAACAGTTACAAAATAAATGTTGATATATTCAATACAGACACATATATTTGAAAACAATTTTGAAGAATGAGAAAAAGTCAACAGAACTATGGGCAAAATGTGGACAGACAAAGTTCACGAACAAAGTTGCCAATGATTATTAAACATATAAAAATGTTTTCAATCTGTGTAACCATCAATGAAAGGCAAATTAAATGATGATATATTCAACTTAATTACCATATATCATCCCAGCTTAAAAATAATAAAACCCGGAGAATGAGTTTTATTATTCTTTTCCACTATGGTGGAAATATAAATTGTCACAGCTTTTTATGGGACAATTTGGCAATTCATCAATTTTTGAACCTCTGTATGTATTCATTCAGTAATTTAGCTTCTAGGCATTTCTCATAAGAGTGTAATTATTGTCAGGGACAAATGTAAAATTGTAAAAATATTAGTTGGACACTATTTAAAAATGGAGAAAAATGAGAAAATAATTTATCCCAAATAAGTATATGAATTTGTGTGTGTCCATAAAACATTTTATATAATTATTAAAATATGGTTAAGTGAAAGTACTTACTGAGTGGAAACATAATTTTGATGGTTAACTAACAAGAAACATTTCAAAACAGAATGTACACTATTATGCTGTGTATATGCAAGTATGTAGTTAAATCAAGATGGAAGAATTAGTCCATGAACTAATCACTGCACTCTCTTAATGCCCCTTGAAATTTCAGTAAAGAATGAAAAGAGGTGATTCAGCAATGAAAAATATGAAATACGTATTGTAACAAGAAAAGCAGATAAAAGAAGGCACTGAGGAAGCAAGGTGTAGAAACATAAAGCATATCATAAACTTGGACGTAGCTCTCATGAAGGAGAGATTGAATGGCTTAGAATAGGAAGCCAAGAACTAGGAGAAGCAGGTCAAAAAGAGATTTGTAATAAGAAATAGAAGTTACCATAAAGGTAATAAAAGCTCTACACATGGTATGAGCAACCTCCCATTTTCCTCCCATCTCCCTATGAGACTCTCATTGAGTCTCCCTATGAGATTCAATGGCTCATAGGCATTTTCTCCCATGTAAAAGTTCATAATTTCTGCTGGAAAAATGGAGTAAATAGGTTTTGTTTTGGCAGCCAACAGTAAACTGCTGTTTCTGCTGACTTTTAGGAATGCCAGGCATGATGCTAAGGTCTCCACCATTCCGGAAAACCATCAGGCATCAATCTCTCTAAAGTGCTGCTTTTGTCAATTGTCTGTCTTCTCATTTTTAAAATCAAATGGAAAAATAACCATAAGAAAAGCAGGAATAATTAGACATTAGACAAAATTTGCAGTATAAAAAAAGTTGGGGGGCACTGGGCACAGTGTCTCAAGCCTGCACTCGTAGCACGTTGAGAGGCTGAGGTGAGCAAATCACTTGAGCTCAAGAGTTAGAGGCCAGACTGGGCAACATGGTGAAACCCTGTCTCTACAAAAAAATACAAAAAAATTACCCAGGCATGATGGTGCATGCCTACATAGTCCCAGCTACTCAGTAGGGGCTGAGGTGGGAAGATCACTTGAGCCCAGAAAGTCAAGGCTACAGTGAGCCAAGATAATGCTACTGCACTCCAGCCTGAGTCAGACCCTGTCTCAACAAAGGAAAAAAAAATGAGGGGATACAAATATAAAGATTATTGAATGTGTAACGTTAAAGCCAACCAAATATGGCCTGAGAAGGACTCCGTACTTCTATATTTGAGTCCTTGTGGATGAACTGTAACCAAGCTTAACAGATGAAATTGAAAACCTAACTTAATAGTATGCACCTGTAGCAATGGCTGAATGTTGGCCAATCCCAGTGGCCATACTTCAACCACTCATTGACTGCTGAACGTTCAGACTGTGTTCAAATAAGGCAAACACTGAGCTGAAGTCAATCTCACTGTTTCTGTACCTCACTTCTGATTCCTGTATGTCACTTTACCTTTTGTGTCTATAAATTTGTTCTGACCATGCAGTACCCCTGGAGTCACTGAATCTGCTGTGATTCTGGGGGCTGCCCAATTTGCAAATCGTTCATTGCCCAATTAAATTCCTTTAAGTTTATTTGGGCTGAAGTTTTTCTTTTATCAGATGGTGTCAGAAGTGGGATTCAAACTGGAGCTTCTAGTGACCCCCAGGAGTGCTGAGTGAACACGCAAGTTACCTGCAGGACCCACTTGCATCTATTGATTTCTCAGAGCAGCTGGGGATCATGGGTAAGCTCTCTCTTGGATTTCAGAGCTTCACAGATTTTGAGCTCTCCAATCACAGATTTTGAGCTCTCCAAATTTCTTTGAGGAAATTTCTGATCCAAACTGGGTTTGGAGTTATGACAGAACCTGGACTGGGTACAGGAATGAGTTTGATCCAGGAATCAACTGGCTTGGATCCAGTTAGAGGCCTCTTACATCTGGCTGGGTCAGAAAGAAACTGATAGTAAGCAGTAATATTGGAGGGGTTATAGAATTTGGCTTTTGAAAATTCACAGGGATTTTTGTGTTCTACCCGTTTGTTTCATTTTTTCTGTGTGCTTAGGTAGGAAAAATCGTTGACTAAGTTAATCAAGAGAACCTGAGAGTAAAGCCAATATTTTAGGTAAAAATGGAATCCTTATTTCCAGAAAAATGAGTTCCATCTGGCTTATTATACTTTAGGCCTGGGAGGCAGCAAAGTCTTACAGAAATGGCAAAATCTTACTGAAGATCACTTACAGTGGTACCTTCCGAATGAACAACAATGCATTGTAGTACATTTGAAAATGCGGGCTCTTGGTAATGTCCCTTTGGGCTAAGAATGTGTTTGGCACTACAGGATGTCAACTGCTATTCTCTTTGGAATAATATGAGTTGCACTCTTTGCTGAACAGCTGTGGGTGACAGGATCAGGCATGTACAAGACTGTGGGAAATGGGGAGCTTTTTCCTCCCTAAAAGGGGAAATTTGAGAGCTGATGAGACTTCTGGAAAAGATCTCTTTGCTGTCGAGAAGCAGCTGCCTGAACTTTTCAGTGTCGCTGCAATGGGTGGGTCTTTCTCTGTCCTCCATGAGTATTTCGCCTTCCCCACCCTGCCACAGGCAATGCTTTTCTCTCTTTCTTTTCCCTTTCTTATCTTTTCTATTACTCAGGGTGACCATCTTGCCCAGAGACCACATGTTGAAACTCCTGGTCAGAGGTTGGATTTACGATGATGGGGCGCAACCAGGTGCAAGTTTGAGCCTTGTCAGTTTGATATTGGGTACTAAGCAGAGTAGCTAACTTCTATGTTTTGTCACACATATTTTATTCTGGCCCGAATGAAAAAAGGTAATTTTCTTTTATGATGCGACTTGGCCCCAGCATGGTGGTGCAGCAAGCTGAGTCACTAGGGCCGCTCAGGGAAAGGGAACCCAGAAGCCTGGCATGCTGGCAAAAGGATAAGAATTTCTTACCAGTCAGATTTCTGGCTTCTCTCTCTATGTGCAAATGGTTAGATGAATGGTAAAAGTCACTGTTTATTTCCATCTTGTTTTTTGTCCTTGGGAGCCTGACCTTGTAACCACGTGGTAGTACTTTCTCTTGGTCTCTGCCTTCCAGGGAACAGGAATTTTAGGGTTTATGTCACAGTTAGCTCTGAAAATTGTCTTGAGTAGTTAAAAGCCTTTGCAAGCTCAAAATTGATTACTCCAGATTCCTTCTGGGCAGAGCAATGGAGGCTGCCCAGTGCTGTAGGTCAGTGGCTAAGGTTTTTGCCCATTTACACTGGCACGCTGGGTTTGATTCTCTGCTTAGGAAGTAAGTCCTTTTTGGTTTAATATCTGCATGACTTTGTCTAGTCTATTTTCCTCCACAAAATCTCTTACATTTTCCTTTCTCTGAGCACCTGGGAGGTTACCATTGGAAAAGTTCAAAAGCCAGAAGTATCCGCTGTTTGGTCTGGCTAAAATCGGGTAATAAGAAATTTTAAAAGGACTTTATTAAAGAGTGGTATGGTTAAAAGTCAGCTTAATTAAAAGCAGATTTTCAAGCTCTGATAGCCTGGATGCCTTGGGAAAAACAGGAGGCAACAGAACCCCCTTTCCTGGCCCTGTTCTTCCAAGGACTCCACCCTAAAACCAATAACCAATAAAGAAATTTAAAAACTGGCAAATGAAAAAATCTTACAACTACTGTAGTAATCTTCTGTCTGTCTGTCTGTGTAATTATATAGGTTTTGTGTGTGATGTTTATATAAAAGAGCACTAATTAATTGGGCTTAAACAAAAACAAGCACTTAAATATTTTGAAAGCAAAACAAAAACTGTAATGCCTTTTAGCTCATGTAACTTTAGTAATCTTTGGGAAATAAAAACAGCCTTAAAGAATATTGATAAAATTAAGACACTTTGTCTAAATTACACAGGTCAGATATTAGGTTTGCTAAATTCTTTAAGGTCATAAACTGCTTTGACTTTTAAAAATTGTTCAATTTATTTTGGAAACATTAAATTCTAAATAAGACCTGGGGATGTATGGAATTAGCCATGCCCCCTAGCTATGCAAAGAAGGTTATAAAGAAAAGAGGTTTTTTGTTTTTTTTGTAGAAGGAGTCTCACTCTTTTCGCCAGGCTAGAGTGCAGTGACACCATCTCGGCTCACTGCAACCTCTGCCTCCCAGGTTCAAAAAATTCTCCTGCCTCAGCATCCCAAGTAGCTGGGACTACAGGTGCCCCCACCACCATGCCCAGCTAATTTATTGTATTTTTAGTAGAACAGGGTTTCATCATGTTGGCCAGGATGGTCTCGATCTCTTGACCTCGTGATCCGCCTGCCTCAGCCTCCCAAAGTGCTGGGATTACAGGCGTGAGCCACAGCACCTGGCCAGAAAAGAGATTTTATATAAGAAAGGATGTTGTATGCTAAATTCTTGTTTTAAAGTAAAATGATTGGTTGTTTAAAAAGAGGGATGTTTAGGGCAAGTCAGAAAGTCTAAAAATGCCTTACATGGTCTGTGTAAGTCATGAAATAATTTATGAAAAGAAATGTATGCCAGAAATGTTGTACGATTTAAAGGTGATTAGGTCTCCTAAATGCTTCATAAAATGCCACTGTGATTCTTCTTTCTTTTCTTTTCTTTTCTTTTTTTTTTTTTGAGACAGAGTCTCGCTGTGTCTCCCAGGCTGGAGTACAGTGGCCCAGTTTCCGCTCACTGCAAGCTCCGCTTCCCAGGTTCATGCCATTCTGCTGCCTCAGCCTCCCGAGTAGCTGGGACTACAGGCATCCGCCACCACGCCCAGCTAATTTTTTGTATTTTTAGTAGAGACGGGGTTTCACCATGTTAGCTAAGATGGTCTTGATCTCCTGACCTCGTGATCTGCCCGCCTCAGCCTCCCAAAGTGCTGGGATTACAGGCGTGAGCCACCACACCTGGCCACCACTGTGATTCTTAACTGTACAGTTTGCCTGCTTTACAGCTAGGTAAGGCCTGGGACACATGGAAGTAGACACTGGAAAGAGTCAGACCTTATCTTCATTTCTGTTTGGGTTCTAGGCTCCAGACCTAGTACATAATTAAAATCCCTTACTTACCAAAAATTTCATCAAAAGTAAAAGTCACTAAGAGTTAACATTGTAATATGTAATTGAATCTACTGAAAAAATAAGTTTACATGCAAGGTGTGTAAGGAGAATAAGATGTGTTTTGGTAAGAGATTATAAGAAGGTATGGGAATGCAAATTTTTGCCTAGGTTAGAAGGTTAAAGGATTGTTTTAAATTAAATAAAGCTAAAGATTTGAAGAAGTTGTGGAAGGTTTATAAAAAAATTGTAAAAGATTCTATGTGTGAACATATTGGTTGAAGTTAAAATGGCATTATTTATTTTTTTCCATAAATTGGACATTGGAATAAAAGCACAACAGAGTTTTCTTAGAACATTGTTCTGTTCTGAGAAAAAACTATAAAGGATTATAAAAACCTCACCTTATGGCCAAACTAATTAAAACTGAATAGATTTATAAAATGTTGTTAAAAAACTAGCTTTAACGTTAAAAACACACTAATGTAAACATAAAATTCATTTTTCTCTTTTAAAAAGGATTTTTATGTAATATTAAGAGATAATGAAAGGTTTTTATTTACCGTTGAAGTAAACTACAAAAGAAAAAGGGGAAAAAGGAAAGAAAGGAGACAGACTCAGTGGGTCTTGTTTGGAAAGCTGAGTCTCCTCTCTGTCAGAAGGTTTTTTTTTTCTTTTAAAAAATTTTTGAGTCATCATTTTGCCTAAATGAACTACTTATGGTCACCTAAGATTCTATTTTGTAATATCTAATGTTTTAAACCTTCGGTATTTAACAAACCTTTCAAAATCAAGCTTTAGAGTATCATGCTAAATCAGCCAATACTAAAATTGTTTAAAAATACAATTTGAATGAACTCCATGGTCTAAGTCAAATTACCTATGATAAAACATTAGTTATCAGTGCCATGCACTTAAATTGGAGAAACAATTGGTATCCAAGAGGACGTAAGTCCTTTAAGCATGGACTCATGAAGAAACAGGACGGCTGCCTTGTCCTTTCTGAGTTTTTAAAGCTTTTATTATTAAAGTTTCTGCATTCCATGACTCACCATGTAAAAGATAAAATAATCCAAATTGAATATATTTGTGTGGTGACTTACAAATTGCAGAAATAGTTTAAAACCAATGTTTGGTTCTAAATTCCTGGAAGACAATCAAAGCTTCAGGTACATTTGGCTACCTGATGGGCCACTGAAACATTTATAAAGGGATTTCTTTCAATTGTCATTTTCAGTGCATGTTTTCTGGTTGTATAAAAGCTTTCCCATGCAAGAGGGCTGATGTTATAACAGTAGATTATTATGCTACAATGTATTTTCACTGTACCTGGGCCTTCCATCACTGGTGAATTGTTTTCTCTGCTTGGAGTCCATGGTTGATGGTTGATTTTTTTTTTCTATATTTTATAGAATGTTCGTATCTTTTCTGGCACATAGATGGTACCTATCACCAGATTTCAGTGGTAATACAGGTTTTTCTTCATTATAACCATCCTTTACCAGTTCAGTGGAAAATTTAGGAGAGCAATACTGAAAAGTATTGACTCAATATGTTTTAACTACAAGTTTATTTTAAGAATGTATCCAAAGTACAAGACAGTGTTATGCTTCATGCAAACTAAAAAAGATCATAAGAATTCAAATATAAGAATTATTTATTCATGTATGTAACATGACTTCTTAAATTATATTAAAATCATGTTTAAAAAATAATATACAGTTGTATATATGGCATATATATTTACATACACACACATGCATTTAATCATAGAATCTGAAGGAAAGTACATCGAATTTATTTTATATAAAAACAATTATAGTTAATTTTAATTTTCTTCTGGATACTTATTTCTATTTTCTAAAATTTTTTCATCTAATATGTACTTATGTAAAATGAAAATACAAAGAGGACAGTAATTTCATCTTACTAGCTTGTATCTGTGGTGATAAGGGAAAAAATTGGGCCTGGCACAGTAGCTCATGCCTGCAATCCCAGTACTTTGGGAGGCTGAGGCAGGCAGATCACTTGAGCTCAGGAGTTCAAGACCAGCTTGGGCAAGAGACCCCCCATCTCTACTAAAAATACAAAAAAATAGCCCGGTGTGGTGGTACACGCCTGTGGTCCCAGCTACTCAGGAGACTGAGGTGGGAGGATCACTTGAGCTCAGGGTTGGAGGTTGCAGTGAGCTGAGATTACGCCACTGCACTGCAGCCTGTGTGACAGTGAGACCCTGTCTCAGAAAAAACAAAAAATTAAAGCATCAAAATCCATAGATTTTCTTCTCTTTCAAAGAATTTAACTTCGTTAAAGAATAAGTTAAAAACCAATTTAAACTATTTATACTAACGAATTGATTAACCTTCATAAATTAAGATATTTTCATAAGTAATGCAAAAACAAGCAAAAAATAAAAATAAAAATAAATAAACCTCAGAGACGAAAAAAGACATTTTGCAAAGCCACAAAAAAACACCAATTTTATTGGGCTTAAACTCATAATTTACTTCTATTATTTGAATTCAACAGATTTTACTTGTTCATTAATCCAGACTCTTACAAACAGAAATTATACATTTGCTTTTCTTCTTACAGAGTTCATATTTTGAAAGTATAGGCTTGTCTGTGTTAGGCAAACTTAACCAACCAGTCAAAGTCACTAAACCCTGAAGAGCAAATTACAATGAACAATATGCTAATCGGGAGTAAGGATTGAGTTACACCCTTTGCCTAGAGAGAGGAGTCAATTAAAATATCTAAATATAGCAACGAGAATAAAAAACCAGAGGCAAGTAGCCCATGTAAGGAAGGACACATGGCTGGAAAAAAAAAATAAAGATAGAAAGCAAACAGGAAACAACTTTGGAATGATGGTTTTTATTCAATTCATACTCTGTGAGGCCCTGTTTTTCATACACCCTTTTTTATTTACTTTGAAAACATAGACTTGTTTTGTTCTCATAACAGCTCCATGTAATAACATGTAAAACTCCTATCAAATTTCCCTGAGACATATGAGGCAGGCAAAGGATGCGTTTCTTGGCTCTAAATTGCCGGACAACCACTTCTTCACCTGCTCCATCCCAGCCGCAGCTGTTCCTTTTACTCACAGATGATGGAGTCTCTTGATACCCTGTCCTGGATCCACTTACAATGCCAGCTTGAAATATCAGCAGCTGTCCTTCTCATTAAGATTTGGTTTAGAAACCATTTTATTCATAATTGCCTTTGTCTGATATTTGACTACCAATAAGTGGCACATGACCTGGATTTGCTGATAGTGTTATTTGTCTCCCTTCTGCCTAAGTTTCTTCTGTACAAAATCAGTATGTTCAGTTATCTCTGCTGATGATGGGGGAAGAGGGGAGCACATTACCGTGCTCTCACTCCCATTTCCTTCTTTACTGTGGATAGTCATAAGATTCATTTCTATCATATCCTATTTCCATGGGGTCTATCTGCCACCTAAGCTTTTGAATACATGCATGGAATATCTGAATGTCTATCCTTAGGCATGTGTTTAGCCACTGTATTCAGTTTCCACCTAGTATTTTTGTTTCATTTTTTCCAGGTATTCTGACCCTCTGATCTTACGTGTCAACTCAATACACAGCTCAGGCCTTCATTGAATTGAAAACTCATCTAGACCTGATTCTGCTTTTCACCCTTAACTCTTAGCACTCTCTTTCTCTCTTAGGTATGATCCCATCCTAAAAGGCTGGTTCCATAAATTCACAGATTGCTCAGAAATATTTACAAAGAATTACACAGAGTTCCCTTTCATGAATACTCTCTTGGACATAGGCAATAGTCCAGAACATACTTAATTTGGATACAACACGTGAGCTTGTTGAGTGATTTCCTACTATTCCATGAGATGATGACCCAACTGTGAATACTAACCCATTCTCACTTGGCCTCTTGTTTATTCTTTGGCAAGTACTTTAAAGACAACCTCATGTGATTTTTCTGTTTTGAATAGTGCTACCAAGTAGCAGTAGTAACTGAAGTTTGAAACTTTTTGTCTCTCCTGAGATTCACAGAATAATGAGATCATTTTCTTTATATACTCCTAAATCCCATACCTCTTCAACATCCTGAACAATTTTCTCATAGGTCACACCATTCCACTTTTCAGCTATCATATATCTATAAGGTAAGCATTATTATTATTATTATTTACTTTCAGCCAAAATCTATCTCATTTTTACCCACCTATGAGACAGAAAGTTATGATTTTTTTTTGTCTTTAGGAAAGACATATGATGGTTTGAAAACACAGTGAGAACAATGCTTCTGTCTCTTGAATCTGGGCGGGCTCTCTGATAGCTTCAAACAATAGAGTATGCAGAATTGGCACTCTGACTTTCAAAACTGGTCATAAAGCCCGTGAAGCTTCTGCCTTTGTCACTGGAGTGCTCACTATTGAAGCCCAGAGCTTCCATATTAGAAGCCTGGCTACCCTGAACTCACCATGCTGGAGGGGCCACATACAGCCCCCATGCTTGAGAGCACAACTGAGGCTGTCCTATTGCCTTCCCAGCCCAGGTACAAGACTTCTTTTTTTGTTTTGTTTTGTTTTTTAAAATTCAGAGTTTAGTTAGGCCACTGGGCAAAAAAAGGGGTAAATACTGTATACATGTTAGAATTTCTTTTTTTTTTTTTGTTTTATTATTATTATACTTTAAGTTTTAGGGTACATGTGCACAATGTGCAGGTTAGTTACATATGTATACATGTGCCATGCTGGTGTGCTGCACCCATTAACTCGTCATTTAGCATTAGGTATATCTCCTAATGCTATCCCTCCCCCCTCCCCCCACCCCACAACAGTCCCCAGAGTGTGATGTTCCCCTTCCTGTGTCCATGTGCTCGCATTGTTCAGTTCCCACCTATGAGTGAGAACATGTGGTGTTTGGTTTTTTGTCCTTGCGATAGTTTACTGAGAATGATGATTTCCAATTTCATCCATGTCCCTACAAAGGACATGAACTCATCCTTTTTTATGGCTGCATAGTATTCCATGGTGTATATGTGCCACATTTTCTTAATCCAGTCTATCATTGTTGGACATTTGGGTTGGTTCCAAGTCTTTGCTATTGTGAATAGTGCCGCAATAAACATACATGTGCATGTGTCTTTATAGCAGCATGATTTATAGTCCTTTGGGTATATACCCAGTAATGGGATGGCTGGGTCAAATGGTATTTCTAGTTCTAGATCCCTGAGGAATCGCCACACTGACTTCCACAATGGTTGAACTAGTTTCCAGTCCCACCAACAGTGTAAAAGTGTTCCTATTTCTCCACATCCTCTCCAGCACCTGTTGTTTCCTGACTTTTTAATGATCGCCATTCTAACTGGTGTGAGATGGTATCTCATTGTGGTTTTGATTTGCATTTCTCTGATGGCCAGTGATGGCGAGCATTTTTTCATGTGTTTTTTGGCTGCATAAATGTCTTCTTTTGAGAAGTGTCTGTTCATGTCCTTCGCCCACTTTTTGATGGGGTTGTTTGTTTTTATCTTGTAAATTTGTTTGAGTTCATTGTAGATTCTGGATATTAGTCCTTTGTCAGATGAGTAGGTTGTGAAAATTTTCTCCCATTTTGTAGGTTGCCTGTTTACTCTGATGGTAGTTTCTTTTGCTGTGCAGAAGCTCTTTAGTTTAATTAGATCCCATTTTAGGAAAGAAACTTTCTTGGAAATAGCCTGGCTAGCCCAGTTATTCTATCACCCAGCCACTTGAGGCACCCCGAGCTATTCCAGTCATCCAAGATGACATGGAAAAGGACCACCTTTGATGTGCATTTTCTGAATCCTTGACCCACAGAATCCATGAGCATAATAGTTGTCTTAACCAAGTTTTGGGGTGGCTTGTTATGCTGCAATAGGTAACTGAAACAGGAGAATGGGGTATATCTTGTTCCCTTATCTCATTTTACAGAAGATGAAATTGACATTTCTCTTAAGATTTGGTTACTAAATCATTTTTTGTGCTCATTATCTTCCTCTGAATGGATGATGTTTGATGAATGACAAGTACAACAGTAGGCTGTCGCCACTTTGTTCTGGACCCTTTACCTCTGTCAATACAGATTAAAACTAAATTTCCTTTTTAGGCACCCATATTGTTGTTCAATTAGGTGGGGAGTCAACTCATAGTTCTTAGGCTTCTTATAACACCTGTCAACTCCACCTTTTACTCTATTAAATGTTTTATTAGTTCCAATTCACTATTTCAGCCTGTAGAAATAATTTTAAATTCTGACACTTTTATAAAATGTATTTGACACTTTATAATCTTAATGTTACTTACACATTAAAAAATAATGCCATAAAGTTTTCTATATCATTATTTTAGTCGCTCTCTGCTCTTCACAATTAGTCATGGATTCTATGTGCCATTTATGTAAGAAAAAAATGTTTGAACACAAACATAAGCAGTAATTGAACCAATGTGTAAGCAGATACACTGTAATGAAAATCTGTGAATGAAACTTCCTCTTACATTGTTTTATTTCTTCTTTTTAGCAACATGATCAGCTAGGCATTTATTATGAATAGAGAAACTGAGGCTCATAGAGATTCAGTGAATGTTGCAAGGCTGAGTTTAAACATAAACGTGTCTCTCTCCCAAATCTCTACCATTTCCTTTGTACCACAGCACCAGAAATAGGACACTCAGAAGATAGCAGTAATGACTATGCGTAGAACCTCAGTCAATAAATCAAGACTCACCTAGGATAATTGACTTGTGCTCTCTCTGGAATTTAGCTGTATGTTTTGTCTTAGAAACTGCTAAGAAGGTTAGGAACAAAAGTTGTTTTCAGCCACGACAACAAAGTTAAACGCATTTTAGATAAATAACTCAGAAGAACTTGCTCTAGGAAAATATATTTGGCAAGGAAAATCGCTCATCCTAAAAGAATAATGTGGTACTTAATTATGAAAGATGACTTTGAAAAGAAGTAAGGAAAAGAAGTTAATGCAAAAATGACTCAAGTTTGGTTGGTGATATGCTGCAGTGTGTGGTGAGGTGACTCTGGGAAAGCAGACATAAAACTATTAAGGCTAAAAGTCATTATCTTTATTCTCCAAACTTGCTTCTTCCTTTCCATTCCTGATATTGAATCACTACATTCCCACTCACATAGTCACCTAGGCAGAAACACATGTGTAAACTTCAATTTTCTCCTCTCCCTTTCCGACACTTTTTTTTATCTAGTCGCCAAGCAATTTTGATTCTGCTTACAAAAACACTATAACCCATTGCCTTCTTTCCAACTTCACTGTCCCTGGCTTAAGTCAGGTCAGCATTACCTCTCCTCTCCTTAACAGTAATAATTTCAATGTTCTTTTTGCTTCTAATTTCTCCCCATTTCAATTTAGATTACAAGCTGCCATGATAGTTTTCTGAAATTAGAACACAATCACTTTCAACATTTATTGAGACATTGTGGCATGCACCACACCACAAGCTGGTATAAAAAATGAACAAGGCCCAGGCCCCATCCTCAAAAGGCTAACACTCTAGTGGCTATTCAGAGGAGTGTGTCATTAAAATGGAAAAGTCAATAATGTGAAGGCAAGTTTAGGGATGATATGGAAACACAGGAGTGGAATAAGACCTATTCTTGGGAGCATTGCTCCCTATTTAAATTCTAAATGATGTCCCACCCCAAATTTAACCTACAAGATACAGTCCAGATTCCTTAATTAGTGTTTGCAGTGTTTTTTTTTTTATGGTTAAGTTATAACTTGTCAAACCTGTATTTAATATCTAGTTTAAGTCAGTGCTTTTTTTTTTCTCTATATTCTTCCACCAGCAGAAATTTAAACTAAAGACATCAATTCAACTTAGAGCAACATCTAGCTATTTCATTTAATTTTTTAACTTTCTCAATTTTGATTGCTAGAGGTGAAGTCTTAGGTTGGTCTCACAATTTTCGAAAATGACAGCTTGAAGTTCACATATTGCTTGCCTCATTCTCCCAAGGTGAATGATCTGAGTGTGGTTCAATTTATTGTACATGGCATTTATAGACGAGACCTTTAATGTTCCCAAGACAGGGAAGTGTCTCCGTTTTTAAAGGTTCCATGACATTCCTTTACATTCTAAATTTTCCCTTAGGTCTTCATTAATCCATTTCCAAATTGGGATTGTCTTTCTGCTCATATTTGACAATTTTGTCATAAAGTAAATCTCTTTTCGGATTTAAGAAAAAAATAGACATCATATAAGAGACTCATGGGAAGAAAGATTGTTTTAGCCATCTCCAGCACAGCTGAAGTTCATAGCAGCTGTGGAAAAAGGCTACAGGACTATGGAGGCAAACATGTTTCTTACTTCTACTTGCTAGCCTATGACTAACACATTCTGTTTGCCCTGAGCTTCTGTTTATTCATCTAAAAAAATGGGAACAGTCATGCAGCATAGCTCTGACAGTCACAGAGTTTTCTTGAATTTTAAAATTCTGATAGACCACTATAGTATATACTCTCTAATATAAAATGGCATAAAAATATCTAAATACTTTTACTTTCTTAATGTTTCTATACATAAATAACCAATGTCCTATTCAATTTTTTTCAAAACCATAAAATAATGTTTCTGTTTTGTTTCCTTCATTTGGGTTTGTTATTACTTTATAGAGCTCACATGAAGAGGACAGGGTAGCAGGGTGCAGGCTGAGATGCCAGACCTGTCATCAACCTGCCAAACTCTCTAATGGGAGAAATCATTATACTATGGATGCTGCCCTCAAAGTATACCTGAAATCAGAACATATCACAAAATATAAGGTGGACTTTCTACAAGTGGTTAAATCTTCTAGTTGTGGATTAATGACATGAGACTGAATCTCTATCTCATATGATGGTTGTAAAAATTAAGAGACACCATATGTGAACCATGTCACATAGTATCTTGTCCAATATAGACACTCAATAAAGGTTTTTTTTTTTGCCCATCTTGTTAGCCAGAAAGATGGTATTTATCTTTTTATCCACAGTCTTGTCCCATGCCAAGATGGACTGTTTCAGTCACATTAGAATATATTTGTCTAACAATATATTCATATGCAAAAGCCACACAACTCACTTCAGGATTATAAAAACAAACTTGTTCAAATCTCCCTCATAGCTTTTTTTCCCATTTTTGTTGTGATTGTTTTGCCTCAGGCTGGCCATGGGCTCACGCCCACCATACGTCTAATTCTCACATGGGCACTACGTACATAGCTCAGCATTTTGCTAAAATGTGAATAGATGTTCTACCACAGAGGGCAGAATGTAGAGTGTTCTATTAATGGAATTTTACAGATAGCAAAGTCTTGATTACAAAATAGGTCCACAAATATTTGCTGAACAAATAAATAAACAAATATGATAGCCTCGTATATGTTTAAATAAATAGAAATACAGTAACACAGTTAATCCTTTAATTGTCAGCATGTGCCTCAGCAAATTGTCCATGGGGATGAACTTCTCCAGATTATACCTTTAATAAGCCAATGACAGTATTACATGGAGGTACATAGCTTCCTACTGTCACCTGTTTATGCTTAATGAGCCTCAGGGTTGCTGTAATCTCTGGTGGCCCTGGGCCACACCTGGGAGTGCAAAGGCAACAGAATTCCCTTAGATCCTCTGTTGTAAGAATCTGTCAGACTTAACACATTCTTTGGTCTGTTCCTCTTCCAATTTTATTTTTAGACTATATTTGAAAACCGGTCATTTGATTGGGAGACTGTTCTCTTCATCTAGTTTTTTTTCAGCCTCTTTCTTGCTTTATCAATCCCAGATTGATGACCAGACATCCTTTGAGTCTTCAACCTTTTTTGTTTGTTTTGTCACCCTACTCCCTCCTATCAGACCTGATTGTTTTGCCTCACCACTTCACATTACTATGGATCAAATATAGGTTTATTCTTCTTTTTTGTACCTGGTCCAGCATCATTGCCTTGACTGATTGTCCCTAGGTGCCACTGAGTTTGTTCTCATCTGCCTGATGAGAACTCTCAATATACTCCTAAGCCACAGATATCCTGTTTTTGGCAGGTGTGGATTATTCTCACATTGAAATATACCCTTTAAAAAATAAGTCTACCTCAGAATGGTGAAGCTATCCAAGGATATTGGCAAATTGTGCATGTGGTAAGCTATCTGACAAAATATGTGCAAATATGTTGTTTTAAATACAAATATGAATGCTCATGTATTTGTCTATTTACTTGTCAATTATGCATTGCAGGATGATTTTAATGATGTTGTATTTTTGTTATTATTAAAATCTGTTTATTTGCATGTGCCTATGTCCCGCAAATGCTCTGTTCAACATTCAAACATCTATTGACTATCCACAATGTGCAAAGCACCGTGCTTGGTACTATTCTTTGTAGCTCATGGCCCAAAGGACAAGTTGTATAGATTTTGCTTTTCTTTTACTTTTATTTCTTTGCTTTACGGATTGTTTTCTTCATCAACTGCTCAAATACAGTGCAACAGTGTTGATTGTATTTTTTACTGAAATAGTCTCAGGACAGTGTTATGAATATGATGGGTGTTCAGAAAATTAATGTCTTCTATAGACAAGAATACTGAGTTTAGAGAGGGAGAATAAAATCAGCAGGTCAAAATTAATCAAACCAAGGATTGTGTTAATCCGACTCTATCTCTGTAAACCTCCAAATAGTTCAGTGAAGGTCTGAAACCTCAGAGACAGTAGTTAGAAGAAAAATTTTTCAGATCTACCTCTAGGCATCTTCAGAGACATTGTATTGAGGGCACCTTTCTGATGTGTAAGAGGGGTACTGAGGTTTCTATGAATTCAAGAGGGCAGGAATTATGAAAACTGAGTCAATTTCATGGAGACAGGGAAGCAAAGTGAGCTTCCCGTTAAAAATGCTCAGTCTGAGAAAAATAAACATCTTCCTTTTAGAATTCCAAATAATATATAGAGAGATATCACCACGACCACCACCTTCCTTGAGTGTGGGACTGGGGGTTACATTTAGTGACTCACTTTCTAAGAATGGATTACAGAAAGAGAAAACCAGTAATGTACAGTGGAGAAACTGGAAATCACTACCTTACCCAAGTGCTCAACTTTGACATCAGCACTGGTCATTCATGTGGGTATCATGTACCTGCTGACATAGTGTGATGAGAAGGCTTTAAGATTGTTGTATTCTTCCCCAACATTTATATAACCCCAGTGTAATCATGACAAAAAATCAGACAAACTCAAATTGAAGGACATTCTATACAACATGACCAGTACTCTTTAAAGCTATGAAGATGATGAAAAGCAAGGAAAGTCGGAGGCATTGTCACAGTTTTTAATTTTTATTTCATAACTGGGGGGCCTGTTAATTTAAAATATTTTCATCATTGAATATTGATAATATGCCGATCAGGAGAAAATTCAAGTACACTGATTCTCTGACAGACTGGTGAGGGAATGAAAGGGTGTAATACTGTTCCAAAGGCATTTTATTTTTCTGGGAAGACATACAAGGTGGTGACTAGCAAAGACTGTTGCATTTGGTACAATTATATAAAACTGATATTCATCTTTACAATTATACTGTTCCACCATAATATATATCAGTGACAACTTTCTTAGGAGTATTATAGAGAGTAAGAGTTCTGTTAGTACTATTACAGTAGTCTCCCTGCATTAAATATTTGAATTTGAATTCAAAAAAATTGTAGATTGAAAGGTATTTTTCTCTTAGATTGTTTCAAAAGGTTATATATCACATTTTCCCTCAAATGTATACACTTTCCCGTCTCTCTAGTCCAGGGCATACTTGAGAGTGAAAAGTCTGTTTTCTCTGTGCTGTAAAGAAATGAGCCTGCTGAGGGGGAAAAAATCAAAGATGTATGGTGAAGTGTTAAGCAGACTTTCTTCCACCTTGTTAAGAGCAATGGAAGGTTACTGTGGCCATGGCTTCACTAGAGAGCAAGCTCACCTTGTTGGTTGTGTATTATCTTTTGATTTCCTCCTGCAGATCTTTTTCTTTTTAATTTTCTTCCGTGTGACATCTGCTGTTGAGTCTGAGCAAGATCCAAAAAAGATGAGGTTTCAGCGGCTTGGGTTTATCTACCTGCAGTTCAGTGATGCGATACTACAATCAATGCCTAGCCCAATAGGCAATGGGCTGATACTCCTACGAGCCAATTCAAACACATATTGCAATAAAAGCAGTAACAGTAAAATGTGAATTAAAAATACCTTCTACAGGATTCTCTTGTCATATAAATAAAATCGTCTGTGGAAGTTCTTATAAGTAGGAACATTTTCAAATATTTGTTGTTTTCACCACAAAATGATTAAAAAATAGCAATATTTTATCTTTAATTTTTTTAAATAGCAGTCTTTCCACTCTGATCACTTCAGAAAGGTTGTCTGAATCAGGTGCTACCTAAAAAAAATCCAAAAAATGTATTGAAACCTGGAATATTCTAGAAAATAAATACAAATCCCTTAAACACTAAAAAAGACAAGAAAATTGTCCCAGAGTTTATCAAAATTATCCATGTAAAATCACTTTGATAAATGCTATTGTTGACTATCTTGATTTCTACCAAATTACTTGTAGCCAAATCATTTCCAGCTAAATGATATAATATTTAATAAACAGCAGTGGGTAATAAAAAGCAAACAATGAAGAGTTTAGAAATGTATTTCATGGAACTTTACGAAAGCGGATTTTTTTTTTTTTTAGACGGAATCTTGCTCTGTCACCCAGGCTGCAGTGCAGTGCAGTGGAGCTATCTCGGCTCACTGCAGCCTCTGCCTCCCTGGTTCAAGCAATTATCCTGTCTTAGCCTCCTGAGTAGCTAGGACTAAAGGTGCACTGCCACACCTGGCTAATGCTAATTATTTATTAAATTAAATTAAATTAATTAATTAATTAATTATTTTGAGACGGAGTCTCGCTCTGTCTCCAGGCTAGAGTGCAGTGACGCAGTCTTGGCTCACTGCAACCTCTGCCTCCCAGGTTCAAGCGATTCTCCTGCCTCAGCCTCCTGAGTAGCTGGGACTAAAGGCAAACACCACCATTCCCGGCTAATTTTTGTATTTTTAGTAGAGACGGGGTTTCACCATGTTTGCCAGGATGGTCTCGATCTCTTGACCACATAATCTGCCCGCCACCACCTCCCAAAGTGCTGGGATTACATACCTGAGCCACTGTGCCCAGCCAATTTTTTGTATTTTTAGTAGAGACAGAAGTTTCACTATGTTAGCCAGGATGGTCTTGATCTACTGACCTCATGATCCACTCACCTTGGCATCCCAAAGTGTTGGGATTACAGGCGTGAGCCACTGTTCCCGGCTTCGATTTTTAACAGAAGCCATATCTAGCAGGTTGGGTGTTTCAAAACATATTGAGTTGATCAATTTGAAATAAAAGACATCTATAAATCAGAGTACAAATAAATAAGGTTTATAAATGTAAAGATAATAAAATTGAATAAAATATCAATAGAATTGTAACATCCTGGTCGATTGCATGGTTTTTTGACTGATTTCCTGTTGCTACTTGACCCTCTAGAGTCTATTTTCAGCCCAACATTCAGAATGGTTCTTTTAAAACTGAAGTTTATTTCACTCTTTTGTTCAAAATCTTCAACAGATTTCTATGTCCCTCAGTGTAAAACTTGAAGTCCTTTCAACAGCCTCTGGACCCCTGATGCCTCTCTGACTCTTCTCTCTTCTCCTACATCTCCTTAACCCTTATTTCACTCCAACTGGACCAACCTTCTTTTGGTTTCTTGAATTCTTCAAGAAAACTTCTGCCTCAGGGTTTTGCCTTTGCTGTTCCTTCTTGGGACACACTTCTCTCATATATCCAGATGATTTGCTCTCTTGCCTCACTGAGATCTCTGTTTAAATGTCATCTCCATGAGACTTCTCTGACTACCTGCTCAAAACTTACCCCCTTTGGAAGTCACTGAGTCATTCTTTTTCTGCTTCATTTTTCTGCACAACCAAGAGGATATAAAGCAGGGCTTAAGAGAAGACTAGCAAAATCTCTTATCCTCATCTTCTACCATGTTTTTCCTTATAATATCTAACAACAGAGATTTTTGTTATTCTTTAAATATGTCCAGTTTAGCTATGCCTTAGGCTTTTACACTTGCTGTTCTATGTGCTTTAGCTCCTCTTTAAATAAAGGTTTATTATTCTTTATTGGTCAGGATTTTGCTCAAATATCCCCCATAA
Organism: Homo sapiens; assembly: GCF_000001405.40. NCBI lineage: Eukaryota > Metazoa > Chordata > Mammalia > Primates > Hominidae > Homo > Homo sapiens. Next base: position 76,489,968 of record NC_000002.12, read on the forward strand.
GAGATGCCCTTCTATCTGAACATGACTTCCTTGTCTACCACCCCTCCACCATCATTCTTGGACACTTTGCCCTTGTGTATTCTCTTCACAGTTTTTAACATGATTTGAAATCACATTATCATTTTTTACTCATTTATAGTCTATTTTTTCTATTAGAAAGTAAGCTTGATGAAGGGAAGAAATTTGTTCACAGTTGCATCTTGATTATAAAGGACCATGCCTGATATGTACTAGGTGTTCAAAATATACTTTAATGTTTTCTTGAATGAATATCTCCAGAAGAAAGGAGGAGAAGAAATAATGAAAATAATTTTGGAATATAATTTCCCTAATATAAATATGTTTTGACCTTCAGCTGTAAGTAAAATTAATATAAACTTGACGCTAGTAGCTTGAATGGGTTTATTGCTTATGGTAACACAAAGTCCGGAAGCAGACAACTGCAAGTTAATGCAGCAGCTAAGTAAGAGTATCAGGGCTCTTTCTAATGTCCTGCACTGCTGTCCTTAACGTGGCTCTATGGTTTTTTGGTCCAAAGATGGCCACTTTAACCCCATGTATTAAGACTGTATTCCAGGCAGAAATAATGAGAAGAGCCAAGGTGAAGATCACATGCAGGATCATTCTTCTCTGATTATTGTTTGGTCACAAAGTCAAAGCCTGTAGATATATTCTCGAACTTTCCGAATTCTTGCACAGACTACCTTTGGCATGGATATCTGATGCAGCATCAGATATAGATGCTGCATCTATATCATATAGATATAGATATAGAAAATAAATTTTCTATTAGCAAGATCTGCAGAGAAGCAAAATCCTTTTCTTAATTAGGCAAAATATGTTACATAATCATATATTAAATGTATAAGGAAGATAACATTTCTGTAAGTCCTACTTGAAATATTTCCACCAACTGCCATAATTATGTCACTCTGTTACATAACCACCACTGTTTTCAAAAGATCAGTCAATCAATTGATTTGCTAACTAAGAAGGCACTTGGAAAAGTATCAGGTAAATTATAAACATAATGCATTTTATTTTCCCTTCTCATTTGAAATAAATACATTTTTCCCCACATATTCCCAAGGGGCAAGAGGCAAGTGGCAAAATTAGTAGGTAGGTTATACAATTTTTTTTTTTATATTTCCCAAACTACCTCTTTGGAGTCCAAAATGCTCTAACTTTATATTGAATCCATATAAAGTAGGGTAGAATTTAAAACTTTTAGCTTATACACTAATGGTCATAAGTTTTATGTATATCAAAGAAACTTTTTAATTATGTAGCAGAATGAGACAAAATATCTTCACCAATTTCTATGCAGTGACTCACTATATATTAGGATTGTCAGTGGCAGGTTTAATATGTTTTGCCTAATTAAGACAAGGATGTTGCTTCTTTGCAGATCTTGCTAATAGAAAATTTATTGATGCTGCATCAGAAATCCATGCCAAAGGCAGCCTGTGCAAGAACTTGGAAAGTTCGAGAATATATCTATACAGGCTTTGACTTTGTGACCAAACAATAGTGCCTTGCCCCCATGAAAACAGAGTAGTCCCCAAGCTATGCTTCTCTGCAATAAACTAATTGCTCCCTGACTACATTTAGGATTGTGCTTCAGTGACAATTCTAAAAGTCATTCAAAATGTGTTATTTTCTTTGTCACATTGAGGCTCTCTGATTGCATCAGTGTCACTGACCACTTCCTCCTTTATATCTTCTTTCAGTCAAGGACATCACCCTCCATTGGATGTTCGTGAGCATTTGAGATTATGCAATTTTTGTTACTCCAAGTTTTCATTTGAATTAGTCATATCTCCACAGCCATTTTGTGTGTGTCTTAAGAGAAGAGACTGCCAGCATTTAATTGATACTTACTCACAGTAAAAGTTTTAGCTTGAATTTATATATCTCTTCCCCATCATAAAGCATGCACTACCTGTGCATTTGTGGGCACCATAAAGTACCTGTCTGTTCATGGGTGTGTAAAAATTGCTTAATGAAGACTATCCTTCCTACTTTTTATAACGTTTTTGCATTTTTCAGGCAATTTCTACAAGTTAGTACAAGATATCAGACTCCACCCCTTCCCTTCCCTCCCCTCTCCTCCCCTCTCCTCCCCTCCCCTCCCCTCCCCTCCCCTTCCCTTCCCTAGAGAGTCTTACTCTGTTGCCTAGGCTGGAGTGCAGTGTCATGATCTCAGCTCACTGCCAACCTCTGCCTCCCAGGCTCAAGCAATTCTCATGCCTCGCCTCCTGGGTAGCTGGGATTACAGGCACATGCCACAATGCCCAGCTAATTTTTGCATTTTTAGTAGAGATGGGGTTTTACCCTGTTGGCCGTGCTGGTCTAGAACTCTTAGCCTCAAGTGATCAACCTGCCTCAGCCTCCCAAAGTGCTGGGATTACCAGCGTGAGCCACCGTGCCCAGCCTGCTTGTCTGTTTTAACAGAAATCAAATGACAGTAGCTTAAACAAGTTAAAAAATTATTTGGGGTTTACATGATTATAATTAAAAGCCTAAGCTCATTGATTGTTCAGGCTAATTCTTCTCAATCAAGACACTTAGAGACCTAGATTTCTTCTCTTTTATTGCTCTGTCTTTTCCGAGGGTATTCTCCTTGACCACACGGATGAATCTGGCTCACTAGCAGCCCATCAGCATTCCAGACCACGGGGAGAGAGAAAATAAAACTAAAGGGCACATTGCTTCCATTTAAGGATGTGGCCTAGGAGTTGAACACGTTGTTTCAGTCCTTTGGTCAAAATTCAGTCACAACACCATACCTAACTACAAGAAAGGCTTATAAATGTTGCCTTTACCTGGGAAGCCATATGCCCAGCTAAAATTGGGGATTTTGTTACCAAAAGGAAGTAGGGTGAGTGGTTATTAGGGATCATTTAGTGGTCTCTGCCACAACAGTATTGCCTGCAACTTAGATACAACTCTATAAACATTAGTCTTCTGATTTCAGATACCTCTGTTTAACAATACTTGAAGAGACTCATTTATTCAAAGGCTTTATAAAGGCCAGAAAATTATGAATTGAAAAGGAAGTAACACCACATAATCAACTATATACAATTTATAAAAACAATTAACCCTAGGGAAAGTTTGCAACGATTTACTGATAACATATGGGTCTAATTATTGCGTAGTCCAGATGTTAACTATCAATTTTTCCACACAAACTTATCATGGAGACAGGAAAGGGTAAGAGAAATCTGTCTGTCCTTGCTTCTCGTTCATTCTTCAGGTTTTGTTAGTTCAGTGCATCCCTAAGTTGTAGAAATGCAGCCACTCCCTTATTTCATGGAGGTTTCTATGTTATTAACTAAAATCAGACTTTTTACTTCCTTAAATTAAGGTTGGTATATGATTAAAACTAATTTCACTTACTCTGTTTTAATTGCTGAAAGTCCATGTTTTGGAATGTGGAATATTTATCAATGGCATGCTTATGTTTATCATTATTTTTGTTTCCAATAGCTAACAAACATATGAATACAAATTTAAGGATGTCTAAGAATACAGTTATCTTCTATTGCATGCTACAGTGGTTGTTATAGAACGTTCTCTCCGTGCTCTTTCAGACAAATACATTTCTGGCCACTTTGGGAATCTGAAACATCTCCAGGCCTGGGAGATGTTTCCCTGCTACTTTAGGATCCTTTTTAACTGATATTTCTTGTGCTGCACAGCAGGGTGTAGAAAATATTTAACTTGCTATTTAACATGTTATGATAAATAACATGTTATATTCTGAAATAATTCATTGCAGAAGTGTAATGGTTTTAGAGGAAAACACCCAAACACACACATTATATACCTCAGCCTTGCCACAATGTAAATGAAAGACAGAATGATAGACATATTGTAGAGAATTTGAGAAAAATAACATTTATTCCCTGTTTTTTAAATTTCTGGGAAGGCTTTTGGAAGAAAATTGAAAGTCAAAATAAGTATTGTGTGACTTTCTTCATTGTAAGTAGCCACTTAATAAGATATATAGACAACGACTCCTTCCTGGAAAGATTTTGGTAATTATCTTCCATCCTTTTAGACATCCTATTAGATATCTCTGAAACTTTTAGATCACTCTTGGAAAATATATAATCTTCCATCAAAAGAAAACAGCAATTCAAGAAGCATCATAAGAAACAGCACAGTTGGTCGCATTTTTAAAAGTCAAAAGGAGCTTAACTCTTTAATATAGTAAAAACAATGGCAAGAACCTGTACCAGATCTCTAGGTTGTCCACAGAAATACCACATAGACTAATAAAGTTACGATTAAATTCTTCATGAGGTCCCTGTGCCCGAGTGATTAGCAAGTATCCAGATGCAGAAACATGCTCATGTGAAACGTCATTTAGATTACATCTCATCATGTCATTGCATGTTCTGCCACCTCAAAAGCCAAAGTGTTCTGGCATGCTAGGTTACGCTATCTCAGACAACACTCTAATATTTAATCCATTTTCTATTTACTACAGCCACTGATTATCTTCTCCAGATTTAGTAAAACATCTGTGATACTATTCTTGACAAACAAGATTATAATCCCTAGAGGTCTTTATTATTTTCACTGACTTCTGTACCCTTAAAATGGCTTATTTGTCACATCAACCAAAACTCCCTGCCATTTGTTGAACCTTTGAGCACTATTTCATTGTTCCAATTATTTTAAATGAGAATGTTCTCACACACTTCCATGCTTCATCTTCATTGCCACACATTTCTTTATAAAGTTGATAAACAATTTTGAACTCCAAATTATGCCCTACATGTCACAAAGCTGCAGCTGTAAGCTGCAGCATTAAAATATGAGCTGAGAGTTGACATCAGAACAAACAAGGTCATCATCAAATAACTGCTAAGATTAGGTTCCTTTTTATCACTTGTTAATTGCTATATCTGTCCGGTTGGTGGGAAAATCCAATATGCTGTTTTTAGATAGCTTCACAGCCAATGTAGTATTGTAGCTAGTGTCAACACTTTGGCCCCTGTTGCTTTCAATAGGAATTTAATGCCAATTTATCTATTCCTTCTGCATGTATTGAGCACCTATCATTTATTTGTCAGGCATTGTTCTAATGCAATAGGGCTACAGGTGTGAGTAGACCACAATCTCTGTTTACTGTGTGTTTCTGTGGACTGTTGTAAAGGTTTTACAGTCCACTTAGAGACCACTTAGTAATATACAGAGTTTTGGATGAATAGAAATACATTTATAAATATCAAGCCTTAAAAAGAGAAGGTAATATGAAATCATTTTAGGCTGCTATTGGTCATCTATAATATTTTTAAAATCTGCCAAAGATGTCACCAAAGAAGGTTCCATTGTATATTATGTGTAACATGAGGGAATTAAACAAATAAAATGAATAAAGTGTTTATACATGAAAAAATATCAAAAGTGTGCATACTGGATACCTGACTTCCATCCCAAGAATAATTTCCTTCATCTTTCTCATAATGGGTCATTTTATAGACTCTTTCTGAGTTCTGACATTCACTGAGGAGCTAGAAAGAGAGGTAAAATGATTTTCATAGGCTCTGTAATATGTGCCCATATAAAGCATGTAAGGGGCTCACTTGTACCCTCCGAAAAGAGTTTCCTTTCCATTTTCCATTATAGGCCACTATTATAAAAGCTTTGATTTACATAATAAAACAGCAGAAATCAGATTACATTAAAACTGACACAATATTCTGCATATAATGAACTTAGTGACACTTAAGTCAAACAATATTTGATTCAACAAATTTTCATTTGGATAGTCTTCTGGTGCTTGTTTAATGGGATATTTGAATTGTAAATTAGAAAGACCATGTAATTATTATTTCACTCCTGATTTCCATGTAGGTCTTTTCTTAACATGGACAATACAGTACTTTGTTCCCTGTGGACATTTCTGAGCAGATACTCTGTGAAATAATAATAATAATAAAAAAAACTTCTTGTTGGAGTGTGGGAGACACAGGTTATATGATCCCCTTTATTAAATATCCAGTGAGAATCTCCAAAGGATCTCAGTAGATAAGCACTATTCATCAGAGGGCTTGCTGTTTGCCAGCAGAGCTGGGGAGGTAGAGCTCTGGCTATTATTGAGCTTCCAAATGGAAGGTGTCATAAAGGAGAATAGGCAATAGGAATGAAGCCAGGTCTCCACTCAGAGTAGCAATTTACTGCTGCTGCTTTATTGATCGCTCAAACTAAAATAGAGGAGATGATATTTAAACCACAGAATTCTGAGAAAAAAATTATTTAAATGAGATAAAGCACCTAATATAAATTGTCATTATCCAATGGATCAATCTTTTAAAATTATGCCTGAATACTTATCTTAAAATGTAAGACAAATGGGTTGATACTCAACATATAAAGCGTAATACTCTGCTTGTGGGCAAATATTTGGTATTTTAAGGTTATGACATATTGAACCTCACACTTTGCTTAACTCATTTACTTAATCCCATCTGTGCATATATTTTGCTTTTTCTACCATAATTTCAAATGCAGTAAATTGAGATAATTTCATCCTTGTTCTAGTACCAAAGGGATAAGAATGCCTTCCAATTTTTCTTGTTACCTCTAGAGATGATGGAGCTGTCAAGGAAGAAGAATATGCCAAGTGAAGGAGGCCAGTCTTTCCTCTATCATATAATTATTATTGATATTAATTATCAAGAAAAACCAAATTAATTATCAAATTCGGTTTTTGGGAGGGCTTATTCTAAGAGAAGGGAAAGAAGAAACCATCTCCATGGATGTAAATACAGCCAATTACCTCATCCTGTGGATTTTGTTTCCCTTACATATCTTGATTCGATCTTTCTTTTTCATTATCACCTTCTTTTAGGCTGCAATAATTAGATCCTTTATCATAATAGGTAGGCCTACAAACTCACCTTTTCCAAATCTCCTTTAATCTTCTCTCTCCACCCTCCTGCCTCCATCCTCTCAAAACCCCCACTGTATGTTTCTCTTCAAACTTATTATTTACTTTTAAATATACCAATGGCTTCCCATTTGATATCATTTTAAATAAAATATCTTCCCAGTAGCTTTAAAGTTCTTCATAAAATACTTTACTCACCCATATCATTCACTGAACCCTACAGCCTTCCAAACCAAAATTGATTGGTTTGCAAATATTAGATTATTTCTCCATCATTGTGATTTATGTATTCTCTTTCCACTCCCTGAAATATCTGCATATAATGCCAATTGCACTTAAAAATCTCAACAGCCAGCTACCTCATTTTGCATTTTCTGATTGTCATTGACCAACTTGTTGTTATCTTTTACTATGTGAAACTTTTCTAGCATTTCTATAGCTTTAATGACTATGACTTTCGGCTTTTGTCCAATGATGTTACATACTTATTGAGAATGATTTACATATCTTACTTTTGTACAATACTGGAAATACGTGTGGTATTTGCTCAGTGAATCATTACATTGTTTACAGGTTTTATTGAGAAGGTAGTCTCATTATTAGAATATAAAAAATAGGTCATTTTTCTTACTTTCATGATTTTTAAAAATCAGTCTGTTTCTTGATTGTAGGCTAAGTAAAATTGTGTAATGAGCCTGGCACATGTAAGCATGCTGCTGCAGGTAGTAACCGAGGAGGATATAAATATACATGGCATATTTACTACTCTCTAGAAGAAAGAAATTATTTTTGTTCAATACAGCACTTCTTGATTAGGTTATGAGCTCTTGAAGGGTAGCAAATTATGCCCACAGCTATTTTCCTAGCACCCAGCATAGCGCCAGGCACACTGGTTTTGCTTTGACCATTGCTGATAAATGAATTGTCTATTTCTAACATATAGTAATGGTGACCCTCTTTACCTATTACAATACAACCATCAGGTATGTCTATAAAAGATAAAATTCATTCAGTTTGAAAAATAAAGGTCTTATAATCTAGGACTTAAATATCTAATTAAATATTTACCACATCATCTTTTTCTAACATCACAATTGCTAAAGTTATTGCTATTGTAATCAAACAAGGAATTCCCTAGGAAAACAAGAAACATGTCTGACTAGAAGTAAGTCCTAACTGAGTTTTATTCACAACAATTTCTAATTATGGTGGGCATCTGCTTTCGATTTGTTGAATTATTAAGACTGTGTTGCCAAGCCACATTTATTTAACAAAGTGCTTTATTAGAAACTAGTCATGAGGTACTAGGCAGTTGTCACGTATCAGACAGACAAAATTAGGAAGTCATCGGCGAGTTCTGTGTGTCTATCCAGGCATGGAGCAATGCTGAAAATTAAGCTAAAGAAGGTTCCATAGATTCAGACAAACTGGCTGGGTCCAGAGTCCAGTATTCTGGAATGGGTGGTAGGCAAGTACTGACTTTGGAATTCAGGCTTGGGCTTTGGGGCTGTGGTCTGAAGGATGAGGAAACAGATCTGGGCAGCAAGCTACAGAATGAATTCAGGCATTTGAGCAATGAGGATAAAATTTCAGCCGTAGCTATGGAATTTGAGAAAAGAAATTTTTATTCCAGTCTTCTCTGCGCTGCCTTAAAGTCTAAGTACCCCAGATCCCTGTCTGCATCATGAGTGGAAGAGCTGGACAGTAGCCAGGTTGTCTGCACACAGAAGCACTTCAAAGGCCACTGTGACTTCTGGGGTCCAAAATTAGAAAGCAGACAATTGAGTCACTGTTTCCTTTCTCCATATCAAGCTTTTTTTAAAAATTGACAAATCTACCTTCAACACCATATTATATTCTCATCATTGGATTTCAATTCCAATTCTTTCCTGATGAGATATTGCTTTCGATTTCCCTTTAAACTAAAACCTAACTCTTTGCTTTTAGGCACAAAGAACTGAAAATTATTAATTAGCATTTTTGTAGCAGGTACCTCTGAGCAAGGATCTAGTCTGACACTCAGCTAGTGGCTCAGCATGCATTTGGCTGAGATGATGGCGAGAGATCACATATGCATCTTCGCTCCAGGTAGGGTGGCAGGTGTCTATCCGAAGGGCAGGCTGACTTCAGAGGTTGTAAACACAAGCCACATATGCGGAACAAACCAAACAACATCTCTAAAACACCTGTGTGCTAAGATTATTATTTTCTTTCTCTAAAGCCAAAAAAAGGTCAAACAAAGAAAAAAGAAACCGATAATGAGGTCTGGTCTTGTTCTTTATGTAAATAGCATGTACTTTAAATTCAACCTAGTAGATCACCAGGCTAATGATATCAAGATATCTCAAAGTAGGTGAATCATAAAGACCAATGGCTACAGGCATAGAAAGCAAGGTATAGAGCTGAATGAGTAAAAATCTATCCAGCCCCTATTAGGCTATGCTCAGAATGCATGGACCAATAATAATTGCTCAGTAGATTTATATTTTTTTCTGTGGAAGAAAGTATACACAGCATACTCCTACAAGACTATGCATTATTGACAATGTTAACATTTCACCATATCATTATTTGTATTTATAGTCAATCCGTGAGGACAAAGATCTATATTATCCATGTAATAGTCAGCGATAAAATCATTTCTAATAATGAAAACAGCATTAGGCTAATTCAAGAGACAAAACCACACAACCTCAGCCACCTCTACATACAGATTATATCCCTCGTATTGTAAGTTTTTTGAGTAATTTGCAACCTACCTTTCAAAATCTCCTTTGAAGGAAAGAAAAGCTCAATATTTGTTTGGAGGCCTGTCATTACAAGAATGATTCTTCTTTTAAGACTGTGCATGTTTCTGTTGCAGTGAAGGGTTCAGTTAATTAAAGCCTTAATTTCTTGTAAGGTTTTAATAATAATTATTCACTCCATGTGCATATTTCTTGCCTTCTCCTCACTCATGTATCAAATCATAGACATTACTTGGGCAACATATAGGATAAATCTGATGCTTTTGAATATACTCCTGGAGGATTTTTATTTCTTTGGATATAATCCATGGGCCACCAGCTTTTATTTGTTAAAGCAACCATATCACATGAGTCATCTTCTACTAGAACAATGATTTCTAATGAATAAGCTCCATTGTCCTTCATCACATAATTAAATTTGCAATAATTGTTGAATATACATTGTATTTATTCATCAATGGGAGAGGGAAGGATGAGCTATAGAGTCAATTACATATAGCCTCATTTTCCTGAATTGTTAACAGATAGAGCATAAGTACGTAATGTTCTTTAGCTTTCTGGGGTGAAGTCAGATGCTGTAGCAGAACACATCTGCCCTAAACTATTGGGTTACTTTAAACTATTGCTAAGTGATTGGGATACAAAACAAGGAAACTTGCACATCTATATGTGAAAACTAATACGATATATGTATAATGCAAATTTAAGCATTTAATACTTTCAAACTGGTTCTTTGTATCCTGTGAGCTAGAAAAATAAGTCAATCTACTTAGGATTTTTGAGTCCTTGTCAGGAACTATCAAGAGTCTAAGATTTTACCATATTTGCAAGGTAACTTGTTTCATGGATACAGGCAACAGTTACGGATAATGGCAAAAGTCACAAGATTCCTGGGTCAGAAACAAGGAACTTTCTTATTTATGGCACAGCAAGCAGCAGAAACTTCATGTTTGCATCAGTTTTTCTTGCTTCCTCACTGCTGTGGTTATGCAGAATGGTCTGGGTAGACTTATGCAGTGGGTTTGCATCACAGTGGAAAATATCAGGTTTCTTAGGAAATCCCAATTATTTTTATGGGTTGCAAGAAAACTGGCCCAACATTTTCCCTGAAGAAAGATGTTCTCTTTAATTCTTTAATATCCTGATAAGGAAACAAATCTGCTTTCTACCTGGAGAAAAACGCTATCTCTATCTTGCAAGGTTATTTGCTATACAAACATCCTTGAAAAAATATTCTGGAACAAAAGCTGATACAAGACATGCGGACTTGTGAGAGACCCATGGAAAATTGTCTCCCATCAGTCTTTTTGGTGTGAAAGTTTTTGTTCTAAGAACTCTGGGAGATACATTTTTTATTTTCCAATGTGAAAGAGAGTTTACCCTGTTATAATTGGAGTAAAATATAAGTATAAATATGACTGCATAACTTAAGAGATAAAATAAACATGTATTTTTATTGACTGAGCTGAAGCTGAAAACTGCTCATGAATAAAATACCCCCACCCATCCCACACACAGATTTATATCACACATGTATCCACAGCAACATTAGCTTACAATGAAATCACAAATATGCATAAGAGGGTTGGTTTCATAATTTGGACAGTAGGTAATGTTATGGGGAAGTTAAGAAATGGGTCAAGAGAACGAGAGGAATGATAGGTGTAGTAAACAAACTCCCTTGTCTCCTTCCACTCCAAGCTCTGGTCACAGTCTACCCAATGCACAGCATCCAGCTTCACTTTCACAGCCTGTCATTTGGACCCCATGGAGGTATCTACAGGCAGCATCCTTGGAGCACATGCCATTCTTCCAATAATGAACATTTGAGTAGTAAGGATTCTTCATGCTATTTCACAGTGGCAGCCAGAAGAGATGGAAAAAAAGAGGAAACATGCTTCATGTTTTGTTGTGTGTGTGTGTGTGTGTGTGTGTGTGTATGTGATTTAATAACTAAAATTGACTGCATGTTTGCTATGTACCTGACCCTATTTTAATCACTTTACTTGTAATATTTTATCCATCATCTATAAAATTAATATTATTGTTAGCCTTATTTTATGGGTAAGACAAATTATGCAGAGCAAGATTAAACAAATAGTTCCAGGCTCATTATTTGGGTAGTGGAATATTTGTTTTACAATAGGAGAAAGGGCCCAGGGTATCGGGTTAGCAGGCAATTGAGTTAGAATAGCATAAATGAGTCACATGAGACACAATAGTTCAGAGAGTGGGTAGACAATCCAAGAGACAAAATGGTAATTGAAGACTGATAAAATAGGTAGAATGCAATATAGGTCTTGTAAAATTATGGGTGAAATGACCCAAGCAAAGGCATGAATGTGGGAAAGTTCATGGCTTGTGTGGAGAGAACAGTGAGCAGATTAATGTGATTACAATTAAGGGTTCATCCATTTATTCAACTTCTTTGTTGTTATTGGACATCTAGTATTCGTCAACCTCTAAAGAATAATGAAAATCATACTGAATATACAGGTTGGGGTCAGATAACGGACACTTTCTATTTATCAAATATAGCTTTTCTTATATTACATTTGTTAATAATTTTATGATAGTTTCATATTATAAATTTGCCCTTTTCAAGCCTACTTTTATCTCTCACTTCTGACTTGACTTATGATTCTAGTACTTAGCCTTAAAAACCAAACGTTCTTCAAACTACTTGATTAAGAAAGCAATAACCTCAGGAGAATATTTTCTCTCCTTAAAACTGCAGATCATATTTTGTGTTATAACACCTTTCTTACAACTGTTATATCTTAAAGAGGTGTCTTTCCATACTCAGATTTCAGAGAATGTTACCAGGTCTTTTGGAAATTTTCCAAAAGATTTAAAATTCTGGTTTGAAATTATTAAATACTTATGATGTGCCCACAATATACTTTAAGTTGGTGTTTCTGTTTTCCATTTTCTTGGACCTACAGCCTCTGGTGCAGCCAGGGAGAAGCCTAGTTTTGGGGGGAAAAGCTTCTGAAGACGTTTGTTGCTGACCTGCCAGAGAGAGGGGCTAGGCAACCCCACCTTCTGACCTGTCCTTCCTGAGCCTGTCAGGCAAGAGTATTGTGGCATTTGATCAGGACCCTCTGGAGACGGGACTGGGAACAAGTTAAACTCTCCCCATGTTAGCCCTTTCCCATTCTCTCCCCAAGTGTTGCCAAGTTTCTCTTACCCAAGTACTCAGCTTTGTAGACATTGAGGCAGTTCCAGTGAGACGAGTACCCTCTGATAAGAAATACTCATAGTGGTTCTTGGCAATGGTATTCATCCATTCAGAAGCCTGAGATATCATCTCCTACTCTGGATTTTCTTCCCGAAGCCAACTGAGAATCAATAGTAATTACTCTTTCCACATTCGTGAAAGAAGAAAATACATTAAAACCTATCACTCTTAGATGTTTTAATTTAAAGAGCCTTCTACATTTAAATTAATAACATTAGATTCCTGCAAAAAATTTTATATGACCTACGAGCCAAATATTGAGAATTTTTGTTTTGTTTCAATACATGGTGAAAGTTATCTTCCAGAAGGTTTAGTAAAAGTTGAATGAAAAGGAGAGAGCTGCTTGCCACTTGGGAAGTTCTCAAAGTGGGCTGACATTGTTAGTTGGTGGTGGCAATAAACAAAATGGGGGTAGTCTCAGTAAACAATATTACAGAAGAATCACTTGGATTTAAGGGGTAGGAGGAAGAAGAAGCAAGAAGAAAGTGAGAAGTTTTGTCCTTAAAATTTTCATATACTAAACAGAGTAAAGATGAGTAATCTAAAATTTTGATGGGCAGCCAAAAGAGGACTTTGACAACACTAACTCCTTTCCTTTCAGTGTGCAGCACATAATTCCTAGCAACAAGCATCTAAATGTGTTACTGTATTTGGTTCTTTTATAGAGATACTGATAGAGAATATACATTAAAATGTTCTTTCGTATCTGATATTGTATTTAGACAAAGAGTTGTTTGGGGGAAAATGACTCACAATATATTGATTTGGGAATAAAATAATACAATTATACATCTGGACTTTGTGTCAATTTTAATAACTTAATCTGCTCTACAAAACCCCATTAGAGGTATTAAAAATTACATAACTCTGAATATATTTGCAAATATCTCAGTAATTAAATCATCTATAAATGCTAACTGAAAATATTCCATTATACTTTAAGTTTTAATGATCCAATATACTTCCAATAGAATACTGTCCATTTTTTTTTCTTCTGCTACTCTGATAAAGCTATCACATTCTTAGAGCTATTGGATAGAAACACATTTTTAGTTAAATAGTTGCAGCTATAAAATGCTAATTGTGTTCATATGCATGGATTACTCCGAAAAGATATACATGGCTTTACATTTGTAAAAAGCCGAATCTAAAATTGGACAGTAGTTAAAAGTATCAGTACATAAACTGGGTTAGTGATTCACATATGGGTGTGAAAAAGCAAATCCTAAAAGTATATGATGCAAACTTGTTAAAATTGTATGGCTATATTTTCTTTTTTTCTTTTCCTTTTTCTTTTCTTTTTTTTTTTTTTAGGTGGAGTCTCACTCTGTCACCCAGGCTGGAATGCAGTGACACAGTCTCGGCTCACTGCAACCTCTGCCTCCCAGGTTCAAACAATTCTCCTGCCTCAGCCTCCTGAGTAGCAGGGATTACAGGTGTCCACCATCACGGCCAGCTGATTTTTGTGTTTTTAATAGAAACAGGGTTTCGCCATGTTGGCCAGGCTGGTCTCGAACTCCTGACCTTAAGTGATTCACCCACCTCAGCCTCCCAAAGTGCTGGGATTACAGGCATGAGCCAGCACACCCGGCCAAGGCTATATTTTCATGTGTACTAGAATGAAAGCTATGTGACAATGGGTTCTCCTGTGTGTGCTTTTTAAATTCTGTATCCTCAGTGCCTAGAGCAGAATCTGACACAAAAATTTATGTCAAGTATATCAGTAATATATATGTAATTTATGTATATGTATAAATATATGTGACTATGTATGTATGCATTAATGTACATGGAGAAACATATATATATATGTGTATGCATGCATCTACACACTGCAAAACACGCTAAAAATGTTGATTTAATCATTGGATGTGAAAGTGTGAGTAACTTTATTTTTTTATATACTTTTCCTAAATTTGCAATTTTTCTGATTATGTAATTATTAATTTTAAAAATGGATAAAAGTAATGCTAGTAAGAACATAAATATTAAGAAAATCATATGTAGAATAAAAATAAAAAATCATTTTCTTCAATATGTTCAAATTATTATAATTGTTTGGATAATATCTACAATTAAAATTCATTGAAATTCTTCTCTATGTAATGTGGAAACTGCATAGACTATTATCTAGTTTAATAGCCATTTTATTATTTCTCCAAGATCTTCCAGGGAGGATTAATTTATGTATAACTGCTTAAAGGCTATTTTGTTGCCCATTTTCTTATGTCTGGTGTTGACATCTAGTGAGCTTTAGATGGGCAATACGGTCTTAATTTTTTATTGAGGTAATCAATGATCTTGTGACCTCTAAATGCCAGTATAAACTGGAAAAGGAAAGAACTAGAAAAGTCCTGTTTCAGAAAGTCCCCATTGCCTTTTTTAGAGGAAAATTAAAAAGAAATGAGGAGTCCATTCAGGGTTTTTTTCCTTTCAACCCATCAAATAATGACAAAGATGTGTTTAGGGCTTCTGATGTGTCAGGTGCTGTTCTAAGTGTATTACATGTAAAAATTTCATTTAATTTTCACAGTTCCCAAAGAAGCGTAATTATTTTACAGATGAGGAAAGTGGAGTACAGAGGGAAGTGTTATCTCATTAGTGTTCTAAATGAGGCAGGTGGACTCCAGAATCCATACTCCTGATCACAGCAATCAATTGCCTGCCAACCCTGCAGATCAGAGCTTCACCATGGTCTGGTAAAATGAGGACTGCCCAGAGAAACAAGGTGGCAGGGTTATAAGTTTCTACCTCCTTGAAGTTTCTCTGTAACCTTGGGTGAAATCTTTCATCCTTGATTGTTTATGAGCTCATGTACAAAATGTGGTACAATTTTACTTGTCTTCTCTAGAAGCATTATGGTGTCATTTGTGATGATTTTTAGGCCCTTCTACTTCTAAATATATAATTATGTGAACACTCTATTATTCAATTCATTGGAAAATCTTGAGAGTGCAAAATGCCGGGAGAATATATTTGCTCAGAGAAGTTTTTTATGTCTAAAAAAAAAAAGAGATCTTTTGTTAAAAAGAATAAGAATGGAGTTTAAACAAAACTACTAGTGAAAATTTGCTGGTACATTTTTAAAACTTAGATTTAGCTAATTGTTATTTTAAAAGTAAGCCCCATGCTATTTAACCTATTTCATATTAATTGTCTCAATTCGTTTGTTAACTCTAGAATAACCTTGATATCAAAATCTGGAAAAAATAGAGCACAAAAAGAAAAGTATAAATCCATTCAGTTCTCACTGCATGAAAAATAAAATAAAATAACAGTGAAAGGAATTTAACCTCAATCTTAAAAAAAGTTAACAAGCAGGGCTATTACAGAAAGAAGGGGATGACTGAAAATCTGAAACTTCATCAGTGAAACTAATCATTAAAGTAACAAAGGCATTAATGAAAACATCAGCACAAGAAACACTGAAAATCATAAAAATCTGCAATCTTTTTGAAAAGAGAGGAATAGAATTAATAATACTATGATTTAACCACATCTATGTTAAACCAACACGTGCTATTATCAGATGGAATTCTGATAAGTAGGCATTCAACTTAAGAAAGGATAAAATAATCCAGTATAATTTTTGAATACTTTCTAGACAAGAAAATAAGAGTAGAAAAAGAAGAGAAATGTAAGAAAAAAAAACAGCAAAAAGATACTGTGTTAACGTTTTTAATGGTTAATATGTCTATCTATGGTGATATTTTAATATATCATCTTGGTCAGGCCAGATTACATTTCCCAGAATTCCCTTGCCTATAGGTTTCGAGTTAGAGGGATCCACCAGAGAAATTTCTGTGACAGCTTTAGAGGGCAGAAATAAAACATCGGGCATTTTGTTACCTACACACGTCACTGTTTGTCTGCTGACTCATCTTGTTGGATCTGTAATTGCTTGCTCTACCGTCCCCTGAACATTATATTAGCTTCTAGGATACATGGGCCAGAAGCGATCAAGAAGAGTTTTGGCTTCTGCAGGATACCATATCATCAAAGTTAGACGCAACAAGAACTGACAAGGATTTCTTTCTGTGGTTGCAGGCCTCAGCTCATTTGTGGGGTTCAGCTTCTTTTTGCTCTATCCCACTTTACATCCATTTTCCCTTCCCATCTGCCTGCCCTGTGGATATCAAGCTCCAGCATAAAACCTGAGGACAACAGCTTCACAGAGATTGCTTAACCAGCTCCAACTGTGTAAGGTTAAATCCCTCTACGTGTATATGTTTTTTCATGTCTCTCATTGGAATCTGATGATATACCATCTAACAGGAAAACTTAAGAGAATCAATGAAAAATTCTTTTGAACCTAAATAGACATTCCAAGGAGGTGACTAGTCTCAAGGAAAACATTAAGGGGCAATAGGTATTTTATTTAGTGATAGGCAAAAGAAAAAAATGGGGAACAAAACAATGACCCCACTCACAAAATGAACAAAATCATAAATCACATAGGAACAAATGAAATGAGTGAGCACCTAGAAAAAGAAAAGTTAAGCCTTTTCTGTGAGACGAAAACAAGGACTAGATTAAATGAAGAGAGATAATGTAGTTCATAGACAGAAAAAATAATGCTGCAAAAATTTTAATTGTTGCTTTACAAATTTAAAATTCTAACACTTTATAGTACATTTCTATAAAAGTACAAACCAAGATAATGATGCTACAGGTCGCTAAGGAAAATAGAAATGATACATTTTTATAAAATAAAAATGACACAAGAACATTTTATGAGAATGGCAAAAATGAAGCTTTTATTCAATTAGGTAGTACAAAATAATAAATGCCATTGTGTTCCAGGCACAGAACAAACTATTGAGTAAATGGACCAGACTAATAAATCTAGCAACATACCTAAATGGATAAATATGCATTTAATAAAGGTAAAACCTCCAATCAGTAAGAAATAGATATTATTGTTTTGGAAAAAATAATAGACTTTACCTCACATCATATACCAAAATGCGTTGTGTAAATTAACTATACTGATATAAAACAAACAGAAATTAAATTTTATAGGAAATACAAATTATATTTTATATAATTTTTCAATTGTGAAGTTTTCCTAAACATGAGGCTAAAGTCAAAATTGATAGACATAAATGGGGTACAAGTCAAAAGATACGTTAAAAATAAATCTTAAACACTGAAAATGTTAAAGTGGAAAAATTATTTGCAATACACAAGACAATGAATTGAAGATTTTAATTTATATTTGATAAGCTCTCTCATACCTAAAAGAAAAAGTCAAACATTTCATTAGAAAATGAAATAGCACATAAATAAATGACAAAATATTCAATATTCATGATCATTTAAAAATTACTTAGCTTCACTCTAAAAAGTGAAAATT
Source organism: Homo sapiens (assembly GCF_000001405.40). NCBI lineage: Eukaryota > Metazoa > Chordata > Mammalia > Primates > Hominidae > Homo > Homo sapiens. Next base: position 76,508,219 of record NC_000002.12, read on the forward strand.
GATGCAACAATGATATATCTTCATATCTTATCAAAACAACAGAGATTTATCACAAAAAGGAAAACAAAAACATTAATTATTGCATAGGAATCAGAGATATCAAAACATACACATCAATAATTGAGAAATATCTAGCAATAACTGAGAAGCTTACATTCCCTTTTTCTAAATGATTCCTTTATTGGTTTATATACAGGAGTACATAATGAGCAAGATGAAGCCAATTTTTGGTATCAGTGACTTAAGAAAATAAAAAATCAAAGTTAATTTAAATGTCCAGTATTAAGGAATTGGTTAAATGAATGAGGATATATCAAACAATGGAATTATCTATTCAAAAAGATGGAATAGTCTACTTAACTAAAAGCTAAACTGACAAGGAAAACTATTTACTATGCATTCTTATATGAATAAGTAGCAGAATATCAAAAGTATTTTACATGTATTATTCAGTTAATGCATATGATAGGTTTTGTCAGTACTCTCATTTTCAAGACGGGAGAATTGGGGCAGAGTGATTAAATGACTCGTCCATGTTCACACAGAGAATAAGTCTTGGTTGGAGCTAGAAATCAAACATAAATAGTGGAGGTTGAGATTTTATCTTGCCTTTATATGACTTTATTTCAGAATTTTGAATTATATTTGTAATTTTTTGATAGCTGTTTCCCAACTTTTGGTATAAAGGTTGTGTTATAGCTCAATTCAAGACTTTCAACCTTTTTTAATCTCTGGAGTGTAATATGCTAGTATCTCTTTCTGGAAGGTCAAAGGAAATAACTCACAAAATGCTCTTTATTATTACCTTTTCAGAAATAGCTTTCCAATACCTTCTTTGATTTTCTCCCCTATTTTTATTTATGTGTAATATTTTAACTCTATTTTAGTCAATGCGGTAATTTATTTTCCCTTAAAAAAATTAAGTGCATTATCTGATCTTTGTTCAAGTTCTTCAGGCTTTATATGGTCCAAACCTCTTTTAAAATATTTGATCGCTTGCCACTTTTTTTTTCTTTTCTTCAATGAAAGATAGATATATACAACAAATTGTGACTGTTAACTTTTTTTCCAAATAAATCCGTGTATATTTCTCAGAAAGATACATCCCAGATTATTGCAAAAAAATTGAATTCATAATGCAAGAATTCCTATATATTTCTTTCATCCAAAAATTGTGCCGGCTGGCTGTTATTATTGCTAATAAATTTACTAATAAATTTGATGCCTGCCCATCAAATCTGCCTTCACAGAGGTAATAGTGTTGTGACTGATGTTAGCATGGCCTGTTTTATTCCTCAGGAGAGTATATAAATCATCCAGAGCAACTTTCCTATTTTGAAAAAGAGAGGCCCACTTGCAGGCAAAAGTCTCTGGGTCCAAGCATTGTGTGCATGTGTATTATTTACTCAGAATATTAAAACAGAACTAATTTCACAGATGAGGTCCAAGCTTTTGAGGATGTCTCTGAATGTTTTGTAATATTCTGGCCGCTGTCTGTATCTCCTCCCCTTGAATCTGTACTAATCTTTGTGACTGGTTCACAGGGAAATAGCATGTAGCAGATGTGATAATGCATTACTTCTGAGGATGGTTCAGAAAACATCAAGCAGCTTCTGACTGGTTCCCTGGGCATGCTACCTCTGGAGTATCCAATTGCTATGTAAGAAGTGTAACTACCAAGAGGCCTTCATGTCTCAATCAGGGGATATGGTAGAATCCCAAGCTGACCTCCAGGCAGGAAACCAACAGTACCTGCCAGTCTTGCAAGGGAGCTATCTTGGATGCCCATTCCACAAAGCTTGCTGATGATTGTAGCCCAGTGGACATCTGACAGCAACTTTACAAAAGGTTGTAAATAAAGACTGTCCTACCAAGCACTCTTCAAATTCCTGCTATGACTGCAATGTCATGATTAAAGTAAAATGGTTATTTCAAGTGACTAAGTTTTGGGATAATTTGTTATATAGCAATAATAAGTAGAATGATTTTTAGATAAAGAATATAGTGACAAATGAATGGAAGACTTAAAAGTAAGGCCTGAAATTATACTACTACTAGAAGAAAACACAGGAGAAAAGCTTCTTGACCTTGGCCTGGACAAGGATTTTTTAGTTATTACCCAAAAGCACAAGAAACAAAAGCAAAATTGGACAAATAGGACTTCATCAAACTAAAAAGCTTCGGTACTGCAAAGGAAACAACAGAGTGAAGAGACAACCTACAAAATAGGAGAAAATAGTTGCAAACCTTACACCTGATAGGGTGTTACTGTTCAAAATATGTAAGGAATTCAAACAACTCAATAGCACAAAAACAAATAGCCTAACTTTAAAAATTGGGCAAGGAATCTGAAAAGAATACACACAAATAGCCAACAGATATATTCAACATCGCTAATCATCAAGGAAATGCAAATTAAAACCACAATGAGCTATCACCTCACACCTATTAGGGTGGCTATTATCACAAAAATAAGAAATATCAAGGGTTGGTAAAGGTGTAGAGAAATGGAAACAATTTTACATTGTTAGTGGGTATGTAAATTGTTACAACAGTACTGGAAAACTGTATGGACGTTTTCTTTAAAAATTAAAAATAGGCCTACAGTTTGATCCAGCAGTCTCACTACTGGGTATATATCCAAATGAAATGAAATCAGTCTGTTCCAAAGATATCTAGACTCCCACACTCATTATGACATTGTTTATAATAATCAATATATCAAAAGAACCTAAGTGTCTATCAACAGATGAATTGATAAATAACATGTGGTATATGTACACAACGAAATAGTATGCAGTCTTAAAAAGAAGGAAATCCTATCATTTGAGACAACATGGATGAACCTGGAAGACATTAGTTAAATTAGATAATTGAGGCACTGAAAGGCACATACTGCACAGTCTCACTTACATGTGGGAATGAAAAAAGGTGAACTCATTGGAGCAGAGAATAGAATAATGGTTAACACAGTCTCAAGAGCAGGTGGGGACTGGGGAAATGTTTGTCCGGAAATACAAAATTGCAGTTCTACAGGAGGAATAAATTCTGGAGATCTGTTGAAAAACACTGTGACTACAGTTAATAATAATGTATCATATTGTGAAAATTGCTGAGCAGATTTTGAATGCTCTCATCAACAGAGAAATATGTGAGGTAATGGATATTTTAACTAGCTTGACTTACTCATTCTACAATGTATACATCTATCAAAACATCATGTTGTTCACCATAAATATAGTCAATTATTATTTGTCAATTTAAAAAAAGAATATAGCAAAGGATAGATAGCAAAATTACCTTGGATTGTTTTTTGTCTCTTGGTTTCCTGAAATTTCTGCTTTGTCTTTTTATTCTAAAAACTCCAACAGATTAAGTTTAGCTTCATAGATTTTGGTTTTTTATTTTGACAAGCAATCTAAAAGGACTGATTATCAATTTAATATTTCTTTGTGCATAGTAACATATCTCATAATTTTCTCATCTCTTTATCTGTGATTTAATCACATTTATAATTCCTATGTATTTATTAACACTCTTATTCTTTATACTTGATTAGATAGTCTAGTAATTCCCTTTTTTATCTAATTTTTGAAACAAAAACTTCTTGAATTTATTATGAGTTATTTCTCATTTTTAGTTCACCAGTTTGTTTTTGTCTATATTAATATAATTTTCATATATTAGTATATTTATTCTACTTTGTTTTTGTTGTCATGGATCTTTTTAAGTTGAATACTTATTCATTTATTCTTTAATAAAAGCAAAGTCTATGAACTTGCCAATTAGAGAATAAAGATTAAGATTTGCTTTTTTCTTGACTCCAAAGTTGTAATCTAATACAATGTCTTCTTTATAAAAATTAATATTTATTTTCTAGAGCAGTTTTAAGTTTGCAGAAAAATGAAGAAGATAGTACAGAGTTCATTTTTCTCCAAGATTACTAACATATTGCATTAGTATGGTCTATTTGTTACAATTGAGGAATCAATATTGATACAATTTTAATCACTAAAGCCCATAGTTTATTTTAGGGTTTGCTCATTATATTATGCAGTTATATGTATTTTAACAAACGCATAATGCCATATATCTACTCTTGACATACATACAGAATATCATAGAGAATAGCTTCACTGTCCTAAAAACCCCCTGCATCCCATCTGTTCGTCCTTCCTCCTGCTTCCCTCTCCCCTGGCAACCACTGATCTTTTTACTATCTCTATGGTTTTGCCTTTTCCAGAATGTTATATAATTGAAATCATTCATTATGTAGCCTTGTCAGACTGGGCTTCTTTCACTTGGTAATAGGCATTTAAAATATCTTTGTGTCTTTTTGTGGTTTAGTAGCTCATTTGTTTTTATCATGGAATAATATTCTAGTGTATGGATGGAACACAGTTTGCGTATCCATTTACCTATTAAAGGATACCCTGGTTGCTTCAAGTTTTTAACAATTATGAATAAGGCTACTGTAACTATTCAAGTGCAAATTTTTGTGGGGACGTAAGTTTCCCATTCATTTGAGTAAATACCTAGAAGCATAACTGCTGGATTTAGCTTTGTAAGAAATTGCTCAACTGTTTTATAAAGTGGTTGTGTCATTTTGCATTTCCACCAGCAATGAATGAAAGTTCCCATTGCTGCCCATTTTTGCCAGCAGTTAATATCATTAATGCTTTTGATTTTAGCTGTTCTAGTAGGTGTATAAGGCTCTCTTAATGTAGTTTCAATTAGCAATTTTCTAACGCCATCTGATGTTGAACATCTTTACCTATGTTTGTCATCTGTATATCTTCTTTGGTAGGGTGTCTGTTCAGATCTTTTCCCATCTTTAATTGCTTTCTTATTGTTGAGTTTCAAGAGTTCTATGTTTTAAATACAAAGTCTTTATCAAATATGTGCTTTTGCAAATATTTGTCCCCAGTCTGTGGCTTTCTTTCTCTTAATACTGTCTTTCATAGAGCAGTTTTCTGTTGTTGTTATTGTTTTTTAAAATTTTAATGAGCCTAACTCATCCATTTATTCTTTCATGGATCATGCTTTTGGTGTCGTATCTAAAACCTCATCGCCAAACCCAAGATCATCTATATTTTCTCCTACGTTATCTTCTGGAAGTTTTATAGTTTTACATTTAACATATAGGTCAATGGTCCATTTTTAGTTAGTTTTTGTGAAACATGTAAGGTCAGTGTCTACATTCATTTTTGTGTTTGTAAATATCCAGTTATTCCAGCACTCTTTGTTGAAAAGACAATCCTTTTTCCATTGAATTGCCTTTCTCCTTTGTCAAAGATCTGTTGACATTGTATCTGTTTGTATTTTTGGATCCATTTCTGTTTTTTCTGTTTTATGTTGATATATTTGTTCTTTCATTAATACCATACTGTTTTGATTACTCAGTTATATAAGAGAGTATATTATACTTTATTTTTTAAGTGTGATAATTTATGAATTTCTTACAAATTCATCTTTTTGCAGTCTAATTTACCTCAGACAATAATTTTTAAAAGTAGTTGCTCGAGATTCATTTTATGGCTTATATTATGGGTTGAATTGGGTCATTCAAAAAGATAAGTTGAAGTCCTAACTTCTTGTATACCTAAAAATTCATGTGCTGCCTTGATGTCTTTGAGCCTCATGGGGCCCCAAAGTTCTAACCAAGAGCTCCCCTGCTCTCACCAGATATACCCCCTACTTAGTGAGATGGGCTCCCCACTCTGCTAGTGCCCATCAGCTGGTCTACATGTACTCCACTCGGCTATCAACCTAACAGTCTTCAGCTGCCTGCCAGCCTGTAAAATTATTTAAAGAAACCAATCACATGGTCTTACGGGAAACACAGGCACCCCACTCCCTGGTTACTAGAAAGCCTTCCTCCCACAACTCCTACTGGTTCGCTCTGCTCCCAAATGCAACCTCCATGTGGCCCTGAATGGTATGCAGTGTTTCTCTCACTGAGATTATGAGTGTCATTAATAAACTGCTGCCAATCTTACCTGTCCAGTGGAGACTGTTATTTGTCTGGCCATCTTGTATTATTCAGGGTGTTATTCAACAACAGGATATGTAGGTGTTGACCAGAATACCCTGGTGCCTGTGAATAGAACCTTATTTAAAAATAGGGTCTTTGTTAAGATGAGGTCTCAGAGAGAAAGGAGGAACATGTTATGGATACTGGAGGAAATGCCATCCTTGTTATAAAGTGTTAGAGGATTTGGCTGAATTGTTCTGCTGTAGGATGGAAAGTAGGATCTGTAAGCCAGTGATCTTATATATTCATCTGAAGACATTCCCGAGAAAGTACAGAAGATGCTTTCTGATTTCTCCTTGCTGCTTATGGTAAAATGCAAGAGGAGGAAATACATTTAGGAAGAAACTGCCAAGCAAAAAGGAACCAGCACTTGATGATTTGAAAAATCCTTGGCTGATCCAGATAGCATGCTCTGAAGAGAAGTGCAAGTGTGTGGCTGGACGACCTATTGCTGGAGAAATTCAGTGTTTTCCTTACTGATCCGATTAACTATACATCAAAAACAGTTCTAGTTTGGGTTGAAGAGTATAGAGAGGAGAAGGGCGTACAAAGACTGAGGCAGATATTGGAATTATGCTGCCAAAAGCCAAGGGATGTCCAGGATTGCTGATAACTGCCAGAAGCTAGGAGAGACCCGGAAGGAAACAGCTTTGCTGACACCTTGATTTCAGACTTCTAGCCTTCAGAACTGTGAGAAAATACATTTCTGTTGTTTTAAGGAGACCATTTTTTACAGCAATCCTAGGGAACATATAACATATATATATATATACATAAACATATACGTAACGTATATATATGTTTCCTAGGATTGCTATAAATATGGTTTTTATATATATATGTATATACACACACAATTTGTTGTTGTTGTCACAAAGTTATTGGACAAGAATAAAACAATTTTCTCTACTTGTATAACACAGACACACTTGGCCTATTAATTTCATTATTAAATATCTGTACATCCATATGTATTTTTCACACTTTGCCATGACAAATAAGGTAAATGTCCACTAAAGTCTCCCATTGCTATGTTCTTTCAATTATTTTCTAATTTTTAAATGTATTTCTATGCTAGGTTTATTTGCAAACTAATTTAAAGCTAGTATTCCTTGTGACTTACATCAACCATTAACTACGATCTTTTTTTTAATTTTTGCTTTCTTTCTCTTTTTAATTTCAATTATTTAATCTTGCCTATTGAGTCTAAGCATTTGTTTTGTATTTTGTTGTTAATGTTGCTTTGAAAGTGATGTTCTTCTCTGTAGTGTTGATTTTTCTCTTTCATTTATTGAACTTTGCCAACTTGCTTTTATTTTTATTTCCTCTTTTTTTTTTTTTTTACCAAAATCTCTCCTTTGAACTGTGCTCTATTTTGTGAATTGTTTTACAAATTTTGTTTGTTTCAGGAAATCATGTCTTGTAACATCTCTAAGAGAATAAAGAACACATTATTTTAACTCTTTTTTTTCCCAGGGTAAATTATGTATATTTTTAAAAATTTGCCTTTACTTATGATCCTTCTTCTTAAGTGTATTTTTATATTTTTTCATTTTAAAATTTTCGATTAAGGTTACAAACATGTAGTACGAAAAATCAAAAAGTACAAAGACATAAGGAAAAAAAATATCCCTGAACCAGCCCCACTCAAATCTTCACATTAGAGGCAACTTCTTTTAATACTCATGGATACTCTTTTTTATATTCCAGATTTCTATATTGAGCTTTACAACTATTTCTGCTTGTTCTTCAATGTTATAGGTTATAGATTTTATACTGCCATTCTACTACCTTTTTTTTTTTTTTTTTTGAGATGGAGTCTCGCTCTGTCACCCAGGCTGGAGTACAGTGGCCCAATTTCGGCTCACTGCAAGCTCTGCCTCCCGAGTTCACGCCATTCTCCTGCCTCAGCCTCCCAAGTAGCTGGGACTACGGGCACCCACCACCATGCCCGGCTAATTTTTTGTATTTTTATTAGGGACGGGGTTTCACCGTGTTAGCCAGGATGGTCTTGATCTCCTAACCTCATGATCCGCCTGCCTTGGCCTCCCAAAGTGCTGGGATTACAGGCTTGAGCCACCACGCCCAGCCCTCTACTACCTTTCTTACACCAACCTACCGTGCCTTGAGCTCTCTCCATGCTCATCACTAAACACTCTTCTGCTCCTTCAGTGTGTTTATTCATAATGCAATTTGGTAAATTAGTATTTGATGCTTATATTATTATGAACACATAACTATTATGACTATATAACTGAGTCACTAAGGGTGCTATGCATACACTGCTTTTCTTGTACAATTTCTTTTTTCTGCCCCTAAAGTTGATAAATACCTTAACTTTTTGTTTGCTTTTTGCCTTAGTTTCTGTGCAATTATCATTAGTTCAGCTCACAACTTTCCAAAATAACAACAAAAAAGGCAAAACAAAACAAAAACCAATAAAAATCTTTTACAGTGGCTAAAGGCACCAGGTAGTCCTTCCTATTAATCCCTCACTCCATACGTCCAAAGACATCCTTCCTGGAAGCTCCCTTACTTCCACTTCAAAATAATTAACATCTGGCTAGTAGAAATTTGGCTTTATCTAAAGAGAGCTCTGCTTTTTAGCAGGCTCCTGGGGACAGAGGGTAATCTCTAAATCCCTGGAATTTTCTAAGTAATAGGAATGTCTTTGTTAATTATGGTAGGCCCTTTTAGTTTATCCTAACAAGCTAACTCAGGATGAGGCCAGGCACACTGGTAGTTCTAAGGTTAAAGGGTAACCATGCTAGAAAGGCCAAATATGTCATTAGAGGTTTGAGGAATGACCCACATGATATCAATCTGACCTCTAAGGATGGAAAGGCACAGAAATTAAGTCTAAGCATATGGATAATGACTCAGTCATGCCTAAGTAATGAGATCCCAATAAAACCTCTGGATAACAAGCTCAGGACAATTTCTCTGATTGGCGATACTCTGAACATTGCCACATATTGAGGCTAAGAGGGTAACATACCCCTGAGGTTGTTGGAAGTTTCACATTTAGAACCTTCTCAGAGTCTGCTTTATATATCTCTTCCTTTGCCTTGTTTTACTTTATATCCTTTTGCTGTAATAGACTATTAGGTTGGTGCAAAAGTAATTGTGGTTTTTGCCATTAAAAGTAATATTAGTAATATTAGTAAGTAATATTTATTAGTGGTATTAATATTAATTAGTTGTTAATAGTAATATTAATTAGTAGTTAAAAAGTAATATGAGTAAGATAACACTTCCCTGAATTGTATGTCCTTCTAGCAAATTATTGAACCTAAGGGGGCCCATAAGGACCCCCCAAATTTATATGCAGTTGGTCAGAAGTGAGAGAACGTCTGAAAACCAGTGAATTTGTAGCTGGTATTTGAATTGAGGTCAGTCTTGTGGGGACTGTTCCCTCAGACTTTGCACTTTAGCCAAACTCATTGCAGTTGGTGGCAGAAGTCGGGCCAACTTGGCAGTCTGGATGACTGTGCTGTTAACTTCATGTTTGGCTAATTCAGGGAAATTTCTAAGTCTGTTGGCCAGCTATAGTACTACATCGTTCCTTAACTAGCATCCTAAGTATTTTCTTTAATTCTTTTCTGTGTGAATCTTCTCTGTTGTGGATGCCATGTTTTTGTTTTCTAATTTATGACCTTAGTAGATTCCAGAGAAAAGCTCAATATGGGATGAAATCTCGTATGTTGAAGAGTCACTTGGTTCTACGTATATGTCATTACTATTTGAGTTTGTACAGACATCTGGGTAGGAAAATGTTTTTCCTCAAAATCTGAAGGGGTTCTTCTATTGAAATCTTGCTAAATCCATCCCATGATATTATTGCTTTTCTTTCTTTGGAAACCTTTAGTTTCTATTTCTGCTGTTATGAAATTTTTATAGTATATTTACTGTGTGTATTGTGTAGAGTCTTTTTTTTTTTTTTTTTTTTCATTCGACATAAGTCACAGTAGGGCCTTGCAATCTAGAAGGATTCATGCTCTTCAATTCTGGCAAAATTTCTGGCAAAGTTTTGTTTTATAATTTTTTCCCCAGTCTTCTTTGTTCTCTCCCTTTGAAACAACTATTGATCAATTATTAATCAGCCAGGATTGTTGTCTGAATTTCTCATGTTTTCTATCTTCTATCTTTATTTATTCATTTTCTTTTGTACTTATATCTGGAAAAGTTCCTGGTTTGGGAACTTACTTTGATGTATGTTTTTTCTTCTGTTTATTTAATTGGAAATGCTTACTCCTTGTTTTGTTTTAATGTTTGCTGTTTTTTTTTTTGTTTCATATTTGTTTTGTTTTCATTTTTATTTATTTTGGAAATTTTTAGTTCATTTCACTAACTGTAGTAACTGAGATACTATTTAAAATATTTAACAACCTCTGTGACACAGATAGCAACACCTCAGAATGGTCTCAAGACATTTATTGTATCATGAGTACTAGCTGAATATCAGACATGGAACTTTTATATGCTATTTATTGTTACCTCTTTTTATGTTTCTTACATTTTCTTTTTATTCAACTTTGGAAGATACAGATTTTTTAATATTATTTTTATTCTAATAAAGTCATGGTTGAAAATTCCACATAAAAAAGTGAATTGACCTTATATTTCTGAAATTATTAATTGCTTACAAAATAGTATTCATTGACCTATTTATATTTAAGATAAAGAAATGCACTCAATTTAATTTTTCCACATCTTTTATTTTCAAACTTACAGATTTTGTTGGTCTAATTTTTTATAATATTCAGATTTTATTTTTCTGTTTCTATGTGATTCAATATCTTATGTATTTAACATTTCAAATAATTATGCAGATTGATTTGTAAAAATATTTTAAATCATTTTTAGCCTCAGTTTTAATTTCTATATGAAATTAAAACAGATGGAATCTAAAATATATTTGCTTCCTGCAATAATTTGTTTTCAAAATTGTGCTCTTTGTCTACCTCCTGAGAGTTATGTTTATTTATCTTTGCCATAAATCTTGTGTATGTGCATGTTTTCTATCTTTGAGTCATTAATTATCTTTTTCACACTCTTTGTCTCCAAAACTTTAGACATTACATCTCTTAGGTGATGCTACACTTTCTACTCTGATGTTATTAGAACTGTTGGATCTTAAACTGTGTGTTTGATGCAGGCTCAGTGACCCAGAAATCTAAAGCAAATTGATGAGAAAAGCATCCAGTAAGACTTAAAACAATCTGATTTTGAAATCATCTTCTCTCTCTGATTCCTTTTCTATGCTGGATTATGCCATTCTGCTTTGCTAAGGACAGTGTACTGGACAAAGATACACGTGATAATTTCTCTAATTTTCTGACATGTGGATAGTATCCTTCTACAGAAATTGTGCATTCCAGGTCACATTTTTTGTGTATGAAGAAAATCACTAACAAATAAACACGGAGTCCAGAGGGCCTTAATTTTAAACACAAACTAATCAGATTTCCATTTGTGTTTTCTCATAAAGTTATTTTGTTAAATTAAAATGCCTTATTACTTACTCATAGAACCAATGACTATGGGACATATCCTGCTGGTCACAAAACTGTAACCTTACTTTGAGGATGAAAAAGGCAAAACCGGGCAGAGAAATTCTCAGCAGGAATATTTAACGTCAGGCTAAGATTCAAGTTGCTTTAATAAAATTAAAGTTTAGTGGGAAATTCACCAAAATATATTTTTAGGCTATTGTTTCTTTTAAAACTATTAACTAATTTATTGTTATGAATTAATGTACTAATTTAAAATTCTGTGTCTTACAAGAAGAAAACAAAATGCTGATCTAAGTAATCTGCTTTGTTAAAAATGCTCGATTATATTGAAAACAAATTATAAATGCTTTTTAATCAACAAGCAGGAAAAATGTTTATTTCCATCTCAAGTTACCTATGGATAAAGCATTCCTATTCAGACTCTGTGGCTTTGTCCAGCTTTATAAACTAAAAGCATCATTCATAAACAGTTGATAATACTTTGTAGTTTTGTTATTTGAAAGATGAAGCAAACCTTTTTGTCAGTTGAAATAAGAAAGCTTAGTCAATGGTGTGAGGGCAATATTTTGAAACTAACAAATGATTATCAGGAGCAGTCCTGGAGGCCTATTAAAAAGGCCAAGTGTGTACCTACATTTCACAACTCCATTCAAGGTAGCCAGGAAGATGCATTGGGCTTATCCAAAGAGTGTTAATATTTACCTCCCAGTTAATTTACAGAATTATTTGGAATGTTATTAGGGTTCATTAGATTCCAGATCAAGTGTACATAGATAATAGATGTAATGCTTGATATTATAAATTCATTACATGAAAATATTAATCTAATCTAAAAAGTCACCTAATAGAAATATTCTAAAACAGAGGTTAATATAAATTATTCTGAGACACACATATATACACATACACATGCACACACACACACAAACCTAATGTCAAAATGTCTCTAGGATTACACACTTAGAAGTTAGAAACATGGGATTTGGAGTCATATAGATGTGGGTTTTGAAGTCTAACAATTTAACTTCAGTCATACGCTAATTTTTACAGATGTTCCACTTCAGTCAGCCACAGTTTCCTCATCGATAAAATCAAGATGATAATACAAATTTACAGATTAATGTAGATTTAAATGAGAAGTCACACACATACATGTATATATATTCAAACGTGTCTTTCTATACACCTTTACTATATCTATATTATAGCTATAGCTATCTATCTCTCCAACTATTTTTTCTTTTATCTGTATCTGAGCCTAGTATTCCATCACAAAGAAAATGGACACTATCTCAGGAAAGCAATATAAGTCTAAAAAATAATAGAAAAAGGAGTATCTTCTTGTATTTTGAGTTTTAGAGGCCGCAACACAGAGTAGAATGGAAAGAACTCACGGCAGACTACATTCGAGATGAGTGAAAGCAAAGATGCCATCATCAACCACCTTTGATTACCATCAAAATAGAAATGACTCTCAAGACTATGGAGAAAGGAGACATCAAAGAAATGAGAGTTTGGGTCCTTCAAAGGGACCTCTAAACTCTCCTTCGTTGGTCATTCCCTGTGGAGATGACAAGCATAAGTTTATGAGAATGGAACACAGGGAATCTGGGCTTCTATCTCAGGTTGACCCCTAAAAAGAAAGTACCCAGAAAATAAATAGTATTTATAGAAGAATTTATAGAAGTATTTATAGAAGAGCAGGGCTTGGAGAGCATCACGTTTCCTTTAATATTGCACAGTATAGGAATAGAAGAATGATTTTTTGTGTGCCTAACAGTGGCATAGAATTTATAGTCGTTGAACTTAAAGGGCTATTATTTGCCAGAATACAGGAAAATCCGTCATTCACCTGGGTAGATCCAAATGAAATAGCAGGTGGGGCAGTAACTGTATCAACAGTTGCCAAAAATTGGCAACAATTGGATATCCTCCTCTAATATCTTGCCCTTATCCCACCCTCTAATTTGTGGGTACTATGTAAGGCCCCTTGGGAATCTGACACAATGCAGAGGGAAAATGGGAGCTAGGAACCAAACTAAGTGAAATGAAGTCTTTGTCATTCCCTAAGAATGGACGTTTGAAATTAGGTAAAATTTTAGGCAGACAAACAAGCAAAACAAAACAAAAAAACTCCTGCACAGTTTGTGGACTGTTTTAATTAAGCATTTCATGAAGAGTTGCTAATCAAATACTATTTTGAACCAGGCCTGACTCTCATCATTTTCAAAACACTTGGCCTACTCTTCTTGAATTGTTTTACTTTCATTGAACTGTTCCGTCAATCCTCTTATCAGATACAAATGAAGAAGAAAGCATACCACATCTTAGAGTCGATGTATTTTTAAACCAGCTTCAAAGAGGGAGTGGTTAGATATGCGTTAAAAGAAGCTTTCCTCCCTCTTTTTATTATATCAGTATCATTTTCTTTATTGAACATTTCATAGAGGAGTTCTATTGTAGCAGCCACTCCTGTTTGTCAGTTAGCACTATCAAAGGAGTTGTAGGAGGAGTGTAATTACCAAATATTTCTAGCCTGGTGAAGTGGATAATGAGAAGTGCAGTGAACATGGATTTGGACTGTGTATGTGTGTGCATATTTGTGAACCAGCATTTAGATTCTCTTTATTATTCCCATGCTTAACAAAAAAGTCTATGTTTTGAACATTACTGCAGAGAAGGGATCTAATTTTAGCAAAGTGAGGAGGGGGTGCCTGCCTGAACTGAATAGTGAGGGAGCCTCTCAAAAATAAATCTATGGAAGACATTGAATCATGCAGACATTAAAGAATTTTTTAAGAATCAGGTTTACCAAATATTCAAGAGATAGTGTTTTTCCACATCTATAAGGACATTGAATCTCAATCCATTGCATCCCAATAGTGCATTCAAATCTTAAAGACCCAATACTATATTTTACACATTCATTTGAGGTGAAAACAATTTTCTTTTGTCTGTCATCAATGCATACATTTCAGCAGAAGAAATAATGGTAAAATAGAATAGACAATATTTTAATGACACAAATAGCATGGTTACATTGTCTTCTCCAAATTCTTCATTAGTTGTAAGTGCTTAATCAATAAATTTAAAGCTCGATATACTTCAAAAGAATTTGAGCAAATTTGTTTATATTAGTTTGCCTTATTGATAACGGTGTCTAGTCACACAACTTGTTTATGTATAAACTTTATTATACAAAGGAAGGTGAGATTATTGAAGGTTCCCTTCATCAGTGGCCCAGTCCTACATTTCCTAACTCAGAGGTACAAATAAAGTTTTCCAGTAGACCAGAATGCTAGTGAATGTCACCTATCAGAACCTGAGCTGAGTAAAATTCTCCACCTGTTACAGCCTGGATATACACTTCTCAAAGACTAGCATGTATGTGCCAAGATGCTTCTGTTCAGGTTGGCTTGATACCTGTTGGTAATGATCATGTCTATAAAACAGCACACCTTTGTGGCTGAGCTCTTTCATTTTTAAGATTCTTATACAAAGTCTGGTCACACCGTCACAATCTAGTGATTGTAAGCCTCAACAAATCACAGCACAAATCAAGTGCATTTTATTGATGTCAGTCACTAGGAACACCACCAAAATGCTTGGGCATATATAATCTTGCCTTTCGTGTATTAATTATAATCCAAGAAGTTTGAATATACATTTTCCCATCATTATTTAAAAGTGTTAAATAGCCTCTCTTCATTATACATTATGTCTATGAATTTATGTACACATATTTCTTCTGGGTATAATTATAGGGTGAAGGTAAAGAGAATTTTGAGTATGCCAAATAGATATAGAAAATAGAAAAACTGTACCAAAAGCAAGAGGAAATAATCAGTAGTTACAAAGTAGAAGAAAAGACCATCAGCGTTTTGCAGAGATGAATTAACAAAGGGTCCCAAAAATAGATTTGAATCCCATAGCTCAATTGCATGTCTCCAGAAAAATGGAGCCTCTGATGGGCTCTACTAATTGTAATTAAATCACAATAGAACATAACAAATCAAATAGTAAACTGAGGTAGCAAGAGCTGCAGCCAAGTCTTTATAGTAAACATGGGTAATACTGAGTGGGCACTTTGTGCTGAACACAGTTCGAAGGTCTTCACATAAAGACCAGCTCAAGTGTCAAACCTACTGTTTAAGTGGGTATCATCATGATCTTTATTTCACAGATAACGTAATCCATTTTCTGGCCAAAGTCAGAAAATGGTTGTCCAAAGTTAAGTAACAAATAAGAGGTTTTGAATTCAGGAGGGGATTTGAACTCAGGCAATTGGATTCCAGAGCCTACCAGCTATAACCTACACAAAATAAAAGCTAATTACTTCTGTATAACTCTAACCTGGTAGCAGGAAGAACATGGGCTGACAGGTAAACCACAGTCTTATTGTTGACTCTGATTTGGTGCTAGTTGACTGGAAACCTCACAGAAGACACTCAGGTTAATACTGGATCACCAAACTGGGTGAAAATCAGAAGTAAGCCAACAACATCCTGCCCTCAGTAGTAAGTCAAACTTAGTAAGGATAATCAGATGATGAAACTAACTAAAATAATAGACAATTTCTATTTTTAAAAAAGGATTTTTTTACATCTTTAGTTACTGTATTTTAGAAAAAAGTAATTAAAAATAGTCTAGAAAATGAGACAATGCAAAAATATTGTCTTATACAAGTCCTCATGTAAGTACTGATGTTGCTGCATCTCCACACTCCACTCCCAGTGTTCCTCTTGAGGGAGCTCCTTGACTAGCTGCTGTTCCTTACCTGATAAAGTGACTCTAGTAGACATTTGTCATTTTGAAGGCTCCCTACATTTATTGCATAATTTCTAATTCTGGATAATTTCCAACCTGTTATGGTTTGGATGAGAAGCAGAGCTTCACCTCGCACAAGTGAAGCTGTCACTCTTCTAGTCACATGGCCAATCAGAAGTTCACTAAGGATGAAGTTCCTTATTGTCAATCAAGAGAGCAATGGTATAGAACAGATGAACTTCTTTCTTGGCCTTCAGAAGCTTCATTGATTCATGCCTATTTTCCATTCTTGCCTTCAGCCTTCCTTCAAATCTGTTAGCTCCTGTTATCTCTCCAATAATTTTCCTAATTGATTGATTTCCTATTATTTACAATAGAAGGTTTTGTAATTGATTTGGTAATCAAATCCCTCAGTCTGTATTTAACATGAAGGTTTCCTGCCTATACAGTGTTGTGGTGGTCTTCCATGAAGTTGATCAGGTTTGCTGGTGCCTGTGCCTATATATGCTCTTCCAAATGCCCATCGAATACTAGAAGTCCCATTTTCCCCTGGTAAGCAAAATTCATCACCAGAGCCATGCATCCCTTTCATCCTATTCCATTGGTGACATGATGTGATTGAAATAGCAGTATGGGTCTCTGTGCTTCTGGCTTAAAAATGTGTGTGTGTGTGTGTGTGTGTGTGTGTGTGTGTGTGTACGTACGTGTGTGTGCCGTAAAGAAAAGAAACTTCCCCTGGGTATTATGACAATAGAAAACTAATCACAAACTCATTTAATTGTTGTCATTAAAATATACTGTTACCTCCACTTAAGCAGATGAGGAAATATAGACTCTGAGCTGTTTGAGTTTGGAACTCCACACTGTTGTCTGTGCTATCCCATAAAGATTCTCTCTGTGTCAAGAATGAAGCAGGAAAAGACAGATTCTGGGAACCACTTAACTGTTGGACTAAGAAGTTCATGGAATAAAAGGGCCAGGGGAGTCCTTAAAGTCAGCTGTATGGGGATGATAACTCAATAGCGAGCCCCTTCCACGTCTCCTATTCTTGACTGAATGAAGAACAGCCAAGTCAAGGAAGGTTTATTCCTCCAGGCTGGGTTCAGCATTTTTTTTTCCCCCAGGCTGGAGTGCAATGGGTACATCTCAGCTCACTGCAACCTCCACCTGCCAGGTTCAAACGATTCTCCTACCTTAGCCTCCCAAGTACCTGGGATTACAGGAGTCCACCACCACACCCAGCTAATTTTTGTATTTTTAGTAGAGACAGGGTTTCACCACGTTGGTCAGGCTGGTCTTGAACTCCTGATCTCAGGTGATCCGCCCGCCTCAGTCTCCCAAAGTGTTGGGATTACAGGTGTGAGCCACCGTGACTGGCCGGGTTCAGCTTCCTTAACGGTCTGAGTGTAAAAGACATTGCTAGGGTGACTGGAATCTGAGTGTTAAGAAGGGACCCTTTCTTCACCTTAGACCATTACTGTCTTTGGTCCTCTTTCCTAAATTTAGGAGCAAAACTTCTGTAAGCCTCTCAAGAGGCACAAATGGTTCACAGAGAAGGAGCTGGTAGTTCCATTGGCCAAGGGAATCATCCCTCTCACTCTCTAGCCAGTTTGACTCAATTTTAAATAGCCTAGCCTTTATAGGGAGTCTGAGCCAAAAATAAAACACATGAAATAAACTGGACACCTTAACTGACCTTCCCAGCCACCGAGTGACCCAGAGAGACCTGTTGAAGCTTTCTACATGCCCAGCCTTCCTCATCCAGAACAGGGGGAGGGCCATGTAGAGATTTTCTGGAGGCCCTGTGACCAAGTTGTATCTAATGGATCTGTATCAATTATTTGAGCATTTTTTTTTCTTTAAGAATGTCTTACATTTTTTAAATTAAAATTTTTCCTTTTTTTTTTTTCTTAATTTGGCTGGCTTGAGTTTTCATGTGATAAGTCCAATTAAAAAGCTTGAAAGTCTCCTGTGCTGTATTCATGATATGTATGTATGTTTATAAATGTTTATGCTGCAAAGTGGCATATAATTATTAAGTGAATCATTTTCTATTCATTTATTTCATTAGTTATTTTAAATTTTCTTCAGAGATTTTATTAAGCATAATATTAAACTGATTTTTTATGAATCTTCACATTTGTCAAAAAATCGATTTCACATACCTAATGAAACTTGTATTTAAATTATAAACCATTGAATGCTGATTTCTCAACAGTTGAATTGCTGGGTTTATTATATTGAAACAATATTTATGACTGTGTTTAAAACAAAATACACCATTGAATTATATTAGTACTTTATTGCTTATTTACTTGATGCTAGTATTTACAATTATCTCTAACTTAACCAATTTTAATGTTTAAGAGATTATTTTTCAGAAAAACTGCATAGGTGCTATTTTTCATGAACTCTTGCATATATAAGCATATCTCTGTAAATGAACGACACTTTGACTGAACACAGCGAAACTGGATTAGTATCATGTTCTTTATAAATATTACAGTGCATTACTTTAATTTTGTTTGATATTTGAAGTTTAGAAGAAAAGTTAAGGGCCAATTTAATTTTTATTCATTGTAATCAATTCATTTTTTAACTTAGCTATTTGTAGGCTAGTTTTATTTTTTCTTATGCTTGTTGTTAATCGTTTTTTTTAAGCAAACATACCTTGGTATCCATTTTATTATTTATGTATTTTTTCTGAAATGCAGTGATTTCTTTTTTATCTGTGTATATTGAGTTAGCAAAAGTTTTCCTCTCTTTTATGTTCCATTTTTGCTTTTGTGTTTTGTTCTTCTTCAGGGAACACTAATAATTTTTATTTTGACTCCTATTTTTATGCTGTATACTGTCATTTTCTTCATTATTCAAGTCTTTTTGTGCCTATATTTGAAACTCAAGAGATTTTCTTATATAGAACCATCTATATTCAATTATTCATATCACATGTTATGTTTTTGAGTCTCATCTAGATTATCATTGCATTTTAAAATTTCCAGCCTTCGTATCACCATCATTTTTCTTTTTATATCAGGCATTTAAAAATTTTTAGTTTGTTTCTTTTTCATCTCAATCTGTTTTCTATTTGGAGTTCTGCTTTTTTCTTCCCCCCTCCCCCCGCATTGAAGCCATGTCTTTTCACATGGTATATGGGATTTCATACAACTTCCTGACATTTTCTTCTAGATTCTGCATTATTTTCAGTGTTACCCTTTTCTTCTGATTCTTTACAATATGTTTTCTCTTTCACTTACTTTGAAAGTTTTTTTATATGGGCCTTGCATTGCTTTCATTTTCCTTCCTTCCTTCCTTCCTCTCTCTCTCCCTTTCTTTCTTTCCTTCCTTCCTTCCTTCCTTCCTTCCTTCCTTCCTTCCTTCCTTCCTTCCTTCCTTCCTTCCTTCCTTTCTTTCTTTCTTTCTTTCTTTCTTTCTTTCTTTTTCTTTCTTTCCTTCTTTCTTTTTTCTCTTTCTCTCTCTTTCCCTTCCTTCCTTCCTTCTTCTTTCTTTCTTTCCTCTTTTTTTTTTTTTGTTTGAGACAAGATCTCAGTCCGTCATCCAGGATGGAGTGCAGTGGTGCAATCAGGGCTAATTGCAGCCTGCACTTCCCTGCCTCAGGTGATTCTCCCACCTTGGCCTCCTGAGTAGCTGGGACTACAGACACATGCCACCACGCCAGCTTTTTCTTTTCTTTTTATTTATTTATTTATTTTTGTAAAAGATGGAGTTTAGCCATCTCAAACCCAGGCTGGTCTGGAACTCCTGGGCT
Source organism: Homo sapiens (assembly GCF_000001405.40). Taxonomy (NCBI): domain Eukaryota; kingdom Metazoa; phylum Chordata; class Mammalia; order Primates; family Hominidae; genus Homo; species Homo sapiens. Next base: position 76,528,305 of record NC_000002.12, read on the forward strand.
CAAGTGATCCTCCTGCCTTGGCCTCCCAAAGTGCTGGGATTACTGGCGGGACTCACTGCACCTGGCTTGCTTTCATGCTTTTAGCTAATTTTAAAACAAGATGAAATCTATTGATACTGAAAATTGATAGCAACAGTGTGACTAGATTATCTTCAAGTTCACTTTTTTTCTCTTTGTTGAGTAGAAGGCCCTCCTGTTCCAGTCTATAGCTGAAGGGCTGCTAACGCACATAGCTTCCACTCCCATTTCCGGTTCCTAGTATATTTTCAAAACTGAAAGGTGTAATTGACTCATTTCCTCATTATCTAACTGTTGTCTGGAGCCATGAACCAATGTAGGACATAAAATATACTTTTTAGCATGTGCTGCTACTAGGATTCTTTTCTCTATCTAGGAAACCTACTACATTTTACTGTTGCCATACACCATCTTGATAAAATCAGCATGGGCTCAGTCAAGAGCTTGCATGCATGTGTGCGCCTGTCTATGCCTGCATCCACCCATACACACAGAGAATAGGGGACTTCAGATGGGAATACTTTTCTCCTAAGTTTATAGAGTTATAATGGAAGTTCAAACAAAGAGTTCTGTGCAGTGCTCCAGTTGTCACAGGTCACGTAATTATAGATGTCTGATAATCCTAGTTTTTAAATCTTTTTTGTATGTCTGCATTTATGATTAAGACTGCATTTAAGTTAACTTACCAAGCTCAACTTTGAATCAAAATATCCCCTTGCCTTTATAATATATATACTCCTCAAACCTCAAACCAGAGACAAAAAAAAAAGAAAAAGAAAAAATGAAAGAAAAAGATTTACGCTGAAGCTAATGAAGCTTAAGTTTTGAGGCTCTTCACTTACATGGGCCCCCGCCGGGGTCCTTACTGAGGAAACTAAAATCTGTTCAGATGGTCATTCCAAAATAAGATATTTTAATTGTAAATTACTAAGACCACTGTGTCTTTCCACCTGGATTTCTCCTACATAACACACCTTCCCTGTCATAGTTTTGGAGTGGCTGTGGGCAATTTTGGGATCTGGCTAATGGGAAATTGACTTGGGGATACATGGCTAGTAAGGCAGTTTACTATGGGTTTATTGGGACCTGTTTATATGGTTTTTGATACTTCTTTATTCAATTTAATTGTCAGTCACTGTCTTAGTACATAAATGGCTTCCAGGAATACTCCTACTACCCCAAGGACTAACTCTTCCCCAACCTTTGACTTGAGGATAGCAATGAAAAACTGATAATAAGTATAGTCAATTAAAAAAAAGTGTCTAAGTTTAGTCACTGCCCAAAAAAAAATTGATAGAGGCTTTCATAAATGTGATAACAATCCTAAAATTTACAGAACATTACCGTAAAGAGTGTGAAGCTAAAATAAGCATTTTTATACTATAAAATGTTTGACCAATCAAATTAGAGAAAGATCAGTTTGTCTATTTTCTTTATAAAAATATAAAATTATTGTCATATGAATAGCTGATAACAGAGTAAGCTGCCAAAAATATAGAAATATACTTTAAAGGTAAAAATAAAATAATCATTTTTGTGTGGAATTTGATGGTGTTTTTCAGATTTTTATAAGTTTATGCTTCTTTTTCCTCATTTGAAATCAGTAAGCATTTAGGTACCTTATTTCGTATTCATGTATTTGTATTTTTTAAGGAGGTGCTGCCTTCACACACACGCACAAAAATGGAGTAAGCAGGTCACACTACCTGGACCACTCCTGCACCAAGCGTTTGTCCCAAAAAATTCAGAAAAAAAATAAAATAATGAAATTATTAGCAATATGTTGAGATAAAAACGCACATGAAACATGTACTTCAAAGCTGAGCATTATCAGAAGACAATGAAACATAAGACAAATAAATATAAGTAGTCTTATTTGTATATGGGTTTATGTCTCTAAGCTAAAGTAAATCATACTTTTACTTATTGTTCATTATTTCCTTTTCACAGCCAAATCAGAATGTAAATGATGCAATTGAAATAATGAGCTGTAGGTATCCCACTGCTGGGGAACCAGATGAAATGTTATCCGCAACAAACAAAACAGTATATTGCACACAATAGGGATTTATCAGATTAGGCTTCCAGGCAAGGTGAAACAAGGTGATTTGCTTAAAGAAAAAAGATAATTTCATCTCCTATTGTACTATTTTAAAACAGCATTGCTTTCTGTGGTGAATCAGATAATGTTGTACCTATTATAACTTTTATTTTTATCAAGTCATTATAATAAAACAAAAACCTCAAGCATCAAAGATCCTATTTCCATGCAAATCTTCCTAGTAATAAAAGATGAGCAAAGAAAAATTAAAAAACTTCTGTAAGGAGCAGCCTCCAAATTAAATAGCATTTAAACAATTCTCATTAACTCTGAAATCTTTTTTGCGTTTGTTCTTAATTGTTCTAAACAAGGAATTCTCTTAAATATACGTGGGTGCATCTTCTTTCAGCTACTTTCCCTTTTTAGGACTTATTTCATCTTTGAAATCAAAGAAGTATGTTAAAATTGCAAACAAAGTTGGTTTTTAATTAGGATGTTGGCAATTAGTTCACTCATTTATATGTCATTTTCTATCTTGGCTGGGTTTAATTTGCATATATCTTCAAATTACCTTTCTAAGGTAAATATTGCATTCTTTCCTACTCCCTTATTGATCACTCACAAACTTATGTTAGTACAGTAAATAATTTTTATTATAATTAAAGAGAAATCTTCATCACATCATAGTCAGATAACTCAATTTTTAGTTGTGAAGATCACAGAATAATCCATTACTAAAGATGGGTTTTATGGACTTGGCAGGCAAAAAATAATATCTACTTCTTATCTGGCAGAATAGTAGAGCACTTTAGTGGACACCAGAACCTCTTATTCTATGAAAAGTAGGGTATGATAACTTGGTTATTTGAATTAGAAAGAAAGAAATCATAGAAATATTAAAAAGTAAAATTATACTTCTGTGATGGTTAATATTGAGTGTCAACTTGATTGAATTGAAGTATGCAAAGTTTTGTTCCTGGGTGTGTCTGTGAGGATGCTTCCTGCCCTTGAACATCGGACTCTAAGTTCTTCAGCTTTTGGACTCCTGGACCTACACCAGTGGTTTGCCAAAGGCTGTCGGGCCTTCAGCCACAGACTGAAGGCTGCACTGTTGGCTTCCCTACCTTTGAGGTTTTGAGACTCAGACTGGCTTCCTAGCTCTTCAGCTTGCAGGTGGCCTATTATGGGACTTCACTTCATGATCATGTGAGTCAATACTCCTTAATAAACTCTTCTTCATATATGCATGTATCCTATTAGTCCTGTCCCTCTAGAGAAGCCTGACTAATACAACTTCCAAAAAGAAATATATTTTCCAGATCTGTCACCAAAGTAGGCTAGCAGAAGCTGGCTCAGCGAGAGCTCTGGTGGGTTCCCTGGGCCCTAGGTACTGGTCTCTGACATAGTTTTCTCCATGGAGAGTGGATCACTCTACGTTCCTGCACCAGGAATGTCAGAGTGTTCTCAGAATATTATGATGATTCCAGAAGCAAGAATAATTGCAAGATGTTTGGAGGCAATGAGGAAAGAACAAAGGATCAAATATGGAGCAGCTCTATGGCCCTGCTCTGACAATTTTAGCAACATATTATTGAAAATGGGAGTGAACAATTTAAACTTCTGAAAAGCTATAATGATGCTCCAAAAAGAGGTATTAAAATGAAGCATATAAAGTGACAGTAGATGACTGGGCATCCTCCTCCTAAACACCCATCAAGAGCGCCTTTCAAACGTGTGCTGTGTTCTTCCACCAAGGTGTCCGTTTTGGAGTTTGTATTTTGCTGCTGATCACATTTCTGGTGACATTTTGATTCCTTGAACACATTTCAAAATGTCGTATAGAAAGCCTGTCCAGGCAACTGTCTTGCTGGCTCTCCCTTTCATAGTGTTCTGCTTGTCAAATTATATGTGACGGTAACTATATATTATTAAATGAAAGTTAAATTGAGGCAGAACCATACAACACACACTTCACTGCCTATGTTACCACATGAGATAACACACCAAAATGCCCCTCAATATGGTCATTTTTATGTCATAGATTACAAAGCCCTTCTACATGCATTATAGGATTTGACTTTGCAACAATCTGGGAAAGGGGGTAGGAATAATAGTCTAATTACCTCTATTTACAATAAAGTAAGAATCTAAGTGTATAAACATTAAATCTGGCTGGGCGCAGCAGCTTATGCCTATAATCTCAGCACTTTGGGAGGCCAAGGCAGGAGGATTGCTTGAGTCCAGGAGTTTGAAATCAACCTGGGCAACATAGGTAGACCCTATCTCTACAGAAAATTATAAAAATTAGCCAGGTATGGATGCGCATGTCTCAGCTACACGGGAGGCTGAGGTGGGGGGATGGCCTGAGCCTGGGTGGTCAAGTCTGCAGTGAGCAGTGATCATACCACTGTACTCCAGCCTGGTTGACAGAGTGACACTCTGTTTCAATGAATAAATACATAAAATAAATACAAAATATTAGGCGGTTATATAACTCAGGAATGCTAGGGAAGAGATTTAAGTTTAGGTATGTTGATGCCAAGCCTGTGTTGTTTCCATGAAACAAGTACAAAATGCTAGGTGGTTTTCCAGCATTCCAGCAAATACTTTTTTCCCATTTAGTCATGGGATTAAAAAACATATACTAAATATATTAAAAATATATGTATTCTAAGATTTCTTAATTCAGAAGAAAGGGGCAGTGTGGTTCCCTAAACACTAGCCTGGTACCAAATTACTAAAAACCTTGAACTAACCTGTTTACTTCTCTCTGTTTGCATCTGCTAGCCTATTGCATGAGTGGAATAGACTAACTACATGAATATAAATATTTCATTCAGCTCTAAAACAAATTCTATCTCTCAGTGTATTCTATGTGTCAGGCCAGTTGTTCTCAGTGCCATTTATTCTCTGACATCATCTAGATCAATGATGTGACCAGATAGAGAAATGGAAGAAAGAAGTATAAAATGAGTTCTCCATAAAATGAGGGCAGCTGTGGAGCTTCAGACATCTCAATAGGCTCTAAAACATGACCGTATATTAACAAAGGGTGACTCTTTTTTCTTGATTTTGAGAAGTAATTCTCATCTCCATACTACTAATCACCACTGCTACATGTGGAAGTGATATTTGTCAGCAGAGATTTAAGGAGCTTTATGGCAACGTTGTAGAATTTTGCATTTCATTTTAAGCCATTTTTTAGAATCACATAGGTATAGGACTCTTCTGGTGCCAGGCTCACAATCTTTCAGCTTGGCTCTGATTTCAGCCGGAGTCAAATAGGCACTTTCATGTGGGCTTCAACTCTCTGCTCAACAATGCTGACATGTTCTGGGCTCATTTTTTTGTTTTGTTTTGTTTTTTTGCCCCGGGCTTCTCCAGTCTATAGAAACGAATTTCTGTCAAGCAAACATGGAAACGTTGAATGTGGGAGCTTTGCAGTGGAAGGCCATGGTAAGGGGATCAATTCTGAAACAATGAAGGATGGATTCAAGGTAGAGAATACTTTTCCTAAACTATTCATGGGAAGACAGTTTTGAGGGGGTCACTGTATATTCCTCAAAATGTCCCAGTAGGGATCACACCTCAGTTTGCCCGTAAACCTTTAAAATACACTTTATATTCAATTTTTCTCCTTTTACTCTCATATGTCCTACATACCTATTTCCTTGAACTACTTTCAATTAAAGAAACTGAATACATGTCTTTGTTTTAGCTTCTCATTTTGGGGTAACCCAAGCTAAGCTACTGTGGCCCTGACTTTGTAGGCTAACTGTAAAACTTGCTTTTAGCTCTGTTCATCAGGCTACACTTAGTATAACATTATGAAAAAGAATTTTCCATCTTATTCCCTCCAAGCAATCTACTATCGATTTGTAATTTTTTTTTTTTTTTTGGAATTCAGCCTAAGGCCTGTTTTACTCTTATTATCCATTCTCCAAAAGACCCAATTCCTTCCTCTAAACTTTTAATTGAAGTCTTATTGGTCACTGCCTATAGGTCTACAGTGCCTCCTGAATTTAGCCTCATTTATATATGTGGCCAGGGAATACTTCATAGGCAACCACAAACTGCAGGTTAGTCAGCAAATTTTCACAGACAAGCATCCAAGTGTTAGGGTGTAACCCCACTCCCAGCCCCAGTTCAGTGCCTTATGCAAGGGTACGAGTATTCACTTCTAGAGCTTGAGTGGGTGTGTCCATCACTGCAAATACGGTGCCAATCTTTTGAGTAATTGCGCTTTGGGCATGAATTTATTTTATTTACCCTGAATTGTTTATAAGACTGAAAGATTGGCAAGGAACTGCACATTTATAACAGTTGTCTATTTTGGTAACTTAGAATATTCTCTCAATTCCAGTGGCTTTGTGAGAAGAAAGATAAAAAGAAATAAGACCATTTATTTCCCTATGTGGTATCGAGAGAGGGTGGTGGCAGCAGGTGGATGATGTTTTCTCTTCTTAGATTGCTTGGGAAAAAATATCTCAGTGGACATGAGGGAATCCATGGCTAAATGAAAAATAATGGTGACTTTTAGAAGTCTGGAAGCATCCAGGTTTTAGACATTTGAGAACACTTTATAAGAAGCATAGGAAAAAAATACAATGAGAAGTAAGAAAGCCTTCACAATTATGTATGTTATCACAATAGTTGCTTGGGCTTTGGACATCCAAAACTCAGAGAGAAATAGGATTAGATTAAAATGGGCTCTGATGCTAAAATTTAAAATTTATGAGAAAAAAGAAGCAAAAGAGGAACACATTTAAACTGAACAAAATGAGTATCTTCATATGGTAAAAGAGGAAGGAGACCCGCTTGCAATTAGTTTGAAAGAAACTGGGGAGCATTAAAGAGAAATGGAAATTGGCTCTAAAGAAATGAAGAGTTGAAAAATAAGGACTTTCCTGGCCTTAAGATTTCAAAAGCTGGCAAAACAGAGTTCAGGAAAGAACCACATGCCACATGATGCAGGGTTTCTTATTAGCTCTTCAAAGATACAGTCTCCAGTAGTACGTAGCAGATCCCAGCTGGCTATCTTTTGAGAAGGATTTTCTAACAGGAACAACTTGGAGACTAGGAGACAATCAGCCTCAAGGCAGAATCCCCAGACCGAAGCAATTCCACAGTAGGAGGCAGACATAGAAGCCTCCAAGGGAGAAACATGACAGCACAGAGCTCAGAAAGCCTGAGGATATTTCTAGGGATGAAAAAACAACAAGGACAGTAAACAGGGATTGTGGGACATTTAATATCATGACATTTGCGTGGAGAATTGCCTGTAATTTGCATGAAAATCTCCATATGCCTAGAGATGGGATGTTGTCTCTCTAGCCAAGGCTTGTTACTCATCATGAAGGTACAAGAAATACAGGGGGTCAATTGAAAGTTTATATAGGAAATGGATGTTTTAAATTTTGCCTACAGACATTGAAAGGAGGAAGTGATCTCCATACAGATTTAGGGGATGAACAATAAAGCCATGTCAATTTCTATATATTATACATACACAAAATAACAAGTGTATTTGACCTATTTTCTTAGAGAGAAGAGACAGTCTAAGTAGTGTTGTTTTTAATCTTAGGATTTTCAAAGCATAGTGTCAAATTCATCTTTTGGTAAATTTCTCCCATTAAGTATTACATTTAGAGGTATTGATTGATCTTTTCTAAAGCAGTATGGATTAGTTTACTGTTCATTGGTCAAGCTAAAAACAAACTAACACTATTTTTCTTTTCTCATTTTTTCTTTGTCTACCACTTTTGTCCCAAATAATACTAATCTCTTCTCTACTCTGGTAATATTACTGTACTTGTACGTCTTACAGGATTGGATCTTGGGAGCATGAATTTGGTTAGGGAAATGACATTTAAAACCTGGAAGCTTGGAATGTCACCTGTTATTACTCAGGAACTTTAGAAAATTGAAGGAGTTTTTATAGATATAAAATTAGTTGCTGTATAGTGCAACCCTGGAGAACAATTCACATACCCTCTGTGATCCCAGGGAGATTCCTCTAATTGGGACTAAATCTAATTAGAATATGAGGGAGATGGGATGCCTTGTCAGTATTTTGTTTCTAAATTTATCTCTAGGGAGAAAGAAGGACAAAATTAATTTTATTTTAGATTTAATTTATAAGTGGGAACTCAGTGGGCTTACTGATGGGAGAGGTGACATATTAGAATTTTATAGGGTGCAGATAAATTCAAGGCATTGCATATTTTCAGAGCTTTATTTTTGAGACTCATGCTCTCATTTGATGCACTTGGATAACCCTGTCTGGAAAACTCTATTTGGCAGCGGAAATTGTTATAATTTGGACAGGAGAGATTCAATAAGAGTATATGCTTTTGGGGAAATTTAATAATCTATTTTGATAGATTTGACATGATTTCAGGGCAAAAAAATACATTCATAAAAAGCCTTGAAGATCTGAGGGTTCATATCCATTTTCCTAAGCTCTCAGAGCAGTTGAAAGATTGAACAGTACTTTAAAAATATATTTTGCTAAGTTTTTCCCGTAATGGGAAGAGCCACACCACTGACTAATATAGCCTGTACTTCCATTACTTTTGTTCCAAAGAAAGTTCAGTGTTTCTCTACCTTGTCCATAACTCACAAAAATAAGCCTGAATTGATAATGAGGATATGTATTTGGACAAAATGTAGTATTCATTCCCTTTTGTTTATTTTTCTCTATTCTTCTAGGCAGGTAGTGTAGTGAAATATGTCCATAGTTGTTTCTTATGTGAGAGGTGTGGTCTAGGATGAACAGTTTTGATTGACTTTGCACAATAGAGTTGCTAGATTTAACAGATGAAAATACAAGACACAAATGTGGACATGTGTTTCCCTATTCCTCCTGCTAAGGAGAACTAAAATTCTTAGAAAATATTTATTAAACAAACATAAGAAACCTTTGAAAGATGGGAAGAAAAGGGACCTCAGGACCTAAGAAATGGCACAGGGTAAATTGATTCTCTTTTTCTTCCACATATCTCAGACTTGTGGTCGAAGAAGCTGGCAACCCAAAAATGCCTATGAGTTGGGACAAAAAAGCCACCCCACCAAAAACCTGTTATCTCTAGCAAAAATTCCAGAAAGAAGTATCCCAGTAAGACAAAAACACTTAGATGATAATGACTCTACTCTAACCAAACACCACAGTAAAAAGTGTGCACCACACCCATCCAAACCAGAAAAGGCTTCATGGGGAACCTAAATGTCTACCCTCGCAAGGGCTGTAAGAAGCCACCTCAATACAGTTGCTGGAATAGTGTCAGAGAAGGCCAAGTAGGGAGCCAGGACTTTCTATCCTGCCAGCTATTAAGGAAGGTCCTCACCTCTATGGTGTCAATGAAGATCATTTTGGGGATATTAGACTTCCACCCCATACCATAGTAATAAGATACCCTTCTCTCTGTTGATGTGGTATCAGAGGAGACCTAGTGAAGCGTCAAGAGTACCATTGCCTAGGGGTAAGAAGGCCACATCTGTTATGGTGTTACGTGAGTGTCAATGGAGACCACATGGGAGCTGGAACTCTCATCCTCACCCAACTGCAATGCACCCCTGTCCAGGAGTAATGAGAAATTGCTCCATCTTAGGTGTCAAAGGATGCCAAGCAGGGAAGCTGGACATCTACCTCCACCTTGAAATAGTAAGCTACCCCCTTCCCCTTGCCAGACTACTATAAATGCCAACAAAAACAGAAGGCTTAAGATCCAGTCTTATAATATAAAAATATTCAGATTTCAATATAAATTATCATTTATCATACCAAGAAATAGCAAAATCTCAAACTGAATGAAGAAAGAACAATGAATAGATGTTAAAAGTAGGAGATATTAGACGTTTTTGATGATTTTAAAGAATCCGTGATAAAAATGCCTCAAGGAGCAATTACAAACATAATTGAAACACATAAAAAAAAAAGAGTCGTAACAATGAAATAGAAAGTTTCAGCAAAGAAGATGAAAATATAAAGAAGAATCAAATGGAAATTTTAGAACTGAAAACTGAAATTAAAAGATCAATAGATGAACTTAAAAGTAGAATGAAAGGAAGATAACAAGGTAAAAAAATCAGTAAACTAGAAGACAGAATAACAGAAATTAATCTGAACCATACAGATAAAATATTTTAAAAAGGAACAAAAACAGTATCTTAGAGATATGTGGGATTATAACAATATATTGTGTCATTGATGCTCCAGAAGGAGAGATAAAAGCAGAATTTGGAAAAATAATCTAAGAAATAATGAGTGAAAAATTCCCTAATTTTGCAAGAGACATAAACATAAAAATTCAAAAATCTGAGTAAACCCAAAACACAATAAATCTGAAGAAATTCATGTCAAGGGCTATGTTCTCAATGTTTGTGTCTCCCCAGAATTCATATTTTGAAATCGAATCACCAATGGGATAGTATTCAAAGGTTGGGCTTCTGGAAGGTGATTAGATCATGAGGGCAAAGCCCTCATAAAAGGGATTGGTGCCCTTATGAAAGAGGCATGAGAGCTGTCTTGTTTCTTCTCCCATGTGAGAACACAGCTAGAAGGCATCATCTATGTAACAGAAAATGGGCCCTCACCAGATAGATACTGAGCATGCCAATGCCCTGATCTTAGACTCAAGATTCTGCCTCAAGAATTGTGAAAAAATCATTTTTGTTGTTTATAAGCTAGTCAGCTTGAGGTAATTTGTTATAGCAACTTGAGTGTACTAAGATACCAAGACAAATTATACTGAAATCTCTAAAAGGCAAATAATAAGTTTTGAAAGCATAGAGAAATAAATGACATATTACCTATATGGCAAAAGCAAGTTAAGTTACAGAGGATTTATCATCAGAACTGTGGAGGCCAGAAGGAAATCACAACATATTTTATATGTTGAAGGAAAAGAACTATCAACCTGGAATCCTATGCACAGCAAAAATATCATTCAGGAATGAAGGATAATGAAAAACTCTCTTAATAATGAAAATCTAAAAGAATTTATAACCAGCAGACCTATACTGAAAGAATAGCTAAGGGAATTTCTCTAAACAGAACAGATATATAAAAGAAAACATACCGAAATGTTAGGAAGATATAAAATAATATGCAAAAATATGAATGAATATAATAGACATTCTTCTATGTGTTTTCTAAATTATGTTTGATGCTTGAGGAAAAAGTGTAGGACATGGTCTGATGTGGTTCTAAGTAATTGTAGAGGGAAAATTTAAGACAATTATATTTGAACAAGAAAGGTAAAAAAATGTAAAGGGAGGCAAGTTTTCTATACTTCAATTAAATTGGTAAATAGCAACACCAGCAGACTGTGATAAGTTATTTGCATATAATGTTATAGCTATAGCAAACACTATAAATAGATGTTAAAAGAGATACACTCAAAAACACTATAAATAAATCAAAATGAAGTTTAAAAAATTCTAATGATGTGTGAGAAGACAGAGAAAAATAAAAATACCGGGAACAAATAGAAAGGAAAATATGAAAGTAATACTTAAGCCCTAATATATGTATAATTACAGTAATATAAATGGTCTAAGTATGTAAATTAAAAAATATTATTAGTATTATTATTTTTTGAGACAGAGTTTCGCTCTTGTTGCCCAGACTAGAGTTCAATGGCATGATCTCGGCTTACCATAACCTCCACCTCCCGGGTTCACGCGATTCTCCTGCCTCAGCTTCCCAAGCAGCTGGAATCACCATGCCCAGCTAATTTTGTATTTTTAGTAGAGACGGGGTTTCATCATGTTGGTCAGCCTGATCTTTGACTCCTGACCTCAGGTGATCTGCCCACCTCGGTCTCCCAAAGTGCTGGGATTACAGGCGTGAGCCACTGCGCCTGGCCTTAAAAAAAAAATATTGACAGAGTGCATTAAAAAACTTGACACAGTGATATGCTCTCTACAAGAAAGTTATTTTAAATATAATTATAGAGTCAGGTTGAAAGTAAAAATACTAAACAGCAAATATAAACAGTAATTAATAATCAATAACACACATCAATCTATAGTACATAGAAATGGCTATGTTGATATCAACAAGGTAGATGTCAGAACAAAGAAAATTTACCAGAGACAGAGATTAACATTATTTAATGATAACAGGGTCAGTCTACCAAGAACACATAGCCATCGTATATGGATCTCCACAAAACAACAAGCTACAAAACTTGTGAGGCAAAAACTGATTGAACCAAAAGAAGAAACAGACAAATACATAATTATAGTTGTAGACTTCAATACTCCTCTCTCAACAATTGATAAAATGACTAGATAGAAAATTGGCAAGAGTATACAATAAGTCAATAATACCATCAACCAAGAGAGTTTTATCGACATTCATAAAATGCTCTACCCAAAAACAGAGAATACTCATTATTTTCAAGAGTCCTTAGAACATATACTAAGAGAGACTACATCCTGGAACTTAAAAAGAAATGTCAACAAATTTAAAAGAATTGAATTTAATAACAGAAAAAAACAGGGAAATTACAAATACTTGGAAACTAAACAAGGCACACTTCTAAATGATCCATGAGTCAAAATTGAAATGTCAAGGGAAATCAAAAATATATGCATTAAACTGGATAAAAATAAAAACACAACATATCTTAATTTTTAGGATACAGTTAAAGCAGTGCTAAAAGGGTAATTTATAGCACTAAAGGTATGTGTTACAAAAGAAGAAAATCTCAAGTAATCTGAGTTCCTACATGAAGAATATAAAAAAGAGAAAAATATACCCAAAGCAAGCAGAAGAAAGAAAATAAAGATCAGAAACCAATGAATTTGACAACAATGATAAAGTTATAGAGAAAAATCCCATAAACAAAGAGTTTGCCCTTTGAAAAGAACAATAAAATACACAAAACTCTAGTAAGACTGCAGAAAAATAAGAGAGGTCATAAATTACTGGCATCAGGAATAAAACGGGATAATCACTACAGACCCTGAAGTTATCAAAAAAGCTTATAAGGGAATAGTATAAACAACTGTAGGCACAGAAATTTGACAATGTAGGTGGAATGGACAATTCCTTGAAAACCATAAACTACCACAACTCATCTAATATAAAATACATAATTTGAAGATAATATGTAATTTTAAAAATTCCCAAGACAGAAATTATGAGGCTCAGATGTATTCACTGGACAATTCTGTAAAACATCTACAGAAAAAAATAACCCATCTGATATTTGACAAAGCCAACAAAAACAAGCAATGGTGAAAGAGTTCCCTATTCAATAAGTTGTGCTGGGATAGTTGGTTAGCCATATGTGGAAGAATGAAACTGGACCCCTACCTTTCACAAAGTAATAAAAATTAACTCAAAGTGGAGGAAAGATTTAAATATAAGACCTCAAACTATACAAATACTAGAAGAAAACATAGGAAATACCCTTCTCAACACTGGCATTGGCCAAGAAGTTTTGGTTAAGTCCCCAAAAACAATGACAACAAAAATAAAAATAGACAAGTGGGACCTAATTAAAATAAAGAGCTTCTGCACAGCAAAAGAAACTATCAGCAGAATAAACATGGAACCTACATAATGGAAGAAAATATTTGCAAACTACGCATTGAATGAAAGTCTAATATCGAGAATCCATAAGGAAGTTAAATAAATCAACAAGCAACAAACAAGAAACTGAAAAATGGGCAAAGGACATGAACATGCACTTCTCAAAAGAAGACATACAGTTTGTCAACAAACGTGAAAAAATACTCATCATCACTAAACATCAGAGAAGTGCACAAACAAAGCCACAATAAGATACCATCTCATACTAGTCAGAATGGCTATTACTAAAAATTCAAAAAAATAAAAGATGCTGACAAGCCTGTAGAGAGAAGAGAATACTTATATACTGTTGATAGGAAGGTAAATTAGTTCAGCAACTGTGGAAAGAAGTTTGGAGATTTCTCAAACAGCTTAAAAGAGAGCTAGGATTCATCCCACCAATCTCATTACTGAGTATATCCCCAAAGAAAACAAATTGTTCTGCCAAGAAGACACATGCACTCATATGTTCATAACAACAGTATCCACAGTGGCAAAGACATGGAATCAACCTAGCTCCTCATCAAAGGTGGACTGCATAAAGAAAATATGCTACAAATACCCTATGGAATACCATGCTGGCATAAAAATGAATACAATTATGTCTTATGCAGCAACATGTATACAGCTGAAGATCATAACTCTAAATTAATACAGGAACAGAAAACCAAATACCACATATTCTCACTTATAAGTGGGAGCTAAACATTGCGTACACATGAACATAAAGATGGGAACAATAGACACTGTGGCTTACTAGAAAAGGGAGAGAAAGGGGAGATGTGGGTTGAAAAACTACCTATTTGGTACTATGTTCACTACCTGGGTGACAGGATCCATACCCTAAACCTCAGCATCACACAATATGCCCATGTAACAAACCTGCATGTAAGCCCTCTGTATCTAAAATAAAAGTTGAAATTATTTTTAAAAGACTCAGTAAATAATTTCATACACACATGCACACAGGCACACACACACACACACACACACACACACACACACACACACACAATGACCAAGTGGAATTAATACCAGGGGTGCAAGCTTGCTACAATATTTAAAAGTCAATCATTGTAATCCAACCATATTAAGAGGTTGCAGAAGAAAAATATTACCATATTACTACAGAGAAATAATTAGACAAAATTCACCACCTATTCATAATAAAAATTGTTGGAAAAATAGTGCTAGAAAGGAACTTCTTCAATTTATTAAATAAGAAGCCTACAGGTAACATTATACTTAATGGTGAAAGACCAAATGCTCTCCCCCGAAGACTGGAAATAATATAAGGATATCCACTCTCAACCACTCTCATTTAACATAGTGTTTGAAGTTCTGGCCTGTGCAATAAGACAACAAAAACAGTTTTTTTAAAAAAAGATACAGATTGTAAAGAGAGAGAGAGAGAAAATCGCCACTATTTGTAGATGACATAATTGCCAAAATAGAAAATCTCAAGTAATCTATACAAAAACTCTCAGAACTAATAAGTTCAGCAACATCACTAGATAGAATATAAATATACAAAAAAAGACATTTATATGTACTAGTAATGAACATGTGAGTAGTAAAATTAAAAATACAATCATTCAATAAAAAAGAAATATTTGGGTGTAAGTCTATCAAAACATCTACAGAGAATAATATACATACTGAAGACTACAAAACATCGATGAAAGCATTTCAAGAAAATCTATATAAATGGAGAGACATACCATATTCATGTATTGGAAGACCCAACATAGTAAAGATGTCAATTCTTTCAAGATTAATACTCAGGTTTTCTGTAATTCCTATTACATGACAAGTAATTTTATTTGCAGATATATACAAGATTATTCTAAAATTTATAGGTTAAGGCAAATTAACTACAATAGCTAAACAAATATGAAAAAAAGGCTAAGGTGGGAAGCATCAGTCTACCCAAATTCAAGACTTTATACAGCTACAGTAATCAAGACTATGTGGTCCTGGAGGACAGACAGACACATAGAACAACAGAATAGAATAGAGAACCCAGAAATAGATCCATACAAAAATGCCCAAGAGCTTTTAGGTGCTCTTCACACAGACACACACAGTCACACAAGGTAACCATGGAAGGTGATGGATAGGTTAATTTGCTTGACTGAAGCAATCATTTCACTGTTTATGTATATTCAAACATCATGCCATACACCTTAAATATAAACAATAAAAAAATTAACCTAGAGGGACATATTTACAGGATAACCATTGGAAAAGCTGTTGGCCAGGCCATTCATTCTGGTCTTAGTCTAGATCTGTATGGTCCAGCCTAAATCACCAGAAAACGATTTTGTGACTAAAACATGCATTCCCAGTGGGGCATCATAGCACCCTCAAGGAACAAAAATTGATTCTTTTGGGGTAGAAAAAATTCTACTTATTTTATATATAAAATACAGTTATACATATACTACATAAACAGATATGCAGTAGCATCTCTGTGGTAAGAGATTTAATGGAAGTGTCATTAAGGAAAAAAAAGCTTCTTGAGGAATGTGATAGAAGAACAGATTGAGAAATATTTCTCTGTAGTAGTAAATAGAATGAATTGATTTTTTAATATATCTTGCTTTGAATCTGTTATAGCAATAGGTGGCTGCTTGACGATTTATGAATACAGTATACAGGCCTACTAAAAGTTCATGTAATCCTAGCCAACTACTAGCCCAATATTTGAAAATTATACAGTCAGTAATGACTAATATAGGACAAAATAAACTTAAAAAATCCATAGCCACTGCAATTAGCTTCATGATTAGACTAGAATCATGAAATGGTTCTATTCAAATAGGGGAGGAAGGGGGAGAGAGAGAATAAGAGAAAGAAAAAGAAAGAGAGAAAAGAGGTTCTCTCACACGTTTCCAAAACTATCATGATTTTTTTTAATGTTTTGTGTTTTACCTCCACAACATTTGTGATAATAGTTATTTCCCAGAAAGTACTGCTTTTTTTTTGTTTGTTTGCTTTGTTCTTGTTGTATCACAATTCTTTTTTAATGGAGAATTCAAGCAGATAAGAGGATTCTGCAGTAATAAATCTTGCAGCACGCCTATAGGAAGGCATACTCTTTAGTGATAGGAGCAAGCTATCAGTAACACGTAGATGTGAGTGCCCTGGTTTATACAGGTAGAGCAGACATTCTTTTCTAATGATTGATGTTACCGGATCCTGCAGCCTATTGCTCCTTGGCAAGTGCATAAGGGATGCTATATGTAACCCATCAACTTCAAATAGCAACTTCACAGAGTTTAATTACTTTAAATACTTATTTAAAAAGTGAAAGGGCTGGTCTCAATACAAATGGACATTAATGTTTTAGAATGTAAATGATTGTTTCTTGTATAAGTAACCTTAAGTAACCCATTTAAGTGATCTGTATCTCATTACAAATGGCAGCCTATTTCACCTGGAAGGTATTTATGCCCCAAGCTAATAGGCAATCAAGGCTGTGAGAGAAATAGATATCAATGTGCAGTGGGACAAATTCAAGGAACCCAAATTACATTTACATTAAACAATCAAGTAAAGCAAATCCCAACAGGGATGCAAAACACAGGGACAGCATTACATATAGGCCAACTAGATGAGACAGAGAGTTATTCTGAAATAAAGACCCTTCTTCAAAATCTCTGATTATGCTAAATTTTAAAGGATTGTCAATTGTGCATGCTTTACAGTTGATAATATAAGGATATGTGCCAAAACAAGATACACGCATCACAGGAAGTAATCCTAACCTAAAGTCATACGACTAGCAGGAAAGATAATGTGATGTTCAATCACCGAATTTTTCAACCAGAGTTTAATTTAATAAATTTTTTGGTTGCTGGACTCTAGGAAGTTTATAAGCAAAGAGTAAGGTGGAATATGTACATGATGCCAGTGCAATAATAGCAAAGATAAACATTACATCAAGGACATGGTTTTGTAGTCAAAATGACCCGCATTCAAAGCCCAGGACAATCTCTTACAGGCTTTGCGTTCTCAGGTAGGATCCACAGAGGTTTACTGTAAAGGTCAGATAGTAAATATTTTTTGGCTAGATGAACTACATATGGTCTCTGTTCCGTATTTTGTGTGTGTATATTTGCAACCCTTTCAAAATGTAAAAATCACAGCCTATATAAAAACAGGCCATAAGATGTATTTGGCCTAAGGGCTGTAGTTTACAAATCCCTGGTCTAAGACAAGTTACTTCTTTTCACTGTGCCTCAGTTTCTTCACCTTTTTAAATATTAATTTAAATTAAAAGATAATTTCTTCACCTATATTAAATATTAAATAAGCAAATGATTGCAAAGCATCTAAAATGTGGTATTTGGTCCATAAATGGTGGTAGCTAGAGTCATTATGGTAGTTGTCATAGTTGGGTGTTCAGTTTTTAAAATTATTATTAATATTATATAATAATTATTATATTAGTACTTTAAAATCGTAATTTTATAATAATCTTATAATAACAATTAATAAATTAATTAATAATCTTATAATAATTATAAATTACTAGTATTTTTTTCTCCAAAGTATTGCAGGTGTTCTACTGAGGAACACTATGTCCATTTTGGGAAAGAGGAAAATCTTTGAGAAAAAAATGCCTCAACTATGTCTAGCAGTTTTAACAACTAGATACAGAAAGAGAAGTCATAGATGGGATAGCATCAATTCATGTATTAGAGTGGTGAGGATCATGTTCAGTGTGGCATTTGTGGCATGTACATTAATGTGGGATTCATGTAATGGGACATTTCCAGTGCATGCTCTCAGTGGAGTATCACATGCAGTTAGGTAGGCCCAAATAACAGAGTGCTTTTTAAACACAGTAGAGCAGTAGACGTTATCCTCTAGGGAAAGGACAAAGGGAACAGACAAAGGATTTGAAGTTTGGGAGTCACATGGGCCTTTTGATAGTCAGAAAATACCTGAACAGATCATTTGTTCAAGGAAAAAAAAAAGGTTGCTCTGACTGGGAAAGTAGAGAATGATAAAACAAGGGTTAGACTTAAAGCAGTGAAAGCAGTTAGGAACTGTTCAGATCAAAGATTGTGAGTGTCTGAAATGGAAGGAAAAGTGGAATAGATAGGATTGGGGCAGGCTTTAAAATGATTTTCAAAAATAAGTTCCGGATTTTACCTAGTGCCTACTGGAAAGGTGTCTGGGGTGGGTCTTGAATTTCTGGCTTGATTGCTGCCTGGATGGGGGTACAATAAAGGGAGTGTGAAGACAGGAGCAGTTACAGGTAGGACAGAGAAAATGCACTCACTTTTGAACACGTTGAGTTTGATATCTATTTAAATGACTAGACATGGTTACTTAATTAGACATGTCCAGCAGGTAGTTGTATATTCAAGTTTGGAGATCAGGATTGAAGATATATATTGTATTTTTAAAGATTTTTATATATGTGAGTTTTCAAACTATGAAAGTGAATGAAATTGATAAGGAGAATAATAGGTGAAGCAAACAAAAATGTGAGCAGAATGATTGTGAGGCAAAGCAAACAAACAAACAAAAAAGTTTTTGTGTTAAAGCCTAAAAGAAGAACTGATTTTGCAGTTCTGGTTCAAATGAACCATCCTAAGAAAATAAAATGGAGCAAAGATGTGGAATCCTGGTGAACTATGATCTACATCAAAACATGACCCAAAAGGAAATTAGGCATGTTGGTATGGCAGGTGTAATTGCTATTCTGCATGGTGCTACATATGATTGTCCTCTCTTTATCTATCCATTATTACATGTTTAAAAATGATTAACCTAATTAAATGCAGATCTATCTGTTAAGGCAAACAGAAATTTTAACTGATCACATGCTCTTATTGGTCTTTGAACTAATATGGAATATAGACGCAATTGGATTCCTTTGCCAGTGTCAACATCAATTACATCGAAATAGAAGTGTGGTATTCACCACTGGAAATTGATCCTTCTTAGATAATTCTACACAGCAGGACAATGCCCTTAGCAAATGATGATGTTGTATGAGCCACAGGCAGCTATTTCCATGCGTGTAGCAGGGTGCTGGCATTTAAAAAAAAGATTTTGCCGCCCAATAACACTTACATGATATAAACATTTGGGGTCACATATAATAAATATTGAGGTCAAACACACAAAGATAATATGCTTCTTTTGCCTCAAATTTTGTAGAGAACAGCAGTCAGACAATGCTAGCTGGGATGACAGATACTTCAAAATAGTACCTGCATAACTACTGTGATGCTTGATGACATTCGTCCCATTTAGTATAATTGACGCCAGCCAAGAAAAAAAAATCACTACTGTTGTAATAAGCATTTATATAGAACTTATTTTGGCAGGCTGTCTTCTGGAATCTTCATATAAATTTATTCTTTTAATTCTCACAATAACCCTGTTCTTTAGGTATGATTATTATTATAATTTTTGAAGATGAGGCTGCAGAGACAATATAAGTGATTTACTCATGTATTTCCCAAATATGAAATAACTAGTAACTAGCAAGGATGGGTTTAATTTATTTGTCTATTTATTTATTTATTTATTTATTTTGAGGCAGGATCTCACTCTGTCACCCAAGCTGGAGTACAGTGATGCTATCATGGCTCATTGCAGCCTGGACCCTCTCAGGCTCCTCCCACCTCAGCATCAGCATCTGATGCTGATGGGCTCCTCCCATCTCAGCACAAGTAGCTGAGACCACAGGTGCACACAACCACACCTGGCTAACTTTTTAATTTTTTATAGAGATAGGGTCTCGCTATGTTGCTAAGGCTGGTCTCGAACTCCTAGGCTCAAGCGAATCGTCCTGCCTCGGCCTCCTAAAGTGCTGGAATTAAAGGTGTGAACCATTGCCCCTGGCCAAAGGATGGGTTTTATACATAGGTGGCATGGCTGCACGGTCTGGGGTTTTAACTAGTGGATCTCACCTCACTAATACTACCTCTCAGCTCACTGTAAATACTTTGTAAATGTCCACAGTTGGAGACAGGAGACACAAGAGCTGAGATATCCCAGTGACAGAAGACTGTTAGACTAGCAAGGATAGGTTTAGAACATTAAAAGATCTTCATCTGCAGGAAGAAATAAATTTATCTTCTTCATCTTTTTAAGGGATTCATTATCAGAAAATGGAGGCTGTTCATTTAATCCTTGCCTCTGAATGAAGATGCAAAGATAAGTGAAATAATGGAATTTCAACTATGGCAAATTCAGAAGTCTGTGAGTAACGTTAATGGGTACTTGAGGGCAGGTAGGGTTAGCAATTATATGTCTCAGAGCCATAAGGAAGACTGTGTAGTCTTCAAGTAATGAGACATCCAGTTTTCCATAACTTTCTCTCGGTTGAAAACAAGTAATAAAACTCACCAATTTACCTACAGACATGCAGCTTAATGGTTGTTTATGAAGATGTGGAAATAAATAAAGGCCACCTAAAAGGGAACACGCAGAGTCTATTTATTCAGAGTTTGCTGTTGCAAGGGCATCAGCCACCATTATTTACATCTGGTGGAGACTCAAAGGCAGGCAGAGGAGTGGGAAAGCTTTATAGTTAGGAGAAGGAAGGTATCAGTCATGCTCTGATTGGAAATTGTTGTCATAGGGAAGGTGGAGACAAGCTATCTAGAAGTTACATTTTATATGATTGGTTCGGGGAATATAATTGCCTTTCTCTGGCTAGTCCCAAGTTGGAAACAGGGCGAAAAAAAAAAATGAGGAATCTAGCACTTGTTGACCAAGTTTTGACTGTTTGGGGCTTACTGCTGCAGAGGTTGTAGGTGGAGTTCTATTATCATATATCATATCATATATCATCTGACCATTGTTCGTTTGTATATTCAGTATCTCACAGACCAATTTAAAAAGAACATAGTGCAATTTTCAAGCCTATGTAGAACATTTTTCAGGGATAAGAATGACTATAGTGGAAGTACAACAGAGAAAATGGCAAGAGTTAGTTATTCAGAATCACAAAGTTAGTCATTCCAAGATCTGTTCTAGCTCTCAGTACCTGTACAATAAAACAAAGTATACAAGTCAGGACATAGATGGAGCTTCCGTGTCAGCTCATGCCACCACATTTCCCATCATGGGCAAGTGACAGGTTGAACCCCAGGCACTGGTTGTTCTCAAGTATGTATTTTGCCTCCCTTTCACATGAGGTGAATCCTGGATATGGGTCTGTTCTGTGCAGGACGTAAAGGATGATAATAGAGAACGGAGTTTCCATAAAGTCAAAGAGTACACAGTTAGGGGTTGATAAAATTGAAGGCAATTTGATTAGTATGTAAGAAGGATGTTAAGCAAATAAGAATGGAGTGGGGTAGATTTGCCTGGGATGGTAGTGGACTTGGGAGGGTTAGGGTATCAAAGAGTTACAACAAGCCAGTAAACTGTAGATGGGAATAAATTTTTGAGAAACTGACAAGGGCCCCCATTAGCTCTTTATGAACACATAGGTGGTCTTTGCATATGAATGAAGAGGGCGTTTAAATGAGCTAAAACAACATAAACAGCCACGGTTGGGAGCACATCACATGTTAAAAAATCATAGGTGTTGCTACTGTTATTTTCAATAGTTATTAAACACCTAGGCAAGAGAACCACATAGATGCCATATGTATCTTCTGAGATGCTGTACAGTTACACATTTGTGCTAATGGAAGGTACAATAAATTGAAAGAACGTTAATCCTTCACTCATTGGTTATTCATCTCTAAAGCAGGATATTGATAACACCTACATCATAGGGATGTTGTGACTTTTCAATGAATCAATAATGTGACATTCTGAAAGAGTACTTGGCACAGACAAAATGCTATATAAGCATTAGATATTATTATTATTATTACTATTATTATTCAATAAGCTTTGGGAACTTCACAGAAGACCACGAAACAAAGACATAAGACACAGTCCCAGCCAAAGAAGTTTATGGATGAGAGAGGGAATGAGGGATATAAGCAAATAATTACAACACAACCAAAGTGCCATGTTTAGGGTTATATACAATGTACCACAGTAGCGCAGAGGAAAAAAGTCACAACTGGGTATATCAACCCTGGGACTAGGATACCCTATTGGTGCAATTTCATGAATATTGAAATCACAAGGTTGCTTTCCGTTATAATATAAGCATCGGAGATGGCATCTGATTAAACTTGACCTGAGTGAACTTTCAAAAGAATTAATTCTGATATAAGAGATGGGTGAAGGGTTTGCTTTTTAAAATTTATAATTTAGAAGCTCTCTAATTTTCCTCTAATTTAACTCAAACTACTTTAAATTGAAACATGTCTCCATGGGGCTGGTCTGTATTAATTGAGTATTTGCATATGCAATTCATAATTGCTGCCAAGATTTTAAAGTTATTTATGCCAGTTATTGCTCTCGCAGATGAAATTAAGGGTACTCCAAAAGATAACACTATTTATTAAATTCAAACATATCATTTAACCCTCAAAATACTCATTTCATAAAGGAATCACCAACTCCATTTAACAAAAGACATATCAAGAGGTTGAGTAACTTCCTGAAAAATATTTATCACAAATGTATTTAAACTCATGGATATCTAATTCTGAACATAAAACTTTGGTATTTCTTTTAAAACCCATGCTGCTTCCTGAAACATAATCATCAACAATGATTGTCTAAATTAATAGAACTAAATACTGATAAAGATATTTCTGGTATCTAGTCATAGTATTATACAGGCCTATTCACATTCATTCACATTTATGCACAAGTATACATACTACATTCAAATTAATAATTAAGACAATATATTTAAGTTTTCAAAATCATAATAGCACACCAATATTGATCTGGAAAAGATATGTTGCTTTAAATACATTAAAGTTTACAAGAGGCCTGGCGCGGTGGCTCACGCCTGTAATCCTAGCACTTTGGGAGGCCGAAGTGGGTGTATCATCTGAGGTCAGGAGTTCAAGACCAGCCTGGCCAACATGGTGAAACCCCATCTCTACTAAAAACACAAAAATTAGCTAGGAGTGATGGCAGGTGCCTGTAATCCAGCTACTCGGGAGGCTGAGGCAGGAGAATTGCTTGAACCCTGGAGGCAGAGGTTGAAGTGAGCTGAGATAACGCTCCTGCACTCCAGTCTAGGCTACAGAGCCAGACTGTCTCAAAAATTCAACAAATAAACAAAAAATAAATTTTACAAGAATCTCTGATAATTATTATTATTATTTTTGAGACAGAGTCTCCCTTTGTCACCCAGACTGGAGTGCAGTGACACAATCTCCTCTCACTTCAATCTCCGTCTCCTGGGTTCATGCGATTCTCTCGCCTGTCTCCAGAGTAGCTGGGATTACAGGCCTGTGCCACCAAGCCCAGCTCATTTTTGTATTTTAGTACATAGGGGGTTGTAGGCTGGTTTTGAACTCCTCACCTCAAATGATCCATCGGCCTCGGTCTCCCAAAGTGCTAGGATTACATGTGTGAGCCCCCACGCCCTAAGAATCTCTGATTTTTTTAAATGAGAATATAGATAAAATCAAATACATCAATGAATTAGAAATACAATATATATGACCATGTCTAGTGAGTGCAAAGCAGGGTTATTTTAGAAATTCTGATAGCCAAAAAAGCCAAATTAATAATATTAATGATGTAAAAAATATTTTTTGATAAAACAACACTAATTCTTGATAAAAATATAGCAGCAACCAAGAATAGAACAGCACTACCTTTGTCTGAAAAATATTTATCAAGACCTATGGCAAAACAATATTTAATGAAAATGTTAGAAGCATTATCTTTAAAATCAGGGGGAAGACAAGCATGCAATTATCTTTGTTTCTACTAATCATTCTACTGGAGATCTAATAGTTATTAACTCACCACTTTATGTGATAAGATTTTTAAAAATAAAGTTATATCATGGTAAAGAAATAGATGTCATCTATGCAAAAAGTGTATTGGTTTCCTCCAGACTGTTATATTTAGTCAGTGTAATTTCTATCAAAACTCCATTTTTTTGCTACTTCTAAATTTATATTGATAAGCAAAACATATATGAATTTTTATGGAGGAAATATAGTCCTTTTTAGAGAAGAGGAATACATTTGAGAGCCTAGAAGTTAAATATAATATTTTATATAAATATGTATCATATAATATATAAATACCTATGTATATTTCAAAGTGCGATATGTAATAGATTCAGTGATACATGACACTGAGAACAAATTAGAATGCTTCTAACGTAAACTATAATAATTCCAAGGAGGAGCAAGAGGTTACCCCAAAAATATGATACAATTATAAGTTTGGGTCCATACAGAATTTTTAACAAGGCATACACACTCTAAAACAAAAAGGGCTAATTTCAAATAAAGTTATCCTAAATGCCAGAGGTACCTCAAAAAATGGAAAATAAAAGTCACTAGCTGGGAGAGGAAACATAAGATCCAAACAACTGAAAAAAGAGTGAATCCTTACAGAATATTTAAAAAAAATAAAAGCAAATTCTCCTCTATTTTTAAAGAAAGACACAGCTCAGTAGAGAATGAGCAAAATGCATGAGTAGGTATTTCACAAAAGAGGTCACAGAACTGACCAATAAAAATGAAAATGCATAAAACATTATTAGGATTCAGGAAATCCATACTAACACGACACCGCCATTCCATTTAATGAAAACCGCGCTGGCAAAAATGAAAAGATCACCGTGTTTTGGGAGATCATGCACTAATGTAGAATTCCTGGCTACTGCTCCAGAATATGTAAATTTTTATAACACCGTTGATAAACAGGTATTGCCTAGTAAAACCATAGCCATGCATATCCCAAAATCCCAGCACTTCTCTTCTTAGGTATGTTGTCCAGAGAAAAGTCTGTAATCTGTGCACTAAGAAGGATTCACATGAGGGAAAACTGTAGCTATGCTTGAGCAGCAGAATTCTGGAAACAATCTAAGCATCCATCAACCAGGAGAACAGATAAACAAATTGGGTTTCACAATGGAATATCATGCAGCAGACCAATGAATGAAATAACACCACATTCATAAACTTTAATGAACCTCAGAAATAAAATGATGCATTAAAAAAGCAAATCAAAGATGAGTATATATCCTATATAATTTCACATAAAGTTCAAAAACATCAACATAGTTTTAAGGATTATGCAAGCATAATAGAACTATGCAAAAAAGCAGGGAAATAGAAACATAAAATTTAGGGGAGTCTTTGATTTCCCCTCCTGGAGGAGAGGGAGGAATGCCTGGTGAGATTTGCATTCAAAGAAAGATACTCAGAGGATTTTAATTATATCAATAATATTCCATTTCTTACTCTGTGTGGTAAGTCTTGGGTATATGTTTTATTAATCTTAATGTTTTATTTATGTTATATTATTTTTTATGTATTATTTCATAATAAAGATGCTCTTTAAAAAGCTTTAAGAAGTCATCTCTAAGATATATTGTTAAGTGCAAAATTTAAAAATAACATCAAGAAGTTCAAGCCTGGGTGTATAAAATGCTCAGTTTTACATGTACAAAAATATTACTTAGGTATATTTCCTCATCTATTAAAGTAAATTAGCTCTAGAAGTAAGAGATAAAAATGTGTTTGTATGTCTCTCATACGAGTGGAAGGAAAAATTTCCACTGCACACCTTTTTGTTCCTGAGCTATTTAAATCTTACATATTCAATTATAAATGACAAAAATAAATATATAAAATTTAAGCACTATTTTGCAGATTTTCTTATGTAATAGCAGTCTTAGGTAGGTAATTACATTTTACATCTGAGGAGATTTCAAACCAGAAAGGTTAAAAATCACACTGAAAATCACAGTATAGTGACAGAGTCAGACCCAAATTCATTCTTCCTTTAGCAAATATTCATTGAGAACCAGCTATGTTCCAGAAACTGGCCAGATTTTTTGGATGTATAAGCAAACAAAACAAGGAACTCGACCCTCATAGAACTAAATTCCAGGGCCAGGAAATGAGGATAAAATATAAACAGGATAGATAAATAAGCAAATAATACACCATGTTAGAACGTCATAAATTCTAGGGCATGATGATGGGGTAGTGGGGTAAAGAGGCCTGGTAGGGGGAAGGCAGGGTGACATTGCAGTGTTAAATAAGGCAGTCAGGACAAACGTCATCCAGCAGGTGAGGAATGAGAAAAGACTTGAAGGCGATGAGTGAGTGAGCCAAGCCAGTTGGTAGGTGGAGAGTGTGCCAGACAGCAGAAGCAAGGCCCTATGAAGTGGGTTTGGCATCCAGGCTGGCAAAGTCAATTGGTGATTTGAAGGTTCATTACTATCATCACTGCATACTGTACCCATAGAAATATCATGGAAATCATGAGCAAGGATGAGGTGCAGAGGCTTGAAGTCTCTCCCATCTTTGCTATCATCCACATATGTGGTCCAAGCTTATGGAGAACATATGAAATACTTTCTGTTAAAGATTAAATGCATTTATTCCAGAACAAAGGAAATAGAAAAAAAAAAAGTATTGTCTAAGTCTAAGTCACTTTTTTTCTAGCAGATTTTTAAAACAAAGGTGGGAGGTAAAATCCTCTCTTTCCAGGAAAGTTGCTCAAGGAAAAGCATATTTTCTCATTTTTTTTAAAAAAAGTAGCAGCCTATAAAGAGGAAATAAGGTGGTCAATATTAAAAATGTAACTTTAAGTTAAAGGGGGAGATAAATCAGTTCACATTCTTCCTGGGGGGATTTGTAAAGGAAAAGGGAGAAAGAACAGGACTTGCAACTTTTATCCTTACAAACTTTGCTGCTGTAAGGACTTAAGTTGTTTAATCTCTCTACATACTGCCGATTTTCTTGACCTTGCAAAAGTCATTCAGTATCTGTTCATGTATCTGTGAAAACAAGGGCAATGATCTCTCCTCTCTCTGGATTCTTTGTGATAATTTAGTGACTTTGATCTCTAATACCAACTACTATTATGTTCATTACATTTTTTCTCAAAACTCACACCACTGACCTAATAATGGACAAAGTGACAGCCATGTCTATAGCCACTTGCAACAAGACTCTCCATAGCCTCATATTGCAGGATAATGAAGAGAAATTACAAGTGGTTAGAGAGCTGCAACTACCTAGAAGAGAATCCGGGAACAGAATAAAAGGAACAGTCCCCATGATGTCCTTATAAATGTGCCACTAGTCTAACGGGAGAGAAGGCATGCTTCCTAGTTAATTTTCCATATTAGGGTAATGAGAAGAAATAGACAAACTGCCAGCAGGTTCATTTGGCTAATGTTTCAGCCAGCAGACCTGGCACAGCTCCTACTAAAAGGGGTTAAAGGTGAACAAAAATCTATATAATTCTAAGCTGCTTCTTTTGGCCTTACAAAATAGCAGAGTAGGGCCACTATGGATAGTGCTTTGGGGATGATACCAATCATTTATAGTTCATTTCTACTACCATATTCTGATTTTTGAAAAAGATTTTATTGTAATAAAACTCTGCTGGCTGAAATATACCTAGAGCATCAAACCTTGCATTATGCTTTCCATTTCTATGAATAGCTCCCTGGACAGTTGAATAAATATCCATTTTGTGAATTCTCATTCTGCTTGTTTTCAAAATGCAATAGTGAGTATTTATCTTTCAAGTTAAATAGCAACTATTCAACCTAAAGATGAAATTCCCTTAGAATTTTGACAAGTAACAAACAAACATAATATAAATATGCAGTAAGTACTTTTCTTATAGAATGGAAAAACTGCTTACGTCCAGTACAAATGCTTCATCCTTAGTGTAGCCGTGGAATGACTAGCTAAAGGATTATACTTATTAGGTCGAAACATTAAAGATCCCCTAGGAATACAAGATTGGTTATGAAGCATTTATATGGCATATTTTTCTAAAATGCTTTACAATCATTAGCTGTTCCTGACAATGGCTCTGTGAGAATTGTGAAGTGGATTACTATCCACCAGGTGCTGCACTGGGGAGTCAGGATGGAGAATATCTGCCTGAAAATTACCCAGGTTGATCATCCATGGTAAAGATAGCAATTATCCATAAATGAATTACCTTTTACTGATTATCCGTCATACCTATGAGTAATAAGCATGGCTTAATGGAAAGAGGACATGATATGGAGTCAAGCCTACCTCTGCCATTTATAAAGAGGTTTGGGCAAGTAACTTTACTATTTTTACTCATCTGAATAATAAGAGATTTGGAACTACTGATTTCTAAAGTCATTTCTAGCATTAAAATCCAGTTATTTTATATTATTCACAGTCATATAACAGTATGTTCAAAAAATTACATCTTTTTCTCTGGATTATCTTCTGAAAAAAATAAATAAACCTATCTAGTATTCAAGCTTATATTTTAGTGATTGCCATTTTTGGCAACATCATTATGTTGGGGCTGGCAAAATCCCTGCTATTGACTGTAACTTGGTTACTGTAACAAATTCATATCAATGAGAAAGCATAAGGTGAAGACACAGGTGGCTGACCAGGAATTGTAAGTAAATACATGACCCATTGTAGATGTTAATGAAATTCATTAAATTTATCCTGAATAGAAGATAACTAGAAACGTACTCTGGTACTAATTACTTTTCAAAACTATAAGTAAATAGTCCAAAATTGTTTTCAGCTCACTTTACTTAGTGTAAACAATTCAGTATGTAGGGTAAAGTGCAAATATCCTTAAGCAAGCCATTAGGAGTTTCAGTAGGTGCTTAACACTTGAGTAATAATTAATTTATGCAGTTTACTAATCCAACTATAAAACATCTGTGGTGGGCAGGAGGTTTACAGCTGGAGTCTCATTAAGGGAGAGCAGATATGGATAACCAGCAAGAATGCTGGTGAGGAAGTGATTCTAGAACCCTACAGATGATGCCAAGTGGAATCTTTCAATGCCTTTTTTTACCTTTTGGTTAGCTTTGGTGTCACCAAATCTTATGTAGGAAGTTGAATTATTGGTGTCAATTCTTCACTCTCTTGTTTGGAAATTTTGCATCTACATCCTTGCTATGTCCTCATGGTGAAATCACATGCCTTTTTACTTGCTTTTTTCAATCAATGTGATGAAAAAAGGTGACTAGGTGACTTGCTTTTTTCAATCAATGTGATGACTGATTTTTGTTGGTAGGAGATTTTTACCAAGTATCAAAAATTCTTGTATATAATTCTTCAATAACTTTTCAAATTGCTCTGATTCCATAATGGAATACTAATAGTATTAAAATATAATAAGTCATAATATTATCATTCATAGTATTTTTATCTTCACTTGCATTAATATTCTCTCCAAAGCCAAACATAGTCCATCATGGCTCAGCAGACCAAGAATATATGCAATGGACTGGGAATTAAGCCCTACCTGAACAAGTGGCAATAACATTTACATCTGCTGACATAGCATTTTCTTACCCTTTATACCTCTAAATATCCTTCATGCCACTATATGGGCCTTGCTTTCATGAAGGTAAGATATTTGCTTTGAGGTTGAGAAAGTTTCTGAAAATTCAAGCTGTTACTGCAAGTAACTGCATTTCTTGCTGACAGAGTCTCATAAAGAGTGGAAGAAATTTGAAGATAGAATTTGGTCTAGCCAGGAAGAGGATTTCATTTTAGGAGTTGGAGTAGACTTACGTAGGGTCTCAAATTATAAGGCAGCTGAACCCATACCCATATATAGAGATAAATCCTTGGTTTCTTATCCTTGATTAGGGATTTCTTTGCAGAAACAGGGATGCATTACTTAAAGAACTTCAGTGGAAAGAACTGGCTTAGTAAATGCTAAGGTCTGAATGTTTGTGTCCTGCCAAAATTTCATTTGTTGAAATCCTAACCCCTGAGGTGATGGTATTAGGAGATGGAGCCTCTGGGAGATGATAAGGTCATGGGAGTGTAGCCCTCCAAATCAGACTAGTGCCCTTATAAAAGTGATCCAAGAAAGACTCCTCAGCCCTTCTGCCATGTGAGGTTAGAGTGAGAAGATGGCTATATATGAGAAAGAGGACCTCGATGAACATGAAATCTGCTGGCACCTTGATCTTGAACATCCAGCCTCCACAACTGTGAGAAATAAATTTCTATTATTTATAAGCCACCAAGTCTACAGTACTTTGTTATGGCAGCCCAAATTAAGACACAAATTCATTGGAGAGAATTTAGAAAGTAATTTTGTATATTCTATTTTCCTGAATCTATAAACACATTTAAACTTATATCCATTTTGACTTGAATCTATATAGGAAAACAAATAAAATGGGCATTATGTCCACAAAAATAAATCTATATTAAATATTTTTACTCCCGTGAATAATTTCATTGTATTATGGGAATCTGCAAAGGAATATTAGAGTTGAAATTGAGCTTAAGCTGGAAAAATATTCCTTGAGTGTGGGCTAGTAAATTATCAGGTTACCTAAAGAAAATTAAACTAAATATTGATAGGATGCATGAATATCTAGAAACAAAACTTTGCGGAACAATTTTGATAAATGGAGGAAGAGATAGATCTGTTCAACCTTCTCAGAAATGGGAGCCAGTAGCTATACATAATTTTCTTAGTAATTCTTTGTAAAATTGTAATTCTCAGTGATTCTTTGCTACATTTTAATTTTGCTTAAATATGCAAGGATAATTTATTTTAAATTCATAAATTTAATCTGAGCTATTATTTGTAATATATTTATGCTGAGGTTTTTCCACTCTCTGAATTTGCCAGACTATATAAAATCAAACCGTCTCACATCAGGTGGCCAGTGAATGAAGCGTGAGAATATGCCATACAATATCTAGAAAATAACTTGCATGTTTCAAAACATCCAAGCTATATACTCATGGAAATCATAGTAATATTGATTGTAAATTGTATCATTGATTGCAGTTTTACTATATGCCAAACATTGTGACAAGCATTCTAGATTGTCATTTAATTATTAAAAGTATTTGAGTAGGTTCTAGTAATATCCTCATTTTATAGCTGAGGAAATTAAGGAAAAAATCTATTTTTCTTAAATTCCTAAAGTCATATTGAAGCAAAAATGTCTGGTATCTTCTGTCAACATAAGGAAAATATGATCTATTGACAAATAAACTGATTTAAATTAAGTGAGTGCTGCTTCGTGTTAGGCCATCACAGAATGGGGTAGGGACTGGTGTGACCCCATGTCCCACCACTACTACCATTGACATTATGTCGAAGGCTTTTCAAATATCTGCCTACCCATCTAATAAATACAGACTTGGCCACATTTTTTCCTTATTTGTTAGTGATTGATGGTGTTAAATGGAACAGCACTGAAAATCTTGTTAACGTCAAGATATATTTAATCTATTGCTTCACCTTCATCTCCTAAGTCACTATCACATATAAAGAAATTAGACTAATCTAACATGATTCATATTTTTATACAGCCTTGTTTATTACTCCCCAATACAGGATTGCTGGTGTTCATCTAGCTGTTGCCAATTGATTTTCGATGACAAATTCTATCTTCTTTTTTTTTTTTTATCTTGCATTGAAATTTAGCTAAAACGTGTCATTACTTTCTGAACCTTATGGTTAGTTGAGGAAATGATTTAAATATAAGTAATTGTGCTGATCAACTTTATCAATAATTCTTCATATTAAATTTCTTGATTCTCTAAGCTTAATATTTCAAAAATAACTTATATCCTCATCTAATTAATGCCATCTTTATCAGAGGCTATTGGTTACTAGGATAAACAGATTTGAACATATAAAATTCCGTTCTAATTTTTAACTCATTTAACTTTACTTCCTCCGGTCTGGCTCAAATGTAGCATTCCTTTTCTTTTGTCTTTTTTCTTTTTTATTGTTACTATAAGGGAGGTTTTAAAATAAAACAGAAGACAATAATAACTGATTATGAGTTTGCTTTTGGAGTGCTTTGGTTATGTGTAGATCCTTCAGTTTTGCCAATTCATTAAAACAACCATTTATGGATTTTCTTTGGGAATCCACCTCGTTTTCTTTGCCCTATAGGCAGTGTAATAGAAGCAAGATGTGTAAGGCATTATCTTTGCTTGAAATGAGCTTATAATATTATTAGTCAAAATGAACCAAGTAGTTAAAGTATAGGTTAAGATATAATGAAATAGCATTAGGTCATCAAATGAGGGTAGGTCTGAAAACCTTGATAGAAAGCAGAGCTTTCGCACTTAAAATTTTTATTACCTTGAAAAAGTTCCCTCTGACAGCCCACACTCCTCATTTCTTCTCTTACAGACAGAAATAAGGACATCTACTTTTCTAAGAAGTAGAACAAGTATAAAATTCTTGCAATCATTTTAAATCTTTCTCATTAAAAAAACCTGAATAAATCAAAGAATATTGCTCCTTAGGGCAGGCCCGTGGTACTTATGGCCTTCCTAGTAATTCCCTGTCCCTATTGTCCATTAAATGATCAGATTGTAGCCACTTGGTCAACAGTGTATATACCTTTCCATGCAGCCACTTTGTGGATATCACTTATATTCCACTTACATATGTCAGGCCTCTGGATGCCAAAAGCTCATAGGCCAAACACTTATGAGAAGAAGAAAAAAATTATCTAAGATAATAGTAAATAATATTTAAACATTCAAAAAAACCAGAGAACAGAATAAAGAAGAGCTATTGTGTCTCAGAAAAAGTAGTGAGTTGGCATGTGGGGGCAAGATTATGAAGATGAACAGGGAGGTATGAATCACACAGGCAAGATCCAGTTTCCAAGTCATTTCTAGATAACTCCTTGTGAATCTGCTCTGCAGGCTTCATCCTATCAGTCAGTCAGTACTTTTTGCTGAACTTCTCCCAATTTGGAAGCACCTAAAAAGTATTAAATTAAGTGAAATAATGTAAGTTAAAAGTGTTTGGAGAAGTATTCGTTGAATATACATTAAGTACTCAAGCATATTGCTAGAAAGTTTCTCTCATTTCTTGTTTCTTTGTTCTCATTGTATCTTAGTGTGATTTTTTCATTTTTTTATATTATTAGGACAAAGCATTTTTCTAATGTTTGTTTAGTCATATAGTCTTTCCTACCCTTCTTTCCTAGCTTGGTGTAGGTTTTCTCATTCAGCTATCAGTAGTTCTTAAATATTATCCTACAATACTTTGATACTTAAACTACATTTTCAGGGATCATCTCTTGTGATTTCCATTAAGGCCTCTGAAATCCACATTCTACCACAGCATGTTGAAACTTTCTAGTAGTCTGAAAATGCTCAGAATGACATCAAGTTGAAGAAGCAGAGAGGGGTGCTAAGCAACAAAAAACATCTTGCTCCAAGCATTTAAAGCCCTTGTATGCTCTCAGTTGACTGTTTATTGAGATCTTTTCTTATATCAGGATGCTGAAAGTAGCTTCTGGAGAAAGTGCAAAGGTAGTCTCATTACACCTAACCAAAGGAGTTAGGCACATTGAAAACACATCAAAAAAAATGGTTTTATTATTGTATGTTACATTTTGTGCCATAAAATATTAACAACAGAAGAAAGCATATCATATTCCTTGGGGGCAATGAACTATTTGTGGTTAAAGTGGTAGCAGGTAATAAAAATAAAAATATACATTTTTTAAAATTTTATCTTGTCACTATCACTATGAAAGCAGCTTAGAATAATTATTTTTATTTATTTATTTATTATTATTATACTTTAAGTTTTAGGATACATGTGCACATTGTGCAGATTAGTTACATATGTATACATGTGCCATGCTGGTGTGCTGCACCCACTAACTCGTCATCTAGCATTAGGTATATCTCCTAATGCTATCCCTCCCCCCTCCCCCTCCCCCCACCCCACAACAGTCCCCAGAGTGTGATATTCCCCTTCCTGTGTCCATGTGATCTCATTGTTCAATTCCCACCTATGAGTGAGAATATGCGGTGTTTGGTTTTTTGTTCTTGCGATAGTTTACTGAGAATGATGATTTCCAGTTTCATCCATGTCCCTACAAAGGACGTGAACTCATCCTTTTTTATGGCTGCATAGTATTCCATGGTGTATACGTGCCACATTTTCTTAATCCAGTCTATCATTGTTGGACATTTGGGTTGGAAGAATAATTATTTTCGAACACACACACACACACACACACACACACACACACACACACGAGAATGATGCTTCAGAAAGTGACACTGGTTGGTACATCTTTGGAGAAAGAAAACAGAATAAATGGTAATATTTATTCTATTAATTTTTCTGAATTTTAAAACTACAATATTTGTATTTCAGCTTGATTTCTTGCCTCTGTTAATTTTCATGATTTTATTAATTATGTTTATTTGAATGATTGAAATTTTAAGCAATCATATGCTTTATTATCCTGGATTCCTTAGTGATAAATGAGAAATTAAATTTGCTTTGAAATGTAAAGTGTTTGAGGCCATTGGAATCTAATTAACCTAATACTAAATTTAATCTCACCTTATTTTAAAGTTTAGCTTAGTGTTGTCAGTATGGTATTCAATAAGATGTAAATGTGGTTAATAATAATAATAAATAAATAGGGCAATGGATTCATTGTTGTTAGTAATAATATTACTTTAAAAATGTGAAGGAGAAATATAAACCATAGAAATTATTAACATTTGTTCAACAGCATTCCAGATATTTTTACCAATGGACAGATAGCTGTACAAAGATTGGTAGATAAATAAAACATATTTAAATATTTATGATAGTTTTAGTTAATATCAAGTTTTACATGAACGTAAGAGGAGAAAATGAACCTAAAATGGAAGAGAAAATATTGCAGAACTTAAATTCAATAGTTTTTTAAGAGATAATTATTCTTTGACAGTAATTGCTCTGAGCTAATCATGTTACGGGATCCTTGAGGTGTCATTTCCCCGGCCAAAAATCTCTGTGGCCAGTTGGGCCTTTGCTCGAGTTTTGCTCTGTCCACTGATTTCTTTCCACCCACTTGGCCTGGAAGGCTGCTCTTGGCTTGCACCACTGGCCTGGATCCCATGCCTGCCATGCAAGCCAGGCGTGGAGTGGTGAGGGGTGAGAGCTCTCTCTCTCTCTCTCTCTCTCTCTCTCGGACATGGGGCACAGACGATGCAGGGCACATGGGGACCCACGGCTGCCACTGCTCCTCCTGCAGCCGCTTCTGCCACCACCGGCTACACTTCCCCATTTCCCCACTACAGCTGGTGTGTTGGCCACTCCGCACAGCCCACTGCTACCATCAATAATGAGGGTAGAGGCCAAGTGTGGTGGCTCATGCCTGTAATCCCAGCACTTTGGGAGGCTGAGGTGGGCGGACTCCTGAGGTCAGGAGTTCGAGAACAGCCTGGCCTACATGGCTAAACCCTGTCTTTACTAAAAATAAAAAAATTAGCCAGGCGTGGTGGCATGTGCCTGTAATGTCAGCTACTCGGGAGGCTGAGGCAGGAGAATTGCTGGAACCTAAGAGGCGGAGGCTGCAGTGAGCCAAGACTCCAGTCTGGGCGACAGAGCGAGACTCTCAAAATAAATAAATAAATAAATAAAAATAAAATAATAAAATAATGAGAGTAGATAGGGTCCTGAAATATCTCAAAGATTGGAATCATTGTAGTTTATCTTTTCACCAAATGTTTCCAACATTTCCAGTATTATCACTATTTCCAATAATTCCAATATTAACTTCCTGCTATAAAAGAACAGACAATATGTGTATTGATACTTTCTTTTACTTCCCTTCCTCCAAAATTCTGATTTTATATGTTTATTATTTTTTACACTTTTAAAGTGCTGTAACTGTATTTTCCACAGTTATAGGGCTTTTATTTGTCACCTAAATGATTATCTTTTACCAGACTTCCTCTTTCCTCCATTTCAGACCTCTTAACACTGATATTTGTGAATCTGTCTGTCACACAATAAATGCGCAGCAAGTATTCTTTTCCTTTTTTCTTCCTACCACTAGTGTAAAGTTATTTGCTCCATTACAGTTCAGCTTTCTTTTTTTTGTTTGTTTGCTTTTTCGAGCTAACCTTTACTCTCCCAGTGATTTCTCTGTGAGCCACTACTACAGGTTAAAAAATGTTGTTGGTATTTGTATCTCTATGAATATATTGTGAGGAATCATTAGAATTGTTTCTTCTCTGTGTCACATATAAAATTTGCATGAACAACAAAAGCACAGATCATTGCTGTTTATTTGTTGCTGATATAAAATGCATTTCAAAGAGAAGGAGTGGGGTGGAAATCTAAATTGAGATGATTTAAAAGAGAGTTCACTTCCCAGGCAACATACCAGAAAGATCATTTCATTGCAACATAAAACTGACTGATAGTGTTACAGCAATGTATTAGCTAAACTATCTTCATCTTTGCAAGGTCCATGTTAATATTATTAGTAAACATTTCGAATTTATATTATGCTTGATAAACTAAAGCATCATAAACATAAAACACATAGCTGATCTTCATTTTAGAAATGAATAAAAGTAATAAAAGTAATGAAATATAGAAGATTCCGGAAGACACTTTTATGCATAGTTTAGAATTATTTTATCTAAGAGCAATACTTTTGCAAGACAAATTTTATCCACACAGAAGTGGCATCTCTTTGAATAATTATTATACCTCTAATTCCAATTTTAGCAACATCAATAATAACAAAGACAAGTAACATATATTTCTATTGCTTTTGGAACACATCAACTTTTAATCATTGTGATTTTTACCAAGTGTGATGATGCTCATCTTTGCAAAAACCTCACCAAGCAAATGAGCTGCAGGAGTTCAAATTATAATAATAATTTAAAAAAATTAAAGACCAAATAAGAAGTCTCATAATAATTTATGTCATGATCTAAGAAATTTATTTCTAGTTAGAGATGCAGAAGCCAAAGGAAGAGGCAAAGCAGGAACAAAATTCATACACAAAGGGAAGATAAGACACAATCACATGCACACACACATACGCACCCAATGATATTTTTAGTTTACACCTGAAAGAAAAAAATCACTTAGATATTTTTCTAATATCTCTTATCTTAAACACACACAACATGATAATAATATTAACAGTAAATCAAGTAAATCATGTTGCATTTTGTATATTTAAAATATCAAAACATCTTAGGTATATAAAGGCATCTAACATTAATAGTAGTACTAGGTTACAAATTTTCTTAACTGCTCTTCTTGGAAAATTTTAGTATTTTTGATGCCTTTAAAGCTTTTGGAGTTCTGCATTTCTGCTATCAGTCCTATTAATGTCCTTTTCTGAAACTACCTTTGTAAAAATTATGCTACTTAACTGGCCATCCAGTAGCAGCCACTGTTCGTTTTATTAAATGTTAACACTTATTATTCATTCCTAAAACGAAAAAAAAAACACATACATTTTAGAAACAGCTTATAACTAAATATTAATCCATATCAAATAAGTTTGTGAATATTGTTAAAGTTTTCATTGTGATGACCTAACTTTCAGTTGACAATCTTAAAGCCTACTTTTTTTATATTTTCTCAACAAATATGACCATTTTGCCTTTTAAAGCATAGTGAAATAACATAATGACATTAAGATGTTAAAATAGTATAACATACACTCTTGTGTAAGGTAATATTGTACTGGCAGAATAATTTAAATATTGAAACCTTTAAATTTCTAGTATTATGAAAATGTTTTTTCTTAAATTTAAGTCATGGAGCCATGCCTCTCTCTGCTCTAATTAGATATTAGGAAGAAGTAAGTTATTAAGAAATTCCATCTTTATTGTGATGGCTCTGAGTCAAAGTCACATGATGAGCTAGCCTTACTCTGAATCACAGGATTCCTTAGAAAAGCCACTGTCAGTCAAGGGATGTTGATGCTGTAAAGCAGTGGTTCCCAACCTTTTTGGATCCAGAGATTGATTTCATGGAAGACAATTTTTCCATGGACTGGGGTGGAAGGATGGTTTCAGGATGATTCAAGCACATTACATTTATTATGCACTTTATTTCTATTATTACTACACTGTAATATATAATGAAGTAATTATACAACTCATCATAATGTAGAATGAGTAGGAGCCCTGAGTTGTTTTCCTGCAACTAGACAGTCCCATCTGGACGCGATGGAAGACAGTGACAGATCATCAGGAATTAGATTCTCATAGGGAGCGTACAACCTAGATTCCTCACACGTGCAGTTCACAACAGGGTTTGTGCTCCTATAAGAATCTAAAGTCCCTGCTCGTCTGACAGGAGGCAGAGCTCAGGCAGTAATGCAAGCAATGGGGAGCCACTGTAAATATAGATGAAACTTTGGCCAGGTGCTGTAACCCATTCCTGTAATCCCAGCACTTTGGGAGGCTGAGTTGGGTGGATTGCTTGAGCCCAGGAGTTCAAGACTAGCCTGGGAAACACAGTGAAACCCTGTCTTTACCAAAAAATACAAAAAATAGCCAGGTATGGTGGTGCACACCTGTAGTCCCAGCTACTTGGGAGGCCGAGGTGGAAGAATCTCTTGAACCCAGGAGGCAGAGGTTGCAATGAGCTGAGATCCTGCCACTGCACTCCAGCCTGGGCAACAGTTTGAGACCCTTCCTCAAAAAAAAAAAACAAAAAAAAAAAACGAACAAAGAAAAGAAAGAAAAGAAAAAAAAGAAAAAGAGAAAGAAAAAAAAGAAATACAGGTGATGTCTCGCTTGCCTGCGGCTACCTCCTGCTGTGCTGCCTGCTTCCTAACCAGGGGTAGGGGACCCCCGCTGTAGAGTACACCTGCCTTTGTTAAGGATGGTTTAAGAGCCACCAGGAATCCTTGGCATTTTCTGCATGTAAATGATCCAAGTAACAAACAAGGGAAGATCAGCAGAGCCAAGGCACCTAGACGTTATCACAGCTATTGTGTCTGAGAAAGAATATCAACTTATGACAATCTTTTACCTTGGGACTTCCTGTGGGCCTGACTAGAAGTAAAGTGCCACATGTTATTGTATTTTTCTCTCATACTTCCTATAAAATGCCTAGTATTCCAAAAAGTAACAAGATTGAACTATGGGGCTAGTGTTTGTAAATTAAACTCACCTAGAAGCCATTCTGTAATCAAGATCACATTCAGGAGTTATCAATTATAAATATCAACATACATCATTTTGATTGAACAGCTGTCCTTCCTGTGAAGCACAGCATAATTAACCTTGATATCATAATTATAAATGGTTTGATATTATTTGTTGAAAATATAAAGTAACATTTTAACTTTGGCTATCAAATACAGACTCTATGTTGAATGCCCTTTCAGTGTTCATATGCTGAAAAAGTGTTCTGACAGTTTTTCCTATTTCATACAATTTTACTTTTCTTATCTGAACACTCTTGATTTTGCCACATTTTAACCCACAACAGGATACTCAGGGAGGCAGAAAAACCTAATTTGTCTTGTGAGGTTTCAGCCCTTTTCCCTTATGTTTCCACAGCACTGTATAAAACAGTGTGGCTTCAATTTCTTATATTCTAGCTATTTTCTCTAATATCTGATTTTATATCATTGGCTTGAGGTCTGGTTTGTTTTGCTTTTTTCTTATTCATTATTCTAGAAGCTAGCTGGGAAACCAGCCTGGGAAACATAATGAAACCCTGCCTCTACCAAAAAATACAAAACATAGCCAGGTGTGGTGGTGCACACCTGTAGTCCCAGCTACTTGGGAGGCTGAGGTGGAAGAATCTCTTGAACCTAGGAGCTAACTAAGTACACAGCTAATATTGGCTCTCAAAAATATATGAAGACTAAATAAATTAGTCCAGCAAGATCCTGAAAAGTTTAACTCATACTTGAATAAGGCACACTCAAACCACCACTGACAAACAAACTTATGAAATTAATTAATGAATTATGGGGCACAGGCCTAATTTATGTACCACCAGCAATTTCCTTTCATCAATAGCTATAAAAATCATTTTATTGGTCATTTTTCTGAGATTCCTTCAAATATAAACTTCTAAAATAGAAGAACGGACATAAAGACGTAGCATGCAGGTAAACATTTGTTAGAGCTGCAGGCTAGTAAACATGCCTGCTCATAATTAATGCATCTATCTTATATTTTATCTCCCTGACATCTCCAAAACCCGTATTCTACATTTTTGTTTTGCCTTTTATAAATATCTTTTAAAGGAGGGAGATCATGTCTTATTTTGCATTATTTTCTCTTGCATAATAAAGTTTCATCTTATTATTGGCATTTTATTTTCCCCTGGGTGAGTCATTGAAAATGGTAAAGCAAGTGAGACCAGGAAGCAGGTGCATTTCTTACATTATTCTGCAGTGTTCTTTCCATATGCCCAAGCTTTTGTGTTCAACTTGATAGGAATTAAATATGCTTTATTTCCTTTGAGGAATAAAGTTCTCTTGACAAGCACCTCCAACCAGAGAAGTAAACACTGTATGAGAATAAACGTCAGGATTTTTACCTTTGTTTCCTTTGGAAATCTTGTCTCCCCAAGGGCAAAAACATATTTCTGAGGAAACATCAAGAAGAATGATGTTTTACTTGGCCCTATGAACTCAGAGCAGATATATGTTGATCTTCAGTATTTGTTTGCACATAGTGTTTTTAAATATAATGAGAAATACAGATTCTCCTTATTCTAAAATATTCCACTGTCCATCAAGAGGAAATTTGTGTGTGTATTTATTGCTGCAGACCAAAAGCAGAATATTTTCAAGACATTGTTATTTTGATTTGACATCTAAATTTTTCCATCTGTGAAATGGGTAAATATATACCCGCCTTATAAGGTGTTTGTGAAGGCTACTTGAGAAAATACTTGTAAATTGAATGTGATATGCAGACGAAAAATGCTTGAAGCAGTTCTTCAATGAGAAAAATTGTCCTGTCAATGTTAACCTCATAATTTCACCCTTTTTCATTTTTAATTTACTTATTTTTCCTCTTTCCTCAGGAGACTGAAAAGTATGAGTGAGATAGCACTAAGCTTCTCAACTATAATCTGTAAGATGGAAGAAAATTCCTACTAGTGTGGAGCTGCCAGGTGTCGAGGTGGTCCATTAGGACAATGAGCTGAAATGAAACTAACGATCGAGACTTTGTTCACCTGCTGTGATGATGTAATCAAGGGCAAAAATAAGCGCCGGCTCCCTAGTGTTAATTTTCCCCATGGGACAGCAGTGGTCAGGATTGTGGTGGCATGCAGTGCAGGTGAGAGAAGTCTTCCCACTGCCCAGGAACATTAAAAAAAAGGCTCCTGTTTTTTTGAGGACCCAGGATGCCAGAGTGAGGAAGAGGGACAGGGAAGGGAAGACGTAGGAGCAGAGGAACACTGAGTGAGAGTGGCTGAAAGCCAAGAACTCTTTATGGTGGTCTCAGTGGAGACACTTGGGCTAAGAATGCAGATCTGCATAACAGCAATGTTCACCAGGGAGGGGCCTGAGTCCTTAACTGCAACTCCCTCCAGAACACGCTAATGCACTGGCTGTGTACCACGTCTGGTGTGGGAAGGGCAAGGTTTCTCCTATAAGATTTGCCAGGCAAAGGCTTATAGTTGCTAAGGGACAGGCATAAAAAATCACACAAAAGATTTTGCCTAGACCTGGACTCCTCAGTTGCTTTTGTGGTGTAAAATTGGAAAATAACTCACCCGTATTAGGGAGAAAAGTATATAATAGAGAAAAGCTCCTTGCCATTTTAAATTACAAAGTAGACATAAGTGACCTTCATAAGAAATGAACATGTCTAGTATTGGGCAATAGCTAAAGAGGCTATAGTGTATCTGCGTGATGATACATTAAGTAGTAGCTGTAAATGGTGTTTTCAAGAAATATTTAACAGTGAGAGAAAATATTTGCAGTGCTTGAAGTCAAGAATGTAGAGGAGCACGTTTTATATTGAGTGAGGTACCAGTTTATGGAGTGTGTGTGTATGCAAACTTACAAAAGGGTATCTAATGTGTAAATTAGCTATTATGGACAAATGGATCACAAAAAATTGTAATTCTACAAAATTTGACAAATTCTCAATGATGATGCATAACTATTATAATTATTAAATATATTATTATACAAGTAACTAAAATAACTTTAAAGATATGCTGTCTGGGCAAAGGGGGAGGGTCTGTCAGAGCCAGCTCTGGGGCACTCGTTACTACTCTCAGCACAGATTGGGCAGGGGGAAGAAAAAGAATTCCCAGAGACAGAAAGGAAAGTTCATTGTTACCTCTCACTCTGCGAAGCTTAAGTTTGCTACTTTGTTGGGCTTTTAGCTTGTCCTTTTCTTTTTTGAAAATATATCATGCTTCAAATAATAATTTAGTAAACCCAATGTGAATGAATTGATACCACAAATAGTATGTGTGTGGGGACCTAAGAGAAGAAAACATTCATTGAGATAAGAAGTGGGATTATGACTGTTAGGGATGAACCTCTTCTTTACTCCCTCCTCATATCTTCCTGGGCTCTATACTGCCTTTGTTCTTTAACTATGTGTCTTAGTACATTTGGGTTGCTCTAACAAAATACCATCAACTAGGTAGCTTATAAACAGAAATTTATTTCATATAGTTCTGGAAGTTGGCACGTCTAAGATCAAGGCACTAGCAGATTCAGCATCTGGTGAGGGATTTTTCCTGTTTCACAGATGGCTCTTTCTCACTATGTCCTCATCTAGCAGAAAGGGACAACTCTGCTCTCTTTAGCCCCTTATAACGGCACTAATTCCATTCATGAGGTCTCCACTCTCATGATCGCACCACTTCCCACAGGATCCACACCCTCTAATACTCTCACCATGGGAATTAAGATTTTAAAATATCAATTTTGGGAGAGCAAACATTGAGACCATAGCACCATGTGTGCCCAGCTGGGTTGCCGCCTGTTGTTCTGACTGTGCACCTGAGGAGCTGGTTCACACTGTATATCTCTCTGCAAATATCACCTCTGCCATTTCAGCTGTGATACACGTTACTGACAAACAAAGGGACTGGAGAAAATTACTGCATTTTTCTTATTTTATATCTTCTTGACAAATTTAAACCTCCCCAAACAGCACAATCCTTTCAGAATTCTCAGTTACTTTTTGATTTTATACAGATTTGTTTTAGAGGATTAAGGAATCTTCACCTTGGCCTCACCTCTTTTTAATCGCTGGTCTTGATTCTGACATTTAAACTTTATTTTCCTCAAGAAATTCTAAGGCTGAATTACTGCCATTTAGCAAAGTAAGGGAAGCAGATCCTGAAATAACAGAGGTGAACAAAGCAAGTTCTTTTCCTGAAGAATTGATATAGAAGTAAAGCCATTGTTTTATTCCAGAATGATTCTTTCTGTTCGGAGCTGTTTCCTTCCCGTCCAGAATAACCAAAGCAGAAGCAAGTAGATTTCAGATCTACTGGAAAGCTCAGCCTATAATCATTGAGCAAGTCAATCAAGAAAACACATTTGCCTCAAAATGAATATAAGTTTTCTAAAAATTTTGTGTGTAATGAATGTAGACAACCTGTACTAATGGACAATGACCAGAAGCTGGAATATTTTCATTTCTTTTTTAAAAATTGACTTTAACCTTATTAGTGATTGTCTTTTCAATTCAAATATCTATACGATAATGAAAATTTTAACATTTTAATAGCTTTGTATGCACAGCTCAGGAAATTCATGCCCACCTTCCAGGTGTTTTAATGGAAGAGGCCATCTCATGAACATAAACCATAAAAAAGAATCCCAAGCTATCAAGATAGATGTAGGTGGAATGTAATGTTTTCAGTCAAAGGAATTAAAGGATTTATTTACAAACATGAAGTAAACAACCTGTGTTCTCAGATTTATCTTGACCCTCATTATTGGC
Source organism: Homo sapiens (assembly GCF_000001405.40). NCBI lineage: Eukaryota > Metazoa > Chordata > Mammalia > Primates > Hominidae > Homo > Homo sapiens. Next base: position 76,572,751 of record NC_000002.12, read on the forward strand.
TGTAGCCTGTGGTAGGACATATCTGAAGCAACCTTCCATTGTGGGTTGAGGCATCCCTTCTTTTGGAAAATCACACAGGACCCAGGATGGAGACTGACAGAGATAAGAGTCTGCCCATGTGCCTTGAATCCACTCTAAGCCAAGAGAGAAGAATCCTTCTCAACCTCCCTTGTATGTGATTAAGCCAATTTACTTAGAGAAAATATGAGATTGAATTTAGAGGGCAAAAGTCACCCATCAGTTGTTCAGTTTCTTAGCTTCCTAATTCATTTTTCACTAGAGGATGAACAACTTCAAATCCTGGATCTACCACTTACTAGCAGTGTGACATGGGCAAGCTTTTAACTATTCTGGTCATCAGTTTCTTCATCTGTAAATTACGGCTACCACTGATTCTTCCCTCATAGGGTTGTTGGAAAGACTAAAGGAATTAACACATGAAAGTGGGCCTGATACACGCTGAGCACTGGGAATGTGTTTATATTCCATCATTCCCTTTCTCTCTTTAGCTAATTAAACAATTGGGATTCTGAGCACTTCTTTGCTCAGAGAAATGATTAATAATTTCAAAATTTCAAAATGTCAAGCTGATTATATAAACCAAATCACTGAAATTTTGCATTTAACTTGGGTCTTGTCTTTGGTCAACAGAAATAATGTGATACCATGGATATACTGTGGATTTATTGAAATGAAGAGCAGTTGCTTCTCTGATCACCCACAGATCACATTTAAAATGATTAATCATGCATTACAACAGATTGGTTAATTTGGAAAATTTTATTATATGAGTTTCTATATCATTATTTTTATTATTATTGCTTTATTATAATTTATCTCAGATACATGAAGTCACTTGGTGCTCTGGTAGCTTTCATGCGCGTCCGTGTTAAGAGACCACCAAACGGGCTTTGTGTGAGCAATAAAGCTGTTTATTTCACCTGGGTGCAGGTGGGCTGAGTCCGAAAAGAGAGTCAGCGAAGGGAGATAGGGGTGGGGCCGTTTTATAGGATTTGGGTAGGTAAAGGAAAATTACAGTCAAAGGGGGTTTGTTCTCTGGCGGGTAGGAGTGGGGGTCGCAAGGTGCTCAGTGGGGGTGCTTTTTGAGCCAGGATGAGCCAGGAAAAGGACTTTCACAAGGTAATGTCATCACTTAAGGCAAGGACCGGCCATTTACACTTCTTTTGTGGTGGAATGTCATCAGTTAAGGTGGGGCAGGGCATATTCACTTCTTTTGTGATTCTTCAGTTACTTCAGGCCATCTGGGCGTATACGTGCAAGTCACAGGGGATGCGATGGCTTGGCTTGGGCTCGGAGGCCTGACATTCCTGCCTTCTTATATTAATAAGAAAAATAAAACAAAATAGTGTTGAAGTGTTGGGGCGGCGAAAATTTTTGAGGGTGGTATGGAGAGAGAATGGGCGATGTTTCTCAGGGCTGCTTCAAGTGGGATTAGGGGCAGCGTGGGAACCTAGAGAGGGAGAGATTAAGTTGAAGGGAGGTCTTGTGTAAGCGGTGATATTGTGGGGATGTTAGAAGAAACATTTGTCATATAGAATGATTGGTCATGGCCTGGATACGGTTTTGGATGAATTGAGAAACCAAATAGAATAAAAGAAGGAGAAAAACAGGTATAAAAGGTCTAAGAATTGGGATGACTCAGGATATCTGATTAGAGAGTGCCTAAGGAGATTCAGTATAGTCCTGCCAGCAAAGATTATTTATTTACTTCAAGAGTTAAGAGTGGCAGTTTGGGGATAGCACCAGGAGATATCAGCTGTGATGGCTTGGAAAAACAGTGTAAACCGGCAGTGTAAACAAGAGCAGGGCATGTATGAGTAGTTGAGAACGGTGAATATGAGTATGACTAGACAGAAGATAGTGGGGATGACAAGTTTTTTGGGGCACAGTCTAAGTTGGTCTGGTGTCTGGAATGAGACTGGGGCCTAATAAAAAGGAGCGTCTATACAGGAGCTTAAATGGGCTGTACCCTGTAGCATTCTGAGGACAGGCCTGAATTCTGAGAAGGGAAGGTGGTAAAAGTATTGTCCAGTCCTTTTTAAGTTGGTGGCTGAGCTTGGTGAGGTGTGTTTTTAAAAGACCTTTAGTCCATTCTACTTTTCTTGAAGATGGAGGATCGTAAGGGATATAAAGGTTTCACTGAATACTAAGAGCCCGAAAAACTGCTTGGCTGATTTGACTAATAAAGGCTCATCTGTTATCAGACTGTATTGAGGTGGGAAGGCTAAACTGAGGAATTATGTCTGACAGAATGGAAGAAATGACTGCGGTGGCCTTCTCAGACCCTGTAGGAAAGGCCTGTACCTATCCAGTGAAAGTATCTACCTAGACTAAGAGGTATTTTAGTTTTCTGACTCGGGGCATGTTGAGTAAAGCTAATTTGCCAGTCCTGGGTGGGGCAAATCCTCGAGCTTGATGTGTAGGGAAGGGAGGGGGCCTGAATAATCCCTGAGGAGTAGTAGAATAGCAGATGGAACACTGAGAAGTTATTTCCTTGAGGATAGATTTCCACGATGGAAAGGAAATGAGAGGTTCTAAGAGACAGGCTAGTGGCTTGTACTATAGCATAACCTGCCTTTGCTGGTATGTGGCGATTAGGCCTGGTGGAACCACCATCAATAAATCAAGCGTGATCAGGTGAGGAACAGGAAAGAAGGAAATATAGGGAAATGGGGTGAATATCAGGTGGATCAGAGAGATACAGTCATGGGGGTCAGGTGTGGTATCAGGAATAATGTGGGAGGCCGGATTGAAGTCTGGGCCAGGAACAACGGTAATTGTGGGACTTAACAAAGAGTGAGTACAGCTGAAGGAGCCGGGGAGCAGCAGGTATATGCGTCAGGTATGAGGAAGAAAATAGATTTTGGAAGTTATGAGAACTGTAGAGATTGAGTTGAGCATAGTTTGTGATTTTGAGGGCCTCTAAAAGTATTAGGGCAGCAGCAGCGGCTGCACGGAGACATGATGGCCAGCCTGAAACAGTAAGGTCAAGTTGTTTGGACAAAAAGGCTACAGGACGCGATCCTGGTCCTTACATAAGAATTCCGACTGCACAGCCCTGCACTTTGGCTGTGTGTAATGAAAAGGGTTGGGATGAGTCAGGGAGAACTAGAGTGGGGGCAATTTCTAAAGCTGTCTTCAAGGAATGGAAAGAGGAGTGGGGAAAGGATTTAGGATCTATGGGGTCAGCTAGGTTTCCTTTTGTGAGCTTATATAATGGTTTTGTTAGGATGGCCAAACCAGGTATCCAAAGGCGAAAGTATCCAACCATGGCCAGGAAGGAAAGGAGTTCTTGTTTTGTAGAAGGGGTTGGGGTTTGAGAGATCAGTCAGACACGATTGGCAGGGAGAGCACGTGTGTTTTTATGAGAATTATGCCAAGATAGGTAACAGATGAGGAAGAAATTTGAGCTTGATTGAAGTAATGGGGGCTGTCTGTGAAGCTTTGCGGCAGTACAGCCCGGGTAATTTGCTGAGCTTGATGGGAGTCAGGGTCAGTCCACGTGAAAGCGAAGAGAGGCTGGGATTAATGGTGCAAAGGAATAGTAAAGAAAGCATGTTTGAGATCTAGAACAGAATAATGGGTTGTAGAGGCAGGTATTGAGGATAGGAGAGTATATGGGTTTGGCACCACGGGGTGGACAGACAAAACAATTTGGTTGATAAGGCGCAGATCCTGAACTAACTTGTAAGGCTTGTCTGGTTTTAGGACAGGTGAAATGGGGGAATTGTAAGGAGAGTTTATAGGCTTTAAAAGGCCATGCTGTAGCAGGCGAGTGATAACAGGCTTTAATCTTTTTAAAGCATGCTGCAGGATGGAATATTGGCATTGAGTGGGGTAAGGGTGATTAGGTTTTAATGAGATGGTAAGGGGTGCATGATCGGTCGCCAAGGAGGGAGTAGAGGTATCTTATACTTGTGGGTTAAAGTGGGGGATAAAAGAGGAGGATGCAAAGGAGGCTTTGGATTGGGAAGAAGGGCGGCAATGAGATATAGCTGTAGTCCAGGAATAGTCAGGGAAGCAGATAATTTAGTTAAAGTGTCTCAGCCTAATAAGGGAACTGGGCAGGTGGGGATAACTAAAAAGGAGTGCTTAAAAGAGTATTGTCTAAGTTGGCACCAGAGTTGGGGAGTTTTAAGAGGTTTAGAAGCCTGGCCGTCAATACCCACAACAGTTCTGGGGGCAAGGGAAACGGGCCCTTGAAAAGAAGGTAATGTGGAGTGGGTAGCCTCCGTATTGATTAAGAAGGGGACGGGCTTACCGTCCACTGTGAGACTTACCCGAAGCTCGGCGTCCGTGATGGTCTAGGGGGCTTCCGAGGCGATTGGGCAGTGTCAGTCTTCAGCCTCTAAGCCGAGAAGATCTGGCAAGGAGTCAGTCAGAGAGCCCTGGGCCAGAGTTCCAGGGGCTCTGGGAGTGGCTGCCAGGTGAGTTGAACAGTCTGATTTTCAGTGGGGTCCCACACAGATGGGACGCGGCTTAGGAGGAATCCCGGGCTGCGGGCATTCCTTGGCCCAGTGGCCAGATTTCCAGCACGCGTAGCAAGCTTCTGTGGGAAAAGGTTCTGGAGGAACGCCTGGCCACTGCACTTCAGGCATTTGGAAGTTCTTATGTGCTGGAGATGTGGCTGGGGTTTGTCTCACAGTGGAGGCAAGGAATTGCAACTTTTTTCTATTATTGTACACATTGAAGGTGAGGTTAATTAAATCCTGTTGTGGGGTTTGAGGGCCAGAATTTAATTTTTGGAGTTTTATTTAATGTTGGGAGCAGACTGGGTAATAAAATGCATTTTGAGAATAAGACGGCCTTTTGACATTTTAGGGTCTAGGGCTGTAAAGTGTCTCGGAGTTGCTGCCAAACAAGTCATGAACTGGGCTGGATTTTTATATTTGATGTAAAAGCCTAAACGCTATCTGATTTGGGATAAAGAGAAAGGAGCATTAACCTTGACTATGCCTTTAGCTCCAGCCACCTTTTTAAGAGTAAATTGCTGGGCAGGAGGGGGAGGGCTAGTCACGGAACGAAACTGTAAGCCGGACCAGGTGTGAGGAGGGGAGGTGATAAAAAGATTATAGGGTGGAGGAGCAGAGGCTGAGGAAGAATTGGGACCTAGCTTGGCCTGGCAAGGAGCAGCCTTGGGAGGAAGGGAGAGGTCAGATGGGTCTGTAGAAAAGGAAGATTAGAAAGACTCAGCGACGCTTGGGGTTGGTACTGAGGGGACAGGCGGAAGGGAAAGAAGGAAGATTTGGGATGAGTTGCACTGGGCACAGAGACTAGGAAAGGACTGATGTGTAAAAGAATGCCTGGACATCAGGCACCTCAGACCGTTTGCCTATTTTACGACAAGAATTATTTAGATCTTGCAGGATGGAAAAATTCAAAGTGCCATTTTCTGGCTATTTGGAACTGCTGTCGAGTTTGTACTGGGGTCAAGCGGCATTGCACAAGAAAATAAGCCATTTAGGTTTTAGGTCAGGTGTGAGTTGAAGAGGTTTTAAGTTTTTGAGAACACAGGCCAAGGGAGTAGAAGGAGGAATGGAGGGTGGAACGTTGCCCGTAGTGAAGGAAGCAAGCCTAGAGAAAAGAGAGAGTAGAGAAACAGAGGGAAGGGGTTCGGGCATTCTTACCTTCCAGAAAAGTGGGAAAAGGGGTTGGGGTGCAGAGATAAGAGGTTGGGGCAGGGAAATAAGGGATGGGGCGCAGAAATAAGAGGTTGGGGCATGGTATTAAGGGACTGGGGTGCAGAGATATAAGAGGTTGGGGCACGGAAATAAGGGATTGGGGCACAGAGATGCGAGGTTGTGGCACGGAAATAAGGGATTGGGGCACAGAGATGTTGGGGCATGGAAATAAGGGATTGGGGGTTCTTGCCCCGTAGAAAAGCGGGACTTGCCGCTAAGGGTGAAGGAGAAGGGGTTGAGGGGTACTTGCCCCTGCCCCAGAAAAGCAGAGAAGGGGTAGAGACAAGGAGAGAAGGGGTTGAGGGGTACTTGCCCCTTCCCCAGAAAAGCGGGACTTGCCGCTAAGGGTGAAGGACCAAGGCAGGCGTCCCTGCGTGGTCTGACACCTTTGAAACATGGGTGAATAATCAGAGGCGTCCCTGCAATGATTAAACACCAAGGGAAGACTGCCTTCCCAGTCCGTGACCGGCGCCGGAGTTTTGGGTCCACGGATAAAACGTGTCTCCTTTGTCTCTACCAGAAAATACCAGAAAATGAAAGGAATTGAAATTAAGAGAAGGGAGAGATTGAAGTGTGGCACCAAGATTGAAAGGAGAAAGAGGTTGAGGGTTAGTGAGGGAGGTTGGAGAAGAGAGTAAAAAGAGGCCGCTTACAGGATTTGAAATTGGTGAGATGTTTCTTGGGCTGGTCGGTCTGAGGACCTGAGGTCGTAGGTGGATCTTTCTCACGGAGCAAAGAACAGGAGGACGGGGGATTGATCTCCCAAGGGAGGTCCCCCGATCCGAGTCACAGCACCAAATTTCATGCGCGTCCCTGTGAAAAGACCACCAAACAGGCTTTGTGTGAGCAGTAAAGCTGTTTATTTCACTTGGGAGCAGGTGGGCTGAGTCCGAAAAGAGAGTCAGCGAAGGGAGATAAGGGTGGGGCCGTTTTATAGGATTTGGGTAGGTAAAGGAAAATTGCAGTCAAAGCGGGTTTGTTCTCTGGCAGGCAGGAGTGGGGGTCGCAAGGTGCTCAGTGGGGGTGCTTTTTGAGCCAGGATGAGCTAGGAAAAGGACTTTCACAAGGTAATGTCATCACGTAAGGCAAGGACTGGCCATTTACACTTCTTTTGTGGTGGAATGTCATCAGTTAAGGTGGGGCAGGGCATATTCACTTCTTTTGTGATTCTTCACTTACTTCAGGCCATCTGGGCTTATATGTGCAAGTCACAGGGGATGCGATTGCTTGGCTTGGGCTCAGAGGCTTGACAGTAGCCACAGTCTGGATAAGGATAAGGTTTTCTTATTATTTTTATTTTTTATTATTTTTTATTTCTGCCCCTATCCCCTATCTGCTTTGCTCCTCTCTGTTGTAGAGACTGTATTTCACTCAACTCTAATATCCAACTGGTCTGCTTTTCCTCCTCCTCTTCCACTGGTCTGTTTCTTAATACAGGGAACTAACCTTCCATGAATGAAATTCCCATGCTGTAATACTCTTGGGCATCCAGTTAGGCTCGGTAGATAGGAGGCACTGATGGGAGAATGGAAGAAAGGAGGAGAGGAAAAAGCCAGATGATTCTCCTCTGGTCTCTCTTTCAACAGAGTCTTTAACTATGACACCAGTGCCTGCTAGGCAGTCCCTCTTCCAAGGTATGAACTCCCCCTAAATATCCCACAACCCAGGCTCAGTGGCTCAGCCAGGGCCAGCTTCATGGGCTGGAGACCTGTGAAGTCATAGTTGCACAGAGCCTCATGCATAAAAGGGCCCCATGCTTGCTTAATGCTCTGCTATCGCCATCTTGAAATTCTTAATGATTTTGAACAAGGGCTCACGCATTTTCATTTTGCACTCAGCCCTGTAAGTTATGTAGCTAGTCTTGGTTCCAGCACTGCTCAAGGAACCCCCTTCACATTTCTAGCTTTCCAAGTTTCACATTCACCTATAAATAGCAAAGCATGTAATTTTATTTTCTGCTACTGTAATACCAGTCTGTTAATTTGACAAATGAAAGGAGCAGCTAACTTTCATTTTTTTACTATCTTTAACAATATATATTATATGTTCCTTGAAAGGACATGTTAAAATAGCATTTATCTATAGAACTATCTGTCTCTGAAATGGTAGGGAGTGAAGTAAGGAAGAGTGTCTTTGGTTATTTTTATTTGTTCAATATTCATTTATTTGTTATGTTTTTTCTTTTATCAATTTTAGCATTTTATATTTTTCCAATAATGCATCTCTTCTAAGGTTTCAAATTCATTGCTGTTTATATTATCTTTGTTACCATGATATATCAAGATTATCATATCATATTATATCCTATATACTATACTTATTATCGTAATTATATAATAGTTATATTTTCTTCTAATCTGTATATTCATTAAATATTTAATCTGTTGTAGTAAATTCTTTCTTGCTACTTTGCATTTACTTTTTTGCTCATCTTACAGCTTAAGTTGCACAAATATTTTTCTCAGAGTTTCAGCTGTATATCAGACTTCTTAAATTACTTTCATTTTATGGATTATTTCACTAAATATTTCCTCTTCAATGAAGAATTACTTAATATTTATATTTTAACATGTGGAACTTTTTAGCTATAAAATATTTGTCTTTTAATTTGTTAATTTCTAATATCACTGCATTATGGTAAATATATTTTTCTTTAGTCTACAATTGACCATTAAACAACACAGTTTCGAACTGCATAGGTCCACTTATATGCAGATGTTTTCAATAAATATATTGGAATAAGTTTTGGAGATTTATGAAAATTTGAAAAAACTCATAGATGTACTGTATTGCCTAAAATATCAAAAAATAAGAAAAAGATATGTCATTAATCCTTTAAAATTTATGTAGATCTTAGTCTATTTATGTGTAACTTGGCTGTTTATGTTACTGGTGAGGCCTCCATTCAACAGTAAGCTAATAATAGTTAAGTTTTAGGGGAGTCAAATTTATATGTAGATTTTCAACTGTGTGGGGGATCAACACCCCAACCCTTGTGTTGTTTAAGGGTTAACTGTGTGTGTATATACATATGTATGTATATATATACACATACAGATGCACATACGTATACACATATGTATACGTATACACACACATATATACACAATATCCATTTCTTTCATCAATATCCATTTATTTCTCACCTCTTTCTCTACATACTGAAATCCCAACCTCACCAAAACTACTTTTTTCTGCTGTTTTCCTAGTTCGGGGACATTGTTTATTTAAACCACGAGAAGATTTGTAGACTTATTTATTCAGTGTGATCGTCTATATCTTGTTTCTTCCTGGATCTGGTTTCTATTTCTGTTTGAGTACTTCCTCCAAGAGTGTTTTCAACGAAAAGTTTGCATAGTAAATTTTATAAAGTCTCATATGCCTGAGAATAATATTTTGCCCTCATATTTAAATTATAGTTTTACTGGATTAAAAACATGTTCAAATTTCTCTTCTGTCAACACATAAATATTATTGCATTGCCTTCTGGTATGCAGTGTAGCTGTTGAGAAACCTAATTTTTAATCTAATACTTGTAGTTTCTAAGGCTGTCTACACTATTCTTTCTTGCAGCTTTTAAGATGGTCTCTCTATTGAATGATCTCAAATATTATAATAGTGTATACAAATGTGTTCTCTTACCGTTCTGTTTTATATAGGCATTTTTCATATTTTTTAAATGAAAACATTAGATATTGTTTCAAATATTTCCTTCTCGGTTCATCTGTCAAAAAACACTTAACATAGTTTCTATGTCTTGGGTATTGTAAGTAAATGGCAAAATGATCGTGGGAGTACAGATATACCTTTGAGATATTCATTTCACTTCTTTGGATTTATACTACTTAGTAGGATTGTTGTACCACATGGCTCAATTTTCACTTTTTTAAGAAAACTGCCTACTGTTTTCCACAATGGTTTGTTTTCTCTCTACACTTTCACCAATACTTGTTATCTCTGGTCTTTTTGATATAGCTATACTAACAGGTGTGAGGTGATATCTTGTGGTTTTGATTTGCATTTCCCTGATGATTAGTGATACTGAATACCTTTTAGTATACCTGTTCGCCATTTTTAAGTCGTCTATGGAAAAATGTCTCATGAGGTTCTTTGCCTACTTTTTATTTGGGTTACTTTGTTTTGTGTACTGTTGAGTTTTATGAGATGCCTATATATTTTGGATTTAACCCTTTAACAGATATATGCTTTGCAAATATTTTCTCCCATTTTATAGATAGCCTTTCCATTTTATTGACTGTTTTTTTTTTTCTGTGTAAAAACTTTTTAGTTTGATGTAGCCTCACTTGTTTTTGTGTATTTGTTTGTTTTGCTTTGCTTTTTTATGTTATTTTTGCCTGTGATTTTGGTGTTATATCCAAAATCATCACTACCAAGACCCATATCAAGGAGATTTTCTCCTATGTTTTCTTTCAGGATTTTTGTTTGTTTGTTTTAGGCCTTATCTTTAAGTCTTTTATCTATGTTGAGTTAATTTTTGTGTACGGTTTAAGATAAGGGCACACTTTTATTCTTCTGCATATGGATATTCAGTTTCTCCAGCACCATTTATTAAAAAGACTATCTTTTCATCACTGTGTATTCTTGTCATCCTTGCCAAAAATTAGTTGGCTGTACATGTGTAGGTTTATTTCCAGACTCGATATTCTGTTGCATTGGCTTAATGTGTCTGTTTCTATGGCAATACCATAGGGTTTTGATTACTACAGCTTTGTAATATACTTTTAAATCAGGATGTGTAATGCCTCTAGTTTGTTCATATTTCTTAAGATTGTGTCTTTTGTCATTCCGTACACGTTAGGATTGTTTTCTCTATGTCTGTAAAAATTATCATTGGAATTTTGATAAAATTGTCATTGAACCTATAGATAGTTTTGTGCAGTGTGGACATTTGTACAATATTAATTATACCAATCTCCGTATAGAACTTTCAATCCTATGTTGAATAAAAGGGGGGAGAGTGGGAACCGTCGCCTTGTCCAGATCTTAGAGGCATAGCTTTCAATTTTTCAAAATTGAGGATAATGTTACTGTGGGCTTTTCATGTATGGTCTTTATTATGTTGAAGTGCATTCCCTAATTCGATGAGAATTTTTCATGAAAGCGTGTTGAATTTTGTCAAATTTTTTTTCTGCATCTACTGAGATGATCATATGTGTTTCATCCTTTATTCTCTTAATTTGGTATCACATTTATAGATTTGGGTATGTTGACACATCCTTGTATTCCAGGAATAAATCCCACTTGATCATAGTGAATGATCCCTTTAATAAGCTGTTGAATTTGTTTTGCTAGTATTTTGTTGAGGATTTTTGGATTTTTGCATCTATGTTCATCAGGGCTATTGGCCTGTAGTTGTCTTTTCTTGTAGTGTTCTTGTCTGGCTTATTGCCCTCATAAAAGAAGTTTGGAATTGTTCTCTTCCTCTTCTTCTGTTATTTATTTATTTTTTTTTGGAAGAGTTTGAAAAAGTATTGGTGTTAATTCTTCTTTAAATATTTGGTAGAATTCACCTGCAAAGCCATCTGATCCTGGGCTTTTCTTTGTTAAGAAATTTTTGATTATTGTTTCATTCTCCTTATTCATTATGGGTTTGTTCAGATTTTCTGTCTTCATGAGTCAGCCTTGTATATGCATAGGTTTATATCTACTGTGGTTGTATATTTCTAGAAGTTTGTACATTTTCTTCTAGGCTATGTGATTTATTGGCATACAGTTGTTCACAGTAGTCTCCTACCATCCTTTCATTGTATTTCTGTGGTATCAGTTGTAATGACTCCACTTTTCTTTATAATTTTATAAATAAAATTATATTGTTGGGATATCAGTGATAAAATTATATCCTTGGGATAGCATTGATTTTTAGCTTTATTGTATACATGGAGAAATGGCAGTGACTCCTCTCTCTTTTTCTCTTGGTTAGCCTAGATAAAACTTGATTACTTTTGTTCATTTTTTCAAAAGAAACCTCAGTTTCATTGAACTTTTCTATTGTCCATCTAGTCTTTCTTTATTTCTGTGTAATCGTTGTTATTTTCTTCCTTCTGCTAACCTTGGGATCAGTTTTGTTCTTATTTTTCTAGTTCCTTGAGGTATAAAGTTAGATTGTTTATTTGAGATTCTTTTTCTAAGTGTAGGCATTTACCATTATAAACTTCTGTCTTTGAACTGCTTGTGCTGCGTCCCACAGGTGTTGGTATGCTGTGTGTTCTTTCGTTTTCATTTTCTCAATACATCTTAAAATTTCCCTTTGTTTTCTTTATTTGTCTGTTTGCTCAAGAGCATGCTAATTTCCACATACTTGTGAATTTTTCAGTTTTTCTCCTGTTACTGATTTCTAGTTTCTTATCATTGTGGTCAGGAAGGTTACTTGATATTACTTCAATCTTACTTTATTTATTAATTTTTTTTGAGACAGAGTCTCACTGTGTCACCAGGCTGGGATCCAGTGGCACGATCTTGGCTCACTGCAACCTCTGCCTCCCGGGTTCAAGTGATTCTCCTGCCTCAACCTCCTGAGTAGCTGGGCCTATAGGTGTGTGCCACCACACCCAGCTGATTTTGTGTTTTTAGTAGGGATGAGGTTTGACCATGTTGGCCAGGATTGTCTCAATCTCTTGACCTCGTGATCTGCCCACCTCGGCCTCCCAAATTGCTGGGATTACAGGCGTGAGCCCCCACACCCAGCCTATTTATTTATTTCTTGAGACAGAGTCTCACTCTGTCACCCAGGCTAGAGTGCAGTGGTGAGATCTCGGCTCACTGCAACCTCCACCTCCCAGGTACAAGTGATTCTCCTGCCTTAGCCTCCCAAGTAGCTGGGATTACAGGGGCCTGTCACCTGGCTAATTTTTTTGTATTTTTAGTAGAGACAGGGTTTCACCATGTTGGCCAAGCTGGTCTCAAACTCCTGACCTCAGATGATCTGCCCACCTTGGCCTCCCAAAGCATTGGGGTTACAGGCGTGAGCCACCACGCCTGGCTTATCTTAAATTTGTAAAGCCTTGCTTTGTGGCCTCATTTTTTTCTTTATTATATTTTAGTTCTTTAATATTTTATATTGGTCACACCAGTGTCTCCAGTTGGTTCTTCTTTATACAGCTTGTATGTCTGCTACCAAGTCTATCCCTTATCTGTGAAAATATACTACTGTGCTTGGTGTAAGTTCAAACTTCATGTGATCCACTGTTAGTTTTTTTCTGACAGGTTGTTCATTCTTTCATTTCCTGTCATGGATCTCAAGTTCTCACATGCTTTGTTATATCTTCCTGTTGTTTCTTATTCCCTTGGGATATCAGTGATTTTTTTTTTTTTTTTTTTTTTTTAGCTTTATCGTGTACATAGAGAAATGGCAAAAGCTATGGTCTGCACTATGCCTGGCAAGTTAAGATGAGAGAGTCTTTGGGGCAAGACATCAGGGACAAAAATCTCTGGTGCTCCCACATGGTCTCAACTTCATTCCCATCATATGAACTTATTTATTAGGGAACAGTATTGCTTGCACTCTAGGCCCTCCTATTTTCCAAGTGCTCCTTTTATGACAGCACTTTTAGGCCTCTGGGGTTGTGCTAAGGGATGGAAAGATCACTTACAAGCAGTCTGCCTTGTTCTCCCTCAGTTAGACAGCACTAGTTTATGCTGTCAATTCCTTTTTTTTTTTTTTCAGTTGGCATTGGTGTTTTCCTGCCAGACAGGAGCCAAGAAAGCAGGGATATACCCAAACTGCATTGGAGGAAAGATATGAGCATATCAGAAACCTCTTCTGCAGCCTATTCTCTCATTTGGCTCTTGGCCTTGCTCCACCTTGCGTCCCCATTTTCTTCTCTTAAGAGGATGCTACCAAATTCGTGCTCCTCAAAGGTCTGTCAGAGTTGTGACTTATGTTCTGGGTTCCATCAGTCTCTTTCTAGCTTCTGTGGTATATCCAAGGTTAGATTCATCAGCAGTTTAAATGAAACCATGATCTTTTTTCCTATTTTATTTAGAAATGTAGAAATTATGTTCATGGAGTATATAGATAACATTTGGTAATGTGTCATATTCACTTCCTAGCAACCTGCACATATATTAATGTAGACTAGAGTTCTAGAGTTGAAGTGACGACATATTTGTTTTTATATGAGATCCAGACTTGTATTGAAAGTTGAGTAATTGTGTGATATCAGTCAGTTGTTTTATTTTTCTCCTTTTTTTGTAATTTAATTTAGAATCTATTCAGCTAAAACTTGAAAGCTGTATTGAATTGTTGGTGGTAAATTATGAATAGTAGCTCAGTGATTGTGCCTGGTAGCAGAGCAGAGTATACTAAGACATCCCAACATGCTAAAAATAACTAATATTTGTTTAGCATTTTACAAAACATTATCTTAAGTGACTGATAAAACTGTAAAACAAGCCTTATTATAATTCTCATTTTATGGATGAGGAAACCAGAGCTGAGGAAGGCTCTCTGACATTTTCAGAATCATTCAGCCAAGAATGAAAGTCAGGTAAATAGTACAAAGAAAATCACAAAGCCTGAGACATCTCAAATGCAAGGATAAGCAGGCACAAATACCAAGAATGCTAGTAGTAAACCAAGCTAGCAAAATCAAGCAAATGCAAGGAATCAGTGTCTACTTATGGATGCAAAACAAGAGACTGATGAGGAAGATGTATATTCTTTTGATCTGAAAGAACTATAATGGTCTCACTACCAGAATTTAGCCCCAGTTATACATCTGTAAAATGGAAGAAAAAGAACTAGAAAATTAAAGACAACAAATTCTCAGTTTAAACTTATCTTAGTGGGGAAGAGGATGATGGAGTGGGATTGGAACTCAAGTGCTTTTTTCACAAGCTTCCAGAGAGGAAAATATTTTGGTTACTACATATATTCTTAAAATATGTCAAAATAATGGTCATCTCCTTCTGTTCATACCTCTCCCATCTCTGTTTTTCTGTTTCTCTTTTTGACTATTTGCTTCTTTGTATTTCTTATCTTCTTCTTCCCCACTTCTGTAGCTCAGCAATTTCTGTGTATAGATGTGTAGATTTCTATATATAGATTATCTGACATTCTATTTAATGATGTACACAGATGTATATCTCCTATTTGCCTCTGTCTTGTATCTCATTTTCCTTTTCTGTCTCCCTCCACTCCAGCAACTGGATCATAACAATCATGCAATGATACATCAGGACCCTCGACCTCACAACATTTTGTCTACCATATGCTTAAAAGAAGGTAAGCTTCACAGAGTTTGGGTATTTGAGTTAAGTTGAAATTTTGCCTTTTTCTTTCTAAGATTAATGTATTTTATCACTTTAACAGATTTTTATCTATGAGATTCTGAATGTAAGTAATCAAAGTGGACATCTGTGTCTTCTTTTTCCTGAGTTTAACAGAAAATGATATATATGGGTTGTTCTGGGTCTTATAAACATCTTACACATGGTTCAACAATTGTCCTTCTATATTTAGCTTACTAAATCTTTTGAAATTTATTTTCTCTCAAATCAACAGGTATTAAAGTGATCATTTTTTAAACATCTATTAAGATAATCATCTTTTCAAAAATTTAATCTTCAGCATAATTACTCATGTTAAACTATTATTTCATTCTTAAGATAAAGTCTGCCTGATACTATTTATGAATATCATATTTAAAAGTTTTGTTCTGTATTTGTAAATTGGATTACTCTATGGATTTTTCTTTATGTGCATCATTTGTTTAGATTTGATTTCAGATTTGCTTTAGCCTTGAGGAATAAGTTGAGCAATTTTTTTTCTTTCATTTTGGTTTTTCTTAATTGCATTTCTAACATAGGTACTATCGCTTTCTTCAAGTTCTGGAAAAAACTCATCTCCAAACTGTCTAGAACTGACATCTATTTTAGAAGTACTTCTCTTTTTGATTTTTTTTTTCAAATTCTATAGGTATTAGTTTATTTAGGTATTTTAATTTTCCTTGGACAAATTTTGTTAACGTATATAGTTTTAATATATTAATTTCATTTAAATTTCAAATTCAATGGCATAAATTTGCTTGGAGCATTTTATTTTTATAACTATTCTCTGTTTATAGTTATATATTTCTTCTCATTTCTAATTTTGTGGTTGGTTTGTTTAGTTTGGTCTTCTTTCATGTTTCTTGATTGGATTTCCTCAAGGCTTGTATGTTCGATAGATCTTATAAAATAACTGTGTTTATATTAACCAAGTCTATATTTTTGGTATTATATTGTTTCTTACTTTTATAATTACGTTATTTCTATTTAAAAATTTATTTTGTTGTTTTCTAACTTCATAAATTGAAATCCAGTTGATATATTTTTAATATTCATTTTATATTATACATATTTAAGGCTGTACCTTTTCTCTGGGTGACATTCTTGACTCTGCCAGGTTTAAATATGCAGTGATCTCATGGCCATTCATTTTCAAGTACTTTCTAATCTTCATATCATTACTTCTTGCTTAATCAAGAGGGAACTTTTCTTGGGTCAACCAAGAAAAATATAGTAGCATGTCTGTTTTCACATGCTTAAGGGGTACGTGTGTGTGTGTGTGTGTGTGTGTGTGTGTGTGTGTGTGTGTGTATGTGGGGTAGAGTCACATTCTTTGTTGCAAAGTTTGAATTTATTCCATAATTGTCAGAAACATAGCCTACATGTTTTTTGCCTTGGGAAAATTATTGAATGTTACTTTCATGCTCACTATGTAATCTGATTTATCAAATGGTCTAGATTTGTTTGAATACAAACTTATTTCTGTATTTCTTGATACAAATTATGTTTATAATATCTATCTATGACTACATGTTGGTTAATTGCTTTATTACAATTCCTCTATAATTTGTTTTAAAATATGTTTTTAGTTTCAGAGATAAGTGAATTTAAAAGATCCCATTATAACGGTGGATTTGTCAATTTCCCTTGTGTAATTTCAAGTTTTTTGTTATTTGTTTTTAATTTAATGTATTGCAACAATATCATATTAGGCCCAGAAATAATTGTCATTACTATATGTGCTGATAAAGTAAAACTTTGGTAAATTCTAGGTAACATGTATCATCTACTCTGGCTTCCAATGTTGCAGACAGTGTTAAAATTCTCTGTATCACTATTAGGTCCATAATATTATTGTCGTTGTTATTATTATTGCCATTTCACAGAAAAGAGACCAGGTGTAAAGAATGAACACATACTGTTACTTTCAGCTAGCAAGCAAGGAAGCCACCCAGGCAGCTGCCCTGAACTCAAACCTACACAGACAGCTCCAGAGCCATTCTCCATCAGCGCCATGCTCATCAGTACCATTCATGTTTTGTTTTCTTCCTTGAATTCTATTTTGTCTTTATTTTTACAGTGTTGTCTGACCTATATGTACTCATTCTTTGTTTTAAACCACTTAGTGCCAATTCATTTTACGTTTAATGGTTAACACCGTATAGCTAAATTTTTTTAGAGAATTTGGTAGTCTTCAATAAAGATCATATACACACATTTTAATTATGGATATTTTAACTTAATAATGTTACTTTCCTACTTATTATATATATATATATTTTTTTTTTTCTTTCTTCCTTTTGTTTTTTTTTTTTTTTTTTTGAGACGGAGTCTCGTTCTGTCGCCCAGGCTGGAGGGCAGTGGCGCGATCTCGGCACAGTGCAAGCTCCGCCTCCTGGGTTCACGCCATTCTCCCGCCTCAGCCTCCTGGGTTGCTGGGACTACAGGCACCCGCCGCTACGCCCGGATAATTTTTTGTGTTTTTTTTTATTATACTTTAAGTTTTAGGGTAGATGTACACAATGTGCAGGTTAGTTACATATGTATACATGTGCCATGCTGGTGTCCTGCACCCATTAACTCGTCATTTAGCATTAGGTATGTCTCCCAGTGCTATCCCTCCCCCCTCCCCCCACCCCACAACAGTCCCCAGAGTGTGATGTTCCCCTTCCTGTGTCCATGTGTTCTCATTGTTCAATTCCCATCTATGAGTGAGAACATGCAGTGTTTGGTTTTTTGTCCTTGTGATAGTTTACTGAGAATGATGATTTCCAGTTTCATCCATGTCCCTACAAAGGACATGAACTCATCATTCTTTATGGCTGCATAGTATTCCATGGTGTATATGTGCCACATTTTCTTAATCCAGTCTATCACTGTTGGCCATTTGGGTTGGTTCCAAGTCTTTGCTATTGTGAATAGTGCCGCAATAAACATATGTGTGCATGTGTCTTTATAGCAGCATGATTTATAGTCCTTTGGGTATATACCCAGTAATGAGATGGCTGGGTCAAATGGTATTTCTAGTTCTAGATCCCTGAGGAATCGCCACACTGA
The DNA here is from genome assembly GCF_000001405.40 of Homo sapiens. NCBI lineage: Eukaryota > Metazoa > Chordata > Mammalia > Primates > Hominidae > Homo > Homo sapiens. The sequence continues at coordinate 76,590,798 of NC_000002.12, forward strand.
CTTCCACAATGGTTGAACTAGTTTCCAGTCCCACCAACAGTGTAAAAGTGTTCCTATTTCTCCACATCCTCTCCAGCACCTGTTGTTTCCTGACTTTTGAATGATTGCCATTCTAACTGGTGTGAGATGGTATCTCATTGTGGTTTTGATTTGCATTCTCTGATGGCCAGTGATGGTGAGCATTTTTTCATGTGTTTTTTGGCTGCATAAATGTCTTCTTTTGAGAAGTGTCTGTTCATATCCTTTGCCCATTTTTTGATGGGGTTGTTCGTTTTTTTCTTGTAAATTTGTTTGAGTTCATTGTAGATTCTGGATATTAGTCCTTTGTCAGATGAGTAGGTTGTGAAAATTTTCTCCCATTCTGTAGGTTGCCTATTCACTCTGATGGTAGTTTCTTTTGCTGTGCAGAAGCTCTTTACTTTAATGAGATCCCATTTGTCAATTTTGGCTTTTGTTGCCATTGCTTTTGGTGTTTTAGACATGAAGTCCTTGCGCATGCCTATGTCCTGAATGGTAATGCCTAGGTTTTCTTCTAGGGTTTTTATGGATTTAGGTCTAACGTTTAAGTCTTTAATCCATCTTGAATTATTTTTTGTATAAGGTGTAAGGAAGGGATCCAGTTTCAGCTTTCTACATATGGCTAGCTAGTTTTCCCAACACCATTTATTAAATAGGGAATCCTTTCCCCATTGCTTGTTTTTCTCAGGTTTGTCAAAGATCAGATAGTTGTAGATATGCAGCATTATTTCTGAGTGCTCTGTTCTGTTCCATTGATCTATATCTCTGTTTTGGTACCAGTACCATGCTGTTTTGGTTACTGTAGCCTTGTAGTATAGTTTGAAGTCAGGTAGCATGATGCCTCCAGTTTTGTCCTTTTGGCTTAGGATTGACTTGGGGATGCGGGCTCTTTTTTGGTTCCATATGAACTTTAAAGTAGTTTTTTTCCAATTCTGTGAAGAAAGTCATTGGTAGCTTGATGGGGATGGCATTGAATCTGTAAATTACCTTGGGCAGTATGGCCATTTTCACGATATTGATTCTTCTTACCCATGAGCATGGAATGTTCTTCCATTTGTTTGTATCCTCTTTTATTTCATTGAGCAGTGGTTTGTAGTTCTCCTTGAAGAGGTCCTTCATGTCCCTTGTAAGTTGGATTCCTAGGTATTTTATTCTCTTTGAAGCAATTGTGAATGGGAGTTCACTGACGATTTGGCTCTCTGTTTGTCTGTTATTGGTGTATAAGAATGCTTGTGATTTTTGCACATTGATTTTGTATCCTGAGACTTTGCTGAAGTTGCTTATCAGCTTAAGGAGATTTTGGGCTGTGACAGTGGGGTTTTCTAGATATACAATCATGTCATCTGCAAAACTAACTCATTTTATGAGGCCAGCATCATCCTGATACCAAAGCCGGGCAGAGACACAACCAAAAAAGAGAATGTAAGACCAATATCCTTGATGAACATTGATGCAAAAATCCTCAATAAAATACTGGCAAACCGAATCCAGCAGCACATCAAAAAGCTTATCCACCATGATGAAGTGGGCATCATCCCTGGGATGCAAGGTTGGTTCAATATATGCAAATCAATAAATGTAATCCAGCGTATAAACAGAACCAAAGACAACAACCACATGATTATCTCAATACATACAGAAAAGGCCTTTGACAAAATTCAACAACCCTTCAGTCTAAAAACTCTCAATAAATTAGGGATTGATGGGACGTATCTCAAAATAATAAGAGCTATCTATGACAAACCCACAGCCAATATCATACTGAATGGGCAAAAACTGGAAGCATTCCCTTTGAAAACTGGCACAAGACAGGGATGCCCTCTCTCACCACTCCTATTCAACATAGTGTTGGAAGTTCTGGCCAGGGCAATTAGGCAGGAGAAGGAAATAAAGGGTATTCAATTAGGAAAAGAGGAAGTCAAATGTTTTGTATTTTTTAGTAGGGTTTCACCGTGTTAGCCAGGATGGTCTCGATCTCCTGACCTCGTGATCCGCCTGCCTGGCCCTCCCAAAGTGCTGGGATTACAGGCGTGCGCCACCACGCCTGGCCCCTACTTATTATATTTTTATTGATTCTTTTAATTTTTTCTTCAGTTTTTTGGGAATTTTCTATTATTCACTTCTAATTTTTTTATGCCTTAATTTTTTTGGAACACATCCATCTTTTCTCCTAAGATTTTATCATGTGCTTTCCTGAAAGTTTAAAGAAAACCAGCTTCATTTCATCTGAAATAATACAAAAAAATTAAAAGTTTACCCCTACCGCAGATAGTAGGGAAATATTGAGCCAAAATATAACTTTAATATTTAAATTATCAATAATTCATACCTAATTTAAAAGATAGCTTTTTCACCAAGGTTTCTTGCATGTTAAATTTATTTTTTGACTTTGTTCATGTTATTCTAGTTTAAAAATTTTAATGATTTCTGCATGCCAAACATTTTTACTTTTTATTATGAAGTTCACTTATCTTTCTGCCTATGTAATTGTTGGATAATATTTTCACATTAAAAGCTCAAACTTTTACAAACTTATATGTTACTGTATCTCCATGAAAATTTTGTGTAAGATTAGAATATTCAATTAATAACCTCATTTAGCTGAATAAAGTTTTATTTTTTTCATTTCTTTGATTACTGTTTCTCTTCTACCTGCCTTTTTCTGTTCTGGGATTCCTATTACATGAATGCTGGATTTCTTATATTAGTCTTCCACGTTTCTCATACTAAGAGAACGATTTTGTTATCCTTATTCATTTTTTTAATTCCAGGAAAATAATACTGAGCTGATCATATAATGGCTACATTTTCAAATTGTTGCTTATTTTTTCTGTGGCATATTTATTCCTGCCTTTTATCTTGAAGTAATCCATTTTTCATTTGTGAATCCTGGCTTTAGGTCATAGATAAATATTTTTAGTGCTATAAATTGGAGAATTTCTAGATTTTCACTGGCTTATTTGAAGAAATCTTATTTGTAAGGGAATATTTCTACTTCATTTTCTCAACTGACCTCATCTAACTTGATACATAATTTTATACATCAAGCAATTTTTGCTTGTTTGCTTTCATTTTATATTTTCTGTATATTATGATATATATCATATATACATCACATAAATAGTCATATATACAGGATTTTGGAATTGTGAAAACTGAGCTGACTTTCAGATTGTGTGAGCTTTTGCTCCTTTCATGTACAGATTACAGACATGTTCTGAAAAAAGGAGAACCCTTGCTGATGACTGGAAATGCAAACTGAAAAATGGTGAGAAAGGGAGAAGAGAGAGGGAATAAGATCTGCAGCCCTCTACATAATAATGAGGAGGGGATATTCTGTACCCAAGGAAGTTTTGGCAATATCTAAGGATATTTTGATTGTCAAAACTGGAGGGAAGCCACTGGCATCTAGTAGATAGAAGCCTAGGATGCTACTAAACCTCCTACAACTCACAGAATAGCTCTCCACAACAATGAATTAGCCAGTCTAAAGTGTCAATAGTGTTGAGCTTGGGAAATTGTTGCTTACAGATTTATAGAAATGAAAAGGAACCCATGCTTAAGGAAAGGAAGGGAGCAAAGTAGTCAAGAAAAGGTATGAGAGAGCGGAGGTAAGATCATTGCAACAACAACAACAAAAAGATTAGATACTGGGAATAGCATAGAAGTGCCCTGACATAAAATAAAACATGATCCTTCTTTCATCTCCCCAAGAACTTTTAGCAAAAAATATATGTCATTCAGCTTACTTTGAGTGTTGCATTTCTGTTATTTGTGTATTTGCTTTTTCAACAATATTCTAAGAATGATTCCCCAGCAGGCAAAGCAGAAATTATCAAAAGATCACTGTAACATTATCATTACATTTATAATTATTGTAGTTGTACTTAGCCATATTGAAAGTTTCGTACCCTTTGAGAAATACCTGGGGTGAAATAGCTAGCTGATATAACAAGTAAACTAAATATTGTTCATATCTGTGATGGTTAACATTGCGTGTCCACTTGATTGGATTGAAGGAGGCAAAGTATTGTTCCTGGGTGTGTCTGTGAGGGTGTTGCCGAAGGAGATTAACATTTGAGTCAGTGGACTGAAAGACACAGACCCTCAATCTGGGTGGGCACCATCTAAAATCAGCTGCTAGCATAAAAGCAGGCATGGAAAGAGCAGACTTGCTGAGTCTTCTGGCCTTCATCTTTCTCCCATGATGGATGTTTCTTACCTTCAAACATCAGACTCCAAGTTCTTCAGCTTTTGGACTCTTGGACTTTCACCAGTGATTTGCCAGGGGCACTCAGGCCTTCAGCCACAGACTGAAGTCTGCACTATCAGCTTCCCTACTTTTGAGGTTTTGGGACTGGGACTGGTTTCCTGGCTCTTCAGCTTACAGACGGCCTATTGTGGGACTTCACCTTGAGATTGTGTGAGTCATTTCTCCTAATAAACTCCCCTTCATATGTTCATCTATCCCGTTAATTCTGTCTCTTTAGAGAACTGTGACTAATAAAATATCTTAGCCCAAAGTAAGTGAATTTCTATTTAGGGCTCATACAAGTGTTACTGGTCAGCAAGAGGCTTTCGTTCTGTGATAATTTAGAGACTTTGGATCCATCAATTTTTGGTCCTACCATTCCAGAGTCTTCTGCCTCTGGTCAGCACATGAAAGATAACAGAGTGAAAGGGGCTCTAAGGGCTTGTTTAGAGGTTCTAGCAAGTGAGCACAGCTACACATGTACCTTTGACTGAAGAACAATTCTCTTCTATCAGAGAAGATTGTCTTCTTCAACTGACTGCACAGTCTGGGGAGGGATGCACATGGATTTGTGAGGAAGGAAGAAGGCAACCAAAAGAGACCTCAAATAGACAAAGCAATCGTGAGCAAAAAGAACAAAGCTGGAGGAATCAAAATTTCTAACCACAAAATATGATATAAAGCTGGAGTAACCAAAAGAGTATGGTACTGGCCTAAGACACATAGACCAATGGAAAAGAACTGAGAAACCAGAAATACATTCACACATTTATGTTCAACTAATTTTTGACAAAGTTGCCAGGAGTGCACAATGGGAAAAAAACAATCTCTTCAACAAATGGTGTTAAAACAACTGGATATCCACATCCAGAAGAATGAACTTAAACCCTTATCTCATGCCACATACAAAACGCAACTCAAAATGATTAAAGGCTTAAACATAAGGCCTAAACTGTAAAACTACTAGAAGAAAATATAGGAGAAAATCTCCTTGACATTGGTCTGGGCAATGATTTTTTGAATATGAATCTGAAAGCACAAACAACAAAGGCAAAAATAGACAAATGGAATTACAGCAACAAGAAAACCTTCTGCACAGCAAAGAAAACCATCAACAGAGTGAAGAGGCAAAATATGGAATAGGAGAAAATCTTTCTAAACCATACATTTGATAAGGGGTTAGTATCCAAAATATATAAAAAACTCAAACAACTCAAAAGTAAGAAAAAACACAATTAGAAATCAGCAAGTGATCTAAATAGATATTTCTCACAAGAAGACATATAAATGGCCAACAGGTATAGGAAAAAATGTTCAATATAACTAATAATTAGAAAAATGCAAATTAAAATCACAATGAGATATCACCTCACACCTGTTAGAATGGCTATTGCAAAAAAAAAAAAAAGTGTTGGAGAGGATGTGGATAAAAGGGAACTCTAGTACACTGTTAGTGGGAATATAAATTGGTACAGCCATTATGGTAAACAGCATGGACATTCCTCAAAAAATTAAAAATAGAACTATCATGATTTAGCAATTTCATCTCTGGCCTTTTACCAGGGTAACTGCGCATTGAGGAAAGGGAAATGATCAGACATTTCACGGACTACTGGACACTGGCTCTGAGCTGATGTTGATTCCAGGGGACCCAAAACGTCATTGTGGTCCTCCAGTTAAAGCAGAGGATTATGGAAGTCAGGTCATTAATGGAGTTTTAGCTCAGGTCCAACTTACAGTGGGTCCTGTGGGTCCCCAGACTCATCCTGTCATTTCCCCAGTGCCAGAATGCATAATTAGCATGGACATACTGAGCAGCTGAAAGACCCCCACACTGGCTCCCTGACTGGTAGGGTAAGGATCATTATGGTGGGAAAGGCTAAATGGAAGCCATAGTAAATAGTAAATCTATTTAAAAAAATATATATTTTATACATATATAATAAAATAAAACAATGTAGAATCCCTGGAGGGACTGCGAGATTAGTGCCACCATCAACGACTTGAAGGATGCAGGGGTGGTGATTCCCACCACATCCTCATTCAACTCTCCCATTTAGCCTGTGCAGAAGACAGATGGATCTTGGGGAATGACAGTGGATTATCATAAGCTTAACCATGTAGTGATTCCTATTGCAGCTGCTGTACCAGATGTGGTTTCATTGCATGAGCAAATTGACACATCTCCTGATACCTGGTATCTAGCCATTCACTTGGCAAATGGCTTTTTCTCCATTGCTGTCCATAAGGCCCACAGAAGCAATTTGCCTTCAGTTGGCAAGGCCAGCAATATATCTTTGCTTTCCTACCTCAGTGGTATATCAACTCTCTGGCTTTGTGTCATAATCTTATTTGGAGAGAACTTGATCGCTTTTTGCTTCCACCAGATATCACACTGGTTGGTTACATTGATGACATTATGCTGATTGGATCCAGTGAGCAAGAAGTAGCAGACACACTGGACTTATTGGTGAGATATTTGTGTGCCAGAGTATAGGAAATTAATCAGACTAAAATTCAGGGACCTTCTACCTTAGTAAAATGTCTAGGGGTCCAGTGGTGTGGGGCTTGTCGAGATAGTCCTTCTAAGGTGAAGGATAAGTTGCTGCATTTGCTCCCTCCTACAACCAAGAAAGAGGCACAGCACCCAGTGGCCCTGTTTGGATTTTGGAGGCAACACATTCCTCATTTGGGTGTGTTACTCCGGCCCGTTTATCTAGTGACCCAAAAGGCTGCCAGTTTCGAATGTGATCCAGAACAGGAGAAGGCTCTGCAACAGGTCCAGGCTGCTGTTCAAGCTGCTCTGCAACTTGGGCCATATGACCCAGCAGATGCAATAGTGCTTGTGGTGTCAGTGGCAGGAGGATTTTAATAATCAAGTGGATAGAATGACCCATTCTGTGGACACCACTCAGCCTCTTTCCCCAGCCACCCCTGTCATCACCCAATGAGCCTATGAACAAAGTGGCCATCATGGCAGGGATTCAGGTTATATCTGGGCCTAGCAACATGACTTCCACTCACTAAGGCTGACCTGGCTACAGGTACTGCTGAGTGCCCAATTTGCCAGCAGCAGAGACCAACAATGAGCCTTCGATATGGCACCATTCCTCAGGGCGATCAGCCAGCTACCTGGTGGAAGGTTGATTATATTGGACCTCTTCCATCAAGGAAAGGGCAGAGGTTTGTCCTCACTGGAATAGACACTTACTCTGGATATGGGTTTGCCTGTCCTGCATGCAATGCTTCTGCCAAGACTACCATCCATGAACTCACGGAATGCCTTATTCACCATCATGGTATTCCACACAGCATTGCCTCTGACCAAGGCACTCACTTTATGGCCTTCATGACTAATTCATATTTCTAAAGGAAAGTGAAGAATGACTGATACCACTTTCAATTTTATCCATTATCTATTTTAGCTTCTGATAATGTTCAGATTAATCACCTCATTGCTGTATTCTGCATTTTGCATGATTGAGATTTCACATTAAGAAGGCCAAAGGACTCTAGTTCTGTGAATATTAATGACTAGGTTGGCTTGTTAAATTATTTTTGCCAAGTTACCTTTGGCTTTTAATAACCATTAACAGTAGAAACAGTGGTCATATACTTTTCAGATAGAGTTTTCTGTAACCTTCTCCTGGGGAATAAGAGTAACTGAGAAAAACTATCATATGGGATGAGAAGAACTTTTTGAAAGCAAAGGAAGAAGGTCATATTGTCTACTTCAGTTCAAAAACAAAATTTTCAGCCCAAGTATCCTTAATGGCAGAGAGGAGTTAAACATAGACTGGAGGAACTGAGAACGGAAGCCCAAAGCTGATTTTTCCAAGATTTAATTGGCTTTATTTTTTCTGTGAAAGTTGTAAAACAATCCTGAGGTAAATTTACAAAATTCAAAAAGCACACATGCACAATTAGTGGCCCACAACTAACAGATCCATATATATTATCCTAATCTTGTTTCTGCATGTAAGTACATATTTTTAATTAATTAATTCATTCATTATTAAGAGCTACCTCTGTTCAATCTAGATCAGCAGCTCTCAACCAGGGCACCTTTGCCTTCATAGGACATTTGCAAATATCTGGATAAGTTTTTGCCTACTGATACCTAGTGTGTAGAGGCCGGGGATAGTACAGAACATCCTACAATAACAAGACATCCTCTCACATCAAAAAATTATCCATCCCCAAATGTCACTAGTGCTGATGTGTAGAAACTTTAATGTAGATGCTAGGAATTCAGTGGTTTATAAAACAAAGTTGCTGCTTTTATGAAGCTTTTCTCTGTTTGAGTAGTAAACAAATACGTAAAATGGAGGCAAAACATGGGACTTATGGGAACTACAAGATGAAATTTGCATCGGGACACAGAGCCAAACCATATCAGACAGCTGAATTAGAAGCTGGGATTCAATATTGTGATTATTCAGGTCAGTTTTTTTTTTTTTTTTTGCCACCAAATCTAGAGTTTTTATTTTCCTGTTCTATTGTTCAAGAAATACCCCAGAGGGCTGTCCAACTACTTCATTAGTAAAGACACCATGATCAACTAGCAACTGCCAAATAACTCTCCAGGCCAAAGCACTCTGATTACTGCTATGTGCCTGCTTCCCTTTCCAGTAGACATACCCCTCTTGTATTTTGTGGTTAAGCCTGGCCTCTGCTACTCCTGGATTTCATCAACTCCATTGAAATCAGGGAACCCTTCTCAGTGGTAGGAATCTTAGGATCATACCTGACTTACTAAAAGTACACAATTTGAGGTGCTTAGGAAGCTCTTGGCCGCTAGTTGCTGCTAGACACAGTGCAGTGCAGGAGCCTGGCCAGAGCAACACATCAAAACCAGAAAGTAAGTTGTCCTCTTCAAGTGTCCCTCTAGCGCCATCTACTGATAGTTTACATTGTCCTGGCTGTCAAAGAAGGAATATTTACAGGGTCCAAATTCTTCATCATAGAAAAGACAACTTGAAGCTAAGGGGCAATAAATTGATAACTAGCATACCTTCTACTGTAAAAGTTTAACCATGACCATTTGGAGGCTTAAATGGAAGCTTCAAAGCCTTGGGGAACCAGAATTTATTTTTGCTCTGCCCTCATTGAAGATGTCTTAAGAACACAACCAAATACGAGGAAGCAAGATGGAGAAAAAGAAGCAGCATGCTCCTTTCCTTTAAAGTGGTGACTTGGAATCTGTACACGTTGCTTCCACATGTGTACCCATGTCCATAACCTAGTCACAGAGACACAACTAATAGTTACCTGGGAGGCTGCAGTCTTTAGCTGTGCAGCCAGTGACCAACTAAAATTCAAGGTTTCAATTACTATAGTAAGAATGGAGAATGGATATTGAAAACCAACTCCACTGCTATCTCAGTGACATCAAATTTGGAATGTTTATTAGACATCCAAATCTGCCTCATGCACCACCACTAAACTGAAATCATACAGTACCTGTTTTGTGATTGAACTTCTCCATTTAAAATATGTCTCATATTTCATAACGAGAAACATTTTACTGCATCCTGACACCAAATGTTGCATTAGAGTTTATTTTATTAAAAGCCTATAATGTATTCGATCAGTCCCTTACTCCTAGACATTTCTGCTGCTTCCAATTTTTAGTATAAGAATAAAGCTCTATGTATTAGATAAGACTCTGCACACATTCTTATTTTTTTCATGTACGATGTGTTCTGAAAAGCTGTATTATCCAGTCAATAAGTATATGAATTTTTAAATGTTTGGTTATGTGTTGATAAATTACTTCTCAGAACAATATAAACCCACAGTGATGCATGAGATGCCTATTTATATCTCAGAACAATATAAACCCACAGTGATGCATGAGATGCCTATAACACCCGATTTTTGTTTTATTTTTATTACTTGTCCATTTATTTGAGTCATTTGTAATTCTTCCTATCTATACTTTTGTAAAATATTTAATAAGATATGTTGTAATGTATTCTGATCAGAGATTTATACAATGTATACATAATATGACTCCATTTTAATGGGCTATATTTTTTTATGGGAAATATTGATATTTGTATATGGAAATATTGATATTCACTTTTTATCTGCACAAAGTACTTGCTTCCATATGATTCTTTTTAGTTTTCTAGCTATAAACTCACTTCATCTATAAATAGTGATTAGATTGTTGTGGCTGTAATAGTTCACATTTCTTTTTCTTTTCTTTTGTTTCAGCTGAAATATCTAAAGCACTATTAAATGCTTTAGAGGTGATACCAGTTGATCTTGTCTAGTTTCTCAGTGTAATTAGAACGCCTATACTATTTCACCACTAAGTATAATGCCATTGGTTAATACTATTACTCTGCATCATAATTGAGAAGCGTCTTTCTGTTACCAATGTATCAAGATTCAATCATCCAGACAATAGTTTATCCTACAGGACTGTGGCATCAGCAGTGTTCTAGTTAACTTCAGGAGACATACATATAACAAAGTCTGTGAAAAATTGTAGAGATTTGGGGTTTTGTTTGCAATGCTTACTGCTCAGTGGGGAATTACAGGTAACTCATTATCTGATTTTTGGGGCTTTGAAGTTTGGCGCTTGTGACCTGACACGGGTACTCCTAAACTGATAAGGACATTAACAAAAATTAAGGTAGACCTGGAATTACAAGTCTGAAGAAACCCAATCTCCACCACATGAATAAGTCAGAAAATTTCGCTTTCCACTACTCTGATATATGTCCTGCACATCAATTGTAATTCTAATATGTAGGTGAAGGCTTTGCACATAGTAGGTACTCAATACACATTGCTGAATGAAATTGTATAACCCTGTAAAATCAATAGCAAGCTAGTTACTTCCTAGATACTATGGTGGTATAGGCGTTGGATAAATACAGCCATTCCAAATGGGAGAAACTGGCCAAAACAAAGGGGTTACAGGGCCCATTCAAGTCCAAAATCCAGTGGGGCAGTCAAATTTTAAATCTCCAAAGTGATCTCCTTTGAATCCAGGTCTCACATCCAGGTCACGCTGATGCAAGAGGTGGGTTCCCATGGTCTTAGGCAGCTCCACCCCTGTGGCTTTGCAGGGTACGGTCTCACTCCTGACAGCTTTCATGGGCTGGCGTTGAGTGTCTGCGGCTTTTCCAGGTGCACAGTACGAGCTGTGGGTGGATCTAGCATTCGGAGGTCTGGAGGAGGGAGGATGGTGGCCCTCTTCTCACAGTTCCACTAGGCAGTGCCCCAGCCCTGCCCTAGCAGAGGTTCTCCATGAGGGCACTGCCCCCGCAGCAAACTTTTGCCCCAGCATCCAGGCGTTTCTATATATCTTCTGAAATCTAGGCGGAGGTTCCCAAGCCTCAATTCTTGACTTCTATGCACCTGTGGGCTCAACACCACGTGGAAGCTCCCAAGGCTTGGGGCTTCCTCCCTCTGAAGCCACAGCTCAGGCTCTTTGTTGTCCCCTTTCAGCCATGGCTGGAGCAGCTGGGACACAGAGAACCAAGTCCCTAAGCTGCACACAGCCTGGGACCCTGGGGCCGGCCCATGAAACCACTTTTTCCTTCTGGGCTTCCAGGCCTGTGATGGGAAGGACTGCTGTGAAGGTCTCTGAAATGGCCTGGAGACATTTTCCCCACGGTCTTGGGGATTAACATTAGGCTCCTTGCTACTTATGCAAATTTCTGCAGTCTGCTTGAATTTCTTCTCAAAAAATTGGTTCTTCTTTTCTACTGCATTGTCATGCTGCAAATTTTCTGAACTTTTATGTTCTGTTTCCCTTTTAAAACGGAATGCTTTTAACAGCAACCAAGTCACCTTTAGAATGCTTTGCTGCTTAGAAATTTCTTCTGCCAGATACCCTAAATCATCTCTCTCAAGTTCAAAGTCTCATAAATCTCTAGGGCAGGAGCAAAATGCCAGCCGTCTTTTTGCTAAAATATAACAAGAGTCACCTTTGCCCCAGTTCCTAAGTTCCTCATCTCCATCTGAGACCACCTCAGCCTGGACCTTATTGTTGGTATCACTATCAGCATTTTTGTCAAAGCCGTTCAACAAGTCTCTAGGAGGTTGCAAACTTTCCCATATTTTCCTGTCTTTTGAGACTTCCAAACTGTTCCAATCTCTGCCTGCTATCCAGTTCCAAAGTCACTCCCACATTTTCAGGTATCTTTTCAGCAACTCCTCTCTCTACTGATGTCAATTTACTGTATTAGTTCATTTTCACACTGCTGATAAAGACATACCCAAGACTGGGAGGAAAAAGAGGTTTTATTGGACTTAAAGTTCCACATGGCTGGGGAGGCCTCAGAATCATGGTGGGAGTCAAATGGTGCTTCTTACATGGTGGCAGCAAGAGAAAATGAGGAAGAAGCAAAAGCGGAAACCCCTGATAAACTCTTCAGATCTTGTGAGACTTATTTACTATCACGAGAATAGCACAGGGAAGACTGGCCGGCCCCCATGTTTCAATTACCTTCCCCTGGGTCCCTCCCACAACACATGGGAATTCTGGGAGATAGAATTCAAGTTGAGATTTGGGTGGGAACACAGCCAAACTACATGAAATGGCAAAAGAATAAACTAATAGAATAGGAAAAAAATAGCTTACAGTTTTATGAAAGACAGTGAATTAATATTTTTGCTTTGTAAAAAGAATTTTCTAAATAAAATTTAAAATGGAATATCTCAATATAAAAGTGAGGCAAGGCCTGAAATATTGAATCACAAAAGAAATATAGATGACTAACAGGCATTTTGGAAAAAAAAGCTTGAGCTTAACAGAAAAAATGAATTGTTAAAAGATACCGTTATTCTCAAATTGTATAACAGCAAACTTTTAAAAGTGATCATCTTCAATGATTTCAGAACTGCCATGGTATGCAAATTAGAAAGCAAACTGGTATAATATTTTGGAGATGATTAAGATACATATGCATTGCAATATTTTGTATACTAATTTCACATCTAGAATTAACAATAAGTTATTCATATTGGTGTTTGTGTGACTATCTAGAGGGATAATCACAGAAATTTTGTATCATTGTTAAATTGAAAATAACATAAATATCCAATCACATAGAAAGTTCATTCATTAATTTAGCCAGTGTTTGATTTGCCAATATGTTCCAGACAATGTGTTAGGGGTTCTAAGAAGAATGATTTTTTTTTTTAAGTAATTATTCTATGCTGGATGTGTTAAATGGGTTATATATAGTGTATACTACTTTCTTCTACTTAAAGTACCACCAAATGGTATATTTCAGTTGTTTTGATTTTACTGATGAATAAACTGAAGTAAAAGAGTTTACATAACTTGTGCAAAATGTTAGAGTACATGGAAGTACCTGAAAATGAGTCCAAAAGTTGTAATTCGTGCTTTTAAGCAATAAAACTTACTAGTATTAATCAAATGGCATTCGTTTGCTATTTATTACACATTTCTGAGACTTTCATAAATATTATATTTATGTAATAGCTTAATAAAGTAAATACAAGTATTATGCTAGTTTATCAGGTTAGGACATCATTGTACTAGAAGGACAGAGTAACTTATCTAAGTTCCTCACATAGAAGGTAGAAACCAGGATTAAAAATAGGTAGTCTTAAATCAAAGAATAAACTACTGACTTATAATTTTAGGGAAAATATTTCATTAAAACATTCTTGCTGAAAATGATTTTTAAAACTTTATCTCTTACTTGATAAATTATATTAGAAAAATTACAATTGATAATATAATATAAACTTTTTAAACCAAACAACATAGCAACAGATAATTAGACATACTATTTGTAAAATATAGAAATTTATAAGAGTGGAGACCAGCAAATATAAAGAGGAAAGAATAAAATATTGAAATAAATATTTTAGAAGGCATTTTCTAGGAAAGATCGGTGTCTTCAACTTAAAAGAGCATTTGAAGTACCAGATAATATTAAATAAAGACACACTGACCAAATAAAATGTGATTTTATTTTTTAAATTTTCAAAATAAAAATATTTATATTCACTCAGATTAAAAAATATATAGCTTACAAATATAAAAATTACACATTTAATTCTGCCTTACTTTCCCAAATACTAAATATTGAAAGATAACATTTTCAATATTTTCATAGTTTAGCATAAATTAACACTCAGTCAAATTATAGTTAATATGTAAATTTTATAGAAAGATATGATGGGCTATTAGTTGAAACAAATAAACCACAAAACATACTACCTTTTCTGGAAAGTAAATTCTTAAATAAATAGTCCAACCAATCAAGAAAATTAAAAGAATCAAACACAAACCAAAAATAAGGAAGACATATTCAATTAAAAGCTAATATTGATGAAAAAATACAATTAAGGTTTGCATTTAAAGAATTAACGTTAACTTTTTACTAAATAATATATATATATATATTTTTTTTTTCTGAGACAGAGTGTCACTCTGTCACCCAGGCTGAGTGCAGTGGCACGATCTTGCTCACTGCAACCTTCACCTCCTGGGCTCAAGCGATTCTCCTGTCGCAGCCTCCTGAGTAGCTGGGATTACAGGCATGCACCACCACGCCCGGCTAATTTTTGTATTTTTATTAAAGATGGCATTTTGCCATGTTTTTCAGGCTGGTCACGAACTCCTAACCTCAAGTGATTTGCCCACCTTGGCCTCCTAAAGTGCTGGGATTACAGGCGTGAGCCACCATGCCCGGCCTAAATAATAAATTATACTAAGAAATTCTTGAATGAGAAACATATCAAGCTGTATGAAACAATTAATAAACGGGATCTGAAATCACAGATCATTTCAGTGATTTGGAATTCAGTATTGTTGAGAAAAATTGAAGATTTACTGCATTTTCTATCTTCCTCAGAAAGATTCTAGCTCAATAGAAAAAAAATTGCAAAATAAAAATTCATAAAGATAAAAAGAAATATTTGTAAAAAAAATCAAGAATCACACACAGAAAGAATAATGTAGAGAAATGTTCTAAAAAGTAAATATGAAGACACATTACATATATAAGCAAATTAATAAAAATGGGAAATTAATAGGAAATATGGAAATTAATAGAAATTAATAGGAAATAAGGAAATTAACAGGAAATATGGAAAGAATAATGATAATATCAGACAAAATATACTTGATATAGTTTGGATATTTGCCCAAACTTCATGTTGAATTGTAATCCTCAATGTTGGAAGTGGGGCCTGATGGGAAGTGTTTGGGACATGGGGCCGGTTCCCTCATGGCTTGGTGCTGTCTTAGATGTAGTGAGTTCTCTGGAGATCTGTTCATTTAAAAGTGTGGCACCTACTCCTTGCACCCGCTCTCTGGCCCCTGCTTTAAATATGTACTGTACCTACTCCCACTTCACCTTATGCCATGAGTAAAAGCTTTCTGAGGCTTCCCCAGTAGCAGAGTGATGTCAGTGCCATGTTTATATAGCCTGAAGAACTGTGAGCCAATTAAACCTCTTTTCTTTAGAAAGTACTCAGTCTCTGATATTTCTTCATAACCATACAAGAAGGGCCTAATATAATACTTTAAGATAAACAATCTATAACTAGATTAAAAGGATCTTTATAGTCATGTATTTATAAATATATATTCCCCTTACATATTAAACATATGTAAACAAATATTTTATATAGTTCTGTTTATAAAATATAAAATTAAAAATAAAGTTATAAATGTCTTCCACATATGTATACCCTCAAAAGTGAATTGAAATAAATCAAAAATTGCTGCAATATGAAAGACCATTTGACACACCATGACATCAGAGTGTTACATGAGTGTTTAAGGCTTTGACTACCTAAGCAGGCAAACATAAACACACACACACACACACACACACATTGATGATAGCTATATCGAGATATAGATGATTGTTCAATGAAAACGTTGTTCAAGATAATAAAAACATTTAATTATATTTGTATCTAATATACATATATGCCTATAGATACACTATAGCATATATAAACCTATTTTACATCAAACATTTGCACTTTAATGAATATGTTTTTGGTTTACATATATCCTTGGAATAAAAATAAGCTTTGATAATATTTTAGGCACCAGAAAAGTTACAGTACATTCACAATTTAGCAATTCTATCAACCATATCCTTCAGCTTCAATTAGTAGAGGTTTAATTTAACTGCAAAAATTATTTATTGAGTATATATTATCTTCCAGGCAATGGATTTACTCAGAAACTGGTAGATTTTTTTGAATCAATAATAACTGAGTTAGAGATTCTAATCATTTTGAAGTTAGTAAAATATGTCTTTTTATAGCAAAGAATTAAAACTGCAAATTGCCATTTCAAAGTAATTACAAACTATTATTAATAATAATAACATTTATTAAAAGTAACATCACATTAGCAAAGGTGTAATGTCAACTAATAGCCAAAAAATTTAAACAAGAAAACGTAATAAGAAGAAAGTATAATAAGCTAAATGGAATAAATGTTGGAGGATGTAATTGATGATAAAGATAAAATTAGCATGTAGTTTATTCAATTATAGAAAAAGGAGAATTGATAAAGGGAAGACAAATTTATTTAAAAAATAATAAAATAGACAAACTCAGATAAGTTCACTCACCACCAAGAAGGAAGACAAAATTTTAAAATATTATGTATGAAAAAAGAATATATTAACACTGATATAGATGTGATTTTTAAAACATAATTCTAATGTGCTAATTTGAAAACCATAATAAACTATACTATTTTGAAGGAACTTACAATTTTAAAATATTGTTCACGAACAGTTAGGATAATTTAAGTACAATAGTAATAGCTAAATAATAATGCAAGAAACTGAAAGAGTTGTCAAAGAACTAAGCAGAAAAGAGTAATCTCATGCAAATAGTTTTCATACTAGGTTTTAGGAAAATTCATTTATGTTCTATTTTAACTGCTTAGGGATTTAAAAAATCTTAAGAGTCTCTAAAATCATTTTATAAAACTTATATAACCTGAGAAAGAACAGACACACAAGGAAATTAATGTTGGTTTTGCATACAGAGTCAAAAATACTAACTATGTTAACCAAAAAAGCTTACATATAAACTAGTGAGATTCATTCTGGGAGTGGGAAAAGAGTCTAATAATAAGAAATACACCAACAGAATTTATTATGTAAATTATATGAGAGAAGAGAGATTTTGCCTTTGTATATTATTTCATCCCCAGTGACTATAATAGTATGTATTTTATATCAATTGCTCAATAAACATTATCTGAATGACTCTTCATCATCAGTAAGTGGAGGAAAAATACATATAAAGTAACAATAGCTAGGATTTTATTCATTGCTTACTATTTATCAGGCACTGTACTAGACGCTTAATCTAGTTAATTCCCACATCTACCAGTGAAGTGGGTAGAAAAAGTATGTAAGCAAACTGAGGCATAGAGCAAGTAAATTGCTCAGTCGTGTGGTGAAGCTGAATGAAGCTTCAGTGAGGGAAGTCTGCCTCTGATCTAGAAACTACACTATATTGTTTATAACGTTTACATGACAGAAGAGCAATTGATAGGATTCAGTATTTATTACCAAAAAATTTTAACAAATCTCATTGATTAATATACTATAAGGATAATTTTTCTTAATACCAAAATAAAAATAAATGTATATGTAATAATTATAATAGCCAGAAATATGCTGAGCTATCATATGGACTAGGAAACACCAGAAGCATTCTCATTACAACTAGAAAACAGGACATGAATAGCACAACTTTATTTAGGACTTTAGGACTGTTTCGGGGTTTGCAATGAGACAGTAATTAGAAACTCTGAATATTCTAAAATAGTCAAAAGTGACACTATTTGCAGATAATGTTACTTTGTTTTTAAAATTTTAATTACAAAATATTCAAAATATGTTGATGATAATACAACTCCATTATATGGACTACCAAAATGTAATAGTTATAAAATTTTGCCATGTAGTCATCTTATTTCTTATCTATAAAAATATGAATGAAAAATTACAGGTAAAACTAAAGCTCCACCCCTAAATTATGTGGACACTTTCCCTTCCCCTACTTCCAAATTAGTATTACTATCTTGAAATTGATTTGAGTATTTCTTATCCATGGTTTTGTATTTTCCAACATATATGTGTATCTTAACAACAGATAATATGGTTTGCATTTTTTATAACTTAACTACATTTGCTTTTTTTTTTAGGTAGAGTCATTTATACATTACATTTTGAGATTCATTCATGTTGTTATTGGGAGTCAATTTGTTAATGTAAATAATATACATACTGTTTAATGGGTTTTGATAATCAAGGTATAGGAATTTCCATCACCCCATAAAGGTCTCGGTGTCCCGTTCATTGACCTCGGTTTTCCTCCTCCCAGCATCAGGGTTTCTTTCACTGTATGTAGATTTATATCCAACAAGTTTTTATGGTTTGTAAGTAATTCTCTGGTTGCTTTTAAGATTGGGCTTGGTCCTTCAGGTTCATTGTTATGTATCTAAGTTGAGATTTATTTTTAATTATTTTGCTTAAGATTTTTTAAAAAACTTTTCACCAATTTAGGAAAATTCTCAGCAAGTACAAATTCTATTGCTTCTTTTCCCCAATTTCTTTATCTATTTCTCTAAATCCTATTATTCACAGGTAGGATCTTTTCACTTTGTCTTTTATTTTGTAGCATTTTTACTGCTCCATTCTTTACAATTTCTTCATATCTAACTTGGATTTGATGAGTTCTATCCATGTAAATGTCCAATCTACTGTAGAACTCATCTACTGGCTTTTTGGGTTTCTTTATAATCTTTAAAATATGTAGATATGGTTTAGCTCTTTTAAAAATCTAACCACTCTTTTATTTAAAAAAAAAACAAGATTCCAACACTTAGTTTCTTAACCATTGTAAAAAGATATTTTTATTATATTTTAGATTATTTTTTCATTACCTGATATTGATCCTTTCAATTATTGATGTTTAAGATTTGCTTACTATACCAGTTTATTACTTTCTTGTGTACTGTGTAAATTCTGATGATAAATTCACATTTATAGGGCTTTTATTTCTTTGTTTTAGAATTCCTTGTGCCTCAGGATGATCTCTCTAGAGTGATTTTTATTGCTTTCTGCAAATCAATGCTTACATGATCGGTTTGGTTTAATATCACTATCTATATCAATTTCTCAGATTAAAAGTTCCAGGTCCACTCAGGTTGCATGAACTGGAACACCAAATTTCGTTAAGTTATATGCTAGAGGTTTTAAATTCTCATAGAAGACTTTTCTACATCAAGAGCTCAAGCAAATATATGCAACATTTTTGTCATCTCTCATAATTTTTTAATATTTATATTTGTATCTGAGATTGAACAAAGTTTCTTCAAACAGATTATCTTTATTAGAGAAATAACTGCATCAGTTTCAATTCTTCCTTTTTCTTGAGTTATGCAGTAGGGTTGAGGAATCTTGAAATATAAATTTGGGAGTTTATATAAGACACATGTCATAGAACTTCTTCGTCCTCTCCAAGAAAAGGAGGGGGGAAACCCTCTTT
Source organism: Homo sapiens (assembly GCF_000001405.40). Taxonomy (NCBI): domain Eukaryota; kingdom Metazoa; phylum Chordata; class Mammalia; order Primates; family Hominidae; genus Homo; species Homo sapiens. Next base: position 76,610,608 of record NC_000002.12, read on the forward strand.
GTCTATTGTAAGTAAATCCTTTGGAATTTAAATGATAGCTCCAGGTATCATTCTCCTTAGCAATAATGCCTCCGGGGAGAAAACTTTCTCCTCCAGAGAGATGGAAATCATGTTTTAAATTCCAAGGCCTGCCCTTTAACCATGTTTTAGGTTTCTCTGTTCAGAAGGCCTTAACCATGCAGATATCAAAATATTTTCTCTACAATAACACAGTCTCCGAGTGTAGGTAAGTAAAAATTTTCAATATCATTTGTTCAAATAAGATGCATGCAGGCTTTCTGATAGTCCCAAACACATATAAGGGCCTTAATTCCAACTCCACAATTCACTCAGTTTGAAGGTATTATTATTATTATTATTATTTTACCTGCCTGGATATTAAAACTCAGGCCTACATTGCCAGGATCAGGAATCCCCTCAAACTCCATTCTAATGCAATTGCAGTCATTTTAAGTTCTTTATTTCTGGTACCTGAGAATTTTTCTTTGTTTTTTTGCAAGTTGTTCTTATACTCATTAACTTAAAAAAACACTCATACAGCATTTCTAAGTGTTTATAGTGTTTATGTCTGAAGGATATTCAAGTTATGTTTGTCACATTGTCAGAATTGGGCAACCGATGATTGTATTTTGTAACAGTAATAATAACAGAGGTCAATAAGGTGTCTGGATAAAACATGAATGCAACAGATGTTCAATATGCAGCAATAATCAACTAAAAATGAGTGTGATTTAATCTAATTCAAAATAGTAGCAGCATATGCTCAAGGGTATCTGGTGCTTTACAGAAAAAAATAAGGAAAGAGAAACTCCTGTTGAGACAGCAAATATCCTGACAATATTCATACCTTTTCCCTACTAACTCATATGCTAAACATATATTCTAAGCAAATTATGAGGGATGTGTGCAAAAATGTCTGTAAAAAGATGTTCATGAAAGTGCTTTGTATAGATAGGTAGATATGACTCATAAAATGGAAAAAACTAAATGCTCAATAGCAGGATATTGGTTAGTTAAATTATGGTGTGTAGTGTTAAATAACATGCAGAATTTAGAATTATATTGTAGAACAATATTAACATGAAGACACATTCATAATACAAAAACTTATAAAAAAGCAAGGCACTAAGTATATGTAGAATTCAATATTATATTTGAGATGATAGAAGTATATTAATTATTAGGCATCGTCTATGTGCCAGGCACTCCTTACGTCTGTTATCTTAGTTACTTGTAACACAGACTCTATAAAGAATTATGCTATATATTTAATGTCTGGGAAAATTGAAGCTAGGTTAAGTGCCCAAGGATTCACAGTGAGGAAGTAGAAGGCTAACATAAGAACGAAGTAATTGGCCTTCAGAGGCTGCTTGGTAATAAGGGAATATTCTAAGGCTGCATGTTCATGTCACTCCTTTAATACATTAGATTTTGACTAATTGTCATTTAAGAAATCAAGGCAAACAAAAAATATAATAAAGTGATAATGTGGGTTTCTGGTAGGCATTTAACAAAGATTCATGTAACAGTATAATAATATTAAAGTCTTGGAAGGTTTTAGAGCATGCCATAGTTAATGTGTAAATATTGTATTTAATGAATTTCTCATCCTTTTTATTTCTTATAATTTCTCAATTTATATATAGTGTCAGATTCATTGTCACATGAGCCACTTATAGAAGTCATCATGTTAGAGTTCATTACAACTTATTTTTATTATGTTTATTCTGGTTAGAGATTATGCATATGTCAACAAGGACAAAGGAGAAAGCACTAAAAGGTGTAAAAACAAATTTTCAAGTACCATACTATCCCACGTACCATACCTAGAAACACATGTATCTGGGGCACTATGAATTCATGTGTGGAACTGAAGTTGAGATTCTGGTAAAGAGCAGAATAGGAAAACAAAAAGGAATTAGATTTTGTTGCGTTGTTACTATTTCCCATATCGAACTAAATAACAGGAGACTGTCTTAAAATGAAATTTATTTGAGAGTGGTATTGCAATGGGAATACATGTGCCATAGTAAATTATGTGTGTGTTCAAAGAGGTTGAGGCAATTGAAAGCTTTTAAAGGCAACACGAGGAAGATTACGTAAGTTGTTCTGAATCAATTATCCTTGGCTACCAGAATCAATAGCAAGGGTGGCCTCAGTCCAAGATAGGACAGTTAGCTGCTAGACAGGCATCCTTGCAGAAGTATTTTCTGTGTAAGGTTGCAGTGGCCTTTGTGCAAGATTGTGGTTTTTGCATAGTCTTTTGTGATAGTTCTTATCAGGCATATATGCATGAAAACCCTCCCATCACAACTTTCCTTGGCTCTACTTGTCAGGATTTGACACAAGTGACTCCATTTTGATTCTAACAACTTTCACAACCACATGTGCTGCAGACACGAGTTTAATTAAACATCAGAGTAAGTGTGTTTTTTTGTTTGTTTGTTTTTTTGGAAAAGCAGGTTATTTTACCTTTATTGAGTGAGAAAAGTGAAGTTTGAAGAGCGCTGGGGTGTTTCTGGCAATGCTGGAAATTAAAGCCAGTCTGACCCTCTGAGAAGTGTTATTTCTCTCCTCAAAAGTAGATGGGATTCTGGCTATTCTTTCATGGAGTTTCACTCTCCATTCACAAATCAAACAAATTTTAAGAAGAACCTAATATATTTGCTAGACACTCTACTGGAAGCTAGAAATTGTGAAGGCAATAAGAGTGTCCCCAACAAGGAAGAGCTCTGAGCCAGACAGAGGACAGAGACTAGACATACAATCAGAAAACTGGGTCCCATTGAGATAATTACTGACAGGAGAATATAAGGAGTGCTGCAGGAGGTTGGGGGAAGCCCAGCTTCTCTTGAGTTTTTGGAAATGCTTTCCTAAGGAGGTGGTAGAGATTTAAAGCATTGCAGACAGTAGCCTACAAATAGCTGCTGAGGGCTTCCTGCTGGTAGATTCCTAAAAGCAGCTGCAAGTTCTTACCATACTCCTTTGCATCAGGCACTGTAGGGATCACCTCATGGGAATAATGCAAATTGAAAGTAATGTATTTGATTTTCAGAATCTCATCTCTCCCTTGGAGATTTCACAGCTACCATTATCCCTAGTAATATCAAGTCCTTGAAGAAATGGAAAACATGTCTTCTCTTTCATTCCGGAGGGAATACCAACCTTATAAATAAACCTCTTTTTTTATGTGATTCTTTCTCCAACACTCAAAAAATTAAATCTTAGATGAGCACTAATTATAAACACACACACACAATACAAAGAGTTTATACTTAGAACCTAAAAAATAAAGTATGAAAAATGTCAAAAATGTCTTTTTAAACCTTTTACTCAGTTATATGTTATTGAACCTCAAATATGTTTTTCCAAATAAGACCTATTTTAAAAATCCAAACTCATATATTAAAAGAAAACAAATATCTTTTTGTACCTAAAAATCTGGTTATTTTCATCAACACTTACCCAAGCCATTAAAGTGGATGAATGTTAGACACCTTCCTCAGCTCCATCCAATGGATCACCTTATCTAATTCATTGTCTTTCTTCCTTTAAATTTTTATAATCATTGCCTTAGTTTGTCATCATCATTTATATTAAGTCATTAAGTAGTCACTAAGATTAATCTTAACTATTAATATCTTAGCTCAAATCCTTATTATTTCCCACCTGAATTTTTATAATTACTCCCTAATTGGGCTCCAGGTTTAGAACCAACCTTATTACCAAATGCAAACACAATTAGATGATATATCTACTAAAACAATCCTATATATAGCCCTTCTTTACAAAATTAGTTCTATGTGCCTTACCACGACATGCAAAGTCCTCCATGATCCAATCTTTTCCATTACATTTTCCTTCCATGAACATCATACCTACGCTTCTAAATTCTAACCTGTATTGAATCTTCCAATTTCAGAATTGGCCATGCTCTCTTACGTCTCCACATATTTTTCTTTTCACTTGCTATTTTTCTGTTAGGGAGTCTCTTCCCATTTCTCAACTATTTAGTACTTCAAATATTATCCCTAGTAAAACTCCTTTACTTACCTAGATGAAGTTAGGTATTTCTTTTTCCTGGAGTCCAAACTCTCTTGAGATTCTTTGACTGAATTTGTGTAAGTCCTAATTACTTTTTCCCCAGTAGCACAGCATTTTAAATAGGGCCACATTAGCATCTATACCTTTTTTTTTTTTTTTTATTTTCTACCTTCTATTTCAGGAACTCCGTTCTATTGCTACCTCCTTATTATTTCTGGTTGTCCCTGGTTATCTATCTAAAAATAACAAACGCTTATACCCTGTGTGATTTATTGAGGTTGATAACAGAGGCAAAATTATTGTCAGTTCCTTCTTCTTACCTTTGCACAGCTGGATCCACTGATGTTTTCCATCCAAACTTATTACGACCTCAGTCTCTAAGTAAATCTTTACTCAAGTGGCCAGCAGAAAACCACATGCAAGAGAGCTTAAAAAATCTGCCCTTTGACCAGATGGGAATTTAAATTTCCTAGTATGAATGTCAGGCTCATTCATTGCTCCCAAGAACCCCCTTGCTTTCTAGTTAAACCTCGGATACTGCACACCCAGTAAAATATTCTTCACATCCATGCTCAATAAATATTACACACCAGCCCTGGGTTTATAAGTTGCCATTCTCTTTTTATGATTTAAGCTGAGATGCAAGAAAAAGCACAAATACATGTTTGTTAAAAGATAAATGATGTTTGGGGAGAGTAATGCTGTTCAGCCAAATCAATAAGATCAGCTTCCCTTTTTTTATCTATGGCCAGCTTGGCTGTTTCCCCAGGTCCTAATCTTCCCTTTTCCTACTCTCAGCTGTTTTCTATGCCCAATTTATGGCATCTCCCACTAACTGCTGGGTAATCAAACTTGAAGAGCATTCAAAACTCTACTTCCAGAATTACTAACCGGGCCCATAATCTGCTTGTTGTTGCCACATACTGACATTAGCAAACCTCCTTCAATTTTTACCCTCAGCTTTCAATATTTCAAATTACAACAAACGTGGAGACAGGGAAAGACTGTAAAGAGAATCCTAAATAAATTATTTTATTAGCGTCAGACACAATTTTCCATTGTAAAATAATAGATAGCTTATAGATCATCTCTCCCAGTTTTAGCTCAGTACAACCCAAATTCCTCAATTCTATTTTGGAAACTACCTGCATATTTTAAAAGTCTGTGAGAAAAAAGACATACTATAAAAATTAACTTTTAGTTTATTTAGTTTATATAATAAAATTAACTTTTAAATTATTTTTAATATGTTTTATAATATACTAAATCCATCTATATATGATTTATATATTAAGGTACATATTAATTTCATTAAACAAATCCCTTGAGGCTGGGAGCAGTGGCTCACACCTGTAATCCCAGCACTTTGGGAGGCCCAGGCGGTGGATTGCTTGAGCCCAGGAGTTCCAGATCAGTCTGGGAAACATGGAGAAACCTCATCTCTACTAAAAACTGAAAAACTTAGCCACGCATCATGGTGCACCCCTGTAGTTCCAGGTACCTGGGAGGCTGAGGTGAGGAAGTCACCTGAACCTAGGAAGTCAAGACTGCAGTGAGCTGTGATCACGCCACTGCACTCCACCCTGGACAATGGGAGTGAGGTCCTGTCTCAAACAACAACAACAAAAATACCAAAACAACAACAACAACAACAACAAAAACCTCTTGATGACTACCATAATTAAGAACTCAGTAAGTCTAAATGTAGTTTCTAGAAATTATCTCTCCATTACTTTCTAGTAACTTGTATATCACTATATGTTAAAATTACCATATGTACTATGTTTCATGTTTTTAGTAAATGAAAATTAGCACCAGATCCAAAACATACATGAAGATTAAAATCTACATACGGAAGAATTTCTTAAATTTTGTCATTCATTACCATTCATTACTACCTCCAGATCACTTCCCTTCGAAGCCACCAAGTTTACTGTCAGATTCTGGGATGTCTCCAGTGAGGTCAAAAGAACTTGAACTACCACTGAACTACTCTTCTACATTTCAGAACATTATAGTTTGAACTGTTTTATTTCTTTTAGAAGACCTGCAGATATAAATTGCTAACATAAGGCACACCATTCGTCCTAATACTAAATGTTCCCCTTAGCACAAGTTTCTTTTTTCCTTGAACTAGTCTCCAGAAAAATACTTTTATTTTAATAGTGAACTACAGCATTTACAGCAGAGCCAGAAAAAATTATTTCACATAGTTATTGCCATTGCTGCTTGGATTTCTTGTCAGCTACTCATTTTAAAGTATGGGGATTTTTATTAGCCAACTTCCCAGTCTTTTTCTATTTATCAAGCTCTGCTTGGTAAGATTTGGGAAAAACTTGCACGTTTGTAGGATTTCTGTGACACATTCAATTGCCTAATAGCTACATTCAATTAAAAATAACTATTGGATAGTGTAGAAAATCTCTGATAAAGTGAAAATAGGTTAATCTTGTTTTACTAACACATGATCTTTAATCCAGTTTCCAAGGTTACTTGTGTACTAAATTTGTATTTTAGATGTACTAGAGGCCTGCAAAATTAATCTCAAATTTTGACTCGTGCATGAAACCAAGTCTATTTTGGATTTTCACACTGTGTGACATCTTATGAGATAAGAAACATGATTATATCAAAAAGTCCTGACTTAATTGTGCCCCAGACCTAAAAAAGACTCAATGATTACCTTTCGAAGTGTTATTAGAGCAGATAATGCAGAAAAAGGATGTTGGCATTTGTCTATTTTTCCCTTTACATCCAAAATAGCAACTTTGTCACAAACTTTGCAATCCTAATAAGGAATCAAATCTTTTAATTTTCATGCTTATTTCAAAATTGTTGCTCACAATTGTTGATGATTAAGAGAAGGTATAAGACATAGCCCTGATCTCAATGAGTCCAAATCAAGGAAGGGAAAACAAACAAACAAACAAACAAACAAAAAACCTCATATAATTAATAAATGCTAGAAACTAAGGACTAAAAGTAGTAAAAGACAAAATTTTAGAAATTCAGATGAAAGAGTTAATATATCAAGAAAAATTTCTTTAAAAAATGTAGAAATTAAGGAGCGCCATGAAAAACCAAACAAAAAGGAGAGCCAATCAACAGCAGCATGATGGGTGATTCCCACTGCCAAAGTCAAAACATGGAACAGGCTATAAGCACTTCCCAAGACCTTGTTATATCATTATTAAATTCTATTGCAATGTACTGTGCTAGATAGCTGTGAGAGACTTGAATTCTCATTATGTTTTCTCTGTGAACATGTGCCATTTAGTAGAGTTTTAATACTTGTAAGTACAAATATTTACATTTATTTTTATGATTTTCTCTCTCATACACATATATTTATTTATTTACTTATCTCGAGTTGTACACATGTATGAGGACCATGTGAAATTTTGTTACATATATAATGCATATATAATGCATAGTGATCAAGTGAGGTATTTAGGGTACCCATTTCCCAAGTACAATAAATTTTTATTAATCGCCGTTCTATGCTTTGAAACATTGAATTTATTCTTTCTATCTTAATGTATGCTTATACCTTTTAACCCATTTCTCTTCACCTTCCCCTCTCATACCTACTCACCCTTCCCGTCTCTGTTATGTTTTTCCACACTCTACCTCCATGTGATCCAAGTTTTTAGCTCACATGTATAAGAGAGGACTGCAATATTTGTCTTCTTGTGCCTTGGTTATTTCACTTAAGATAATTTTCTCAGCTGGGCACAATGGCTCACACCTGTAAATCACAGCCATTTGGGCGGCCAAAATGGGCAGATCACTTGAGCCCAAAAGTTTATGATCAACCTGGGCAACATGGCAAAACCTCATCTCTACAAAAGAAATGCAAAAATTAGCCAGATGTAATATCATGTGCCTGTAGTCCCAGCTACTCAGGAGGCTGAGGTGGGAGGATCAATTGAGCTCAGGAGGTTAAGACTGCAGTAAGCTGTGATCACACCACTGCACTCCAGCCTGGGTGACAGAGCAAGACTCTGTCTCAAAAAAGAAAAAAGATAATGTTCTCTAATTCCACCCATGTACTGCAAATGACATAATTTCATTATTTTTTGTTGATGAATAGTATTCCATTCTTTGTTCATTCATCCATTAATGGACATTTATGTAGATTCCATATCTTTGTGATTGTGAATAGTACTGCAATAAACATGTAAGTGCAGGTCTCTCTTTGATATAATGATTTATTTTCCTTTTCCTTTTGGTAGATAGCTGGTAGTGGGAATCCTAGATCAAATGGTCATTCTGTCTTGAGGTTTTTTTGTTTTTTTGAAATCATTATGCTTTTTTATTGTGGCAGTACTAGTTTACATTTCCAAAAACAGTGTATAATAATTCCCTTTTCTATTCATTCTTGGCAACATCAATAATTTTTTATCCTTTTAATAATAGCCATTCTGACCTGGGTAAGATAATGTCATGTTGTGGTTTTTATTTGCATTTCTCAGATGATTAGTCATGTTAAGCATTTTTCATATTTCTGTTGCTCATTTGTATGTCTTTAGAGAACTGCCTGTTCATATTCTGTCTTTTGCCCACTTTTTAATGGGGTTATTTGGCTTTTTTTTCCTGTTGTGGTGTTCCTTGTATATTTTGGATATTTATTCCCTCTTGGATACATAGTGAGCAAATATTTTCTCCCATTCAACAAGTTGTCTCTTTACTCTGTTGATTATTTTCCTGTGTGGAAGCTGTTTTGTTTTTTTTTGTTTTGTTTTGTTTTTTTTAATTCCCATTTGTCTATTTCTCTTTTTGTTGCCTGTGCTTTTAGGGTATTAGTCACAAATTATTTGCCTATACCAGTGTCCAGCAGAATTTTCCCTAGGTTTTCTTCTATCATTGTTATGGTTTCAGGTCTTATGTGTAAGTCTAATCCATTTTTAGTTGATTTTAGTATGTGGCGAGAGATGGGGTTTAATGTCATTCTTCTGCATATGGATATACAATTTCCTCAGCACCACTTATGGAATATTTTCTTTCCCCATTGTAAGTTCTTGTCAGCTTTGTCAAAGATTTGTTGGCTGTAAGTTAGCGTCTTTATTTATGGGTTCTCTATTCTTTTACGTTGATCTATGTGTCTCTTTTTATATCCAAACCATACTGTTTTGTATACTATAGCCTTGTAGTATACATACAAATATTTATAAATTTATTTCTATAAAATGTCAACTTTTATTTTAGAAAAAAAGGTTTTCTACATGGTTTTTTACATGGAAACATTTTATGATGCTGAGGTTTGGGGGTATGAATCCTGTCACCCCGGGAGTGAGCATAGCACTTGATAGGTAGTATTTCAGCCTGCATTTGTTCATGTTTGTTGGCTGCTTGTATGTCTTTTGAGAAGTGTCTGTTCATGTCCTTTGCTCATTTTTTAATGTGGTTATTTGGTTTTTGCTTGTAGGTTTATATAAGTTTCCTTTAGATTCTGGATATTGAGCCTTTGTCAGATGCATAGTTTGTGAATATCTTTTCCCATTCTGTAAATTGTCTGTTTATTGATAGTTGCTTTTGCTGTGCAGAAGCTCTTTAGTTTAATTAGGTCCCACTTGTCAATTTTTGGTTTTGCCGCAATTGTTTTTGCGGAGTTAGCCAATAATTCTTTGGCAGGGCTGATGCCAAGAAGATAATTTCCTAGGTTGTCTTCCGGGATTTTTAGTTTGAGGTCTTACATTCAAATCTTTGATCTATTTTTAATTAATTTTTGTATACGGTGAATGAGAGGAGTCAAGCTTCAATCTTCTGCATGTTGCTAGCCAGTTATCCCAGCATCATTTACCGAATGGAGAGTCCTTTCCCCATTGCTTGTTTTTGTTGGCCTTGTTGAAGTTCACATGATAGGCTTGTAGTTTTATCTCTGAGTTTTCTATTCTGTTTCATTGGTCTATGTGACTGTTTTTGTACTAGCACCATGCTCTCTGGGTTGCTTGAGCGTTATAGTATAGTTTGAAGTCAGGTAATGTGATGCCTTTGGCTTTGTTCCTTTTGCTTAAGATTGCTTTTTCTATTCAAACTGTTTTTTGGTTCCATATACATTTTAGAATAGTTCTTTCTAATTATGTGAAGAAAGATGGTAGTTTGATAGAAATAGTGTTGAATCTGTAGATTGCTTTGTGTAGTATGGTCATTTTTAAGATATTAATACTTCTAATTCATGAGCGTGGAATGTTTTTCAAATTATTTGTGTTATCTCTGATTTTTTTCAACAGTGTTTTTTAGTTCTCCTTGTAGAGATCTTTCACCTTCTTTGCTGTATTTCTAGGTATTTCATTTTGTTTATGGCTACTGAAAGTGGGATTGTGTTCTTAATTTGCCTCTCAGCCTGGATGTAATTGGTGTACAGGAATATTACTGATTTTTGTAAGTTGGTTTTGTATTTTGAAACATGTTATTTATCAGTTCTAGGAAACTTTTGACAGAGTCTTTAGGATTTTCCAGGTATAGAATCATATCATCAGTAAAGACAGATACTTTGGCTTCTTTTTTCCTGTTTGGATGCTTTTATTTCTTTCTCTTGCCTGATTGCCCTTGCTAGGACTTTCATTACTATGACAAATAGGAATGTTGACAGGGGGCATCCCCTTGTCTTGTTCCAGTTCTCAAGGGGAGTGGTTCGAGCTTTGGTCCATTCAGTATAATGTTGGCTGTAGGTTTGTCATAGATGGCTCTTACTATTTTGAGTTATGTTCCTTCAATGACTAGTCTATTGAGAGTTTTTATCACAAAGAGATGTTGGATTTTGTTGAACGCTTTTTTCTGCATCTATTAAGATTGTCATATGATTTTTGCTTTTGAATCTGTTTATATGCTAAATCACATTTATTGAATCGCATATGTTGAACCAACCTTGCATCCCTGGAATAAAGCCTACTTGATTGTGATATATTAACTTTTTAATGTGGTGCTGAATTTGGATTGCTAATATTTTGTTGATAATTTTGGTGTCTATGTTCACTAAAGATATTGGCCTAAAATTTTCTTTTTTCATTGTATCTCTGCCAGATTTTGGTATCAGATGGAAGTTAGCTTCATAAAATGCGTTAGGGAGGAGCCCTTCCTCCTCAATGTTTTGGAATACTTTCAGTAGGATTGGTATTAGTTCTTCTTTGTAGGTCTGGTAGAATTTTGCTGTGAATCCATCTGGTCCAGGGCATTTTTCGGTTGATAGATTCTTTATTACTGATTCAATTTTAGGTGTTGATATTGGTGTATTTAAGGTTTTAATCTCTCCCTGATTCTATCTTGGGATACTGTGTGCTTCCAGAAATTTACCTATTTTATCTAGATTTTCTAATTTGTGTGGAAAGCATTCTTCATAATAGTCTCTGAGGATCTTTGTATTTCAGTGGGATCAGTTGTAAGACTGATTTTATTATTTCTGATTGTGCTTATTTGGGTCTTCTCTTCCTTTTCCTTTGTTAATCTAGCTAGGGGTTATCAATTTATTATTTTAAATAAACAACTTTTGTGTTTTATTGCTTTTGTTGTATGGGTTTTTGCATTTCAATTCCATTCAGTTCTCTAATTTTAGCTCTCTTTTCTTCTGCTAGCTTTGGGGTGGTTTGTTCTTTTTCTTTCTAGGTGCAAAGTTGAAGTATTAATTTGAGATCTTTCTAACTTCTTGATGAAGGTATTTAGGGCTATAAGCTTTCATCTTAACACAGCTTTTGCTGTATACAATGATTTTGGTAAGTTGTGTCCCTATTTTCATTAATTTCAAAGAATTTTTTGATTTTTATCTTAGTTTCAATCTTTACCCAATAATTATTCAAGAGTAAATTGTTTAATTTCTATGTATTTGTGTAGTTTTCAGAGATCTTCTTGATATTAGTTTCTATCTTTATTTCACTGTGATCTGAGAGTGCGCTTGGTATAATTTTGATTTTTTTGAACTTACCAAGACTTGCTTTCTGACCTAGTATATGGTTGATCTTGGAATATTTTCTGTGGGTAGGTGAGAAGAATGTGTATTCTGTCATTGTCAGGTGTAGTGTTCTGTAGATGTCTCCCAGGTTCATTTGACCAAATGTTGGGTTTAAGTCCTGAGTCTCTTTGTTAGTTTTCTGCCTTGATGATTTGTCTAATGCTGTCAGTGGGGCTGTTTATGTCTTCCACTCTTACTTGTGTGAATCTCTAAGTATTTTTATAGGTTAAGAGGGATTTGTTTTATGAATCTGAATGCTTCAATGTTGGGTACATATATATTTAGGATAATTATATCTTCTTGTTGTATTGTACCCTTTATCATTATGCAATGTCCTTTTTTGTCCTCCTTAATTGTTAAAGGTTTAATGTCTATTTTGTGCGATATAAGAATAGCAACTTCTCTTTTTTGTTTTCCATTTGCATGGTAGAACTTTCTCCAACTGATTACTTTCAGCCTGTGGGTGTCATTATGTGCGAGATGGTCTGTTGAAGACAGCAGACAGTTGAGTCTTTCTTTTATGCAGCTTTCCATTCTGTGTCTTTTAAGTGGTGTATTTAGCCCATTTACATTAAGGATTAGTATTGATTTGTGAGATTTTAGTCCTGCCATTGTGTTTTTAGTTGATTGTAATGTAAACCTGGTTGTGTAATTGCTTTTTAGTGTCTGTAGGCTGTGTGTGTGAGTATTTGTGGTAACAGGTGTTCTTTCAATTCCATATTTAGCACTCTCTTAAGGATCTCTTGTGAGAAAGATCTAGTTGATTCAGGTTTCCTGAACTTTTGCTTGTCTGGGAGAATTTTATTTCTCCTTCAGTTGTGAAGCATAGTTTATTGGGGTATGAAATTCTTGGTTAGAATTTCTTTCCTTTAAGGACGCAGAAAATCAACTCTGAATCTCTTCTGGCTTGTAAGGTTTCTGCTGAGAACTCTGCTGCCAGCCTGATGGGAGTCCCTCTGTATGTAACCTGACCTTTCTCTTTAGCTGCCTTTAAGATTTTTTCTTTTGCATTAATCTTAGTGAATTTAATAACTATGTGCTTCGGGGATGGTCATCTTGTATAGTATATAGCTGGGGTTCTCTGCATTACTTGAACTTTCATGTCAACCTCTCTAGCAAAATTGGAGAACTTTTCATGGACTATATCCTCAAATATATTTTCTAAGTTGCTTATTCTCTCTCCTCTCTTAGGAATGCCAATCAGTTGTAGATTTCATCTCTTTATACAATCCAGTATTTCTCAGAAGTTTTGTTCATTTTTTTAGTTCTTTTTTCTTTACTTTTTCTCACTGAGTGGATTCTGAGAACCAATCTTTGAGCTCTAGGATTATTTCCTCAGCTTGGTCTATTCTGCTGTTAATCTTTCGATAGTATTATGAAATTATTGTATGAATTATTCAACTTGATGAGGTCAGTTTGAGTCTTTCTTAAAATGGCTATTTCACCTTTCAGCTCTTGAGTTGTTTTACTGGATTGCTTGGCTTTCTTGGATTGAATTTCTACTTTCTCATGGATCTCAATGAGCTTCCTTGCCATCCAGATTCTAAATTCCATGTCTGTCATTTCAGTCATTTCAGATTGGTTAACAACTATTGCTAGAGGACTAGTATTCTTGTTTGGAGGTAAGGGTAACCTCTGGCTTTTTGAATTGATAGAGTTCTTGCACTATTTTTTTTTTCTCATCTGGTAGTGTCAGTGTTCCTTTAGCTGTGGTTTAAATTGAATATAGTCAGTTGGTTTCATTTCTGAAAGTTTTCAGAGGACTTAGGCTCTGTACAGGGTGTTTCTTGTAGAATTTTTGACCTTGGCCTTGCAGGAGAGAGAATTAGCAATGTTTTTTTGTCTGTTTTGTGTGTGTGTGTGTGTGTGTGTGTGTGTGTGTGTGTGTGTGTGTTTGGTATTGTTGTTTAGGATGTGGTCCAATAGATGGTGCTTAAGAGCAATGGGTGGTAAATAAGCTCTTACTCAGCCACTTGGCTCTTTTGTGTATCCTTGGATTTATTTGCAGCTGTGCTCTGTGGTGCCAGGGGGAAAGTAGTGAGTCCTCAATAGGTTCATTCCTGGGCCTTGGGGAAGTCACTTCCAATCATTGGTATTGTGTCCATGATTTTGTTGTTGTTGTTAGGTGTTTTAGGCTGCAGGGCTCCCTTCAGCAGAGATCTGGAAGTGACATATGCCCCATGTTTACCAGACTAGCCTTGTGTAGCAAGGCATGCCTAGTTCTCCCAACAGCCTGTGAACCTCTGTGACTCACCTCTCTCAGTTTTCTGAGAGTGTGGGCTCCTCCCCAGCTCATGTGCCAGGCATATATCCTGGCTTAGCATTTCCAAGTCCTGGGGTACCAACACCTGCTCATGCCTCCCTCCTCTGGACCATTGGGGTTGGGTTCCCTGTGCCCTGGGTGAACTGAATTGTCTCCCAGCCTGCTGGAATTCACTCAGGTGTAGCAAAGCACCCTGGCTGGGCAGCAGAGGCTGCACTGAGTACACACTGCTATTGGGGTAGCCCAGCAGGAGCCCTGGGAGGGGCTGGTGGGTAGATGGGCCCACAGGACAGGGATTCCCCAGTCCCATTGGGAAATTGTCCCTGATTCTCCTGGTCCTGTGGTTATCAGTGGCCAGAGCCTCTCAGAGAGAACTGGGGGGCCGTGGGGAATGAGTCCCTATGGCCAGCCTTTACCACAGCTGTGCCATAAACAAAGGCCCCCAGCTCCACACCTGTTGAAGCTCCATCTCTGTCAAATCTCCAGGAAGATCCCCTTGCCAGCTTAAACATCCATGGTGGGTTTCGGTCTCCTGCAACTAAGATTCCAGAGGTCCCAGCAAGTGTGAGCCGTCTTCCAGTTTCTTTACTCACTCATTCCCCAGGAGCTATTTGAGGCTGGGAGCCAGCACTAGCATTTGAGCACCCTGAATGGGGTTTTCAGCTTTCTCACTCTTCAGTTTCAGCATTTGCAGCTTCTCTCCATACGAATTTGTCATTTTCTCTCTGAAGATCTGTTCAAACTATGTTGGTTTAATCAAAATCCTGGTCCCTCTCATTGGGAGCAGCACTTCCTGGTTGCAACAAGTTGGTTATCTTTTCCCCTACTCTTGTGATACATTTTGAAGTCAGGTGATGTGCTGCCTCCAGACTTACGCTTTTTGCTTAAGATTGCTTTGGCTATTCAGGCACTTTTTTGGATTCATGTACATTTTAGGATTTTTTTCTTTTAATTCTTTGAAGAATAACCTTTGTATTTTGATAGAGATTGCATTGAATCTACACGTTGCTCTGAGCAATACAGCCATTTTAATGATATTCTTCCAATTCATGACCATGTGATGTTTTTCTATTTGTGTCCTCTTCAATTTCTTTCGTCAGTGTTTTGTAGTTTTGCTTGTAGAGATCTTTCACCTTTTTGGATAAATTTATTCCTAGGTATTTTATTTTATTTTTTCTTATCTTAGTTTATTGTTGTAGCTACTGTAATGGGATTGCTTTCTTGATTTCTTTCTTAGCTACATCATTATTGCTTTATAAAACTGCTACTGATTTTTGTATGTTTATTTTATATCCTGCAACTTTACTACATTTATTTATAAAAAGTTTCTTGGTGTAGCCTTGAGGTATTTCTAGGTATAAGAACACATCATCAGCAAATAGGGACAATTTTACTTCCTCTTTTCGAATTTGGAAGCCTTTTACTTCTTTCTCTTTCCTGATTGCTCTGGCTAGGACTTCCTATGTTGAATAGGAGTGGTGATATTATAGGGAAATCTTTTTCGGGTTTTTAGAGAAAAGGGTCTCAGCTTTTCTCCATTCAGCATGATGTTAGTCATGGGTGTGTTGTATATGTCCTTTATAATTTTGAGGTATGTTTCTTCTATGCCTAGTTTGTTGAGAGTTTTTATCATGAAGGTATGCTGAATTTTACCAAATACTTTGTCTTTATTGAAAAGATCATATGGTTTTTGTTGATTTTTAAATTTTTTAAAAAATCCCCCTTGATCCTGGTGTAATATCTTTTTGATGTGCTGTTGGAGTTAGTTTGCTAGTATTTTGTGGGGAAACTTTGCATCTATGTTCATCAAGGATTTTGGCCCATAGTTTTCAGGGTTTTTGTTGTTGTGGTTGTGGTTGGGTCCTTTTTTGGTTTTACTATCAGGGTGATGCTAGCCTAATACAATGAATTACGGAGAATTTCCTCCACTTACCTTTTTAAAAATGGTTTCAGCGGAAATGATATTAGCTCTTCTTTGTAAGTTTGGTAGATTTGGCCATTAAACCATCTAATTCTGAGCTTTTCTTTTTGGGGAGATATTTTATGATTGATTCAATCTTACTACTCACTTTTCATCTGTTTGTGTTTTTTATTTCTTCCTGACTCAGTCTTGATAGGTTGTATGTGTCCAGAAATTTGTCCATTTTCTCTAGGTTTCCCAGTTTGTCACCGTATAGTTTTTCAGAATAGTCTCTGATGACCTTTCGTATTTCTGTGGTATCAGTTATAATGTCTCCTTTTTCATCTTGATTTTGTTTACTTGGATCTTCTCTCTTGGTTAGCCTGCCTAGTGGTTTATCAATTTTGTTTATCTTTTTGAAGAACTTTTTGTTTCATTAATCTTTTGTGTTTTTTTTTTTTTTTTTTTTTTTTTTTTGCCACTGTTTTGGTAATCCTGCCTTGATCTTTATTATTTCTTTCCTACTGCTTATTTTGGGTTTGGTTTGCTTTTGCATTTCTAGTTCCTTAAGATACGTTGTTAGTTTGTTAATTTGTAATCTTTCTACTATTTTGAAGTAGACGTTTATTGCTATAAGCTACTTTTTGCTATATCCACAGGTTTTAATATATTTTATTTTCATTTGTATTTGTTTCAAGAAAATGTTTGATTTCCATCTTAATTTATTTGTTCACTCAGTGGTCATTCAGCATCATGTTTTTTAATTTCCATGAGTTTGTATAGTTTCCAACATTTTTCTTAGTATCAGTTTCTGCTTTTATTCTGCTGTGATCTAAGAACATACTAGATATTTCTACTTTTTAAAACTTGTCGAGGCTCACTTTGTGTCCTAACGTGTAGTCTATCTTGGACAATGTTCCATGTCCTGTTAGAAAAAAATGTATACTCCACAGTTGTTGTATAAAATGTTCTGTACATGTGTGTTAGATCCATTTTGTGTAAAGTCTGTTTTAAATAGGTTTTCTGTATATAATCTGTCTAATACTGAGAGTGGGGTGTTTTAATTTCCCCACTATTATAGTATTGCAGCCTGTCTCTCTCTTTTGATCTGGTAATATTTGCATTATGAATCTTGGACCCTCAGTGTTAGGTGCATGTATGTTTGGAATTATTATATCATCTTGCAGGATTGATATTATGTAATGAACTTTCTTATCTTTTATAACTGTTCTTAAAATCTATTTTATCTGATGTAAGTATGTCAACTCCTGCTCACTTTGATTTATGTTTTCATGGAATATCTTTTTCATCCCTTCACTTTCAGTCTATATGTGCCTTTAATGATAAGGTGATTTTCCCATAAGTAGCATATAGTTACATCATGTTTTCTTTTTAAAATCTATTCACTGATTCTATAATTTTTAAGTGGAGAGTTTAATCTGTTAACATTCAAGGTTATTATTAATATGTGAGGCTTGTTCTTGTCATATTGTATTATTGCTTCTGGTTGTTGTACATATTCTTTTTTTCTTTCTTTTAGTGTTTGTCATTGTGGTCTCGTGGATTTCTGCAGTGTTACTACTTAAGTCCTTTCTCTTTCTTTTTGTGTGATTGCTTTACCAATGTGTTTTATATTTTCATGTGTTTTAATGATGGCAAATGTCATCATTTTAGTTCCAAGTTTAGGACACCCTTATGCTTTTCCTTAAGTCAGGTCTATTGGAAACAAATTTTCTTGGCATTTGCTTGCCTGGAAAAGACTTTTGTTCTTGTTTATTTATGAAGAATAATTTTGCTGGATGTAGTAGTCTTTGCTCACAGATAATTTTTTCAGCCCTTTGAATATATAATCTCATTCTCTTTTGGCCTGTAAGAGTTCTGCTGAAAAATCCACTTAATCTAATGGGTTTTCCTTTAAAGGTGACTAGATTCTTTTCTTGTTCTGTTTTTTAATGTTCATTCTTTGTCTTTGACTTTAGAGAAAAGACCCTCTTGCATTGTAACTGGGAATCATTGTTCCTCTGATATCTGAATATCTATGTCTTTTGCTAGACTTTAGAATTTTATCTATTATTTTGTTAAATAGATTTTTATATCTTTTCAGTTTCTCTTCTCCCTGTGCAGGTTTCATATTTATAATTTTTTAAATATTTTCTGTGTTTATATCTGTGCATCTGGTGTAACAGTCACTTCTTCCTATTTTTGAATTCATTTTATAGCAGAGAACATGTTATTGAAGATGTGTCTGTAATGTTGGCTGGGTAGGGTACTTTGGCAATGATACCTCGTGTGCACAATAGTGTAGTCTCTGTATGGATTCCTTGGCTGTAAACAGCATTAATGTTTTCTGTGATTTTCATAGTGGAAATTATATGAATTTGTGCTGGGGACTGGGAAGCCAGGTGGGCCAGTGGTGGAAGTGGTAGGCTGAGCATGCCTGTTTTTGTGTCACTGAGCAATATATTCTGGCACCTGTGTTGGTGTTTACTGGCAGGCTGATTCTTGGGCCTCCAGGGGGCTTGTTCAAATTCCAGTAGTGGCAAGAGAATGAGTGAATTCTTAACTCTCTGGGAAGCCAGTGTGGTGTGGGTAATGGCACTAACAGTGATGTTGCCACCCTCTGGGTCCCAGTTGGTGTGAACTGCTGGTGGCAGTGACTGCCGTATGGAGTCACCTCCAACAGCCCTAAACATGCTACTCTCAGGCTCTCTTGCTCTCTGTGGCAGCAATGCTGTTGCAGAACCAGTGAGGAGGGACATCATCTTCATATGCAAGTCTGGATTTCGAGGCCACACCATATCCAACCAGTGTGGTCACAGTCATCACTCACCACTGGACAGGTAGCCTTCTGGCTAGCCCACCTCAGCCCCTGGTGATAGAAGAATTGGCGGTATGGAGGGGAATGAGGAGTCCTGTTCTCTATGTAAGAGCTCAAGCACAGAGACCACTCCACCTATGAGGGGATTTTACTCTTCACTTGTCAAGCTATGCACTAAGTTTGTGCTGTTGCTCAGGGTAGCATCACTTCTCACAGTTCCAGACAATGAGTGCTCAGGCTCCAGAGGGTGCACACTTTTGTTTCTTTTGTTCCAGGGGCTGCCTTTTGGTGAACTGCACCATCCTTTCCCCAGGGAGTAGTGCTCCCTGTGGACTAGAGTACTGGGGACCTTGCAGCACCTTTGAGTATAGCCTGTGCTGTGCTGCTGCAGCCCTCTGAGTGGACATTGGGGAATGCCAGCAGGAGTTTCTGGGATGTGAAGATATGGGAGCAGTCATTCCCAGGGCCGAATGCAGTCTTGTACAGCGGCACTCACAAAATACTGCCCTACTGCAGTCATTCAGTTCTCAAAGAGGGGTGAGTAACCCAGCACAAGTTCTCGATCTGCTGTAGTGCTCTCATGGGGTCTCCAAATCACTGTCCACAGTAGTGTCAGAGTTCATGTGTGTAGTGGAGCTCTCCTGTGGTTTGGGTTGCAGCAGTCTGTGGCAGGGATGTGGACTCCCTAAGCTCTTTCATTTATTCTTTCCCTGCAATTCCAAGCCCCTATGGGCTCCCAGCCAATCCTGGCCCAGCTGGCAACTTCATTCTTCTTCTGTGCTTCAGGTGTTTCCTGTGAGTTTTCCATTGGATTCTAGAGTTTGGCCTATTCATATTATGAGTTCTTCATTCTGGAGAGGCCAGATGTCCGCTGTCTCTAGTCACTCTTCTTGAGCCCTTCATCTATTTATGTATTTATTTTAAAAATATATACATATACCTTTTTCCCTTTTTTGGCATTTGCAATTTAATTTTCTTTGTTATTGTCCTTCTGTAGGTAAGGTATCTTTCCATCCTCTGGCATCTTTCAAAATTTTATTTTTGTATTTTATTTTCTGCAGTTAAAATATGATGTGCCTAGGTGTAGATTTTTTGGTATTTATATAATTGATGCTTTATGAGTTTCCTGGATCTGTGGTTTGATGTCTGTCATTAGTTTTTGTAAATTCTTGATATTATTGTTTCAAATTATTTCTTTTGTTCCCTTTTCATTTGATTTTCTTTTTGGTATTTCCATTACATGTATGTTAAACCTTAGGCAATTGTATCACAGTTCTTGAATATTCTCTTGTCTTTTTCATTTATTTTCCTCTTTGCATTTCAGATTTAAAAGTTTTTATTGACATTTCAAGCTTGCTGTTTTTTTTTCCTTGGATATGCCTAGGCTATTGATGAACCAATTAAAGGTATTCTTTATTTCTGTTAAAATGATTTTGATTTCTAGCTTTTCCTTTTGATCTTTTCTTAGTTTTCATCTTTCTGCTTACATTGCACATGTGATCTTTCATGCTGTACATTGTTTCCTTTAGAACTCTAAACATATTAATCATAGTTGTTTTAAATTCTGCGTCTTATAATTTCAACTCCTCTGCCATATCTGAATGTGATTCTGTTGCTTTCTTTCTCTCTTTAAACAGTGATTTTTGTTTCTTAGTATGTTTTGTAGTTGTTTGTTGAAAACCAGAGATAATATACTGGATAAAAGGGACAGAGGTATATAGGCCTTTAGTGTGAGGTTTTAGGTTTTTTTGAGGTAGGTTATATTTACTGTTGGCTGTATTTGTATGTTTCAGAGGCTAACATTTCCACCAGTGTTCTTGTTTATATCTCTCTGTTGTAGTTAGCATTTCTTATAGACATCTTAAATAAAATACAATTTGTTCAGTTCTTTTGGTTGTATTCTCCTATTATACAGGAGCCCTATTGGTATGGTAAAGTATGGGGGATGAGAAGCCTTGTGATTAGGTTTTAATATTTTAATGAGTCTTCACGAGTGCTTATCAGCTCTCCTAACCGCTCTCCTTTGTCGAGGAAATAAGGCTAAAGGGGGCCAGAGTTTGGCATTTTCCTTCCTTTAAGCCAGTTAGGCTCTGATAAAATAATTTGTCCTGAAGGCAGGCCTTGTTAAGAAGAATAGAATGCTCTGGTGTATTTTAAAGTAGCTACTATTCCCCTCCCATTCCAGAAGTAAGAAGGTTTTATTCTCCAGTCTTCACTGTGAGAATCTGGTATAGCTCCTATAGGTAAAACTCACAAAAGTGTGAGTGGTCCTCTAAGACTGGACCTACCTAATGTTTTTAATTCTTAAACTTGTCTACACTCAGTCTCCAGCAATTCACCAATTGCACTGTAGGTTTTATTATTTTGGAACTAGTTTCCATGGAGATTTCTGCCCATAACTTTTTGCTCTGCTAAGTTGCGATTATCTGTGTTTGCCTTTCTCTTTAATTTTGGGGGCATAGGTTTGCTTTGTGGCCTCAAATATCTTATGGGTCTATGAAGAATTGTTGATATTCAGCTTATTGAGCTTTCTTCTTGTATAAATGGTAGTGATGACTTTCAAGCTGCTTACATTCTGTACCAAAAACCAAAATTCAAAAGGTGGTTTATACAAAGTAATATTTCTTGGTAATCAAGCAAAGAGGAATTGGACATGCATAGTCTCAGGAATAAAACCTCACTCACACATTTTCACTCCTTTGGATTTAGTTAAGCTACCCTCAAGATTCACAGCATGTTATATTCAAATTCATCCTAAGGTGTTAACCACTATGTTAGGACCAACCCCTCACACACACCCACGGGAGTCATTTTTATTTTTTGGTGTTCTTTTACATGTCTGAGCATTCTAGATTAGCTGCTTCTGAATAATGTTTACTCTCAGCCAATGTTATGTTAAGCTGGGTGCTCCTTTTGTTTCTCCTTGGGCAACACTTCAAATTATAGTGTATGAGTGGTTTTCTTCCAGAATTTCATCCAATTTTTAATATAACCGTGCTATGTCTTGATTAGGTATTTGTAAGTCAACCATCATCTTTCTTTCAGTTTTGTGCATCATCTTTCATATTCAGTTTTATGCATATGTAAATGCCTATACGCATATATACACCTGGGAACATACATATATACACACATATATACAGACACGTATTTCTATAAATTTAGTTAAATAATGGAAAATGGGGTATGTAGAGAGGGTAAGCAGTTATTCTCAAGTAAGCATATTTTCTATGTGTCTTCAGGTCTTTCCACAGAGTAAAGCAGCAAACAGCAAGTCCCCAGAATACCCTGATAGAATTAATCATGCAGAACAGAAGCTCTCAATTTCACAGCATTTACTAGAGGACAGCCTGGTCCAGTTGGACCATGCCTTAAATAGAGAAAATCATAGAGTAAAACACATTTGAATCATAACATCTCTTCCAAGATGTAGGAAAAAAAAGAGATTGTCAAACAGATTTATTCACTGAATCATCTAAGGGCACTTGTCCACAGTACAATATGGCTCACCTATATGATATAAATGATTGTGAAAAATGCTGTCATAGGGGCATAATTTTTCAGGTGAGTTGTTCTACCTCACCAACAAGGAGAAAGTACTACACAGACCCAACTAGTTTAAATAAAAACCTTGCATGTAAAGGAAGAAAAGATAATGTTTGCTTTGGATGTGACGGTAACAATTATGATCAAACATAAGAATAATAAAGGCAAGAGTAAAGGAAGACTCACACAGACTCTGTAGGTAAGCATGCAATTGCTTTTATTATTTATACCCATTATAGTATTTATACCCATTATACCCTAAGAGGCTGAAAACTACATAACAGGTTGCTAACAGATTCTTGTCATCTGGTGTGAACACAGTTCCATAGTCATGAATGCTGTGACATCTTTTAAAACAGGTTGGGGTAATGCTTAACAGACATTTGTTAGCAGTCCAAACTTCTAAACACTGAAAAAAAAAAAAAAGGAATTATCAGCAAGAATGGCAGTTGCACACTTGAGTCCTTGTTATGATATTTATTGGGCTGCTCCAGAAAACTTTAGCTGTGCACATTTAGTTGATTACGTAAATAGTTGCCACTATTCTGACTATAACCAGATTTGATGTTAATAAGGCTTTATTAAATATTATAGTGATAAGATCTGGCTGAGCAATACGTGGTAGCATATGGTTTCAATGCTGACCCACCATACTGAAAGAACTTATGGGTTAGGTTTTACAAGAAGATACGTATCAATTATTACTAAATTATTTGAATCCAGTAAATAAGACAAGGGATTTAGCAATATAAAACACATTAGTCTGAAAGAGGAGTTCTGTGCCTTACTTTTATCTCTCACTGTAGTTGCGTCTCATGTTCCCTTTTTATAAGAAGTTAAGCTATATCACCTGTTTTGAAAAATTCTCAATCTTGGAAGCTCATCAAAAACATTTAGTGAACTTTTGAAAAAACTAAGGATATTTAGGTCCTGTCTAGAACAACTGGAACAGAATATCCACCCAGGAATTCATTCATTCATTCATTCATTTATTGTTCCTGATCCTCTATTCTTATTTTTTTGCTTAGCTTTTTTAATTTTACAAGTATTTCTGATACATAATCAGCATTGAGAACCCCTCCTACAAGTCTTTTCTACATCCTAAATTGAAATTATTATTGTACAACAGGACACTAGTATCCACCAGCATTCCCAAGTCATCTGGCATACCTCAAAAGAATAACTAAACCTAGAAAGAATTAAAGCAACTGCCCAGAGCAAAGGTGGGAACAAATAGCCATAATCAAAAGTTAAGTAAGAAAAGTGTTATGGAAAAATCTAAGGCAATTCTAGACATTGTAAATAACCTAGAGATATTCTGACCTGAAGAACTAGGATTAAGATACATTTCAGAGTATTGAAACTGTGGCAGGCCAGGTCTCAATAACGTGGGCCTCCATAACAACTGTTTCCGTACTGACTGAGTGGTTAAGTTAAATATTAAAAGCCAGTGCCCTTATACGAAGGCTGGAATGTAACAAAAATCCACCAAAAGTTTTGCCTAGACATTTCCTGAACCTTAAAACATGATTAAACAAGTCTTATTGAGGCTCTGAAGAAACTCCCCAGGCCTCCACAAACAAGTCTATTGGGAGTCTGAAGGCACTCCCCAGACCTCCGTGATTTAGCAGAAGACCAGGTAAGGGTAATCACCCCAACACCTGGACCCATTTAGATTACGTAAATTTACTGGGGCTCCAGAGGAAGGTCTTCAAGACTCAGACCTTTGCTATAGATTAAAATAAGTTACTCATTTATGTCTTTAGATAAGAGCACACTTACAAGTAGACATATAGCTTAGAAGGTATATAAGCTCTGGAAAATGTTGTTATTTTGAGTTGGCCTGGCGATAATTTCTAGGCCTTCTCCCTGTAACTGGTTACAGAAATAAAAACTCTCTTCCTCCCCAGTTCATCTGCATTTCGTTATTAGGCCACGAGAAATTGCAGCTCAGTTTGGTCCGGGAACAAAACTAGGAGTTTTTTTAGGTCTGATGCAGCACAGGTAATTAAACAAGACCATCAAATTATGCAAGATCAGGAAAGTCAATGGCAAGTGTACAACACTGAGATCGAGCTGGAAGTAGGGATGGTACTAATCCAGATAGCTGGTTGACCAGGCTTACTATCCCTAGAGAGTAGGTAGTAATTCTGCAAAAGAGTTTCCCCATCTTGACACCACTGTAATCAGGGGAGTATGTGTGAGAGAATGAAGAGGAAGTGATAGATATAGGAAAACATTTTCTAAATTAGTTCTAAAATGCCAGAAGGAGAAGACTAATTAGGTTTTGGTGTTTTAGCCCTAGAGCAATAAAGTTTCTAAACTCCATTATGTAATACAACAACAATTTATTTCTTTCCAACCTCTTACATCATTAAATCTAGTGAAATACTACTCATTTCTTTCCCCTCTTCTCAAATACTCACTCTCTTGCCCTATTTCAGAGTCTTATTGTCTGCAACATGAATTGTTGCTCCAGTTTTCTCATTGGGTCCCCTATTTCCTCTATTGTCCTCTCACAGACCAGTTTATCCTCTACACCCACCAGGGTATTGTTTATGTAAACATGAAATATGGCTTGAAACTTTCAGTTTCTGCCTGTTTCTTCCAGGACAAAGACTAATATTTCTTATGGCATGTGACTGGTTTTTCACCATCTGACTACATCTTAAGACTCTTATCCCTATGTTCTCCATATGTACTCATTTCCAATCAGTCACTTTCACTTGACTATTTCCCCTTAATAATTCATGTTGATGTAGCAAGTGGAAGCTTATCTTAGTATGTTCAGGCTGCTATAACAAAATGTAGGTGACCTAAAAACAATAGTAGTTTATTTTTTACAGTTATGGTGACTGGGAAGTCCAAGATCAAGGTGCTGGCAAATTAGATGTCTGCTTCCTAGCAAGCTGTCTTTTTGCTGTAACCTCATGTGGCAGAAATGGTGAAGGATCTCTCTCAGGCCTCTTTTATACAGGCACCAATCCCATTCATGGGAGCCACACTCTCCTGACCTAATTACCCTCCAAAGGCCCCACCTCCAAATACCATCACAACTGGGGATTAGGTTTCAATAGAGGAGTTTGGTGGTGATATTAACATTCAGTCTATGGCAAGGCTGAAAAAGCTAATCTCTCAAATTGGAAGGAAGAAATAAAGGCTTCTGTGGATTGAGAATAAGGATGCCAGATGTATGAAGGCAGCCTCTCCCCTGTGTTACATCAGAAGACGCTCCTCAGTCATCCAGGACCCTTTCAAGGCCAGCCATGTCTGTTGTCCTTCAGACCTTCTTTGGTTGGGTTATAATGACTAGTTTCAGCACTTTTGAGTCAGTCTGTCCTCTATAAGGACATGAAGAGGGAACAATGTGAGTTCATCATGTTCAACTTCTTTTCTAAACAGAAAATACCTTTTCCAAAAATTCTCACTTTGTAAAAGCCTGATTATTTGCTTTTAGCTGATTGGTAAAGGAAGATTCTCTGAGTTACTGAAGGAGAAGAGACACAAAAGAATCCCGTTTCCTTATGGTGGGATGGGGGCAATGGGGAGGAATTATTGAATGTCAATCATAATGGTTCAGTACAAACTGATGATTCCCACATGGAGATGCATAAAGTTATGAAATGGAAAGGTATGCTAAACTGGTAAATGTAGTAATTTTTGTAAAGCCAAAAGTAGTCATTAAAATATTTTATATTAGTGCCTAATTTATTTTATAAAATTGCATGCTAGTATTTTTTTCAAATAACCTTACTAGGCAAATAAAAATTTGCCAACTATGTCAAACAATCATATTTTTAAAAAATCTCTTACTGTATTGCACTGTAATGTTTGCAATCATTATGTGACACCATGGAATAGTTCTTATTGAATCAAAACAGCAGCACAGACAGAATTATAGTTTATTGATGCCCTAAATTCAGATATCTGTGAAATAACTTACAGAGTATATTAGAATTTGTACATTGACTTACTACATATTTTATTTCTAAGTAGAGAAAGAAAGCTGCCTTCAGATTATATCACCTTTGATTATCTTCTCATTACATTTTCTTTCACTTTGTCTATGGAAAATAATACACTTATTTGTATATTTCAATATTTTTTCATATTATATTAACAAATTGGCACTCAGGTTGCACACATCATTTTCTATATGTGTTACTGTAGTTCTACTCCATCCTCTACTGTAAACTTCTCTTAGAAATTCACTCAAATTCATGTATATATTGAAGTTTTAAGATAATTCAATAGTTCAATAAAGAGTAACACTGAATTCATATTATTTCTTCACTCCAAAAGAAGCATTGTTTAGATACCATACTCGTTTTTCTATTATTTGAATACCAAAGTACAAAATCTGTGTTACTTTCTGATGATAATAGTTTAGTGTAGCACTTCTGCATATTGTCCTGATATTGATCCTTACAAGGATACCATGAAAGTAGAAGAAAAGACATTACTCCCATTTATAGATGAGCAAAATGAGATTTAGACGGGTTTGAAGACTTGCCTAAAGTAACTATAAACAGTGAAAGTCAGTGAAAACCAACACTTAACAAGTTTAAGATTAGGCTATTGGAGTACTGGCGTGTATTAGATAGAGATTTTGATTTGCAAGTTTGAGAGACCATTTCGTAGGCAATTGACATTATTTAGACATTTAATATGAATGAATTGGTGAGATGTCACAGAACTTTGAACAGTGGAATCAGGATTTTACATTTTTAAAGAATTTGTCTGCTGCTTTTATGAGAGTATACTGTAGAGGGTCAAAAATAGAAGAGACTATTGCAATAACCTAGATGAGAGGTGGTGGGAATTTGGATCAGAAAACTAGTGGTAAAGATGGTGAAAACAGATCTCACTCTGAATACATTTTGAAGAAAGGGCAAAGAATTTGCCAGTAACAGTTGGATGTGAGATAAAAGGGGAATAAAAGATAACCCAGCTTTTTTTGTGTAAGATACTCTACATATGTAGTTACCCTATAAGGGTGATGAATAGTTCCTGGACAAGAATTAAATACAACATGCTGTAGATGACCACATGTACAACAAAGAACTTTTTATGGATGGGACCTTAATATATTTCTGAAATAAAAAAATGTGGATGCAATCAACTTTGATAGGATAGGAAATATGTCTATTAATATATGTACTATAAAAGAATACAAATGTGTATTAACCCATAATTTAAAATACCAAGAAAAATTACATAGAATACAATTCAATCAACTATCACTAACATCATCAAAGGTATAGCAGTATTATATTCAAATTTGATAGCCCAATTCAAATTCAAATTTCATTAGATGATAATATCGAGACTCGCTAATGGGTGCTATATTCTACTTTGAGAGTCAAATAATCTCAATATTATCACTAGATAACTGAATTCTCATTAAATTTTATTTAAAATCAACTTCTGTAATACTTATAATAAATTACAGAATTTGTTTTTACTTCTCCCATACTCTGCCCTTCTTTTTTCTTTTTTTTATTTGTGAGTCATGGAAAAGATGCACATAACATTTATAAAAATAATATGATAAGTTAATATGTATGCAGTATTATTATATTACATATTTCCTTCTGTTAAAGAGCTCAATATTCACTTCATGTTAATAATGATGAAGGCTGATTATTATCATTAACCTAAACTTGGCAACTATTTTGTAGGTCCAATCATTAGGTAGTGCTGTAATTGAATCAAATCATCCAATAATGTTCTTTGTCATCAAAGATCTATTTTGATTAATGGTAAGATTTGTATTCAAGTTGTTATTAAAAAGGATTATACATTTTATTAGAACAAACATTACAAACAATGTGTTGTTAATACCCTCTGTTTCTTCCCAAAACTAAAGGTTCCTCTATGACATCTCTTCGTGTAACGTGGCCCTTGGCAATACATGTGAAGTATAAGTGCACATTGCTTTGTCTCACACCAGATCTTTGAGGAGCGACCAGGCAGGAAATTTGCATTTTTAATAAGCTCCCCAAGGTGACCTTTATGCACACTATAGTTTAAAAGCTACCTGTGACAGCCAATATAACTGAATTTATTTACAAATTCAGTATATGCAAAAAAAAAAAAAAAAGAAATTCAAATGGAGAATTGATGACAGCTTGTACTTCACACCCTTAAATGTTAGTGGGGAAAGAAGGGCACAAATTATGATGAGTGGGCAGGATGCCAAGCTCATTAAAATTCTTACTGGCTCATTGCCTGATTTCCCAGTGACCTGGTCATATTTTAAGCAATTCATCAATCAAGAATAAATATTTAGCGAGAATGTGTGGCATGCTCAAGGTGTGGTGTGATTTCTCCTGGTCCCCGGGCATATGGACATATGTTATATTTGCATGATTGATTGTGCATGATCTCTCAGTATTTCTCCAATCTGTTGGCAGGACGAAACCACTGCTATACCCAAATTGCCCTCAACAGGCTACTTATGAAGGGGGAAATAGCAATGAAATAAGCGAGTCGGGTTTACACATTAGGCAAATCCAATAGGATTATTTTCAATGCAGATGAAGCCTCAAAATAGTTTTGGGATGGACACAGAATCTGGGCTTTCAGATCGTTCTCTGTATTCCTTTTTATCATATTAGCTAAACCACCTATTTGAAACGATACAAATTTAAAACATATTTCTCATATAGACTAGGTGAAGTTTAAGAAGCAAAGAAGTTGGAATGGAATGATAGGTGTTTGAGTTGGACTGAGCTTCTCTGACACGTCATCTCTAAAATGTGGATAAAAATGGACACTTTCAGGACTTCTGTAACTATGAAGAGCAAATGAGTTATTGTATCAAATAATAAGAGCATCTTGACATTGTAAAGTGCTACAGAAATATTATTTGAAAGTCAGCTGTTCCTTTCAGGTAGACCCATGACAACACTAATGTTTAAAGCTTTTCATTTGCACTAGGGTTTTGATAACATACCCTGTAAAAAACGTAAAGAGTCGAAAGTCGGCCGGCTTTTTGGCTCAAGGTGTGGAAATTTTCTCAGGAGAGGCACAGCACTAAGGTCTAATTAGGGTATAAAATGCTCACAAACAACTGGAAAGTGGCTGCTAAAAATATCAATAACTTGCAGGGTTTCACCACCCTTGCCTACAGCATATGCATGATCATTTATGATAGTGATTTCATCCATCATTTTTGGTGGATTCTCTTAGTTTTCCTCTTTATTATTCTCTTCAAGGCACTGTGTAGAACAATTTAACTGCAATAGTTCAAACCCTTCACAGTACTGATCTGAGAAACACACTAACCTGGCTCCATTTTCGTTTATGAATAAAATGAACTCTAGTATCAAGATGCACCTTGTTCATGGTTATACGTATAACAAAAGATAAAACTAGAATTTAAAAATGAGACAACTCCAGAACTCATGCTGTGAAGTACCTCATTATAATTCCCCCAGGGGTTTTAAATTATGTTGCATGGCATATATTAAAAGATGTGTCATTTATAATCTTTATTTACATTTTAATAAGTTTTATGTAGTTTTAATTTTTTCTATTGAAATATTTTAAACAATTAAAATAAGATTCCTTACATATTGGGTCCTAAGCTTTAGAATTGGTTCTAGAAATAATTCATTTGGCCTTTAATAAAGAATAAATGGATACTACACTTTACATCTAATACTATTGTCGTTTTTAACATTTTTTTAAATCTCAATAATGTATCTGCATCTACTTCCAGGATTAAACTCCCCAGAGTTTACCCTTACTTCCAAGCCTTATTTCTGCCCCCTCAAAAGAGACATGTAGAAAGGATAAAGTTGGGAGAAGTTTGTTTGTCTGGCAAGTCAAGTGATCCAAGACGAGAAAGAGACCAGGTGGAGAAGGACAAAGAAACAATTGAGTGAGCTTGGCCAGCTACAGATGGATAGAATCCAAGGACTGGTGTGCCAGCAATAGCATTGTACTCTTGGACACAAATGTGCATGCCCAGGCCTCTGAGTTTCAGTCACCCCCTCACTGCCAGTGGGTAGAATGGCTAAATATATTCCAGTATGCTAAGAAACAAATGATGTAATTGTCTAAATGAGTCATACCACATACTCTAAATGATTATTTTACAATGTAGGTGTTGACTTGAGTCCTGGTTTGAGTCTCTCTGGCATTTACTTATTGAATGATCCTAAGAAAGATACTTTAATTATCTATACCTATGTCTCTTTATGAGTAAAATGGGGGATCATAATAATGCTTATTTTATTAGGTTGTTGAGGACAGCAAATGAGGTAATACATGCAAAATATATAAATAAACAGAAAGAGGGCTGGCCTACAGTAAGTGTTCAATATTTCTACCTATAGTTTTTATTAGCTATTTTTGTCTATTCTAGTCCTGGTCATAACGTATGAAAAGATAAACCTGGCACAACGCTTGGTGCAAAGATGGTGCTCAGAAAATGTTGATTGAATTAATTTTCTCCTGAGAAATTACTTACCTATTTATAAAGATATGAAATTATTTGTATCACAAGAAATCTATGCAGTTAGAAACAATTCATGTATAAACCTGTCCTTATGGGATACTGTTAGAAATATTTACTTTGTTAGTCATAGCCAAAACTATTATGTATTTTCAGAAAAATATCATATCGGATAGCCTCTAAGATATATGAGTCTTAAGATTTCCAATAAAAAAAACTCTGATGAGCAGGAGAGATTTGGCTCTGTGCTGCATGTTTCCAAAAGAATTCTGAGGTATTTGCCTGACAATTCATTATTAACAGAAATACTTGGCTAAGACATAATTTGTTATCATTGATAGAACTTTCTTTCAAAGCAGGTCATATAGATTTTAAACCATCCAATCAAGCTCTAAAAAACTGTATTCAATTGTCCTTTATCTCTCTCACTTTCTCTCTCTTATAATTTTTACCCTCCTACATTACTGTATTGATAGGGACAACAACTAAAATCTCTCAAGAACTAAGAGCGTGGACAAACTTGGCCTTATAATTTTCACTCCAGTTTTCCAGTTTAGTAAAAAATGATATATTTGAAGTGGTCCCTACACCATACTCCAAACCTTGAGAAATGCACCCAGCACTTCTGTTTGTTATATAAATATCCTCCCCCTCTACCTGAAAGAGACAGCTTGAGTTTACTTGAATCCACCAGCTCTCCTCTCAGTGATAAGAAGTGGTGCAAGGCTTGCATATGCTCAGTATCATTCACTAGAGCTGTGAACGCTGACAGGTTTCCCAGCCCCCTTCTTCCCTCAGTTGCCAGCCGAGTTGAGGTTGCCAGTGTCTTTTGCTGTTTCACAAGTCTTTCTTACACTCATTCTTTTCCCAAGAAGGCATTATATTTCATGAAAGAAGCCTGGTCTTGCAGCCAGTAATGAGAATATAAAAGGAGAAAATATCAGTGTTCTTGCTTTATTAGAAATAAACTAATAAGAAAAGGGATGTATCAGTAGTGGTGGTAAGCGTTCACTACTCCAGAGTTGAGCTAAGGAAATTCCTCTGTTATCACATTTGCAATCCCTTAGACCAAGGCCTGATCTCATCTCTCAAATTAGGATATCAGATTAGGTGATCCGTTGAGACTTTTCCCATTCAAAAGTAACACTAATTTAGAAATTAAACCAAACATTGGAATTTTCAGGGAGAAGACAAGTTTTCTAGATAGATCAGCATGCAAAAGTATTCAGTCAAGTAACTTCATTTTATAGAGAATAAAACTAAAATACACAAAGGTTAAGTGTGACAGACCCAGGTTTGGAACTTAGATTATCTAATTTCCAATATACTGTTCTTTCCATAAAATCTCATCAAAGTTTTCAAGTTTTTAATTTCCAATAGAATATAGCCAGGCATCTTCTGGTAGCTTGTGGAGGATAATTTAACATTAAGAAAACACCTTGAAATCATTTGTATTGACTTTCTGACTTTCCGTTTGTGGAATTCATCCTGTACTCAGATCTTCAAACATTCAATCTGACTATTATAGGCTTTTTTTCTTGTGGGAATGGTTTATTTCACTCTATCAGAATGCCTATATAAGAGAGGATAGAGTAGAGATGTCCAACCTCACTGTTTATATGTATAATACCTGCCTCTTAAGATAAAGTCATATAAATTTTTACCTCTGGATAACATCTTAAATAAATGCACACAGATACTGATTATATTTTGAAATGGATTTTCTGTCCATTTGCCTCCAAATTTTAATAACTCATTCAAGGTATTTATTCACATGATTCTATCCCATGATACATTCACTTCTGCAATTGTAACTCAAAGATTTTTCTTTAGTGTCTCCAATTTAGGAAGTCTAAAATGAAAGTTTTTTTCCTAGACTTTTATCCTGGGCATCTAGGCTGAACTAAAATCCCTGATATGAATGGAATCATCAGAGATAGTTCCTATGGTTTCTTAGGGAAATCAAGATATCTTTGTCCAACTTTTCCTATGTGCAGATCATGCAATTCAGGCAGGGAACCAATCTTTAGAAACTATACCCAGTTTAGAGCTGTAGATCATGAATCATTAATTGGTAAGGCAAATTATATTTAGCTATGCATATATTAAGAATGAAAGTGAGATCATTGAAATTACTCTGGTCAAGAGTAATGAGGTATCAAGTGAGAAGGAGACAAAACCAAATAAATTAAGAAATTATCAAATAAGTGTTAATACACAAATCTATTTTTACTATCTGAGCATGGGGTAAGCCATTCCCTGAGTGGACAAACTATCTGCCAGTTGTGGCTATTTTAATGCTATAACAAACAACACTAAAATCTCAATAACTCACAACAACAAAAAAAGTGTGTTTCTAACTTAAATTTTATGTCTATCATAAGTTGACTCTGACTCTTTTTCTTGTTATCTTACTCCAGCATTTGGGCTTACAGTGGAGCCCCTATCTAGGACATTCTCAGTCTAAGCATAGACTTTACAAAAATAGCAGAGAAACATTACTTAGTAAACAAATAGCTATAGCCCACAGCAAATAACAAAACAGACCCTGAAGATGGAAAAAAATCTTTTTTCCAGAGTTATTAAATTATATAACTCAAATATACAGTTTTTAACAAAAAATTATGAAACATGCAAAAAATAAGAAAGTATAACCCATTCACAGAAAAACGTTACAGAAACTATCCTTGAGAAAGTAAAGGCTTTGAATTTACTAGGCAAAGACTTTAAGTTAATTATATTAAATATACTTAAAGAACTAAAGAAAACTATAGACAAAGATCTAGTGGGAAACAGTAGAACAACCAGTAAGCAAATACAAGATATCAGTAAGGAGATGAAAGTTATTAAAAAGTAATCAAACAGAAATTTTAAGCTGAAAAATATAATAAATGAAATGAAAAACTCAGTAGAGGGTTTTCATAGCAGGTAGAAGAAAAGAATCAGTGAGCTTGAAGAGAGATTACTTGAAATTACTCAGTCTGAAGAGCAGAATAAAAAAGAACAAAGAAAATGAGCAGTGCCTAAGAGACCTGAAGGGCAGCATCATTGTACAAAGTATATGTAATAGGAATCTCAAATGAGAGGAAAGAGAGAAAGGGGCAGAAAGAGTACTTGAAGAAGGCTGAGCGTGGTGGCTCATGCCTGTAATCCCAGCACTTTGGTAGGCTGAGGTGGGTGGATCACGATGTCAGGAGATCGAGACCATCCTGGCGAACACTGTGAAATCCTGTCTCTACTAAAAATACAAAAAGTAGCCGGGCTTGGCGGTGGGTGCTTGTAATCCCAGCTACTTGGGAGGCTGAGGCAGAGAATAGCTTGAACCCGGGAGGTGGAGGTTGCAGTGAGCCAAGATCGCACCACTGCACTCCAGCATGGGTGACAGAGCAAGACCGTCTCAAAAAAAAAAAAAAAAAAAAAGAATACTTGACGAAATAATGGCTGAAAGCTCCTGAAATCTGATAAAAATTTATGACTCCACACATCTCAGAAGCACAATAAAATCAAATAAGGATAAACTCAAGAAGATCCACATTGAGACACATTATGATCAATTTGCTTTTAAAAGACAAAGGCAAAGAGATTGTCTTGGAAACAGCAAGAGAGAGGTGACTCATTATGCATAAGGGACATTTAATAAGATTAACAGCTGAGTTCTTATTATGAACCGTGGAAGCTAGAATAGAGTGAGTTAACATTTTTAAGCTGCTAAAAGAAAAAAACTGCCATGAAAGATTTCTATACTAACAATACTCTCCTTCAATATGAAGGGAATAGTAATATTTTTTAGAAGAACAAGAACAAAGTGTGACCCCCACCAAATATACAGACCCCATATATTTCAAAATACATGAAATACCTAAGTATATAAGCTAAAAGTATACAATCCTTAAAAGAAAACATTGGAATAAATCTTCATGTTCTTGGATTTGGTAATAGGTTCTTAGGTATGATACCAGAAGCATAAACAACAAAAGAAAAAATAGATGATTTGGACTTCATCAAAATTAAATTTTTTTTGCAGCAAAGGACATTACAAAGAATGTGAAAAAAAAAAAACCACATACGGAATGGGAGAAAATATTTGCAAAGGATATATTGGGTAAGGGTCTAGTATCCAGAATATATGCAAAATTCTTACAATTCAATAACAAAACAGGCGATCCAATTTTTAAATGTGTAAAAGACATAGACATTTCTCCAAAGAAGACCTAGACTTTTTGAGGAATCACCACACTGCTTTCCACAATGTTGTTTTTTTTTTTTCATTTGCTTGTTGACAGCATGTATGTATTCTTCCCAGCAATTCCATTACTGTGTCTATACCCAGAAGGATAGAAAACATTCTACCATGAAGACATATGCACACAAATGTTTACTGAGGCACTATTCACAATAGCAAAGACATGAAATCAACTTAAATGCCCCTCAATGATAGATTGCATAAAGAAAATATGGTACATATACACCACAGAATACTATGCAGCCATAAAAAGAATGAGATCATGATTTTTTTTTGCAGGAATATGAATGGAGCTGGAAGCTATTATCCTTAGAAAACTAATGCATGAACAGAAAACTAAATACCACATATTCTTACTTATAAGTGCGAACTAAATGATGAGAACTCATGAACACAAAGAAGGGAACAACAGATACTGATATCTACTTGAAGGTGAAGGGTGGGAAGCAGGAGAGGAGCAGGAAAAATAACTACTGAGTACTAGGCCTAATACTGAGTTTATCTATATAATTAACTTTTGTGTGAACCCATGAACCTAAAGTAAAAGTTCAGAAAAAGAAGATACACAAATGCCATTAACCACATGAAAATATTCTAAACATTATTTGTCATCAGGTGAAAGAAAAAAAAAAACACTATGAGTTACCACTTCACACCCACTTTGATGACTAAAACAAAACCAAACAAAACAACACAAAGGAAAATAAGTGTTGGTGGGGATATAGATAAATTAGAACATTTGTACGTTGCTAATGGCAATGTAAAATGGTGCAGTTGCTAAAAAAGCAGTTTGATAGTTACTCAAAATACATAATTATTGTATAATCCAGAAGTTTTATTCCTAGGTATATACCCCAAAGAATTGAAAACAGGTGCTCAACTACTTGTTAATAAATGTTTATAGCAGCATGACTCACCGTAGCAAAAAAGGTGGAAATAAATGTTCATCAACTATTGAATGGATGCATAAAATGTGGTACATATACACAATAGAATATTTTCGATCATTAAAATAAATGAAGCAATAATACGTGTTATTATGTACAAGTACCACAAAAATATAGAAAGAAGCAATGTTCTTCTTCAAATATGAAGGGGATTATAATATTTTTGAGATGAACAAGAACAAAGTTGGACCCCTACCAAATCTATGGACCCCATATATTTCAAAATACATGAAACACCTAAATGTATGAGCTGAATCTATACAATTCTTTTTTTTTTTTTTTTTTTGAGACAGAGTCTTGCTCTGTCGCCCAGACTGGAGTGCAGTGGCGGGATCTCGGCTCACTGCAAGCTCCGCCTCCCGGGTTCACACCATTCTCCTGCCTCAGCCTCCCAAGTAGCTGGGACTACAGGCACCCGCCACTACGCCTGGCTAATTTTTTGTATTTTTAGTAGAGACGGGGTTTCACCGTTTTAGCCGGGATGGTCTCGATCTCCTGACCTCGTGATCCGCCCGCCTCGGCCTCCCAAAGTGCTGGGATTACAGGCGTGAGCCACCGCGCCCGGCCTACAATTCTTAAAAGAAAATATAGAGATAAATCTTCATGTCCTTAGATTTAACAGTAGATTCTTAGGTATGATTTTAAATTTTTAAAAATGCAACATTTTACATATTTTATGACATGAAAAATGCTGAACATGCATATTATTAACAGAATATGTATTAAGATGTTTTGTGTACATATGTGTGTGGGTATATTTGTGTGTGGATGTCCCAATTAGATCCATATAAGATCAGAAATTTTGTTTTGTTTTAATCTGTTTTGTTCACTACGGTATTCCGAGGACCTGTATCTGGCATTACTATGCATTCAAAACACGTTTTTTGAATTACTGAATACATCTATGAATAGATGGAGGATTAACAGACGTACTCCATGGGCCAACACCAAAGTATTACCTCTTGCCGTCTTTCTTTCACTCAGAGGATTAAGGATGATTTTAACTTTCTTAAATTTGATTATTTATACTTTTCTAACTTTTAGTTCTTTTAAATAAATATTTATGATTTTGTAATGAAATTTTAACTGCAGCAAGCGTGTTTAAAAAGGAAAAAGATGACTTTGAAATTGGGTTCCCCAGAACTGACCACCTTCCTGTTTCAATTAAAAAAAAAAAGTATCATTTTCCAGGTCACCATTTTCTTTTTTTTTTTTTTTAATATTATTATACTACTTTAAGTTTTAGGGTACATGTGCACAATGTGCAGGTTAGTTACATACGTATACATGTGCCATGCTGGTGTGCTGCACCCACTAACTCGTCATCTAGAATTAGGTATATCTCCCAATGCTATCCCTCCCCCCTCCCCCTACCCCACAACAGTCCCCAGAGTGTGATGTTCCCCTTCCTGTGTCCATGTGTTCTCATTGTTCAATTCCCACCTATGAGTGAGAATATGCAGTGTTTGGTTTTTTGTTCTTGCGATAGTTTACTGAGAATGATGATTTCCAATTTCATCCATGTCCCTACAGAGGACGTGAACTCATCATTTTTTATGGCTGCATAGTATTCCATGGTGTATATGTGCCACATTTTCTTAATCCAGTCTATCATTGTTGGACATTTGGGTTGGTTCCAAGTCTTTGCTATTGTGAATAATGCCGCAATAAACATACATGTGCATGTGTCTTTATAGCAGCATGATTTATAGTCCTTTGGGTATATACCCAGTAATGGGATGGCTGGGTCAAATGGTATTTCTAGTTCTAGATCCCTGAGGAATCGCCACACTGACTTCCACAATGGTTGAACTAGTTTCCAGTCCCACCAACAGTGTAAAAGTGTTCCTATTTCTCCACATCCTCTCCAGCACCTGTTGTTTCCTGACTTTTGAATGATTGCCATTCTAACTGGTGTGAGATGGTATCTCATTGTGGTTTTGATTTGCATTTCTCTGATGGCCAGTGATGGTGAGCATTTTCTCATGTGTTTTTTGGCTGCATAAATGTCTTCTTTTGAGAAGTGTCTGTTCATGTCCTTCACCCACTTTTTGATGGGGTTGTTTGTTTTTTTCTTGTAAATTTGTTTGAGTTCATTGTAGATTCTGGATATTAGCCCTTTGTCAGATGAGTAGGTTGCGAAAATTTTCTCCCATTTTGTAGGTTGCTTGTTCACTCTGATGGTAGTTTCTTTTGCTGTGCAGAAGCTCTTTAGTTTAATGAGATCCCATTTGTCAATTTTGGCTTTTGTTGCCATTGCTTTTGGTGTTTTAGACATGAAGTCCTTGCCCATGCCTATGTCCTGAATGGTAATGCCTAGGTTTTCTTCTAGGGTTTTTATGGTTTTAGGTCTAATGTTTAAGTCTTTAATCCATCTTGAATTGATTTTTGTATAAGGTGTAAGGAAGGGATCCAGTTTCAGCTTTCTACATATGGCTAGCCAGTTTCCCCAGCACCATTTATTAAATAGGGAATCCTTTCCCCATTGCTTGTTTTCCTCAGATTTGTCAAAGATCAGATAGTTGTAGATATGCGGCATTATTTCTGAGGCCTCTGTTCTGTTCCATTGATCTATATCTCTGTTTTGGTACCAGTAGCATGCTGTTTTGGTTACTGTAGCCTTGTAGTATAGTGTGAAGTCAGGGAGTGTGATGCCCCCAGCTTTGTTCTTTTGGCTTAGGATTGACTTGGCGATGCGGGCTCTTTTTTGGTTCCATATGAACTTTAAAGTAGTTTTTTTCCAATTCTGTGAAGAAAGTCATTGGTAGTTTGATGGGGATGGCATTGAATCTACAAATTACCTTGGGCAGTATGGCCATTTTCACGATATTGATTCTTCCTACCCATGAGCATGGAATGTTCTTCCATTTGTTTGTATCCTCTTTTATTTCCTTGAGCAGTGGTTTGTAGTTCTCCTTGAAGAGGTCCTTCACATCCCTTGCAAGTTGGATTCCCAGGTATTTTATTCTCTTTGAAGCAATTGTGAATGGGAGTTCACTCATGATTTGGCTCTCTGTTTGTCTGTTGTTGGTGTATAAGAATGCTTGTGATTTTTGCACATTGATTTTGTATCCTGAAACTTTGCTGAAGTTGCTTATCAGCTTAAGGAGATTTTGGGCTGAGACAATGGGGTTTTCTAGATATACAGTCACGTTGTCTGCAAACAGGGACACTTTGACTTCCTCTTTTCCTAATTGAATACCCTTTATTTCCTTCTCCTGCCTGATTGCCCTGGCCAGAACTTCCAAGACTATGTTGAATGGGAGTGGTGAGAGAGGGCATCCCTGTCTTGTGCCAGTTTTCAAAGGGAATGCTTCCAGTTTTTGCCCATTCACTATGATATTGGCTGTGGGTTTGTCATAGATAGCTCTTATTATTTTGAGATACTTCCCATCAATACCTAATTTATTGAGAGTTTTTATCATGAAGGGTTGTTGAATTTTGTCAAAGGCCTTTTCTGCATCTATTGAGATAATCATGTGGTTTTTGTCTTTGGTTCTGTTTATATGCTGGATTACATTTATTGATTTGCATATATTGAACCAGGGTTGCATCCCAGGGATGAAGCCCACTTGATCATGGTGGATAAGCTTTTTGATGTGCTGCTGGATTCGGTTTGCCAGTATTTTATTGAGGATTTTTGCATCAATGTTCATCAAGGATATTGGTCTAAAATCCTCTTTTTTGGTTGTGTCTCTGCTCGGCTTTGGTATCAGAATGATGCTGGCCTCATAAAATGAGTTACGGAGGATTCCCTCTTTTTCTATTGATTGGAATAGTTTCAGAAGGAATGGTACCAGTTCCTCCTTGTACCTCTGGTAGAATTCGGCTGTGAATCCATCTGGTCCTGGACTTTTTTTGGTTGGCAAGCTATTGATTATTGCCACAATTTCAGCTCCTGTTATTGGTCTATTCAGAGATCCAACTTCTTCCTGGTTTAGTCTTGGGAGAGTGTATGTGTCGAGGAATTTATCCATTTCTTCTAGATTTTCTAGTTTATTTGCGTAGAGGTGTTTGTAGTGTTCTCTGATGGTAGTTTGTATTTCTGTGGGATCAGTGGTGATATCCCCTTTATCATTTTTTATTGTGTCTATTTGATTCTTCTCTCTTTTTTTCTTTATTGGTCTTGCTAGCGGTCTATCAATTTTGTTGATCCTTTCAAAAAACCAGCTCCTGGATTCATTAATTTTTTGAAGGGTTTTTTGTGTCTCTATTTCCTTCAGTTCTGCTCTGATTTTAGTTATTTCTTGCTTTCTGCTTGCTTTTGAATGTGTTTGCTCTTGCTTTTCTAGTTCTTTTAATTGTGATGTTAGGGTGTCAATTTTGGATCTTTCCTGCTTTCTCTTGTGGGCATTTAGTGCTATAAATTTCCCTCTACACACTGCTTTGAATGTGTCCCAGAGATTCTGGTATGTTGTGTCTTTGTTTTCATTGGTTTCAAAGAACATCTTTATTTGTGCCTTCATTTCGTTATGTACCCAGTAGTCATTCAGGAGCAGGTTGTTCAGTTTCCATGTAGTTGAGCAGTTTTGAGTGAGTTTCTTAATCCTGAGTTCTAGTTTGATTGCACTGTGGTCTGAGAGATAGTTTGTTATAATTTCTGTTCTTTTACATTTGCTGAGGAGAGCTTTACTTCCAAGTATGTGGTCAATGTTGGAATAGGTGTGGTGTGGTGCTGAAAAAAATGTATATTCTGTTGATTTGGGGTGGAGAGTTCTGTAGATGTCTATTCTGCTTGGTGCAGAGCTGAGTTCAATTCCTGGGTATCCTTGTTAACTTTCTGTCTCATTGATCTGTCTAATGTTGACAGTGGGGTGTTAAAGTCTACCATTATTAATGTGTGGGAGTCTAAGCCTCTTTGTAGGTCACTCAGGACTTGCTTTATGAATCTGGGTGCTCCTGTATTGGGTACATATATATTTAGGATAGTTAGCTCTTCTTGTTGAATTGATCCCTTTACCATTATGTAATGGCCTTCTTTGTGTCTTTTGATCTTTGTTGGTTTAAAGTCTGTTTTATCAGAGGCTAGGATTGCAACCCCTGCCTTTATTTGTTTTCCATTTGTTTGGTAGATCTTCCTCCATCCTTTTATTTTGAGCCTATGTGTGTCTCTGCACGTGAGATGGGTTTCCTGAATACAGCACACTGATGGGTCTTGACTCTTTATCCAATTTGCCAGTCTGTGTCTTTTAATTGGAGCATTTAGTCCATTTACATTTAAAGTTAAATTGTTATGTGTGAATTTGATCCTGTCATTATGATGTTAGCTGGTTATTTTGCTCGTTAGTTGATGCAGTTTCTTCCTAGTCTCGACGATGTTTACATTTTGGCATGATTTTGCAGCGGCTGGTACCAGTTGTTCCTTTCCATCTTTAGTGCTTCCTTCAGGAGCTCTTTTAGGGCAGGCCTGGTGGTGACAAAATCTCTGAGCATTTGCTTGTCTGTAAAGTATTTTATTTCTCCTTCACTTATGAAGCTTAGTTTGGCTGGATATGAAATTCTGGGTTGAAAATTCTTTTCTTCAAGAATGTTGAATATTGGCCCCCAGTCTCTTTTGGCTTGTAGAGTTTCTGCCGAGAGATCTGCTGTTAGTCTGATGGGCTTCCCTTTGTGGGTAACCCGACCTTTCTCTCTGGCTGCCCTTAACATTTTTTCCTTCATTTCAACTTTGGTGAATCTGACAATTATGTGTCTTGGAGTTGCTCTTCTCGAGGAGTATCTCTGTGGCATTCTCTGTATTTCCTGAATCTGAATGTTGGCCTCCCTTGCTAGATTGGGGAAGTTCTCCTGGATGATATCCTGCAGAGTGTTTTCCAACTTGGTTCCATTCTCCCTGTCACTTTCAGGTACACCAGTCAGACATAGATTCGGTCTTTTCACATAGTCCCATATTTCTTGGAGGCTTTGCTTGTTTCTTTTTATTCTTTTTTCTCTAAACTTCCCTTCTTGCTTCATTTCATTCATTTCATCTTCCATTGCTGATACCCTTTCTTCCAGTTGATCGCATCGGCTCCTGAGGCTTCTGCATTCTTCACGTAGTTCTCCAGCCTTGGTTTTCAGGTCCTTCAGCTCCTTTAGGCACTTCTCTGTATTGGTTATTCTAATTATACATTCTTCTAAATTTTTTTCAAAGTTTTCAACTTCTTTGCCTTTGGTTTGAATGTCCTCCCGTAGCTCAGAGTAATTTGATCATCTGAAGCCTTCTTCTCTCAGCTCCTCAAAGTCATTCTCTGTCCAGCTTTGTTCCGTTGCTGGTGAGGAACTGCGTTCCTTTGGAGGAGAAGTGGCACTCTGCTTTTTAGAGTTTGCAGTTTTTCTGCTCTGTTTTTTCCCCATCTTTGTGGTTTTATCTACTTTTGGTCTTTGATGATGGTGATGTACAGATGGGTTTTTGGTGTGGATGTCCTTTCTGTTTGTTAGTTTTCCTTCTAACAGACAGGATCCTCAGCTGCAGGTCTGTTGGAGTACCCGGCCCTGTGAGGTGTCAGTCTGCCCCTGCTTGGGGGTGCCTCCCAGTTAGGCTGCTCAGGGGTCAGGGGTCAGGGACCCACTTGAGGAGGCAGTCTGCCCATTCTCAGATCTCCAGCTGCGTGCTGGAAGAACCACTGCTTTCTTCAAAGCTGTCAGACAGGGACATTTAAGACTGCAGAGGTTACTGCTGTCTTTTTGTTTGTCTGTGCCCTGCCCCCAGAGGTGGAGCCTACAGATGCAAGCAGGCCTCCTTGAGCTGTGGTGGGCTCCACCCAGTTGGAGCTTCCCAGCTGCTTTGTTTACCTAAGCAAGCCTGGGCAATGGCGGGCGCCCCTCCCCCAGCCTTGCTGCTGCCTTGCAGTTTGATCTCAGACTGCTGTGCTAGCAATCAGGGAGACTCCGTGGGCATAGGACCCTCCGAGCCATGTGCGGGATATAATCTCCTGGTGCGCTGTTTTTTAACCCCTTCGGAAAAGCGCAGTATTCGGGTGGGAGTGACCCGATTTTCCAGGTGCCGTCTGTCACCCCTTTCTTTGACTAGGAAAGGGAACTCCCTGACCCCTTGCACTTCCCGAGTGAGGCAATGCCTCGCCCTGCTTCGGCTCGCGCACGGTGTGCACACCCACTGACCTGCGCCCATGGTCTGGCACTCCCTAGTGAGATGAACCCGGTACCTCAGATGGAAATGCAGAAATCACCCATCTTCTGCGTCACTCACGCTGGGAGCTGTAGACCAGAGCTGTTCCTATTCGACCATCTTTGCTCCTCCTATCCCAGGTCACCATTTTCTCAGAGCACAATGCACGCCAGCCACTTAATTCTAGGGAAAGCCGTTGAAAATGATTTTGTTAGAATATTGCTTGAAATGTCCTCATGCTTCAATTATTAACCTAAATTGACATATCAGTATCACTCAAACTTTATAGTTTACATGAGGGTGTCTGTTCTACATTCTATGAGTTTGAAAAAATGTATGATGACATGTATCCACCATTATGGTGTCATACAGTATAGTTTCACTGCTCTACACTTGTAGAATATACTTTGCTCAATCTACTTATCCCTGCCTCTTCTTCAGCCCCTAGCAACCAGTGATCATTTTACGGTCTTTTATGTCTTTTCCAGAATGTAACATAGTTGGAATCATACAGTACTTAGCCTTTTCGGATTGGTTTTTTTCACTTACTAATGTGTATCCAAGTTTTTTCCATGTCTTTTCATGACTTTATAGCATATTTGTTTTTAGCACCGAATAATATTCAATTGTATGGATATATCAGTTTATTTATCCATTCAACTACTGAAGGACATCTTGGTTGCTTCCAAGGTTTGGCAGTTATAAATAAAGCTGCCATATACATCTTTGTGCAAGTTTTCGTGTGGGTATAAGTTTCCAACTGCTTTGCATAAATACCAAAGAATACACTTCTTAGGTCTTATGGTAAGAGTATGTATAATTTTGTAAGAAACTACCAAACTGTCTTCTAGAGTTGCTGTACTATTTTGCATTACTACCTGCAGTGAGTGAGAATTACTGTTTCTCCACATTCTCATCACTACTTGATCGTGTCAGAGTTCTAGGTTTTGGCCATTCTAATAGATTTATAGTGGTATCTCACTGCTGTTTTAATGACTGTCTCTTTGATGTCAAAGAATGTGGAACATCTTTATGTATATTTATTGGCCATCTGTATATCTTCTTTGATTTAGTGTGTGTTAAGATCTTTGGCCAATTTTAAAATCAGATTGTTGGTTTTCTTGTTGAGTTTTAAGAATTCTTTGTATATTTTGAATTTATCCCATATGTCTTGCAAATATTTTCTCCAAGTCTTTGTCTTCTTTTTATTCTCTTGACAGTGTCTTTTGCAGAGCAGTTTTTTATTTTAATGAAGGCCAGTTCATCCATCTTTTTTTTTTTTCATGGATTGCGTTTCTGGTGTAAAAAGTTGTTACCAAACCCAAGATCATTTTTATTTTCTCCTATGTTAACTTTTAGGAGTTTTAAAGTTTTGTTTTTTACATTTAGGTTTACAGT
This sequence comes from Homo sapiens, assembly GCF_000001405.40. Lineage (NCBI taxonomy): Eukaryota > Metazoa > Chordata > Mammalia > Primates > Hominidae > Homo > Homo sapiens. Next base: position 76,655,287 of record NC_000002.12, read on the forward strand.
CCATTTTGAGTAAATTTTTGTGAAGGATGTCAAGTTTGTTTCCTTTCCCAAAGATCAGTTAACTAAATAGGTGGTGGTTTATTTCTAGACTTTCTGTTCTGTTTCATTTATCTGTCTCTCCATTACTTAACCAGTGTCATACTTCCTTGTTTACTGTAGTGTTATCATAAATCTTGAAGTTGAATACTGTCAGTCCTCCAACTTTGTTCTTCTCATATAATATTGTGTTAGTTATTCTCGGTATTTTGCCTTTCTAGATAAACATTAGATAAGTATGTTGCTAACCACAGATAACTTGTTGAAACTTTGATTGGGATTAAATTAAATATATAAATCAAGATGGGAAGAACTGACATCTTAATAACATTGACTCTTTTAATCCATGAATATAGAATCAATTTATTTATTTAATCTTTGATTTTTTAAATCAGAGTTCTGTAGTATTTCTTATATAGATCTTATACATACATGATATATTTATATCTAAGCATTGTGATTTTAATTTCAAATGCATTATTCATTGCTGCTATATACAAAAGCGATTGACTTTTGTATATTTTTTGTGGTGCAAACTTACTGTAATTATTTCTTAGATTTTGGAGTTTTTTGTTAACATTTTAATTTTTAATATAGCCAATAAGACATCTGCAAACAAAAAGAGTTTTGTGACTTTCTTTCCAATATGATACCTTTTATTTCCTTTTCATGTCTTACTGCATTAGCTAGGACTTCCAATATGATGTTGAAAAAGTGTGGCGAGAGGGGCTATACTTGCCTTGCTCCTGATCTTAATGGGGAAGCATCTTCTTTTTCACTATTAAGTATGCTGTTAACTGTAGATTTTTTGTAAATATTCTTTATCATGTTTAAAAAAAGTTCCACTCTATTTGTAGTTCATTCACTGGATTTTGTCAAATGTTTTTCTGCATCTATTGCTATGATTATGTGTTTTTCTTCTTTAACCTGTTGATGTGATAAATTACATTAATTGATTTTTGAATGTTGAGCCAGACTTGCATACTTGAGCTAAATCCCACTTTGTTGTGGTGTATGTTCTTTTTATGCACTATTAGAGTCAATATGCTAATATTTCATTTAGGGTTTTGCATTATATTCATGAGAAATGTTTGTGGTTTTCTTATTATGTCCTTATCTTATTTTGATACTAGGGTAATGGAGGCCTTATAGAATAAGTTAGGAAGTATCCACTCTGCTTTTAACTTCTGAAAGAGATTTTATAGAATTAGTATAACTTATTTCCCAAATGTCTGGGAGAATTCACCAGTGAACTTATAGAAGGTTACTATTTTGAAAGCTTATTATCTATCGATTTAACTTTTACTAGGTACAGCCTATTCAGGTTGTCTGCTTGTTCTTAAGTGAGTTTTGACAGATTATGTCATTAAAGGAATTGATCTGCTTTATCTGGGTTATCAAATTTGTGGGTATGAAGTTTTTATTATCCTTTTAGTGCCCAGGGTATCTGCAATCATATTTTCTTCTTTCATTATCTGACATGAGTTATTAGGAACCTCTCTTTTTCTTAGTTTGCCTGGCTTGTCAATTTTTTTTATCTTTACTAAAATCCAGGTTTTCATTTCATTAATATTTATATTGATTTTCTGTTATAATTTATATTGATATTTGCTCTTTTTATTATTTATTCTGCTTATTTTGTATTTATTTTTTCTAGCATTTTTAAGGTAAAAGCTTATATTATTAATTTTACATATTTTTTCTAATATGAACTTTCAGTATTATGAATTTCTCTCTAAACACTGCTTTTGCTGCATTCAACACATTCTTTTGTTTTCATTTTCACTTAGTTCAAAAATTTTGTTTTAATTCTCTTGAAAGTTCTTCTTTGACCCATGTGTTATTTAGAAGTGAATCGTTTAATCACGAGATATTTTGGGATTTTCAAACCATCTTTCTGCTAGTATAATTTTGGTTCCATCGTGCTCTGAAAGCAGACATTGTATGATTTTTTTTTTAATTTGTAAGAACATGTTTATGGCTTAGAATGTGGTCTATTTAGGTGAATGCCTTATTTGAGTGTGAGAAGAATGTTTATTCTAGTGTTACTGAATAAAGTAGTTTGTAAATGTCAACTATATCAAGTTGATTGAGAGTTTTGAGTTCAACTATATCCTTGCTGATTTTCTACAGGATGGATTTGTTCATTTTTAGTATAGGTGTATTTTATCCTCCAACTATAATCATGAATTCATCCATTTCTCTTTGAAGTTCTATCAGTTTTTGCCTCATGCTTTTTCATTTGTTTATTTTTGCCTTGCGTATTTTGATGCTCTGTTTTTAGGCACAGACATGATGAGAATTGTTATGTCTTTTTGGAGAATTAAAACCTTTATTGTTAGGTAGAGCCCCTTTTTGTTCCTAATAACTTATCTTGCTGTGAAGTTCTATCTAAAATTAATATAGCTACTTCCACTTTGTTTGGATTCTTGTTAGAATGGCATATCATTCTCCACCCATTTACCTTTTAATTTAGATGTATCTTTATATTTTTAAGTGAGTCTCTTATAGTTAACAGATAACTGGGTCTTATTTTTGATTCATTCTTACAATCTCTGTTTTTTAATTGGTGTATTTAGACCATTGACATTTATACTGATTATTGATATAGATGGATATATATCATCAGTATTTGTTACTGTTTTATATTTGTTGCCCTTCGTCTTTGTTCCTACTATCTTCTTCTTTCTGCCTTTTGTGGTTTTAATTGAGCATTTTCTCTTCTTTCTTAGCATATCAGTTATACCTTCTTTTTTTTTTAACTTTTTTTAGTGGTTACCCTCAAGTTTGTAGTATTACAACTAATCTAAGTCCACTTTCCAATAACACTATACCAATTCACAGGTAGGGCAAGTATCTTATCATAACAAAATAATCCTAATTCCTCCTTCCTATCTCTTGTACTATTACTGTCATTTATTTTACATAGATAAAACAATTTATTTTACATGCATCTATAACTTATACATAAGCATGAGTGAGCATACACATTTATATATGCACATAATGAAATACATCGTTGCTATTATTCTTTTGAACAATCTGTTAGCTGTTAGATCAATTAAAAACAAGAAATATATATATTTTTAAATATTATCCTCACTTATTCCTTCCATAATGCACTTCTATTCTTTAAGTGCATCTGAATTTCTGGCCTATTTCGTTTTTCTTCTCTCTAAAAAATTTCTTTTGACATTTCTTGCAAGGTGGGTTTACTGGCAAAACTTTTTTCAATTTTTGTTTGTCTGAGGAAGTCTTTAATTCTCTCTCACTCTTGAAGAATAATTTTTCAGGCTATGAAATGATAGGTTCTTGGACTTTTTCTTTCAACACTTTAAGTATTTCAGTCAGCTTTCTTCTTGATTGGATGGTTTCTGAGAAGTTGGATATAGTTTTTACCTTTGGTCCTCTATAGGTAAAATCTTTTTTCTCTCTGGCTTCCTTCAGAATTTTTTTTTTCTCTTTGATTTTCTGCAACTTGATTATTGATAATGCCTACTTCTAGGGTTTAGTTTTTTGTGTTTGTTTTTACATTTCTGTTTCCTGAGATTCCTGGATCTGTAGGTTGGTATCTGACATTAATTATTGCTTCAAATATTTCTTCTGTTTCTTTTTTTTCTCCTTCTTTTGGTATTCTCATTACATTAACGTTACACACTTTGTAGTTGTCCCAGTTATTGATTGTTCTATTCTTTCACACAGTTCTGGGATATTCCATTTTTGTTTTTTAGTTAGTCTCTTTTTTCAATTTTCTTTTCAGTTTTGGAAGTTTCTACTGAGATATCTTCAAGTTAAGATACTTTTTCCTCAGCCATGTCCCATACACAAATGAACTCATCAAAGGCATTCTTCATTTTGTGTTTTTGAACTCTAGCATTTCTTTATGATTCTTAGATTTTCCATCTCTCTGCTCATACTGCCCATTTATCCTTATATGCTGTTTACTTTATCCATCAGAGCCCTTGGCATATTAATAGTTGTTTTAAAATTCTGCTCTGGATCCCTGAATATTCCAGTCCAGTTCTGATACTTGTTGTTTCTTCAAACTATATTGCTTTTGTCTTTGAATTTTTTTAAATACATGAATATGGTGTCCTGAATAAAAAGACTTGCTCTATATAAATCTTTAGTAATGTGTTAGTAAGTTGCAGGAGGAGGAGAAACATTTTATTGTCCAATACTATGTCTCAGTCTCTTTGTGAACGTATGTCTCTGGACTGTGAATTCACAAGTGCTTTTCAGCCTCTCTCCACCAACCTTTAGGTAAGCTGGATGAGCTAGTGCTAGGTATTTCTCTTCCTTCATATGGTAGCTTAGCACTAGTTAGAGTAGGATATTTATTTTCCCCCAGGTCGGTTGCATTCTGATAAAACTCCAGCATCTTAGGCTCTGATTAAGTAGTATATTTGGCAGAGTTTGTTAAGAACAGAATGATCTAGTGTCTTTCAAAATGCCTCTTTTTTCTCTCTGCCTCCTGAAAGAATCAGAGATTTTTTTCTCCAATATTTGCTGTGAGAACTTGTCAAACTCCTGGAGGAAAAACTCACAAAACTGTGGGAATTGCTCCCTGGATAGCTGGGTCCCCCTGAGTTTTTGACTGTCATACTTGTGTACACTGAGCCTTCAATAATTTGTGAAGTAAACTTTAGGTTTTACTACCCTGGCACTCATTACAGAGGTTTCTACTTATGGCTTTCTGCTCTAGTAAGTTGTGATTCTCTGCACCTACCTGTCTGTCTCTCTAATTTTGGAAGCAGTGCTTTGCCCTGTGTCCTGACTCTCCTTATGGGTCTAAGATTTGTTAATTTTTCAGTTTGCTCATCTCTTTACTGGTTATAACTGAGTGGTGACTTCCAAGCTCCTCATATCCTGAACCAGAAATCGATGTCCAGGCATTTCTTTTTAGAACAATAAAAAAGTCAGGTGATGAAAAGAAAATATTTTATTTTAAAGAGATCCCAGCTATCAAAACAATAATGTAGAATTTGATGACCATGTCATAATTGTGGGTGCAAATTGCTGAAAATATACAACAGAAGAAGCAAGGTCAATAAAAATAGCATAAAATATTTCAGAGCCTCATGCAGAAGAATAATGGGCTGCCTCATAAAACACAGTTGTTTCAGAAGTGACTGTTTAATGAACAATTATAACACCCTCGATGTTAGAGAAAGAGTTGAAGAAGACATAGTATTTTGGAACCCATAATGAGTGTAGATATACTAAAATCTACTTCAATAATGAAAGCACAATAGATCTGAAACATGGATATCTGAAGCAGTGATGAGTTAACCTTTAAGAATCATTGTGAGATATAGTTAAGAGAAAGAGGTGAATGCTCAGATTCTTTAACCTTATTAACTGGAAACTTCCACTGCACACACTGAAAATCAGCTTCATTATAACTGGAGGCCTCAACTATATCATGTAAAAAATGGTTTTTACCAGAATATTATTTGAGACCAAACTAGAGAATTTAAATTAAGGGAAAAATAGCCTTAATCAGTCATGCTCACTTGGAAAAAAATTAAAAAAGCAACAGTCTGAACTGGTTTCATTTTATCAAAATTGACTTTTAAACTTTAGCTGGAGGCTGTCATATTTCTCTTGAGCATTTATTAATGACGCATTTGGAGTTCCAATTAAAAACTCAATGTGAGAAAATAACAGAAGCTCCCTGTCCATTATGAAAATCCAAATCTGTGTGTTTAATATGACATTATTTTGCCACATCTGCGCTAAAATGACCATACAAACAGAATAGGAACAAACATTATATCATTGATGAAAATGACTTTTAAAAGCTGAAATTTATTAAAAGCATATTAATTTGTTAAAATGTTGACAGAATCACCAGGGGTCCTTGATATCAGACTTGGACAACAGGTGGTATCAAGCACAGCTGTGAACTATGAGATCTCTCTACTGATGCTGTCAATGGGCGCTAAATGTTCTAGCTCACCCCATCGATGCTGATGTACGGGACTCAGGATACCACTGTGTGCACTATTGTATCCAGAAAATTGATTTTCCTGCCACCACTACCATTGCCAAAATTGAGCCTACAGTGTTTCGGCCTTTATGTATTACTAACTCCCACTTTAAAATCAGGGTATCTGAGTTTTAAGGATTATATCTTTTGCCTGCTCCTTTACTGCAAGAGAGGCTGGCTTCTCAGTTTCTATAGTAAGGAGCAGGTCCTGGTTTCTATGAAGACTTAAAAATAGAAAACATTCCCCAAATGAGAAGGGTATTCAAATGATGGATGAGCATAAATGATTAAAAATACAATCTACAACTTCAGCGGTTTGTCATCATTTATATGTTTCTCATACTTCAAAATAATGCTCTTGTCTATCATAGTGCAGCTATCCTAAATTGCAAGCAAAACATCTCACCTTGTCACCAAAAGAAGACATGCAAAGTCATGCCCTGTACAGTTTCACCATGACTTACAAATTTTTATGTTTCCGTTTTTTTGAGATAGGGTCTCACTCTGACACCCAGGCTGGAGTGCAGTGGTACAATCACAGCTCACTACACCTTCGACCTCCTGGGCTCAAGCAACCCTCCCACCTCAACCTTCCAAATAGCGAGGACTACAGGCATGCACCACTACCATTTTTTTTTTTTTTTTTTTTTTTTAAGAAACAGAGTCTTGTCATCTTGAACTCAGGCTGGTCTAGAACTCCAGCGTTCTGCCCACCTTGGTCTCCCAAAATGCTGGGATTCCAGGCATAAACCACTGTGCCCAGACATATTTATTTACTTCTCCCTTACAAAATCATAAAAGTATCCATTATATTCAATGAGTAAAATTAGAAAAAAAAATTAAAAAGTATTCTCTGTCTCTCCCAACACACACATGCACACATGGGAGGAAAGAAAACAATTGTATATATTATAGTTTATAATTGTGTAACTAGTAGCCAGAGATGGATTTAGATTCCCCTTCTCTAGTACCAACTAAAAGTTCCTTTTCTCTTCACCCAGAACTGCAGCTAGTCAATGATCTGTCCATAGGGCAGTGGCCCAAATCTTCATTCCTAACAGATCTAAACTTTTAGTGGTTCTGTCTATGTAGGGTTGCTGCAGTCTTATATTTCTTATTACTTGTGAACCTGGTAGTAATGGCAGGCACCTTAGGGAATCCCGCGGGTGCCATCTGTGTCCCCCCTTGACTCCACAATGTAGCAGCACAACATTCTGTAATTAATTCTCAACATTCAAGAGCTATTACCTAGATGACACCATAACATTTTTTCTGAGCCTATTTATCTAGAGACTTCATAAGCATCAGAAAATGGCCTGGTGGCAGTCTTATTCAGCTTCCAATTCAGAGTAAATATTGTTGTGTCCCTAGCAGAAATATTTCTCCCTTAAGTTTTAAAATCTCTAAACAGAGGTCAGAATGGGAAGCAAATATTTTGCCAGTTGTCCCAGTGGGATAATCATGAGAGCGCCTGCTGCCACCCCAGAAACTTGAAATATTCGACTCTGTAAATATCAGCCTTCCCCGGAGAGTCCCTCCCTAACCTAATGATTTCCGACTGGTAAAAATATTATAATTTGGCTTTCCTTTTACCTTATTTTAGAAGATTTTTAAAAGGATGGATACATTCATCAAAAGTAACCTCATGATTTCCAATTCATGAAACATGAAACCCTAATTAACACCGTAGATGTTAGAGTCAGACAGTTCTGGATTAATTCCAGCCAAGCCAGTTCCTGGCAGTGTGATCTTGGGCAAGTCACTTCATACCCTTTGAACTTCAGTTTTCCCATTGTTTATAAGGGAGATAGCATCAATTATTCAGGGATATTGTATTCTTTTTTTCTTTTAATATGACATCTGGTTAAAGTGCTTAGCACACTAAGAATATGAGTGCTTGAGTCATTGAAGCTGAAGAAATATTTAAAATATTTTGCAACCAGCACATCATAGTCACCAATCAGAGCAGATTCAAGTCTTAATGCTCAAGTAGGGCCTTGCGGGCTTGGCATTGGCTCTTATGAGGGTGAATACTGCTGCATTTGGGGCCATGTGAGGAACTACAAGGAAGCCAGGTTTTACCAAACCACATAGGAGTCCTTCAGTGGTATAACAATTGGGAGAGCTAGTGTGTAATAGCTGATTACCAGCCCATCATAGAAACAAGTAATATGGATGGGAGTGATAAGGATGGTGATAGTAGTTGTGACAGTAATACAGACCCTTAGTAAGGATAAACAAAAGAGATAAATCATCCAAAACATTAAAAGACTCATAGTAAGAGAATTTAAGAAAAAAATATTCCACCCACATGGGTATAGGGTAAAAAAGATGAAAGCTGTAAACTGAATGCAAATGATGTCCTTGAAATTTCAAAGCGCTACAGTTATTCAATACCTTTTAACAGAATAAAAAAAAGTGACTCATTATTCTTGGAAATAGGAACACTCCATAATGTTTGGGCTTGCTTTTATGAAACAATTAGTTTTCAAGGGAAATTTAATTTTGTTTGTGAATGTTTTCTTCTAACCAAATGGAAAACTCTTATTGAAAGTTAATTATATTTCATTTTCTAGAATTTATGAGGAAGGAAAAAGTCAACTTCTGAGTCATATGTTTTGCTCCACAGAAGAACATAATACGAGGAACTTTCAGTTTTAGTTTTTGTATATTTATGTTTTAAGATAATAGCTATAATTAAAGATGTGCTCTCCTTTATAGAGACTCTAATTACTTCCAAGTCCTATTTATTGAGCACTTATCTGGTGCTGAGGTAGACAATAGGATACAATGATTGATAGGGTGTGGTATTTGTGAGGGAGACCAACATTCAAGCTCAGTGTTATGCTGCATGACGAATAAGGCCCTGCCTAGCTTTCTGGGCTCATCTCCTGTCATTTCCTCCCTGTTCACTATGTTCAAGAAAGACAAGTCTCTTCCCCAATCCCCGGAACTGGCCAAGCTTAGACTTGGTCTAGCTTCTTTGCATTTACTCTGTCCACTCTCTGAAACACTCTTTCCATGACTGTCTTCTTTGCAACATTTATCCTAAAGGCTACCTTTTCAAAGAGGCCTCATATAAGAATCTTAGCGTAAAGTAACAACAACTTACATTTTCTAACTCACTGCCTTTTTACAAATTTTAGAGACACATACTATTATCTAAAAATATTCATGTATTTGTATACTTATGGTCCATCCTATCAGTATAAGCTCTATTAAGTCAAGATTCTGGCATGGTCACCACCACATCCTTAGTTATAAGAACAGTTCTTGGCACATAGTAAAATCTCAAAAATATGTATCTAGTAAAAGCAGTAACACAAAACAAGACTAAATCACTTGATTCTCAATTACAGCATATCAGTTTTGAAATTGCTAGAAGGTTGAACTGCATTTTAGAGAAGCTGTCATTACACACACCACGTACTTAAGGAACAAGCAAACAGCTGTCCTTTGGCATGGTATAAAAGCCTATTTCATGTGAGTTATTTGACTACACTACCACATCTCAGTAGTAGATGAGGCTTTTATGAAAACAATAAAACTTAAGCCTCATTTATGCATCTTAATTTTTTAAACATTGTGGAGACTTGTTATAAGGCCTTGAACTAATTTGTACTCATCTACCCTATCCAGTCCCATGCTGTGAGGTTTTGTTAATAACAGTTTATTTAATTTTTAAAACTGGTGCTCAAAAGAGATATAGATTTTTCCCCCTCTCACTCTTTGTGAAGATATGAAAGGGCTCTAGGGATGAAAGAACAATAGATCAAATGTGAAAACACACATATAAAGCAAGAGGAAAAGAACAGAAGGTAGCTAGACACAAACTTTTAAGGGAAGAAATGTTCATATTGGAGAAAGATAAAAGAAAGACAAGGAGGAGAAAGGATTTTCCTGTATGCACTTTTCCAGAGTAGAACAATATGAAAAGTCCACCCATTTCAATAATTACCTAGCATGTAATTTTTATCCAATCCTGATGGATAATTTTAAGACTGTGCACACAAAAACAACAAATGTTTACAGAATAGATAATGGATAGAAAAATATCCCAGGCACAATAACAAGAAATATAAAATATATAGGAATATCGCAATAATAAATATGTGCAACTAAATAGAAATAATACTTTATTGATTCCAATAAATTGAAAGATACTGGTTAATCATACTGTTGAATAGAAATACTGAATAGTACAAACACGAAATAATTCCAAAATCAGTTGAGGTTTAATTCAACTCAAGTCAAAATCTTAATTATGCATTTGTTGATAAAGTTTTATAAAATTATTCTAAAATTCCTTCAACTGCAATATAAAATGTATAATAATTTTCACTCAAATAATTTTTACCAAATTTTTTTCTAGCAAAAATTATTTGAATAAATGGAAGAGAAATATAAAGAATGTATAGAAACTAATATTAAATAATATAAAAATTACTTATATAGTCAACATAACTTAAATAATATGATATTGGCCACTGATTAGACAAGTAAAGTGAACACAAAGCCTAAAAATATACCAGAGTGTACTTAGTTTATGAATAAGATGCCATTTTAAGTTAGTAGTAAATACACAAGTTACTCTATAAAAGGTAGAAAACAAGAATAATTGATCGACTCTTTAGAGATGGGGAAGAAGATGCTTATCTTGCTTGATACATCAAAATAAATTCTAAAATCATTAAATAATAGTAAAGCATGAAACAAAAATATAACTATAATGTAAATATTAATATAAAATTTTGATCTGGAGAAGGTTTTCTATAAATGACACCAAAGGAAGAAATTATAAATAAAAATATTGATAAGTTAAAATGTTCCATCATCAAAAACACAACAAATAAAGAATTAGAACAAAACATATACCATTCAAATTTAACCGTTATTCTTTTTGTAGAACTCACATGTCTCATTGTAAGATATTAAAACTATTCAGAAAAATGCAGAGAATAAAAGAAAAATGATTCCCAAACTCTTCCACACAGATTATTACAGAGTTAGCATTTTGATGAATTTTCCTCCAAATTAGATTCTCTGCATTGATACACATAAAATTGCTAGGATATAATTGTACTTTTTATGTGTACTGTTCTGATAACATGTTTTTTCCAAACAATATTTTCTGTAAATATTTTAATTTTAAAAAATAGGTTTATGTCATTGTGTTAAATAACTACGTATTATTCCATCTCATGGCTTAAACAAAACTTCACTTAATTGTTCCCTTTTCCTCTGTTAGCATTTGTATAATAGTACGTGTGACTGATTGTTAACAGTTTTTTTCCCTTGCCTGGTAGTGAGTTCCCTGACATCAGAAATGGCATCCAAGACATTTCTTGATGTAATCGCAGGGCCCAGCTTATGTTGGGGTCTCCAAAATAGCTGGTGGGTAAAAGATAGAGGTACACTAGTCACTTTAGGATATCTAATTATGAAAAAAATAGAGACCTTATATAGCCCATGACGGGCAGTGGCAGAATTTGAAATTCCTATTTGTTAAGAACCTGAGTGGTAACAATAGTGGATAATAAATAAATTATAGGAAAAGATTACCATTAAGCCACGTGACCATGGACCTAACATTGTCATACCTTTTGTGAAACTAAGGGCCAAAATCAGTTTTGTGAAATTGTATACATCTCTAATACAGAGAATTATATATTGCTTCTTCAACTGATGACCAAGCACGCAGGTAAGGGAAGTTACAGACAAGAACTCTCTATATTTTTGGCAAAATAATCTTTTTCTCTTAGTTCTCTAGGATGGAACTGGGTAAGAAGGAGAAGGAGCTCACTGGATTCACTGGCTGACTCACCAACATTTATCTGTAGAAATTTAGAGCTACCCAAACATTAATGCACAAAGACTTAATAACAGAGTTACTTATAATAGAAAAACAATGGACAAAGTCTAGATGAACTGTAATAAAGAATTGGTTGAATCAGAAACCGGTACCAGGCCATAGACAATACTTTTTGTAGAATAGATATATAAAACCTTGGCAAGCACATTCATTAATTCAAAATTGAATGGCTTTTAAAAAAATCTAAGCCAAAATATGCCATATATATACATGGGTTTGCTTGGAATGTTTTATACTATGGTATGTACTTTATCAAAATAAAGACTTTATGTGTAATACCGAGTAAACTGCAGAATACAGGAATTATTGGTCATCAATTGGTTTTGTGCCACAAAATCTCAGGGAATGTTGAGGTTTTGTATAACAAATACCAAGGTGATATGTTTTATATTATACTAACTACTCTCCCATAAACAAAATGCCTTGACATTTACTTTTA